>NC_000015.10:55776874-56401874 GCF_000001405.40 Homo sapiens | reverse complement strand
TCAGGAGCAGGTTGTTCTGTTTCCATGTAGTTGTGTGGTTTTGAGTGAGTTTCTTAATCCTGAGTTCTAATTTGATTGCACTGTGGTCTGAGAGACAGTTTGTTGTGATTTCTGTTCTTTTACATTTGCTGAGGAGTGCTTTACTTCCAATTTTGTGGTCAATTTTAGAATAAGTGTGATGTGCTGAGAAGAATGTATATTCTGTTGGGGTGGAGAGTTCTGTAGATGTCTATAAGGTCTGCTTTGTGCAGAGCTGAGTTCTAGTCCTGGGTATCCTTGTTAACCTTCTGTCTCATTAATCTAATACTGACAGTGGGGTGTAAAAGTCTCCCATTATTATTGTGTGGTAGTCTAAGTCTCTTTGCAGGTGTCTAAGGACTTGCTTTATGAATCTGGGTGTTCCTGTATTGGGTGCATAAATATTTAGGATAGTTAGCTCTTCTTGTTGAATTGATCCCTTTACCATTATGTAATGGCCTTTTCTCTTTTGATCTTTGTTGGTTTAAAGTCTGTTTTGTCAGAGGCTAGGATTGCAACCCCTGTTTTTTTTTTTTTTTTTTTTTTTTGCTTTCAATTTGCTTGGTAGGTCTTCCTCCATCCCTTTATTTTGAGCCTGTGTGTGTCTCTGCACATGAGATGGGTCTCCTGAATACAGCACACTGATGGGTCTTGACTCTATATCCAATTTGCGAGTCTGTGTCTTTTAATTGGGGCATTTAGCCTATTTACATTTAAGGTTAATATTGTTATGTGTGAATCTGATCCTGTCATTATGATGTTAGCTGGTTATTTTGCCCATTAATTGATGCAGTTTCTTCTTCTCATTGATGGTCTTTACCATTTGGCCTGTTTTTGCAGTGGCTGGTACCAGTTGTTTCTTTCCATGTTTAATGCTTTCTTCAGGAGCTCTTGTAAGGCAGGCCTGGTGGTGAACAAAATCTCTCAGCATTTGCTTGTCTGTAAAGGATTTTATTTCTCATTCACTTATGAAGCTTAGTTTGGCTAGATATGAAATTCTAGATTGAAAATTCTTTAAGGATGTTGAATATCGGTCCCCACTCTCTTCTGGTTTGTAGGGTTTCTGCTGAGAGATCTCCCGTTAGTCTGATGGGCTTCCCTTTGTGGGTAACCCGACCTTTCTGTCTGGCTGCCCTTAACATTTTTTCCTTCATTTCAACCTTGGTGAATCTGACAGTTATGTATCTTGGTGTTGCTCTTCTCGAGGAGTATCTTTGTGGTGTTGTCTGTATTTCCTGAATTTGAATGTTGTCCTGTCTTGCTAGGTTGGGGAAGTTCTCCTGGGAAATATCCTGAAGAGTGTTTTCCAACTTGGTTCCATTCTCCCCATCACTTTCAGGTACACCAATCAAATGTAGATTTGGTCTTTTCACATAGTCCCATTTTTCTTGAAGGCTCTGTTGATTTCTTTTTACTCTTTTTTCTGTAAACTTGTCTTCTCACTTTATTTCATTAATTAGATCTTCAATCCCTAATACCCTTTCTTTCACTTGATCAAATTGGCTATTGAAGCTTGTCCACGCATCACGGAGTTTTCGTGCCGTGGTTTTCAGCTCCATCAGGTCATTTAAGGTCTTCTCTACACTGTTTATTCTAGTTAGCCATTCGTCTAACCTTTTTTCAAGGTTTTTAGCTTCCTTGTGTTGGGTTAGAACATCATGATCCTTTAGCTCAGAGAAGTTTATTACTGACTTTCTGAAGCCTACTTCTGTCAACTCGTCGGTCATTCTCCATGCAGCTTTGTTCTGTTGCTGGAAAGGAGCTGCAATTCTTTGGAGAAGAAGAGGTGCTCTGGTTTTTAGAATTTTCAGCTTTTCTGCTCTGGTTTCTCCCCATCTTTGTGGTTTTATCTACCTTTGGTCTTTGATGTTGGTAACTACAGATGGGGTTTTGGTGTAGATGTCCTTTCTGTTGATGTTGATCCTATTCCTTTCTGTTTGTTAGCTTTCCCTGTAACAGTTAGGTCCCTCATCTGCAGTTCTTTTGGAGTTTGCTGGAGGTCCACTCCACACCCTGTTTGCCTGGGTATCACCCACGGAGGCTGCAGAACAGCAAATATTGCAGAACAGCAGATATTGCTGGCTGATGCTTCCTCCGGGAGCTTCGTCCCAGAGGGGTACCCACCTACATGAGGTGTCTGTTGGCCCCTACTGGGAGGTGTGTCACAGTTAGGATACACAGGGGTCAGGGACCCACTTGAGGAGGCAGTCTGTCCATTCTCAGAGCTCAAACGCCATGCTGGGAGAACCACTGCTCCCTTCAGACCTGTCAGACAGGGACGTTTAAGTCTGCAGAAGTTGTCTGCTGCCTTTTGCTCAGCTACGCCCTGCCTACAGAGGTGGAGTCTATAGAGGCAGTAGGCCTTGCTGAGCTGTGGTGGGCTCTGCCCAGTCCAAGCTTCCCGGCCGCTTTGTTTACCTGCTCAAGCCTCAGCAATGGCAGATGCCCCTCCCACAGCCAAGCTGCCACCTCGCAGTTCGATCTCAGACTGCTGCACTAGCAGTGAGCAAGGCTCCGTGGGTGTGTGACCCGCCAAGCCAGGCACGGGAGAGAATCTCCTTGTCTGCCGGTTGCTAAGACCTTGGGAAAAGCGCAGTATTTGGGCAGAAGTGTCCCATTTTTCCAGGTACAGTCTGTCATGGCTTCCCTTGGCTAGCAAAGGGAAATCCCCCAACCCCTTGCACTTCCCGGGTAAGGCGACACCCCACTCTGCTTCAGTTCACCCTCCGTGGGCTGCACCCACTGTCCAATCAGTCCCAGTGAGATGAACCAGGTACCTCAGTTGGAAATGCAGAAATCACCTGTCTTCTGCGTTGATCACACTGGGAGCTACAGACCAGAGCTGTTCCTATTTGGCCATCTTAGAAGGGCACTGTTTTGTATTTTTAGTAGAGACAGGGTTTCACCATGTTAGCCAGGATGGTCTCGATCTCCTGACCTCATGATCCACCTGCCTTGGCCTCCCAAAGTGCTGGGATTACAGGCATCAACCACCATGCCTGGCCAGTCAGTTTCCGTTTCTATAAAATGCATTTTGTCTGGCATATGGCACTCAAAAAATTATCCCCATACAAAGGGAAAAAAAAATTCTCCCCCTACAAAGGGAAAAGTATAATCAATGTCACCCTTTGGCAACATTAATCTACTGACAAAGTACAGTATACAATGGATAAGAAATGGAAAATGGACACAAAATGGGAACTGAAAATAAGGGATGAATGAAAAACATTTGGAAGAAAAATTGCACAGGATTGGACATGATGGCCAAGAACATGAAAAGAATCAAATATATAACCAAGGTTTCAAGATTATCTGAGACTAGAACAGTGATGTGACAGAGCTTGGGTGCATAACGGTAAATGGTAAAGTCATGACAAATTAAAACATGGATGTTCCCCTAGACACTACAGCTTTTTCCCTTTAGACCAATTATATATATTTCTTAGACCAATAGAAATAGAATACAGAATACATATGTAATTACAAAATTTCTAGTAGCCACTGCAAGAAGGTAAAACAAACAGGTAAAATTAATTTTAATAACATATTTCACTTAACCTAATATATTCAAATATTATTTCAACATATAACCAATACAAAAAATATTAAAGAGATTTTGAGATATTTTACATTCTTCATTCTGTTTTACATGAATTCTTCAAAATCTGATTTTTACTTTATAGTTATAGCACATCGCAATTTAGCCACATATGGTAAGTGGCTACCATACTGGAAACACAAGTTCAGACTATTAAATACTATAATTAACTTTTATTACTAGATGAGTGGGGAAACAAACTGAAGTACATTCATTCATAGTTTACACTACTCAGCAATAAAAAGGAATGGACTATAATAGGGATAAATATTGAATGTTGTATTAGTCCGTTTTCATGCTGCTGATAAAGACATACCCAAGACTGGGCAATTTACAAAAGAAAGAGATTTACTGCACTCACAGTTTCACATGGCTGGGGAGGCCTCACAATCATGCTGGAAGGTAAAGGCACATCTCACATGGTGGCAGACGAGAGCTTGTGCAGGGAAATTCCCATTTTTAAAACCATCAAATCTCCTGAGACTTATTCACTCTCATGAGAACAGCACAGGAAAGACCTGCCCCTGTGATTCAATGACCTCCCACTGGGTCCCTCCCACAACACATGGGAATTCAAGATGAAATTTGGGTGGGGACACAGCCAAACCATATTCTACCCCAAGACCCTCCCAAATCTCATGTCCTCACATTTCAAAACCAATCATGCCTCCTAGGTCTCTGGGCCTGTGATGGGAGGCGCTGCCGTGAAGACCTCTGCATACCTTGGGAGACATTTTCCCCATTGTCCTGGGGATTAACATTCAGCTCCTCAAGACTTATGCAAATTTCTGCAGCCGGCTTGAATTTCTCCTCAGAAAATGGGATTTTCTTTTCCACTGCATTCTCAGGCTGCAAATTTTCCAACCTTTTGTGCTCTGTTTCCCTTTCAAAACTGGATGCCTTTAACAGCACCAAGTCACCTCTTGAGTGCTTTGCTGCTTAGAAATTTGTTCCACCAGATACCCTAAATCATCTCTCTCAAGTTCAAAGTTCCACAGATCTCTAGGGGAGGGACAAAATGCCACCAGTCTCTTTGCTAAAACATAACAAGAGTCACATTTGCTCTAGTTCCTAACAAGTTCCTCATCTCCATCTGAGATCACCTCAGCCTGGATTTCATTGTCCATATCATTATCAGTATATTGGTCAAAGCCATTCAACAAGTCTCTAGGGAGTTCCAAACTTTCCCATATTTTCCTGTATTTTTCTGAGCCCTCCAAACTTTTCCAACCTCTGCCTCTTACCCAGTTCCAAGGTCACTTCAACACTTTTTGGTATCTTTTCAGTAGCGCCTGACTCTACTAGTACCAATTTACTGGATTAGTTCATCGTCATGCTGCTGGTAAGACACACCCAAGACTGGGCAATTTACAAAAGAGAGAGGTTTATTGGACTCACAGTTCCACATGGCTGGGGAGGCCTCACAATCATGTTGGAAAGTAAAAGGCATGTCTCACATAGCAGCAGACAAGAAAGTTTGCACTGGGAAACTCTCCCTTTTAAAACCATCAGATCTCCTGAGACTTTTTCGCCATCACAAGAACAGCACAGGAAAGACTTGCCCCCATGATTCAATTACCTCCCACCGGCTCCCTCCCGCAACAAGTGGGAATTCAAGATGAAATTTGGGTGGGGACACAGCCAAACCATATCAAATGTTTTATGCTAACTGAAAAAAAAAAAAAAAAAACAGATTCAAAAGTCTATATCCAATGCGATTCTATTTATGTGACATTTGGGAAAAGTCCAAAATTTAAGAACCAAACACAGATCAGTGGTTGCCTGGTGGTGGAATTAGGGAAGGCCTTCACTAAATTCACAGGGAATTTTGGGGGGCTGATGGAACTGTTCTATGTCTCAATTATAGTGATAGTTATATTACTGCATACATTTGTCAAAACTCATAGAATTGTACACTAAAAAGTGTGAATTTACTGCATATAAATTTTGTCTAAGTGATTTTGATATTAAAATTTATTACAAGATAAAGCTAATTATACAAGACCAAAATGTTTAAAAAGCAGGGTTTTTAAATATGACCATACAAACGAGAAATGTAAGGGTACTAATAAAGGGGGCACATTTTCTTACTAAATCTCGGGATATGCTATATTACATAATTCTTATCGTCACTACATTTTACAAAGCAATCTCAAACAGTATATTTTTATTTTCACAATGGCACACTAATATAAGCTAGGATAGTTTATTTAAAATACATTCTCCCCTTAAATATGACACCAAAAGCACAGGAAACCAAATAAATATTAGATAAACTGGACTTCATCAAAATTTAAAACTTTTGTGCCTTTAGAGTACCATAAAGAAAGTGAAAGACAACCCACTGTAGGGGAAAACTATTTGCAAAATATACCTGATAAGGGACTTGTATCTAAACACATAAAGAACTTAAAAGTTCTTATTATTCAGTAATTTTTTCAAATCCAATTTAAAAAATGGGCAAAGACCTTAACAGACATTTCTCCAAAGAAAATATACAAATGCCAATAAGCACATGAAAAGATGTTCAACATCATTAGTTATTAGGGAAATGCAAATCAAAACCACAATGAGGTAACCCTTTTACACTTGCAGTATGGCTATAATCAAAAAGATAATCTAGCAGATGTTGGTGAGGATGTGTAGAAATTAGGAGCTTCATGCACTACTGGTAGGAATGTAAAATGGTACAGGCAGGTTGGAAAACAGTCAGCAATTCCTCAAAAGGTCAACATAGGATTTCCATATGACCCAGCAATTCCATTCCTGGCTATATAACCAAGAGAAATAGAAACATACGTGCACACAAAAACTTGTACATGAATATTCAAAGTATTTAAAATTGTCAGACAGTAGAAACAACCCAAATAACCTAAAGCTACGAACTGATAAACAGATAAATTAAATGTGTTATATCCATATAACAGAATGTTACTTGCCAATAAAAAGAAATAAAATACTGATAGGGGCTGCAACATGAATGAACCTTGAAAATATCTTAAGTAAAAGTCAGTCACAAAAGACCACATATTATATGATTCCACGTATATGTGATTTCCAGAATAGACAAATTTATTGAGACATAAAATAGAATAGTGGTTGCCTAGGGCTGTAAGGGATTGAGGGGAGCAGGGTCAGGGTGTGGTGGCTAAAGGGTATGAAGTATCTTTTAGGGATTATGAAAATGGTTGTGGTGATAGTTGCACAATTCTATGAATACACCAAAAGCCATTGAATTGCATACTTTAAAAGGGTGAATTACATCTCAATAAAGTTGTTAAAAATATTCTATGTAAGGGGAAAGAGTTTTCAGTAAATACTAATAAAATAACTGAACTGTCAAAATGGCATCTATACAAATGTGTAACCTTAATAATTTTCTTGTATCTGTGGCATTAAGTTAGGAAAAATACCAAATAATTACCCTTTCTACTGAAGACAACTGTTGCTGTAATCCATCATACTTTTTGTTTGCTTCTTCGAAAAGAGTTTTGTATTTTTCTACTTGAGACTGTTGCATATTAATTGTTCGCTGCTGTCTCATAAAATCTTCTTCAAAATTTTTTACTTGAGACTTTAAATTCTGAATTTCATCCTCCTATAGTTATAAAGTTATAGATTATGTGAAAAAATATGTAAGATTTGTTATCAAAACAAAGCAGAAAAAAAGACGTTTCATATGTTCTTTGATATTTATACACGTTTCATGAAAAACAAATTAGTCTATTTTTATCTTCAAAAATGGAAGTCAAATGTTTTATTTGCATTTAATAGCTTACACTACATTTGTAAGACTAATATAGAGAATTCTAATTGTAGCAAGAATTTAAGATATTTCAGCTCTGTGAAAATTCAACATCTCAGAATAAAGTTCAGTACTTATATACAATTTTTGAATTCAAAATTTAACTATGATTTATATCTAAATAAAGTAATTCAAAAAATGTAATTGAAATTGCTCCTAAAATATCTTTGAATATTAGAGCCTTTTAAGAGGTTTTTAAAACTTACCTTTTTATTGCATTCACATACAACATTATCCAATTCCTCCTGCATAACATGGAGTTTGGCCTTTAGAAATCTGATCTGTGCTTCTGTGAATTTAAATAATTATATTTACTGTCTTTTGCTGAATCTAAGATGACATCAATTGTAAGACAGACCATTACTTTATAAAGAAGAAAATACTCAAGATGGGGAGTCAAATAGGAGATATCTGTTAGGGGGCACTATAGGTACTCAACAGTCCTAATGAAAAGGTCAATGACGAATAAATCCACTCAACAGAAAGAAATCACAGGTAGTATTCACATAAGTTTGCAGACTAAATTCACACGCACCAGGGTGGTCCAAACTACATCAGATTATTTAAAGTGTTCTCAGGTCAGTAATGTCCCTGAGAGTTTGGCAGAAACAAACATAAATCTTCTCTAGCAAAACTCAGCTTCAGTGCAGCCACTGTGATTACAAAATGCCACTGACTGTAACACAGATCCCAATTTCTGAGCAGTTAAAATGTAGTATATGTGTCTTTGAAGCAAAGAAATACACTAATACCTTACTGTCTAAGCTTTCTCCCACAAACCTTCAGGATCTATCTTTGGTACTTTACTGCCAGCAAAAGTTCATTATTCAATAATATCAGCAGTAAATCTTTGAAGTTTATAGGCCCATAAAGTAAATAAAGTGAAAACTGAACTTAGAACTCACTCATAAGTCATTCAGTGATTTGTTCAAAATGGCATAGTAGGAATATTATAAAACAACCCTTACCATCATGGAATTTATCTTGAGGAAACACTTGGAACTGCTCTGAGAAGTCATTAGGACAAATCTCACTAAGCCATACACATGTGACGTGCAGAGCATAAAACATCTCCATACACACTTCCAGCTTTTTTAAGTGCCCTCAGTGTTATCATGGAGCTGATGAATTATGGTTGGCTCTAACCCTACCTAGGTCTCTTTGGCCTCAACTCTCCTACCAGCCTCTCATGTAACTCCAGGTGAGTAGGGAGTAGAGGGAAATGACAAATTAAAAAGGGTGAAGTTGACAGTAGTTGGCCTCTGAGGGAAAGAGGGAAGAAAAAATAGGAAAGCATGACTTTTCCCATTTCTTTTTCTCCCTAACTCTAACCTTAGTAACTCTACCTCAACTCTAACTCAAGGAGCAGAGTGCTCCCATGTCTGGAGGCCCACAGTACTAAACTCTGCTCCCCACTCGACCCTAGCTTTAATCTTACAAAGTAATCTGTGCTCCCAAATTACCTCTTGGTCTTTTTCTCCCACACATAACCAAACCATTCCAAGCA
Source organism: Homo sapiens (assembly GCF_000001405.40). Classification (NCBI taxonomy): domain Eukaryota; kingdom Metazoa; phylum Chordata; class Mammalia; order Primates; family Hominidae; genus Homo; species Homo sapiens. The sequence continues at coordinate 56,392,946 of NC_000015.10, read as the reverse complement.
ATCATCTAAAATAAGAGAAAATTCTCCCAAAAGAGAAGACACCTAGGCCAGTGATACTAAAAAGGGAACACAGGGAGGCAAAGTTCTAACAGGGCCATGGGACATGGGACCATGTTCCTCTACCGAGGAACAATCAATGCCTGTGCATCACATCCTCTAAAGCATCTTAGAGAGACCTAAAGGCAACTTACTGCTCCATTTACCTTCCCTTACCATAACTAGCCCTAGAAAGCTTGATTAGATCAGTAAATATAGTAAGTGCAGAAGAAAACTGCTCCCTACTTGTGATTAGTAACACAATAATTATTATACATATAAATTATGATTTTTCACAGAATCAGAGAATTTTAAAGATAAACTGATATGGTTTGGATCTGTGTCCCCACCCAAATCTCATGTTGAATTGTAATCCCCAGTGTTGGAGGTGGGGCCTGGTGGGAGGTGAATGGATCATGGGGGTGGTTTCTCATGAATGGTTTAGTATCATCCCTTTTAGTAGTGTCCTCATGATAGTGAGTTCTCATGAAATCTGGTTGTTTAAAAGCATGTAGCACCTCCCCCGTCTCTTGTTCGTGATCCCACCGTGTGAGATGCCTCACTCCCTGTTTGCCTTCCGCCATGATTGGAAGTTTCCTGAGGCCTCCCCAGAAGCAGAAACTGCTATGCTTCCTATACAGCCTGCAGTACCATGAGCCAATTAAACCATTTCTTTATAAATTACACAGTCTCAGGTATTTCTTTATAGCAGTGCAGGAACAGACTAATACATAAACTTAATGATCATCTAATACAAACTACTAAATTTTCAAATGAATAAACTGCTATTACAGAGGGGCTAAGTGGCTTGCCTGTAGTCACAATTAATTGTATTATAGTTCAGCAGTAACTAGTTCATATATACTCAATTGTCTTACTTTTTTGTTTCAATAGCATAGGAGGCTCCTCATAAATTTACTAATGTTTTCAGTTGATCAAAATTTAGTATTATTATTCTAGTGATATGCAAAGAATGAGTTAATAAGAAGAAAAATTATATTCATTAGAACACTCATTTGATTGTTTTACCTGATGCAATGTCAATTCATTTGTCCTTTTGCATGTGTTGATTTAACATGCAATAAATAAAATATATTAACAGTAAATGAAAAAATTCAGAAAAACTTTTTTAATATTTTAACAATAAGCAATGGGTATTTTAACTTAAGTTGAAATGTATTCAATCAAATCAGTACAATATAGTCTTTTTTATTTTTACTTTTTATAATGGAAAATATGAAACATAAAAGTAGGCGAGTTCAATGAACCTCATTTACCCACCACCTATCTTTAACAATGACTGACCCATGGCCAATTTTATTTAATCTATAATCCCATTCATTCCTCCCTCCACCACATCCTACTAGATAATTCTGAAACAAACCAAGACATCACAATACATTTTTTTAAATGGAAGAAATAGTTCCCCAAGATTTCTTCTTCTAAGTAACTGTGCTATAAAGATAAAAATAAAAAACTAAAGAAAATCTACCTGTTCCAATGTCATTACTAACACCAGAAAAAATATCATCTATATATTCAGGTAAGCCTTCTTCCTCCAGTTGCCCTTCAATTTTGCTAATTGTTTTTGCAAGGGAAAAGTCTGAGAAATCCTCTGGAATGGCAACATCGTCGGCAGTTTGGACATCAGAGTATTTCAATTTAACACTAAAAAATAAAAATTAAATACATATGTATGTATATACGTACATATGAACAAAATAGGAAAGGTAGACAGGATATATGCCTTTTACCCAAATAAGCAGATCAAAATTATTATAAATTTAAATTTATGATGAAATCTGTAATTGATATTTTTAAGGATTATATTACAAGAGACTACTATTACACATTTTAAATTTATGATGAAATCTACATGTGATACTTTCAAGGACTATATTACAAGAGACTTAGCAGATTTTTGGTTTTTATGAATCATGTGACCACAGAGCTAGAGAAGGCTTTATGAGGCCAGATGGTATAGACTTTGCTTCCAAATAAGGCAATACCAAAACTAAGAGTATTGCACTTGGCCTCCTAGGTCAAATCCAGCCTATGACTTTTAAATTTACACGCTTCTAGAGAAAAACTGTACAAACTGACATCATCCTGGCCATAATTCTACAAACAGCAAAGAAAAATACCCCTTGAGAAAGAATTACAGAGTGAAGAGCTAATAGCTCAATCAAACAACATTTTTTCCACCCAAAGAAACACATTCTTAACCACAATCAATACTAACCAAAAAGTTGGATGTGAATTTTTTTTAATGAAAAGGAGAAGACAGACAAAATCAAACTCATTTCTAAAGGCACTGAGGAATAGTCCAGGCCTAATTCATTGACACATCAACAAATTTATGGTTCTGAAAGCCAAGTTCACTTTTAAAACATAAGCAAAGGCTTCACAATTCATTTTAATTTTTTGTGGGTACACAGTAGGTATACACATTTATGAGGTACATGAGATGTTTTGATACAGGAATGCAATGTGAAATGAGCACATTATGGAGAAGGGGGTATCCATCCCCTCAAGCATTGTTTGAGTTACAAACAATCTAATTACACTCTTTATTTTAAAAATATAATTAAGTTATTATTGGCTATCGTCACCCTATTGTGCTATCAAATAGTAGGTCTTGATCTTCAGAATTCTATTTGAAAAATCAACTTTTTTTAAAAAAATGTGAAGTCTGAAAAGATAACCCTTTCCAGTTATATATGCATGTATGTGGCATGTATGTTCTTTTCTTCAATCTATTGTATAGTTAATTTCTGTTCCTTATCACTTCACTCTATTTTTTCCATCCCTTTTATTAAAAAAAAAAAGTTATTTAAACAATTAAGACACAAAAGTGAACAAAGATTTTTCCAGAATTACAATACAATGATCAGCCTGGGTAAGTAATAGACAAATAAATTTAATAACTTACTGAAGATGGTTGGTGCAACCCAATCCTCCACCTTTTCTAGAAGGCATCCTATCCTAGGGAGCATCTTGGGTCCCTTTTTATGCTTATAATACTAAGAACCGTCTTGAATTCTTTCTCACCCAAAACAACAAAATGTAAATTATAATTATATTATAGTCCTATTTAGAGCATGCCAAATCATTCTGTAGCTCAACAGACAAAATAATATATGCATTTTGTCAAATACTCAAAAACTACACTATTGAGCCTATTTGGGAGAACTAGGCAGAGATTAAAAAAAAAACCCAGTTGTAGTCACAGTTCTAAGAGAATAACTCACTAGAAATAACATTTATAAAAATTTTAGATTTAGCAATTTTGCTTAAGAGAACAATATAAAATATTTGTTAACTGCTGCAAAACATTCCTGAGTAGAAAATGTTCTAAATTACTGAATGTGGATAAGATATATGTGGTGTAACTTAATGTTTAGGGTGTAAAAAGATCTGGAAAAACAAACAGAGCTTAATAATTAAGAATGATGGTATTGTGAATTACAAAACTAAAAAAAAAGAAATACTTTGAAAACTATACTATACCTTGAATTTGTTTTCCTTCCTTTATTTGCAGAGTGTAATTTGTTTTGAACCTTGTTTACAGGATCAATGTTTTTGGTCTTTGGCTACATGAAAAGAATTGAAAGTATTGACTAATTAGAGTCTAATCATTTGCCAAAGAAAGCAATTCTGTAACACATAGAATTTTGCTACACAGAAAAACTGCTATTTGCTATTTTCATGGAATTACCAAAAATGTGTTTTCAAGAATATCACAACTGTATAGCTGGAAAAGACCTAGATAACACCAAAACCAAGAAATTCAAGTATAAGGAAAATGAGTCCTAAAGATTCAATGGTATTCAGCTAGCCAGTGGAATGTCATGAATAAATCTGGACGTTCTGACTCACAGAATTTAGTTCTCCTCATGAACCAATTATTCCCCAGGCAGACCTCCCGTGGCCTTCAGGTATACAGTTCCCTTGGCTTAGGTCTCCATGGATGGGAAACATAGATCCCACTATGTTCTACACCTGGAAGAGTGATCTCTACACTGTCACTATTTAAATGAACAAACAAACTTTTCAAATCACCTTCTTTGTATATGAGTATCATTCTTTTTCAAGTCTTCTCTCTACTAGATTTAAGCGTCAGGAAAAAAAAATAAGCCTCAGTTTACAAAGTCATTTCACCTAACATTTTTTCCACTATACCTCCAAATTATTCAGTGAAATTATGAGACAACAAAGGATTCCATTTAGTTTATGAGGGACACTTCACAAATGCATCCCTCTGAGTATCAAGGTTCATATTCTATTTCTGTTGAGTCATACCCCTTCTCTGCTTTGTCTAAGAAAAGTCTAAAAAATATCCGGAGTTCTACAGAATATAATTGCATTCACAGAAAGTTTGATTTCATACCTTAGTTTCTGAATGAAGATGAACTATCCCTTCAGATGGTAACAGACCTCTACAGGCCAAAAATAAACATTATACATTAATAATAGATGACACTGAGCTGAGACAATGAAATTCAACAATTATATTTGAAAGGGAAAATATTCAACAATCAAACAGACTTTGCTATAATTCTAGTTACCCACATGTTAATTTATTTTGAATGAGTACCATAAACAAGAAAAATGCTTTGGTTAAATAATTCACCTTTGAGAAGATACACTATAATGCCAATATTCTAGTAGGAAAATGTAGCAAAAATTTTAATGAATGGAAATCATAAAGAGTAATTGTGGGCTATCCACAGCAATTACCCATTTTACAAATAATTCACCACAGGGCTTTTTATTGTAAGCCCACTCAATGTTACTGTTCTTTTAATCCACTTAAAACACCTGGTTAGTGCCTGTTTTCCTCATTATATTGTGAACTCTATGAGGGTAGAAATCACGTCTGCCTTGTTCAATATTCTATGCCTAGTCAATTTAAAAGTTTATATGCCAGGTACTACTGGCGTAAGTATTTGTTGAGTGCATGAATAAATACACGTAAAATGCAATTCATTTTTATACACAAGGTTTTCAAAATATATTTGTAGTTTCAAACAAGGAGTGTTTATGGAGGTCTGCAAACTATGGCCCACAGGCTGAATCCACCCACTCACTCATTTATGTATTATCTATGGCTGTTTTCACACTACAACCTTAAAGTTAAGCAGGTACAACAGACTATACAGCCCACAAATCTAAAAATATTTGCTATCTGCCCCTTTACAGAAAAAGTTTGCCTAACCCATTGTCTTGGGCATTGTATTTATATCTCTGAAAACATACCATGTTAGCATCCATTATTGCTATGAAAAAACTCCACTATATCCCCTGAGAACTCCTAACCATTGGAGAAGACATACAACTAAAATTATTTTCCATCAGATGCCTCCCACTTAGCTAGCCATGCATAAATTTTTTCATATTAAATACAAAGATATACTTAGATAAATAAACCTCTTAACTATTAGAAATACCTCTGGGAAGAAAAAAAGGCTTTCAAAATATGTTAAAAATTACAGAAACTAAATCATTCTCACAAATGACATGAAAATGTTTCCAAATGTTATACAAATTTTAAGTGTCCTCTTTAATCTTCCTCATTTTAAATTAATGTTTGTCATTTTAGTACATTTTCTGTACCTTTCATTCCATTCCCCAACATACATGCATACATATCAGCCAAAAGACATTTAAGGGTTATCTGTCTCCATCAGATTTCACAGTGATATTACTTTGCTAGTGTATTTTCATGAAAAGTAAGCTATAGTATGGTATTCTTACTTTTGTTTAACTCCATGAAATGTCTGTTTGTAATATGATGGAAATAACTGTATGGTAAACCATGCTTCAAGCAGACTGGAGGATACGTATACTACGTTATTAGGAAATTAAACTCTGGTTTCCCATCACATTTTTTGACAGAGTCATCCTGGGTGTTGAAGACCTATTAAAATATATTCTTCCTAATTATAATTATTTAGGTGGAATATCATTGTTCCAACCTGAAATGAATGGTTTCTTTATAGAATTATCTCCCATATTCAGGAATTCCCAACTGATCAACAAATGCCATGTTTTACATGGTAAAAGCCATCTGTTCAAACAGTTGCATTAAAAAAAAACTGATAGGTAAACAGAGCGTCATCATCACAACATCATCATCTGTTGTTAGCATCATTTCAGTTCTTTAGTTTACTGGATAAACATCATGTCTAATCTTATGTATAATCCAAAGTTTGGAATTTTGATAACTTAAATATCTATTTTTCATAGAATATCACAGTATTACATATAATAAAGATAAGTGGTTTCATGGTATATGTACGCATACATATGTCTATCAAAATATAAAAATGTGTAATTGATGTACTTAAAAAATACTCAAAAGCAACACATATTAACTTCTTGGAAGCAAGATCAGGTCTGTTTACTCACCACTGTAATACCAGTAGCTAGAACTGGCACTAACAGTGTTCAAAAATTATTTTTTTCAGGTTTGAGATATAATTGATACATCACACAATATACTCTTTTTACATATACAGGTCAATATGTTTTAGCTAATGTATATGGTCACATAACCACCACAACCACCAAGACAGAGAGTATTTCCACCATCTCAAAAAGTTCCCTTGTGTTCCTTGGTAGTCCCCTAACTCCTACTCAAGCCCCAGACAACCACTTTGATTTCTGTCCCTAAAGCTCTGCCTTTTCCAGAGCATCAAATAAGTGAAAACATAGATTATGGACGTTTTTTAGCCTGGCTTCTTTCACTTAGCAACTATGTTGTTATTCTATTAGTAGTTCATGTCTTTTTATTGCCAAGTAGTATTCCATTGCATGGATATACCATAATTTGTTTATCCAGCCACCAATTGATAAATATTTTAATTATTTCCAGGTTTTGGTAATTATGAATAAAATTGATCTAAAAATTCACATGCAGGTTTTTTCGTGGATATATGTCTATATTTCTCTTGGGTAAATATCTAGGAAGGGAAATACTGGATCGCATGCAATAATTATTTTTGAATAAATGAATAATGTCCCAATATTTCACATGAGCCAAATATACTGCCATGTCAGTAATAAGCTTCTCTTTTGTCTCTAAACCCTGTAGGGCTATGCACCTCTTATAGCCTACTTCTTGATCTTAGAATACTGGAAGGCGGGGTACCCATAGTTGTTTTAATATTTTAAAAGCCAGAAATAATTATAGTCCATTGTTAGAGTTTCTTTGCTGATAAAACTTTCCCCCAAACTAGTGGGTTTCTTCCCTATTTAATTTCAGCCAGTTCTACATGCCATTACATCACCTACAATTCTTTCCAAGACTAATTATTTATTTATTTCTTCACCTGACCTCTCTTTCTCAATTTAAAAATGGGTTACTTTAACACTGTCAAGCTTCTAAGGAGAGACTATAACTTTAGTTAGGTCTTTGCCATGGGCCATTTTACCCAAATGAAAAGTTTCACTATGTGCCATTTAATCTGATCCTTGCATTGAGGAGCCTTAATCCACTGAAAAATTGTATCAGTAGTCATGAAGTCCACATGTTTAGTCTGATATTTGTCTCAAGGTTGAATTTTGATAGGCTTTTGTTCCTTACAGATTTTCTCAATTTTACCTTGTAATTCTTGAGGTCTAAAACCAGCTTACTCCACAACTCCACAGTTACAACAAGGGTAATCAAGAGTGTGCTGTTGGCATAATGACAACCATATAGATCAATGGAACAGATATGAAAGTCCAAAAATAAAACCATATGTCTGCAGTCAACTGATTTTTGACAAAAGTGCTAAGAACATTCAATGGGGAAAGAACAGTCTTCTCAACAAATAATGCTGAGACAAATGGCTATCCATGTGCAAAAGAATGGAGGTTGACTCTTATACCACATACAAAAATTAACTCAAAATGGATCAAAGAACCTGAATCTAAGAGTTAAAACCATAAAGCTCTTCAAAGAAATCATGGTCGTAAATCTTTGTGACTCTGAATTAGATAATCAGGTATTCCCTTTTATTTCTGCTTACAAATCAGCCAAATGTTTCCCAAACTTGTCTCTTTAACAGGACATACTGTTGATATTGTGTTTCAGCCTCTTTCCCCAGAGAACAAGTTCATTAGACACCTGTTGTGCCTCCCAATTTACCACAGATGATAGTTTTACTAAATTCATTGCCACTACATAATATTAATCCTTTATCTTTCCAGCCTCCAATATCAGTTTCCTTGCTGGCTCCCACCTAACTGCTAAGGTAATGCCACACTTCTGAATTTTTGTTATGCAGCATTCCATTCCCAATACCAATTTCAACATTAGCAAAGATAAGCAGGATAGTAACCTAAAAATTCCAGTGGCTTAACCCATTCAATGCAGCAGTAGTGACGAAGAAAGATCCTTTTTTCTACATGGTCCACACACGGTCACCCAGACACCAGGCTAGGAGATTTTACCAATTGGAATTTTACTCATCTTCATGGCTGGAAAGTCATTTGGAGGTCCACACACCAATTTTTGTCTGTTTTGGCTTGGAAGAGATTAACTAAACTTCTGTTCATAGCCCAATGACAACTGTAAGAGACTTGGAATGTTTGGTGATCATCATTCCGTCTGCTACAATATGATTTCATAGTTTTATTCACATCGATTATGTACTTTTCCTGTTTCCTCTCTAAAGTTTTAAAAATGAGGACAAGAATATACATTTCAAAATAATATTTTGAAAATTACATGAGATAAAGGGCTTGCACTGTGTCTGATTGGTATAAGCCCCCTATATATACATTATTCTTCAAATTATAGATTTTTCAATGTTTGCATGCAAAAAAGATCTTACATAACGATCCATGTACATCCTTTTAAAAGAAGGTGCTTGAGAATTTAAGATACTTACCTTAAACTGTAATCATCTTCGTCATCACATGATTTCATTTGTGTTGAAACAGGCCTAGATCGTACTTCTTGCCGATCTCTCTTAAATGAGTAAAGATAGGTAATATATCATATAGAAAAAAAACCAAACCATTAAGATATATTCAAGTGCCTCTCTGAACATTCATCATTTCAGAATTGTCCAAGGTTTCCATAACATAAAGGCACGGAATTCTAAATGCTATAGTATGAAGATAAGGTCTATAACACTAGTTGCACCTTTCATTTGTTCTGGGTTAAAAAATTCCATCCTAAGGGGAAAATGTAAGAATATCAAGGCCTTTACATAATATTTCTAACTCCAGTTTCCCCAGCCCTTTAGAGTCTTCCAGCTTATACAGCATACAGCAGAAATTAGAAGGAGGCACAAGAAATTTAAAAAATAAATTCACTAAATGGGTAGAAAAATTTGTCTCAAATCAGGAAAAACTTCAATGTTGAGAAGACTGTGAAGATGCTAAAAGTGAAGTATCAGGGGTAAAAGCTTTTGGCAAAGACACATCAAGAAATGAAAGTGAGGCAAGAGGGTGGAATAGAAGCCTACACTATTCATTCCCTCTGCAGGAACACCAAATTTTAACAACTACCTGCACACAAAAACATCATCACAAGAACCAAAAATCAGGTGAGCAAACACAGTACCTGGTTTTAACTTCATATCATTGAAAGAGGCATTGAAGAAGGTTGGAGAGACTTAAAAAGCTGACACCACCCCTTCCTGACTCACTCCTGCAGTGGCTGTGCAGCCTGAAGAGTCTGTGCACTTAGGGGAGGGACAGCACAGTGACTGGGCGACTGTGCATTGAACTCAGTGCTGCCCTGTCAGAGTGGAGAGCAAAGTCATGCGGGGCGGAGACTTTGAGTACCCATGCATGGAGGAAGCATCTGGACCAGCTATAGCCAGAGGAAAATCACCCATCCTGTGGGTCAGAACTCCAGTTTGTCAGCAAGTCTTGCCACTACTGGCCAAAGTGCTCTGGGGTCCTAGGTAAACTTGAAGGGCAGTCTAGGATACAATGGCTCCATTTTCTAGGCAAATCCTAGTGCTGGGCTTGACTCAGAGCCAGAGGACTAGGCTGGCACCTAGGGAGACACCAATTGTGACCTAGGAAAACACCAACCAGGGCACTAAAGGATTGCTTATGCCATGCCTTCCCCAACACCAGGCAGTGCAGTTCACAGCAACAAAAGTGTCTCATTCCTTCTGTTTAAGGAGAGGAGAACAAAAAGTAAAGAGGATGTTATCTTGCATCTCGGATACCACCTCGGCCATGGAAGACAGCCAACAGGGTGCCAGGCAGAGTCACGCAGCCACCATTACAAGCCCTAGCTCCTAAATGACATTTCTAGACACATCCTGGGCCAAGAGGGAATCTGCTGCCTTGAAGGGAAGGACCCAGTTCTGACAGCATTCATCACCTGCTAAATAAAGGGACCTTGGGCCCCAAATAACCAGCAGCAATACCAAGGTATTAATAGCAGGCCATGGGCCTTGGGCTCTGAGACATACTGACTTCAGGGGTGATCCAGCACATTCCCAGTTGTAGTGGCTACAGTGAAAGACTCCTTCTGCTTGTGAAAGCAAAGGGAAAAGTAAAGGGGCCTTTGTCTTGCACCTTAAGAACTAGCACAGCCACAGCAGGGCAGAGCACCACGTGGACTCTTGGGGTGCCTGATTCCAGGATTTGACTCTTAGACAGCATTTCTAGACTTGCCCAGGGCCAGAGGGGAGCCCACTCCCTTGAAGGGTGAGTCCCAGGCCTGGCAACATTCACCACGACCTGACTGAAAAGCCCTTGGGCTTTAAGTGAACACTAGCAGTGGCCTGGCAGAACCCTGCTATGGACTGGTGGTGGTGGTGACCACAAGGAGAGGCTCCTCTGCCTGTGGAAAGGGGAGTGAACAGCAGGAAGGACTTTATGTTGTAGTCCGAGTACCAGCTTAGCCACAAAACACTAGAACACCAGATAAATTTCTAAGATTTCTAACTTCAATCTCTGACTACCAGACAGCATCTCTGGACCCACCCAGGGCCTGGGGGAACTCGCTACCCTGAAGGGAAGGACACAAACCTGGCTGGCCTCATCACCTGCTGATTGTAGAGCTCTAGGGCCTTGAGTGAACATAGGTGGTAGCCAGGTAGTGTTTATAGCAGGTTGTGGGCAACATCCAGTACTGTTCTGGCTTCAGGTCTGACGGAGCACAATCCCAGTGGTGCTGGGCACAGGGGTGCTTGCATCACCACACCCCTAGTTTCAGACAGCTCAGCACAGAGAGAAAGAGACTCCATTTGTTTGGGAGAAAATAAAGGAAGAGAACGAGTCTCTGTCTGGTAACCCAGAGAATTCTTTCAGATCTTATCCAAGACCACCAAGGCCTCTACAAGTCTGCAAAAACCCTAGTGATATTGGGCAGGGGGCCCAAGTGCCTTTAAATAACTGGAAAGCCTTCTCAAGAAAGACTGGCACAAATAAACCCAGACTGTGAAGACTACAGTACTTAACTCTTCAATGCCTAGACAGTGACAAACATCTACAAGTATCAAGATCATCCAGGAAAACATGACTTTGCCAAATGAGCTAAATAAGACACCAGAGACCAATCCTGGAAAAACAGAGACATGTGACCTTTCAGACAGTGAATTCAAAATAGCTGTTTTGAGAAAGCTCAAAGAAACCCAAGTAACAGAAAAGGAATTCAAAATTCTATCAGATAAATTTAACGAACAGATTGACATAATTAAAAAGAATCGAGAAATTCTGGAGTTAAAAATGCAACTGACATACTGAAGGCTGCATCAGAGTCTCTTAATAGCAGAACTGATCAAGCAGAAGAATTAGTAATCTTGAAGACATGCTATTTGAAAATACAGAGGAGACAAAAGAAAAAAGAATGAAGCATGCCTACAAGATCTAGAAAATAGGCTCAAAAGGGCAAATATAAGACTTATTGGCCTTAAAGAAGAGGCAGAAAGAGAGAGGTAGAAAGTTTATTCGAAGGGATAATATCAGAGAACTTCCCAAACCTTGAGAAAGTTATCAATGTTCAAGTAAAAGAAGACTATAGAACACCAAGCAGATTTAACCCAAAAAAGACTGCCTCAAGGCATTTAATAATCAAACTCCCAAAGGTCAAAGATAAAGAAAGGATCCTAAAAACAGCAAGAGAAAAGAAACAAACAACATACAAAGAAGCTCCAATACATCTAGCAGCAGACTTCTCCGTGGAAACCTTACAGACCAGGAGAGAGTGGCATGACATACTTAAAGTGCTGAAGAAAAAAATATAGATTTTAACCTTAGAATAGTATATCCAGCAAAAATATCCTTCAAACATGAAAGATAATAACAGACCTTCCCAGAAAAACAAAAGTTGAGGCATTCCATCAACACTAGACCTGTCCTACAAGAAATGCTAAAGACAGTTCTTTAATCTAAAAGAAAAGGATGTTAATGAGCAAGAAGAAATCATCAGAAGGTACAAAAGTCACTGGTAATAGTAAACATACAGAAAAACACAGAATATTATAACACTGTAATTGAGTGTAAACTACTCTAAAGTAGAAAGACTAAATGATGAGCCAATTAAAAATAATAACTACAACAACTTTTTAACTCATAGACAGTACAGTAAGACAGAAACAGTAACAACAAGTTAAAAACTAGGGAGATAAAAGTAAAGTGTAGAGTTTGTATTAGTTTTCTTTTTGCATGTTTGTTTATGCAATCAGCGTCAAGTTGTCATCAGCTTTAAACAATGGGTTATATGATAGTATTTGCAAGCCTCACAGTAACCTCAAGCCAAAAAACATACAATGACCACACAAAAAATAAAAATCAGGAAATTAAATTATACCACAAGAGAAAATCACCTTCAATAAAAGGAAGACAGGAAGGAATGCCACAAGACAACCAGAAAACAAATAATGAAATGACAGGATTAAGGCCCTTATCAGTATTAACACTGAATGTAAATGCACTAAACTCTTCAATCAAAAGACGGACTGGTTTAATGGATGATAAAACAAGACCCCATGATCTGTCGCTTACAAGAAACATACTTTACTTAATAAAGATATATATATAGACTGAAAATAAAAAGGGTAGAAAAAGATATTCTACACCAAAAAAAAAAAGCAGGAGAACCTATACTTAGACAAAATAAATTTCAAAACAAAAAATGTAAGAAGAGACAAAGAAGGTCATTATATAATGCTAAAGAGGTCAATCCAGCAACAGGATATAATGATTGCATATAAATGCATGCAACACTGGAGCACCCAGATACATAAAGCAAATATTATTCGAGCTAAAGAGAGAGCTAGACCACAATACAGTAATAGCTGGAGACTTCAGCACCCACTTTTAGCACTGGACAGATCTCCCAGAAAGAAACTCAACAAACATCAGACTTAATCTGCACTGCAGAACAAGTGGACCCAATAGACATTTACAGAACATTTCATCCAAAGACTACAGATACACATTATTCTCCTCAGCATGTATATCATTCTCAAGGACAGACCATATGTTAGGTCACAAAACAAGTTGTAAAATATTTTAAAAACTGAAATAATATCAAGCATCTTCTCTGATCACATGGAATAAAACTAGAAATTAATAACCAGAACTTTGGAAACTATACAAAGACATAGAAATTAGATGATATGCACCTAAATTACCAATGGGTCAATGAAGAAACTAAGAAGGAAACTGAGAAATTTCTTGAAACAAATGATAATGAAAACACAACATACCAAGATCTATGGGATACAGTGAAAGCAGTACTGAGAGGGAAATTTATGCAGCTGTAAGTGCCTACAACAAAAAAGAACAAAAACTTCAAATAAATGACTTAGCAATGCATCTTTTCTTTTTCTTTCTTTCTTTTCTTTTTTTTTCTTTCTTTCTTTTTTTTTTTTTGTTTCTTTGAGATAGAGAGAAACTCTGTTGCCCAGGCTGTAGTGCAGTGGCATGATCATGGCTCACTACAGCCTAGACCTTCCTGGGCTCAACAATCCTCCCTCCTCAGCCCCTCAAGTAGTTGGGACTACAGGCGTGCACCACCACATCTGACTAATTTGTATTTTTCCTAGAGATGGAGTTTCACCATGTTGCCCAGGCTGGTCTCAAACTTCTGGGTTCAAGTGAGTCACGTGCCTTGGCCTCCCAAAGTGCTGGGATTACAGCTATCAGCCACCACATCCAGCCAGCAATGCATCTTAAAGAACCAGAAAAGCAAGAACAAACCAAACCAAAATTAGTAGAAGAAAAGAAATGAAGATCAGAGCAAAAATAAATGAATTTGAAATAAAGAAAAGATCAATGAAACAAAAAGTTGGTTTTTTTTAAAGATGAGCAAAATTAACAGACTAACAAAATAAGGGAGATGACCCAAATAAATAAAATATGAAATTAAAAAGGAGGCATTACAACTGACAATGCAGAAATTCAAAGGCTCATTAGTGGCTACTATGAGCAACTATACGCCAATAAATAGGAAAATCTAGAGGAAACAGATAAATTCCTAGACACATACATACAACCCACCAAGATTGAACCATGAAGAAATCCAAAACTAAACAGAACAATAATAAGTAACAAGACTGAAGCCACAATAAAAAATTTTCCCAGTAAAGAAAAGCCCAGGACCTGATGGCTGCACTGCGAATTCTATCGAACATTTAAAGAAGAACTAATACCAAACCAACTCAAACTATTCCAAAAATTGGAGGAGGAGGGAATACTTCCAAACTCATTTTATGAGGCTAGTATTACCCTGAAACCAAAACCAAAGACACATCAAAAAAAGAAAACTACATGCCAATATCTCTAACGAATATTGATGCAAAAATCCTCAAAAAATACTAGCAAACAGAATTCAGTTTGCTGAATATTAAAAAGACCATTTGTCATGACCATGTGGGATTTACCCCAGGGATGCAAGGATGGTTCAACATACACAAATCAATCAATGTGATATATCATATCAACAGAATGAAGGACAAAAACCATATGATCATTTCAACTGATCCTGGAAAAGCATTTGATAAAGTTCAACATCCCTTCATGGTAAACACACTTCAAAACATGAGTATAAAAGGAACAGACCTCAATATAATAAAAGCCATATATGACAGACCCACAGCTAGTATCATACCGAATGGGAAAAACTGACCGTCTTTCCTTTAAGATCTGGCCTACTTTCACCACTGTTATTCAACATAGTACTCAATGTCCTAACTAGAGCAATCAGACAAGATAAAGAAATAAAGGGCATCCAAATCAGAAGGAAGAAGTCAAATTAACCTCATTTACAGATGATATGCTCTTATATTTGGAAAAACCTAAAGACTCCACCAAAAACTATTAGAAATGATAAACTCAGTAAAGTTGCAGGATACAAGATCAACATACAAAAATCAGTAGTGTGTCTGTATGTCAACAATCTAAAAAATAAATAAAAAAGTAATCCCATTTACAGTAGCCACAAATAAAATACCTAGGAGTTAACATAACCAAAGCAGTAACAGATCTCTACAACAAAAACTATAAAACATCAATGCAAGAAATTGAAGAGGACACAAAAAAATGGAAAGATATTCCAGTTCATGGATTAGAAAAATCAATATTGTTAAAATGTCCATACTACCCAAAGCAATCTACAGATTCAAGGCAACCCCTTGCAAAATACCAATCGCATTTTCACAGAAATAGAAAAAACAATCCTAAAATTTATATGGAACCACAACAGACTCAGAATAGCCAAAGCTACCCTAAGCAAAAAGAACAAAACTTGAGAAATCACATTACCTGGCTTCAAATTATACTATGGTGCTATAGTAACCAAAACATCTGAGTACTGGCATAAAAACAGACACACAGACCAATGGAACAGAATAGAGAAAATCCAGAAACAAATCCATATACCTACAGTGAACTCATTTTTGACAAGGTTGCCAAGAACATACACTGGATAAAAGACAGTCTCTTCAATAAATGGTGCTGGGAAAACGGAATATCCACATGCAGAAGAAGAAGACTAGACCCCTACCTCTTGCCATATACAAGTATCAAATCAAAATGTATTGAAGACTTAAATCTAAGATCTCAAAACTATGAAATTACTATAAGAAAACATTGGGGAAACTCTCCAGGACATTGGAGTAGACAAAGATTTCTTGAGTAATACACCACAAGCAAAAGTCACCAAAGCAAAAATGGACAAATGGGATCACATAAAGTTAAAAAGCTTCTGCACAGTGAAGGAAACAATAAAGTAAAGAGACAACCCACAGAATGGGAGAAAATATTTTCAAACTACCCATCGACAAGGGTAGAAAATATAGGGAGCTCAAACAACTCTATAGGAAAAAAAATCTAATAATCTAATAATCCAATTTAAAAATGAGCAAAAGATCTGAATAGACATTTCTCAAGAAAAACACACACATGGCAAACAGGCATAAAAAAAGGTGTTCAACATCAATGATCATCAAAGAAATGCAAATCAAAACTACAATATCATCTCAACTCTGATAAAATGGCTTATATCCAAAAGACAGGCAATCAGGCAATAACAAATGCTGGTAAGGATGTAGAGAAAGGGAACCCTAGTACACTGTTGGTGGGAATGTAAATTAGTACAACTACAAAGGAAACAGTTTGGAGGTTCCTCAAAAAACTAAAGTTATCATATGATCCAGCAATCCCACTGCTGCGTATAGGTCCAAAAGAGGGGAAATCAATATATCTTTTTTTTATTTTATTATTATTATACTTTAAGTTTTAGGGTACATGTGCACAATGTGCAGGTTAGTTACATATGTATACATGTGCCATGCTGGTGTGCTGCACCCATTAACTCGTCATTTAGCATTAGGTATATCTCCTAAAGCTATCCCTCCCCCCTCCCCCGACCCCACAAGAGTCCCCAGTGTGTGATGTTCCCCTTCCTGTGTCCACGTGTTCTCATCGTTCAATTCCCACCTATGAGTGAGAATATGCAGCAATTGGTTTTTTGTTCTTGTGATAGTTTACTGAGAATGATGATTTCCAATTTCATCCATGTCCCTACAAAGGACATGAACTCATCATTTTTTATGGCTGCATAGTATTCCATGGTGTATATGTGCCACATTTTCTTAATCCAGTCTATCATTGTTGGACATTTGGGTTGGTTCCAAGTCTTTGCTATTGTGAATAGTGCCGCAATAAACATATGTGTGCATGTGTCTTTATAGCAGCATGATTTATAGTCCTTTGGGTATAAGCTGAAACTGGATCCCTTCCTTACACCTTATACAAAAATTAATTCAAGATGGATTAAAGACTTAAACGTTACACCTAAAACCATAAAAACCCTAGAAGAAAACTTAGGCATTACCATTCAGGACATAGGCATGGGCAAGGACTTCATGTCTAAAACACCAAAAGCAATGGCAACAAAAGACAAAATTGACAAATGGGATCTAATTAAACTAAAGAGCTTCTGCACAGCAAAAGAAACTACCGTCAGAGTGAACAGGCAACCTACAAAATGGGAGAAAATTTTCGCAACCTACTCATCTGACAAAGGGCTAATATCCAGAATCTACAATGAACTCAAACAAATTTACAAGAAAAAAACAAACAACCCCATCAAAAAGTGGGCAAAGGAAATGAACAGACACTTCTCAAAAGAAGACATTTATGCGGCCAAAAAACACATGAAAAAATGCTCACCATCACTGGCTATCAGAGAAATGCAAATCAAAACCACAATGAGATACCATCTCACACCAGTTAGAATGGCAATCATTAAAAAGTCAGGAAACAACAGCTGCTGGAGAGGATGTGGAGAAATAGGAACACTTTTACACTGTTGGTGGGACTGTAAACTAGTTCAACCACTGTGGAAGTCAGTGTGGCGATTCCTCAGGGATCTAGAACTAGAAATACCATTTGACCCAGAAATCAATATATCAAAGAGATATCTGCACTTCCATGTTTGTTGCAGCACTGTTCACAATAGCCAAGATCTGGAAGCAACCAAAGTGTCCACTAACAGATGAATCGATAAATAAAATGTGATACATATACACAATGGAGTACTATTCAGCCATAAAAAATAATGAGGCCCTGTCACTTGCAACAACATGGATGTAACTGGAAGTCATTGAGTGAAATAAGCCAGGCACAAAAAGACAAACTTCACATGCTCTCACTTATTTGTGGGATCTGAAAATCAAAACAACTTAACATATGGAGATAGAGAGTTGAAGAATGGTTATCAGAGACTGGGAAGGGTAATGGGGGATGCAGGGGTGGGAGATAAGGATGGTTAATAGGTAAAAAAATATATAGTCAGAAAGAATGAATAGTACCTAGTATTTGACAGCACAACATGTTTATTATAGTCAAAATCATTTAATTGTACATTTTAAATTAACTAAAATAGTATAATTGGATTTTTTGTAACACAAAGGATAAATACTTGAGGGGATGGATACCCCATTTTCCATGATGTGATTATTACACAATGCATGCCTGTATCAAAATATCTCATTTACCCCATAAACACTTACTATGTAACCACAAACATTAAAAATTTTAAAAAGAGAAAGTGAGTAAATAAAAATTAAATATGAGAAACCTTATATTGTTTGCTTCTGCAGGGGTAGGAATCCATTCCCCAACCCCTTTCCTAGCTTATCCCAGTTTTCTATTCTGTTTTTTATTTGCAGGGGGAGATTCTTTTTACAGGGCTCTCTGAGTAGAAAACGTAATGAATCTGTCATTCTACTATAACGTGGGGTCCTTTTGTACAAGTATTTTCCTGCTTTTCAGACACTGGCAAAAACTAAAAGATGAAATAAAAATATTTGTAGTAAAACATTTAATTATAAATTAGTAAAACATATAAGTATAAATTTAATTATAAATATTTTTAGTAAAACATCTAATTATAAATTATAAAATACAAATCTGTAACCATTATCAAAATATATTACTTGAAATGTTATATATGATACATTTCTTATTCCTAAACTAACAAATAATCATGGATTTGTATAAGGCATGAAGATAAAATATTGCCTAGGTTTCCTTCCCTGCTTCCATCAACTCCATTTTGGGGCATAGGGAGGATAGAAAGTAAGAATCAAAATTAACTAAGAACTGATAAAAGTTTTAAAGTAGACTACTCCTCTAAGGAGAGTTGCTCTATTCTATCAATTAATAATGAGAATTTATAATGAGAATTTAGATGACTGGAGAATCTAAATGGAAAGTACTTTTTCAGTGGCTTTTAGAAAATGTGTGCTTACTAAAAACATATACATATATACATTCCTATACCTATGCATATATATTCATGTTCAATTTGTAATAATTCATTGAACTGAACACACATGCTTTGGCTAGTGTTTTGTATATATGTCATATATCAAATGAAAAAGATAAAAAACTAGCATTTATATAGAATTATTAATAATTGTACATATACTTACTATTATTTCCTTAGCTTGTTGAACCACGTCAGCTGTTTTTGCCTGCAATTCTGCATTTAAACGCCTAAAAGCAGAAAATAATTGGGATATACTGAAGATCTTAACAAAAATAAAAAATAAACTTCAGCAATTACACGTTATCAAGTGACGTAATCAACAAATGCCAAAATATACATATGGCATTCTTACTCTAAAATGAACACAGCCATTAAGAACTTATCCTCAACTCCCCATGATTCCTCCTTCCTTGTAGTAGGAACTCAAACACTAAGTATTAGCCTTTCTGTGGCCCTCTATTAATTTCAAGTGACGTAACTTATCTAATATATTTGGGAAGAATAAGCTGGGTGAGTTCAACTCTGTTCCACTCACCACCTCCTCGTTATTAGCCTACCTGCAAAGAATGCAAATTCTAACCTTGCTTCTCCAGAGACAGGCCCTGCTCTAATGTGGGCAGAAGTGGGCACGGTATGGGGGAGACCTGCTCTGGTTTGGGGTATTGCTATAACTGGGGAGCTAAATGTGAGGTTTAGTGAGCAGACCCAACGTGGCTCACACCTCAGATACATACTTTAATATCAAGCTTCCTCGGAAATAAAGGTGACTATTTTGACCTCTACCTGTCACTCCTTTTTTAATTATGATTTTTCATTCTACTTGGAATCTAGCAAGAATAGAAATACTATTTACTTGGTCCTATATTAAGACTGCAAGGATGACAATATTATTGAAAAAAATTGTTTTTAAACGAAAAACTGCCCATAATCCTACCACCACCATCCATTTTTATTTTTAATATTCCCTTCCAATTTTCATCTATAGCATACACACAATTTTGTACTGTTTTCCCACAGCAATATAAAAGGAATATCTATCTTCACGTAATCTTTAGAAGCATGTTAAACTGCTATACGATTAAATTGCAATTAAGATAATGTACTGAACTCTGTCCCTATTGTTAAGTCCCCTTTTCACTTTTAAAGGTTAACACCATAATAAATATATTCAAAAGCATATAACTTTTTTCTCCTGTTGAGATGTCACATTTCTAGACCACCTAGGATCTTCTGAGGTTTTGTGAAGGAGACATGTTAAGGATTTTAAAAATTAGATATCTTGTTTTTCTTAGACATGGGATTCAGAAGTAACACAAAACACCATCTCCACCCCCAGGGAAAAAAAAAGGGGGGGAGATTAGTACCATATCCTTTAACAGTCTGAAGCTTTAAGAAATATTTTTATATCTTAGGATTACCTGGTCAAAAGAAAAATATCTAAGAAAGACTTAAAGGTGCCTTTAAAGTGCCATTACCTGATTTTTCAAATTTCCCTAACAAGGACTTAATCACAAGGATTAAGTTTCCAATTAATATAGTGGACCAAGATGACTGAGAAGACTATGCTACTCTAAATCCATGGAAATGCCAGATAAAATGTAATGGAGGAAATATTGCTAAGCTCAAACTCAGGCAAGGGAAATGCCCTGGTACTAAGAATAAAGCAGCAATTCAAAGTGAGAGCAACAAACAGGAACAGAAGCCAAAATAGCTTAAAAGCTAGAAGCTGATGTATGTGAGTCATGAAGGGATACACCTGTGAAACACAGACTACAAAAATTCTACCCACAACCTTAGGTGAGCAGAAATGAAACTAGAACCACAGGTAGAAAAGATTCTCTTGTGAGTAATTAAAACAAACAAGAGGGAAGTCCAAATTCATCTTATCTAGGTGATACAAGGACACCATGGAAAAACTTTAAAATAGAAGAAAGCTGACGTGGAATCAATCAAAACTCGAAACTAGTAAAGGTAAATTGAAAACCACCCTATAGGAACATTTACTCATCTAGAATATATAGGACTCTCTCAAAAAGCAAACTGCTAAAGATGACTTCAGAAAGGTAACAAATTGCATAAAGAAACAAGCCACTGAAAGAGAGAATCAGCAGATGTGAGGAAAGGGAAAATTTATACTATAAGAACAAGAGATAATATAACAATTAAAAAAAGATTTTAAAATTAGCATTAATTTGGAAAAAAAAAATGCACTTAGAAAAACATTAGGCAAGAGCCAGATTTTATCATAAAAGAATGCTGAATTTGAAAAAGATCCAAATATAAATTACATAAATGAAAAACACAGTCACTGAAATTAAGAACTCAAGGAAATTTGACAGATATGTTGAACAGCATAATGGGCATAGAAGGAATGAGTGAATTAGAAGACAGATATAAATAAATCACCTACAAGGAGATACAGAAAACAAGGGGATAAAAACACAAAAGACAGGTTAACATCCATTGAAGACAGATGTTATGTTCCTACTTAACAGAAGTTATAAAAGAAATCCCAGAGAGGCCTGGGTGCAGTGGCTCACATCTGTAATCCCAGCACAGTGGGAGGTGGAGGGAGGATCACTTGAGGCCAGGAGACCAGCCTGGCCAACATAGCGAAACCCCGGCTCTACTAAAAATACAAAAATTAGCCAGGTGTGGTGCTGCATGCCTGTAATCTCAGCTACTGGGGAGGCTGAGGAATGAGAATCGCTTGAACCTGGGAGGCGGAGGTTGCAGTGAGCCAAGATCGTGCCACTGCCACTCCAGCCTGGGCAACAGAGCAAGGCTCTGTCTCCAAAAGAGAAAAAAAGAAATCCCAAGAGGAGAGAATGACAGTATTTCAAGAGCTAATGCTGAGAATTTCCCAAACTGAAGACATGGATCTCATGAAGAATAAAGAAAACAAATCCACCTGTGTATACATCACAGTGAAAATACAGAATTTTAAAGAGAGTACTCCCTAAACTACCAAATCATTATTTCAAAACAACAGAGAAAAATAGTCTACCAGCATAATTATCTAAAAAGCTGACAGCAGATGGCTCATTAACATTTCTGACATTCTAACATTTCTATCCTTATATTACCAACAGACAATATAAGGATATCTTTAATGGGCTGAGAAGGAAAAGCTGGCCATCTAGAATTACATTCAGATAAACTGTAATTGAAGAATAAATGCAAAGTAACAATTTTCAAAAAGACTGGAGAGTTTAAGACTCAGGTTTTCACAAAAAGTAATAAAGGGTCTACACTTCAGGAAGGAGGAAATTGAATCTGGAAAAAAAGAATTATGAAGATATCTGAAAACATGATAAATCTAAATTAGTACAGACTATAAAAAAATTGATGATTAACTGGGTGTGGGTGTATTCAAAACAACAAAGTAAAATATTATCTAATTTAAAAGACAGAGGACACCAAGTTAAAGCATTCTAACGTCTTTCCACATCACTAAAAATAAAGACATAATGAAAACCCATTCAATCCAGCAGAAGACAGACAAGAACCAAAGACAAGACATAATAGAAAATATAAAAAATAAGGTGGCTAAGACAACTTCAAGTTATGTAATAATGTAAATATATTAAATTCACTTATTAATAGGCAGAAATTATCAGACTGGTTATAAAAAGAATGCTCTTACTGATAAATGACATACAAAGTTTGAACATAAAGGGATGAAGAAAGATAGACACTGCATAATAATGAATCAAGAAGATTTAAATAAGTCAAACAAGATATTCCCAAACAAAAATGGCCACATTATAAGGAATTTTTTTAAACTATAATTATAATTGATGATTTTTAATACACTTCTAACAGAAACCAATAAAGCTGCAACAAGAAAAAAGGTGAGGATACCGATGTCATGAAGAACAAATATAAAACAGATTAGCCAACAAATAATAAATACATTTTCTATCAAAGAACGCATAGAACTTTTACAAAAAGTGAACAAGCACTTGGCCACAAATAAGTCTCAATACATTTAAAAACTTAATATCACATCAATTCTCTAATCATAATGCAATTTAAAATAAACTAGGCTGGGCCTGTAATACCAGCACTTTGGGAAGCCGAGGAAGGTGGATCATTTGAGACCAGGAGTTAAAGACCAGCCTGGGCAACATGACGAAACCCCATCACTACAAAAAATATAATACAAAAATTAGCCAGGCATGTTAGCACATGCCTGTAGTCCCAGCTACTCAGGAGCCTGGGAGATGAAGGTTGCAGTGGGCTGAGATCACACCATTGCACTCCAGTCTGGGCAACAGGGTGAGACCCTGTCTCAAAAAAAAAAAAAAATTAGCATGGCATGGTGCCATGCGCCTGTAGTCCCAGCTCCTCGGGAGGCTGGGGTGGGAGAACTCTTGAGCCCAGGAGGTGGAAGCTGCAATGAGCCATAATCACACCACTGCACTCCAGCCTGGACATCAGAGCAAGACCTTGTCACATACATACTCAGAAAAATAAAAACTAGACAACAGTAAACAAACAACCCTATGTGCTTGCAAACTAAAAAACACACTTCTAAATAATTACTATGAAAATCGTATAATATTTAGAACTAAATAACCATAAAAGAAATATACATCAAAACAAGTCCTGGAATATAGTTAACCTACAGTTGGAGAGAAATTTAAAGACTAAATATATTTATTAAGAAATAAGAAAAACAATAAATGAGGTAAATAAACTAAAAAACAAAAAATTAATCCACCCCAGTTAGAAGAGATCATTTGTCTTTATTTCTGTAAAGATTAATGAAATTTTAAAATAGCACAGATTAGCAAGAAAACCAAAGCTGGTTCTCTGAAAAGACCAATAAAACAGATAAATCTCCCAGGAAGCTTGATAGAAAAAGAAAAAGACAAAAATAAACAATATTGGAAAGCTACCAAAAGGAGGGGTGTACATGGTTATGGATACAGTCAAGATTTCAAACATACCACCATAGACTCAGTTTATGCTAATGTATTTTAAAACATACATGATATGAACACTTTTCTAGAACAAAAAATTATTTTAGAAATAACCAAAAACTATTCTAGAAATAGTACATCTAATCATTAAAGAAGCTAAATGCATAGACAAAAAGAATCCCCTTGAATAAAAGAACACTAGACTCAGACAGTTTCACAATTTTAATCAAAGGGCAGAAAATCTCTAATTATAAAAAGCTTCCAAGAAAAGAATCAAAAAAGGAAAACTATTCGGCTTCTTTCATACAGACAGAATGATACTGATATCAAAAACAGAAAGGAAAAGAAGTAGAGAAAAACTACAACACCCATTTCACTTTTGTTCATAGATGCAAAAAACCTACATAAAATTATAGCAATCAAATCTAGCAGTCTTTAAAGGAAAACAAGAAACCTGCCTTTGTAGTTCAGTATGTTAAAACATTAAAGGAGGGAAAAAGAACATACCAACAGCTGAATTAATTAGGGAAAAAATAAGTTTTGATACATTTAACACTCATTCAAATTAGGAATTAAGGGGAAGAATTTTAAACATAATAAAAAGAATCTACCAAAACCCTAGAGCAAACCTCAAATGTAGTGATTATTAAAAGTGGGCTTCTCAAAATCATAAACAAGGAAGCTCACCATCACTTTTTCTATTCCATATCACACGGGAAGTCCTAAACAGAGAAAAAGAGAGAATGTAGGAGAATTATCAAGGGACAAAATGATCAAAATTTGCATATAATTGTCTTCATCAAAAATCCAAGGGAATTCACAGAATGAATAAGAGAGTTCAGCAGGACTGAAGATCTGTGTGTATATAAACGCAGATGTAGCATCAACATCTAAAAATTCTACATTTATAACCAATTAGAAAATAGAAAAAATTCCACTTATTATATAGCAACTATTCAGTACCTTGAAGCAAATTATATACGCAAGAATTTTATGTAGTAAAATGATAAAACACTATTAAAGGTAAAAACCCATAAATGGAGAAGTATCATATTCGTGGAAAATTCAATAGCATAAATAAGTCAGTTCTCTACAAATTAATCTGTAAATCCAATGTAATTGCGATTTATGAGGGGGCTTGCCCTACCAGTTATTATGTTATCTTATTGTTTAGCTATCTGGTATTATAATACAGGAATGAAGCTTGAAAAATCTATCCACTTGAGCGATTAGCATCTTCCTTAGTCTATCCTTTCGGACAGTGATTATTTCCTCCAACAGAAGCAGAACTGCAAAAGGTTTTGGATTGAGGTCCCTGGGAAGTAGCATTCTAATGATCAATGCCAAGACAACAGGTGGCAAAACAGATACCATACTGTTATAATTTCATATTCTTGCTTACAGGGATGGCCAGACATTTTACTCTTCTACATGACACAGAAGTATTCTAGAAGATTCAGGTAGTGTAGGGAGTTACTCTGTTCATATGCTTCAGATGTGCACAACTCAGAGTACAGATAACAGAACAAGTAACAACTGGCCACCATATAATACTGTTTAGCTATCTCGTTTTATAAAGTAACTCGTGCTAGAATACAATAATAGTCCCTGTATATTTCTCATTTTAAGCAGGACTGTATCCCTAAGGATGCACCAGAACCAGGTGCAAAATACACTCTCAAATAACTGAACAAATAAACCTAATCCAGGTATTTAATACTATATGGTTAATGATAATGAAAATAACCGTTTTGATTGAGGCATAGCTGATAAAGAACTATATATAGAAAACAGATTAATTTGCTTAAGTACACTTTTGAACTGGGATAATCGGCCCATTTCATCAGAGAGAAGAAGATATGATTATCTTCCTACTTGCTGTGGTAAATTGGTCTGTGTATAGTTCACCTAAACACAGTACCTTTCAGTTTTAATTTCAAATATGCTTATAGATCATATGTAGATCATACGATAACTCTAGTTTAACCCTCTGATACAAACTGCCAACTATTTCCAAATTTTAATCTAGTTATTTTATATTAAAACGGAAGGGAGTTGTTAAAAGGCACTTTTTTATAAGGGTATGTATGATGGCAAATAAAACAGACATCGCCT
The DNA here is from genome assembly GCF_000001405.40 of Homo sapiens. Classification (NCBI taxonomy): domain Eukaryota; kingdom Metazoa; phylum Chordata; class Mammalia; order Primates; family Hominidae; genus Homo; species Homo sapiens. Next base: position 56,366,624 of record NC_000015.10, on the reverse strand, counting down.
CTGCCCTTGGAACTTACAGTCCAGTGGAGACAGACAAAAAGGAAATTCACAAATGAATTTATTGTAACAAATTATGCTAATTAGAAAGAAAAATCACTGAGACAATGAAAAAGACCAACAAGGGAGCCTACTTAGCATGGTCAAGGAAGGCCACTCACATTACAGGTTGAAGGCGTGTGTGACTGTCTCTTTCCTGAGATAGAAAGAAAACCTGGAAGAGTTTTTGGAACTAAAAGGCCAGTGAAGCTGGAGAGTTTTAGGGGGAAAAGGGGAAGAGGGAATAAGATCAAATAGAGGAGGCAGGAGGAGCCACATCGATCAGAGCTTTTGAAATGCAACAGGAAACTACTGTAGAATTTTAAGCAAAGGCATGGTAGATCAAATTAAAAGATTACACTGGCTGCTGTGTGAAAACTTGGGGATGAGGAGTAGAATGGGCCAAGAATGAAAGCACCGTTGTCAGGATAGTTGTAATTACACTGAGAACAGATAAGAAAAGGAATATTTGAACGAGAATGGTAATTCTGATTGCAGTGGGAAGCATCCTTTCAATTTAGAAACCAACCTAAAGGAAATTTACACAAGGTAAACTCTATGAACTTGATATTAAGCGAAATAACCTAAACTATCAAGTGAACTAACTATTCGTGGCAATTCCTGCTACCCAAATAACTTCCAACAGTATCTTGCTGTTTACTTGGGCTACGTTTTAAATTAAACAACATGCTTACTTGGGCTAAATTTTCGCCCACTTCAAATATCTTCTAATACGCAGGCGAACTACTCAGATCAAAGACAAAGAAAGGATAAACGGCAGGTGAACGAGATGACGAGAAGGGAATGCTGCAGAGTGAGTGGTCCCGAAGATCCAGCCAGTCTCCAGAAAAAAGTACTTGTAAGCAGCCTCATTCAGATGAAAGAAAGAAGGAAAAGTTCAACCGCCGAATTTCTTACTTATATTCTTCCTCCAAGGCGAGGAGGTCGGGTCCAGGTGTAGAGGGTTGCTGAACGGGTGGCGGGAACGGAGTCCCTGGAACGCTGCTTCTCTGTAAAAGAGCCACAGACTTTCAGACCCGAAGTTAAAGGAAGTTAGGCGTCCTAGTCGCCGGAACCCAGACGCTCCCCAGGAGCCTGGAGTTGAACTGACCGTGAGACACAGACTTCGCCCCGCCATCTTCGGCGACTGCGACGCGGTTACCGAGGCAACGACGCATCTTCCCGCGAGAGTTTCCACATCCCGGTTGCCTCCCGCCCGGGCGCCTACGCCTTCCCACTCTCAGGTTCTGTGCTGCGAGCGGCGCGAGCCTCTGGCAGCGGGCTCGGCCTTTGCTCGCAGCACTCGGCGCTGTCCCAGGAACCCAGGAAGGCTTCCTAACTGCAAATTCGACTTAGTTAGTGCAAATTCTCAACTTGTGGGGGTTGAAAGAGTTTCAGCCAAAACAGGCAGGTCCTTTGCCGCTACTCTATAGAAAGCAAGCTGGTGAGGCAATCCCTCCCTGTTGTGCTTTTCAAACCGTTAGTGGCTAATCCGACCTTCACCCCGTTTGCTTAAAGTGAGCTCTTCAGTGGAATTCAGAAGTTTTGATTTCTAATTTTTGTTTACAGCATGCATGGCTAAGACTCAGGCTCTCAAGTTAGTCAACCTAAATTATTATCCTGGCACTGCCACTTACCAGTTATATGGCCTTGGGCAAATCACTCTGTATATCGGCCACTTCATTTGTCAAATGGAAGTGAGAATAGTGCCCACTTCACAGTTATTATGAGAAGCAAATGAATTCGTGCTTAGGATCATGCCTGAAACACGTAAGCGGTTAACAATTTCAATTGTTTTGGAATAAAATTGACATCCAAAAATAAACCGTGATATGATGTATGGTCATCTGATCTTTAGAAAGGGTGCAAGACCATTCAATGGGAAAATAATTGTCTTCAACAGATGGGGAGACAACTGGATATCCAAATGCAATTAGACCCTTAACTTCACACCATATACAAAAATTAAAATGTATCAAAGACCTAAACTTAGGAGCTAAAACTCTAAAGCTCTTCAAAGAAACTGTTGGTGTAAATCTTTATGACCTTGAATTACAATTCTGAGAATCCTTGATGGATTCTTAGATATGACACCAAAAGCAGTAGCAAAAAAAAAAAAAAAGAAAAGAAAAAAGAGGCTGGGCACAGAGGCTCATGCCTGTAATCCAAGCACTTTGGGAGGCCAAGGCGGGTGGATCACCTGAGGTTGGGAGTTCAAGACCAGCCTGACCAATATGGAGAAACCCCGCCACTCCTAAAAAAAAAAAATTAGCCGGGTGTGGTGGCTCATGCCTGTAATCCCAGCTACTGGGGAGGCTGAAGCAGGAGAATCGCTTGAACCTGGGAGGCAGAGGTTGCGGTGAGCTGAGATTGCACCATTGCGCTCCAACCTGGTCAACAAGAGCGAAATTCCATCTCAAGAAAAAAACAAAAAAAAGGAAAAAAAAATAGATAAACTAGACATTATCAAAACTAAAAACCTTTAGTTTCAAAAGATACCATAAATAAAGTAACAAGACCACAGGAAGAGGGGAAATTCTTGCAAATTATATATCTGATAAATAACTTGTGTCTGGACTATATAAAGAAGTATTAAAATTCAAAAATAGGTAGGTGCAGTGGCTCATGCCTGTAATATGAGCACTTTGGAGGCTAAGTCAGGAGGATCACTTGAGCCCAGGAGTTCCAGACCAGCCAAGGCAACACAGCAAGACTCCATCTCTACAAAAAAAAAAAAAGGAAATAGATAAATAAAAATTAGCTGGGTCCAGTGGTACATGCCTGTAGTCCCAACTACTAGGAGACTGAGGTGGGAGGATCACTTGAGCCAGGGAGATCAAGGCTGCAAAGAGCCATGGTCACACCACTGCACTCTAGCCTGGGTCACAGAGTGAGACCCTGTCTCAAAAAAAAAAAGAAAAACAATTTAAAAAAATTTTTAAAAAAGACAACCCAAGTTAAAAATGGGCAAAGAAATAGGGATTTCTCCAAAGAACATATACAAGTAGGCAAAAAGCACATGAAAAGATGCTCAGTATTGTCCTCAGGGAAATGAAAATTAAAACCAAAATGAAATGCCACTTGACACCCACTAGAATGGCGATAATCAAAAGGATGGATAGCCAGGCGCGGTGGCTCACACCTGTAATCCCAGCACTTTGGGATGCTGAGGCGGGCAGATCACCAGAGGTCAAGAGTTTGAGACCAGCCTGGCCAACATGGTGAAATGCTGGGAGATAGAAGTTGCAGTGAGCCGAGATAGCACCACTGCACTCCAGCCTGGGTGACAGAGGGAGACTCCATCTCAAAAAAAAAAAAAAGGATGGACAATAACGTGTAGAGGAGGATGTAGAGAAACTTGAACCCTCATAAACTGTTAGTGGGAATGGGAAAATTGTGCAGCCACTGTGGAAAATGGTCTAGCAATTCCTCAATAGTTTATACACAGAGTTACCAAACAATCCAGCAACCACTGCTAGGTATACACCCAAGGAAAATGAAAACACACCCACATGAAAAGTATATGTACAAATGTTTATGTCAGGATTATTCATAACAGCCAAAATGCAAAACAAACCCATAATGGTCATAAACTGATTAGTAATTAAATAAAAAGTGGTATATTCATACAATGGAATATTATTCAGAAATGAGAAAGAATGAAGTACATGTATACCACAATATGGATGAACCTTGAATATATTATGCTAAGTGAAAGAAGCCATTCACAAAAGACCAAGTATTATCTAATTTCTTTCACAAAAGATCACATACTATAGGATTCTATTTCAATATGACTACATATTGTAGGAAATGTCCGCAATAGGCAAATCCATAGTGACAGAAGTAGATTAGTAGTTGTCTAGGCTTGGCAGATGATGGAGGGTTAGCTAAGGAGTTGCAGGGTTTGGGGGGCGCTAGTGAAAATATTCTAAAATCAATTGTGTTGATGGTGTACAACTCTGTGAATACACTAAAAGCCAATTAATAGTACACTTTATATGGGTAAATATAGATATGTGAAATAAATCACTCAAGCTGTTAAAACATCTTAAAAATAAACTATTTACAACATCGAGGGATAAAGAAAGGAACACTATGCTAGCACTAATCAAAAGGAAGCTGGAGTCGCTATATTAATTTCAAACAAAGATGACATCAGAACAAGGAAAATTATCAGGGACAAAGAGGAGCATTAATGATAGAGGTCAATTCTCCAAGGGGATAGAACAATCCTGGTGTAAATCCTCCTAACAGTAGTGTCAAAATGCATGAGGCAAAAACTGGTAGGACTTGCAAAGAGAAATAGACAAATCCATCATTATATTTGGAGACTTCAATACTACTCCTTCAGTAATTAACAGGTTAAGCAGGCAGAAAATCAGCAAGAGTTGCTCTGGACAGCACCATCAATTAGCTTGATCTAATTGACATTTATAGAATACTCATTTCAATAACAGCAGAATACACATTTTTCTCAAGGTCGCATGGAACATTCACCAAGCTAGAACACATTCTAGCCATAACACACTTTAATAAATTTAAAAGAATATAAATTATATAGTTTAGGGTAGCTGTAATAAAGCACCACCAAGTGAGTGGCTTAAAACAACAGAAATTTATTGTCTCATGGGTCTGGAGGCTAGAAGTCCAAAACCAGGCTAGAAGTATCACCAGGACTATGTTTTGCTTGAAACCTGCAGGGGAGACTCTTTCTTTGCCTCTTTCTAGCTTCTATGGTGGCTGTCACTTCTTGGCATTCCTTGGCTTGCAGCTGCATCACTACAACCTCTCTCTGCCTCTATAATCATGTAGCATTTCCCCTGTGTGTTTCTGCTTTTGCATGGCATTCCTGCTTTTCATGAAGACTCCAGTAATATCGGATGTGGGCCACCCTAATGACCTCATCCTAACGTGATTACATCTGTAAAGACCATATTCACAGGTACTGGGGGTTAGGACTTCAATATATGGTAGGGAGGGGGAGGTGGCACACTTTAACCTATAACCGAAATTATACAAACTATTTTATTGTGGTCCCAGAGCACAATAAAACTAAACTAAAAATCAATAACAAAACAGCTGGACACCCACAAAATATTTGCAAATTAAATTCATACTTCTAAATAATACATGGATCAAGTAAATATCTAGAGGAATTAAAAAAACATTTTGAACTAAATAAAATTTGAAATATAACTTATCAAAACCTGTGGAATGTTATGAAAGCAGTGCTTGGAGTGCTTAGCATTCAATGCATATATTAGAAAAGAAGAAAAATCTAAACTCTGAATGTCTACCTTCAAGGCAGCTAAAGGAAAAATATTAAACTTAAAGCAAAAGAAAAGTAACAATAAACATTAGAACATAAATCAATGGAACTGAAACAGGGAAACAATAGAGAAAATCACAGAAACCACAATCTAGTTAAAATCAATAAACTTATAGCTGTGCTAACCAAGAAAAAGAGAAGATCCAAGTAACCTGTTCTGTGTTATTTTCTGTGATGGTCAGTCAGGTGTGGCCATGAGAGGAAAACAACATTTATTATACTCACAGGTCCTAGAAATAGGACGCATGCCATGCCATACAGGGTTACATGGGGAAGCCTCGGGATAGTCAGGAGGCAGAAAACAGGAGGAAGAGAAAAACCTGGACTAGAGCCTCTATTGGAGTTTCCACAGGAAAAGCAAGGTAGAGTAAACCCATTAGGATTGGCTACTATGAATAATTTCAGAGGGCCCCGGAGTATAAAGGTTGTCCTTAATTATCTGGTACATAGCTCTGCAATGGCTAAGACAGAGGAAGGCCTGTTGTATATGGACCAGACAGAAGAGGTATGGCTTCATATTAGTTTTTTATATATCAAAGCCATGCTCCCTGGCTAAGCCCTTTTGCTTAGCTAAGAATTGGCTTGCCCCAGGAGGAAGCAGTTTCTCCCAAGCCAGAAAGGATTTTTTAAAGATGTCTAAACATCATAATATACAGAAAATTAAAAAATATAAACAATACAGTACCAACATTAGAAATGGAAAATAAGTCATCAATTGTCCCATGAAAATTAAAAGGATAATAAAGGAATACTATGAACTCTATACCCCAACATTTAATAAATTAGATGAAATGGACCAATTACTTGAAAGATACAAACTACCAAAACTCATGCAAGGAGAAATAGATAATCTGAGTAGGCAAGGACATTGAGTCAATAACCTTCCAAGAAAGAAATCACCAGTCCCAGATGGTTTCTCTGGTGAATTCTAACATACATTTAAGGAAGAAATAACAATTCTACATAATCTTTTTTGGGAAAATAAAGGCAGAAGGAACACTTCCCAACTCATTCCATGACTCTAGCATTACCCTAATACTAAGAGCAGTTAAAGACATTATAGGAAAACTACAAGCTGATATCCCTCATGAATATAGATTTTTAAACCCTTAACAAAATTTTAGCCAATATAATCCAACAATGTCTAAAAAGAATTATGCAACACAATGGAGTGGGATTTATTCTCAGTATACAAGGATGGTTCAATATTCTAAAATCAATCAATGAATTCAGCACATCAAGAGGATAAAGAAGAAAAATTATATGATCATATAAATTCATGCAGCAAAAGCATTTGACAAAATCCAACACCCCTGAAGGTACAAACTCTCAGAAAACTAGGACTACAGGGAAATATCCTCAAGTTGATAAAGAACTTCCACAAAATATCTACAGCTTAATGAAATTGGATGCTTTCTCCCTAAGATCAGGAACAACACAAACATGTCCTTTATCATCATTATTATTTAATATTACATCTGAAGTTCTAGCTAGTGCAATAAGACAATAAAAGGGAATAAGGAGTATACAGATAAGGAAGGAAGAAATAAACCATCTTTGTGTATAGATGACATGAATGTCTATAAAGAAAATTTTTTTAAAAAAGAAAATCCAAAAGAAGAAATAAAACTCTCCTGTAACTAATAAAATGATAAAAACAAAATTTGTGTATACATAGAATGGACAATACAATAATATTCAGCCTTAAAAAGAAATGAAATTCTGAGACATGCTACTACATGAATGAAACTTGAAAGCATTTTGCTAAGTGAAATAAGCCAGACACAAAAGGACAAACATTGCATAATTCCACTTATTTAAGGTGCCTAGAAATGGTTAATTCATAGAGACAGAAAACAGAGTTTACCAGGGACTAGGGAGAGAGGAAAATAGGGAGTTATTTTTTCATGAGTACAGAGTTTCTGTTTGAGATGATGAAAAAGTTCTGAAAATGGATAAAGATTATTAAATCATTGCACAACTTTATGAATATATTACATTTAATGCCACCAAATTAAAATATGGTTGACATGGTAAATTTTATGTATATTTGACCACAATAAAAATTTCTAGTAAAGGGGTATCCTATAAAATATCCAACCAATACTCCTCAAAATTGTCAAGGTCAACCAAAACAAGGCTGTGAAACTGTCACAGCCAAGAGGAGCTTAAAGAGATATAACAGCTTTGTAAAGTGATTATATTAGTCTGTTCTCACACTGCTATAAAAAATACCTGAGACTGGGTAATTTATAAAGGAAAGAGGTTTAATGGACTCAAAGTTCTGCATGGCTGGGGAGGCCTCAGGAAACTTAACAATCATGGCGGAAGGAGAAGCAGGCATGTCTTACGTGGCGGCAGGAGAGAGAGCAAGTACGTGAAAGAGGAAATGTCAGACACTTATAAAACCATCAGATCTCATGAGACATCACTCACTATCACGAGAACAGCATGGGGGACACCACTCCCATGATTCAATCACCTCCCACCACGTCTCTCTCTTAACACGTGGGGATTATGGAGATTACAATTCAAGATGAGGTTTGGGTGGGAACACAAAGCCTAACCATATCAGTGACATACTGGACCAAACCCTAGAATAGGAAAAGACATAGTAAAATACAAGGAATTCTGAATAAACTATGGACTTCAGTTAATGTATCAGTAATGGTCTACTAATTTCAACAATTTAACCATATTAATGTAAGATCGTAATAATAGGGAAAACTAGGTGCAGGGTATATGGGAACTCTCTCTACGATATTCTCAGTTTTTCTGCAAATGTAAAACTTCTAAAAAATTAAATCTTTTTTTTTTTAAGTTAAAAGGGATTTTCTTCTTCAACAAAATTGTGAGCTAGATGATCTGGGACACCCTTCCACTGCACAACGACCAGATTCTGGAAAAAAAAAAAAAACTTATCTATGCATTACTGAACTTGAAGAAAGTAGGAGAAATTTCCATGTGTCCTCCTGACATCTCATTCTCCAGATCTCTTCCCCACAAATAAACAAGATCTTCTGATAGTAGGCATTTAAGAATAAAAAGGTTAAGCTGAGAAAATGCCCCAGGGAACTGTATTCAGAAAACAAGGCTTACATCAACAGCAATATGGAAGAGCTGAATCTGAGACCTCTGTGCTAATCTAGAAACCAAAAAGGCTAAAAGTCATTTAGACTGGTAGTGCCCCAACGGTCCTAGCAGATTCAAACACAAATCTTTTTCAAGAAAAAATTTCTAGTTAAGCCCACTAAATTCCCAGGTTAAGATTAAGACAATGTGAGTTCACCATCAAAAATCACCAGACATAAAGGAAGCAAGTCACCATAAGTGCAAAATTAGAAGAAATAACAAATATTTAGACTTCCAATAAATTCAGATATTAAAATTTTATCAGCTGTGAAATAGAGAAAATCTATTTAGAAAGAAATAGAAATAAGGGACAGAATCACAACAATGAGCAAGCAAAAAGAGACCATCAGGAATGACCAGGCAAATATGATAAATAATCAAATGAAGCTTGCAGATATTAAACACATATTTGTTGAAATGAAAATACTCAATGGACAGGTCGAATGGCAGATTATAAACAGATAATTAGTAAACCATAACATATCTGAAAAAATTATTCAGAATGAACAGAGAATGGTTAAACAGTACTGAAGTTAGACTGAAAAGATCTGACATATAAAAAAATCGGATTTCAAGAAGGATAGATTTGAAAAATTGAGAAGCAATACTACAAAAGTTAATTCCTTAGAATTTTCCAGAATTTAGGAAAGATACAAATATGTAAGTTCAAGAAGCATGGTGCATCACAAAGAGGATAAATTTTTAAATATATTCCTGGAGCTGTCATAATGCCAAAACACCAAAGAAAAAAGAGATCTTTAAAGCAGCCAAGAGGAAAAAAAGACAAATAACCTACAAAGAAGCAATTAAAGTAGGTGTTTTAATAGCTACAATGAAAGCCAGAAATACAATAAAATAATTAGCAGAATTTGATGATGATAAGCCCCATTATAATGAAAATTTGGATCAAGCATGCTTGGTTATTAATGACCAATTACTCACTAATGAATGGCAGCCTTCTGTCTAGTTCTATTCTCAAACTGGGTAGGACAAACTTCTATCTTCTGAATTTATAGGGTAGGGGACATAGTAAGGGATTGGTGGGAAAAGTCAGCACTCTATCTCAGGAAACAGTGAGCCTGAGGATGACTCCTTTATTGACAGTATTCTTATAGCCCTATCTCTTTTGATTAGACCGACTAAATGGGACCCAGCTAAATACGAGATCACTACAATTGCTGCCACTGTTCTGGAAGTCCTAGCCAGTGAGACAGGATCCAGAATTGGCACCATTTGACATTTATTTTGGAGCAGATAGCCACCACCACCACCATGTGATGCCAAACCACAACCAGGATGAGCAAATATTTTAATTATAGAGCCAGACCACTGGAACTTCTAGTCAAACAGCTAGACAGGCTCAAGTGACTCATTTCTTTAATTATCACAATAAGCCCACTCTTCTTTTCAGGAAGTTAAAAATATTCAACCTCACTAATCTTAGTATGAGGGGATTTTACTGTATCTTAAAAGTGATCAAAGAAAATAATTTCAGTTTAGAACTGTGCACTCATTCACCAATACTGTATTGCAAGATGAGGGTGAAATAAAGATATCTTTAGATAAATAAAACCTAAGAGATTTGGCACACACGTATGCCTACCAAAGGCACTTCTAAAGTACATGCTTTAGGAAGAAAAAAAACACTAGTGGAGTATTTTGAAACACCAGAAGAATGGTGAGCAAACAAGATGATAAACATGCATGCAGGCCTAAATAAATAATTTATCTAAAGGTCCTACTAATAATAATGTCTAGTTTGTGGAGTTTATCAGAAAAAGAAGACTAAAACATTGGATTCTCATCCAACTAAGAATAGAAGGGAACTTCTTCAACCTAATAAAGGGCATCTCAAAAAAACCCTACATCTAACATTATTTAATGATTAAAAAATCAAATGCCTTCCTCTTAATGTCAGAAACAAGACAGGCATTTCCACTGTCATCACTATTTATAATCATACTGAAGAACTGAAGGTTCCACCTTGTATAACGAGGCCAATCAATTGATAATCTTAGAAATGAAGAAATAAAACTTTTTGTTCATAGATGACATCATATGTACTTAGAAAATACCAGACTACAAAAAATTCATGAAAGTAGTTGGCGAGTTTAGCAAAGTTTTAGGATGCGAGGTCAATATACAAAAATTAATTATACTTCTATATACCATACTATAAAATTCTATTCTATAAAATTATAGTTTTATATACTATAAAATTTGATTTCCAATTATTCATAATTAGTATGTTCATAATTAGTATGAACAATTGGAAATCAAATTTTAACATGCAGTACTATTTACAAATGCTTAGGTATAAATCTACCAAAACATGTACAAAATATGTATGCTGAAAGCTGCAAAACATCATCAGAAAATATCAAAGATAACTAAACAGAAAGATACACTGTGTTCATGGATTGGTGGACTCAATATTGTTAAGATGTCAGTTCTCTCCAATCAACATCCTAGCAAAACTTTTGTAGAAATTTATCAGCTGATTCTAAAATTAGATGGAAAGACAATAGAATGACTAGCCAAAACAATTTTGAGAAAGAATAAGAATAGCAATGTTGAAGAATTAACAATAACTGATTCCAAGACTACAGTAATTAAGATGGTTTAGTGCTGATAAAAAATGCAGACATGTAAATCAATGGAAAAGAAGAGACAGTCCAGATGTAGACCCACAAATTTTAATAAAATGAAATGGAGAAAGGATAGTTTTTTAACAAATACTGCTGGGATAATTGTAAATCCATATTTTAAAAAAGCTAATCTTGATCCATATATCACACCATATAGAAAGTAATTTGACAGTGTCTCATAAAGTTAGACATATACTTATAATACAACACAGCAATCTAGGTAATTACCCAAACAAATGTAAGCTTGTGTCAAACACAAAAGACTATATACTGAATTATTTCACTAATATTAAGTTATGGAAAAGGTAAAACTATACTGACGAAAACTAGATAGATGTTTGCCTAGAACTGGGAATGGGAGGAAGGCGCTGACTGCAAGGGGCCATGAGGAACTTCTGGTCATGTTCTATATATTGATCATGGGCATGGATATATGACTGTATATAAATGCCAAAGCTTACTAAACTATACACTTAAAATAGGTAAATTTTATTGTATGTAAATTATTCCTCAATCAAACTAGGGAAAAATAAATTGGCTAAATTATTCCTCAACCTTCCTTGAATTCAGTTTGACTTACTTGAGTCACTTTTTGACTAAGAGTCATCCATGTCCACCCTTCTTCATACAGTACTGTCTTCTGTATCATCAACTGTTGTTCAGTCTTTATTAAAAGTGCACCACTATTTTCTATTTTCTCCAGAATTTTCTTCCATGCCTCTAAGTAACACCCATTCTACAAGTTTTGATGTAAATGTTCAAGCAATTATAATCATATTACTTTTGCTGCTTGCCTGACTGTAAGATGCCTCTGACTTCAGATATATTAAAATGTGAAAAAAATGTACATCTTGGAATTGAAATGTGATAGAAGGGAACAAGGTTTAAATACTTGTGAAATAAACTTTGTTATTATTATGTAATAATCTCTTTATCTCCAGTAATGCTTTTTGGTTGGTCACTTTTACCTGATATAAATATAACTAACACAACATTCTTTTGATTTTCCTGGTATGTCTTTCCCCCACCTTTTTACTTTGAGAGATCAACCTTGCTTTTACAATTAAAGGGCTCTAGAAACCTAGTGTTGGTGTTCAGCAGTGTCCATGATGACTGATGGAGGTAGTTATTTGACAAAGCAGTAACAGTAGTTTAAGATAAGACTTGTTAGTATACAAGATACACCTCCAGGGACTCCCAGAAATACTTGGGGAACATTGCAGATGTGGCTGATGTCCTCTGCAAGCACGTGGAGCAAAAGCCAGTGACATCTGAGTATTAATGTAATAATGATTCCTGTCTCTGTCCTCAGTTGACTTAATTCAGAATACATATATACAACATATAAAAATGTACTTAAAAGCCAGGAAGGATTCTACTAACATGTTAGCCTGGATTATTACAAATAATCAAATCTGCATTTTCTATTTCACTACAAATAACACATATTACCTTTGGAATATTTAGAACACTACAAGCAAAATGAGAGAAAAATAAGATAACCCATCTAAAATATAATGGAAAGATTGAGCAATAGGCAGACTGGAAAAAGGCCTCTAAAGCTGGCAAGAAAGAAGTCATTGATAGCCTCAGGAAAGACATTTATAGTAAAGTACAAGAACTAGGAGCCATATTAGAGGGAAATTAGTGGAAAGCAATTACTCTCAACAATATGTTTGAGGAATTTGGTGCCAAAGGATAGTTGCATATTTCTTTTGAATCAGTCCATGTCCAAAAATCTAAGGCTTAGGCCTAACCAACTAAATTGCCTCATGCTGATTTATTCCTGTATGTCACTTTAAATTTTTACCATATCATCTCTTTTTATTAGATTTTGTTTTCACTTTTTGTTAGATTTCATTTCAAATAAGTAATTTTAAATCACAATTTTAATCATGGTCAAAAATTACTTTTAATATTATTTGATTCCTTTTAAATTAATGTAACCTTAAAAGAAGCTATTATTCACAACTCAGAAAGCTGTAGATTATAATTCTGAAAAGTGTACACTGTTAGTTCAGAGTACTAAGATGATTTTATATTTTTCCCCAATGGTTTTATAAAAATATCAGAAATTGTGGTTTTGTAAAAATACCGGAAGTTGAGTAATAAATGCTATTTTTATTTTTTACTTACAAATAGTCAAAGCCAAATATTTTTTGTAGCATCCTTAGAAACTGACTATTCATTTTTTAACAGATTAGTCATGGCTGTCTTGAGAGGAAGTAATCAAAATCAAAACTATAGCATGTACATTAATTTAATTAAAACAAGCTTATATTTTTATTTTTTCTTGACAAACTTTGGGTTCAATCAGCTGTGGTCATGGTATTGACATCCTAGAAACCTCAGTAGTGCTCCCTGTACTTAAGGGGTACTTCTGATCTATTTGTGCAGAAAGGGGCTGTGAGCACCTAAATATTGTGCCCTACCTCACGGGAATTCAAATATTTGCTTCACTTTTACATAATTCCTCTAACAATAGGAAAGCCTGGGAAAGACAGTTTAGACAATGCACCAAGTGGGAGAGAAGATGGAGAAGAGAAAATAGCAATTTAAAGATATTTAGAAATGTATTTTCCAAAGAACTCTCATATAGTATGAAACTATGTATCAGAGCTCAATTTTCATTAACTGATCAAACATCTTATTTCAGAGTTTGGTGGGAGTCACTAAAATTTGCTGCATAAAAAGGTAATTTCTAAAATTTTAAAATAATATATCTCTGATATGACAACAAATATGTTTGCTGCTTTCCAGTAACCTGATATAAAATATCATCTGGTAAAAATACTGAAAATAACAGAGATAATAAACAAGAACAGAAGTGCCATCAGCCACTGCATTGTCAAAAGAAGAGTAAATTATTTAAATAGGTTTATACTAATAGAAGACAAATGGCAATGCTTGAAATAGAAATACAGGGCGGGGCATGATGGCTCACTCCTGTAATCCCAACACTTAGGGAGGCCAAGACGAGCGGATCGCCTGAGGTCAGGAGTTCAAGACCAGCCTGGCCAACATGGTGAAACACCATCTCTACTAAAAATACAAAAAAAAAAAAATTAGCTGGGCGTGGTAGTGGGCACCTGTAATCCCAGTTACTGGGAAGGCTGAGGCAGGAGAATTGCTTGAACCCGGGAGGCGGGGATTGCAGCGAGTTAAGATCGCGCCATTGCACTCCAGCCCAGACGACAGGGCGAGACTCTGTCTCAAAAAAAGAAGACGGCAATTAACTTCTGGCTGTGCCTTTATCTAACACTTCATTACTCAACACTTTCCAACCCACTCCTGTCTAGGATTCCTTCTAAAATTGCACATGCCAAATTCCTGGAAATGAAGTTCATTCACAAAGTGTTAAAGTTGTGGGTTCTTTCATTCTTGTTCATTTTAGAATAGCTTTAAGCTCACTTACAAGGATATCTTTAGACCAAAAGGTTTCTTATGTACTTATCTTGCATCCTCTTCCCACCCAATCTCAAATACTAAAGGGGATGATAATAGTGTCTAAAATGCCTTGTTAACAAAGTTATGTACTGGGAGTTAAATAAAACCAAAATAAAGAAACCAAAATAAAGCATTTTGTAGAGAAACCAAAATAAAGCATTTTGTAGAGAACTCAACTTGATACTTTCTTTGAAATAACATTTTGAATTAAAGAAATACACAATGACAAAAAGAAGTTTTCTCTTTCACATAGAGGATATTAATCCAATCTTTGTGCCTATATTGAAAATGATTTTTTGAAACTAGAATTTTTTTAGTTCAATATTATGGTAACTGCTAAGTCTGATTATTCATGACATTTGCAAAAACTATGGGTAATGACCTGTAGCTAGGCCTTTTTCTTGCCTAACTAAAGACACAGAGATCATTCAGGGCTTTTCCTGCTGTTCTCCCATTCTCTCCATTCAAAGAAGCCTTACACAATATGCAGATACTGCCACACTGGCTGCACTCGAGCTCTTGGGTGGTTTCAGTCCTCTGCATGTGACATAACTTTTTTTATATTCAAGTGGAACTACACACTCTAACTTTTTGAGGGCAAACTGAGAGGTTTTTACTTGCAATAAGATATCTTCTTTAAAGGAGGATGGCATTCTAACTCCCTTGTAATTGCATTTTGTGCTGAAATATTCAACAGTGATGATTTCCTATCATGACTTCATTATCTCATTGAGACAGGTTTATTAGGTAGGTCTTTGTCCTTTCCTAGAAACAATAAACAGAAACCTGGCATAAATTTCAGAACAACGTTACTTTGGATCTACACATTTCTTGTGTATTGTTATAATGTGAGATTTATCTTTCTTAGAAAGGTACACAAAATCGGGGTAAGACTCACTCTTGAATTATGATTAACATCCACAAATCATCATCTTTTCCTCAAGACACGGAAAACATTATTTGTTGTATCTTAAGTTTCTGGGGTTTGGCAGCCTATGAAGGGAAAATTGACCACTGGTCTTTGAAACAGTGACTCTCAGTGAAGCTATGGAAATATTTTGCCATTGCCATTCTTCTACTCCATTGCCTTACCAACTCCATTGCCACACATACTAAAAATACCTTTCTTTAAGCACTCATCATATGTCACATTCTTGCCTGGTCTTGGCTTCAGCTACCTCTCAGTTAATCAATTATCTTCTAAAGTAAATTATTTAAATAGGTTTATACTAATGGAAGACACAACAAACCCCTTCCATGACCACTGTCACTTTAGTCAGGGACTTTTTAAAGATCAATACAAGCTCAAGGCCTAGCGAAATGAATAAAAAAAAGTATGATATTTATGGGACCAGGATTGCTGTATTCCCCAGCAGAATGAAACTAATGGTTGAAACTCTAAATTAGGCTAAATAAAAGTTCAGACTCACCAGGTCACAAGGCTATTCTAGATTAAATGAGTAGAATCTGAAATTAGTTGGTGTGAAAGGCATGAGAACCTTCCAGGCATCTGTGGGCCCACAATATGGCTACCTTCTTATGTAGCCCCTTACCACTAGTGCCTACTCAACACAACATAAACTTTATCTCAGTTACTAATTTCAAATGCCTTTCCCATTGCTGTTTCTGGAATCCTTAATAGGAATCCAGTCTACTTTGTTGTTCTCCAAAATCATCCTATCATTAACAGGCCAAAGGTTATGTGGGACATGTGCCCTTGAACACTGTAATTTGAATCTCTGGACATTACACACTTGCCAACAGGGAATCATAAAACATAATGTATGTATATATTTTGCATATTAATACAGAAATAATATTTAGCAACAAAATATTTAGCATCTATGCACCAGACTTTGTACTAAGCATTGGGGATACAAAGATAAACAAATAAACTAGGGTGCCTGGGCTCAGATTCTTGAAAAAGAAATATACACATAAGTAATTTCACTACAATATAAGGACTATAAGCAAACATGACACCGGGACCTATGACAGCACAGGGGAGGGACAGCTCACTTTCAACCTAAAGGAGAGGGCAGTAAGGGAGGGCTTCTCTGAGAAGGTAAAGTCTTAACCGATTCTTGACAAATGAACAGATGTTCTTTAGGTTAAAAAGAGAGAAATGAGAAATGAGGTTCAACTTCTGGTATGGCTTAGTAATTTACTGGACCAACCTATTTGCAGATAACTATAAATCTGGACACAAACACACACACACGCACACACATACATATATATATGCACTCACAAGTATATACACGTGTGTATATATATACACACACATATATACACGTGTGTATATGTGCTTATATACATATACACGTGTGTGTATACACACACATATGCACAGAAAGCCACCTGTAAACACTGGAGAATGACCAAGAACAGGCATTTTATGAAAGGAAAACGATACTTGGGTGAAGGGAATAGCAGGGTGTGGGTTTCCTATTTTAATAGCTTTAGTCTGAGGGAACGCTGCATTTGGTACAACAGAGGGTTGCTAAAATACTCATAGAAAACCCATAGTCTTTCAGGCCTAAAGAACATGAGAGCAAATTTGGAGCAACTAGACAAGAGAGCATCAGAGAGGGAAATCCCAAAATTATGTGTATAAAGTCTGCCCAAATCTCTAGCTGACCCCTGAATTACACATGCATGGGCAGATTTCAAACAGCTCAATTAATGATCAATATTAGATTTGAGCTGTTTCCCAAGAGATAAATTTTGCAGGTTGAGTCTTACCAAGTTAATTCCATGCCATAACAACTCTTTGGAAGAATCCAAGACAATTCATAGTCTCTACAACATAAGCATTCATATTATCTAAGATACAATCCAAATTTACTTGACATACAAAGAAATAATGAAATGTGATTCATTCTCAAAATAAAAAATCATCAACAGAGACTGACCTTGAGAAGACCCAGATGTTGGAATTAACCAACAAGGAATTTAAAGCAGTTATTATAACTACTCATGGAAACATTGAAAAATTCACTTGATGGGCCAAACAGCAGAATAGGGGTGACAAGGAAATGGTTAGTGAACCTGAAGATAGGTCCGTAGAAATTATTCAATCTGAACCAGAAAAAAAAGAGAAAATGGTAAAAATATGAACTCAGGGACTTGTGAGGCAATATCAGTAATTCTAATGTATGTAACATATGAGTTATTGTAAAAATCACAGGAGGAAGGAAAAGACAGAATGAGGCAGAAGAAACATTTAAAGAAATAATAGAAAGAAATTTCCCAGATATGGTGAAATAAGAAGCTAAGTGAACACCAAGCAGTATAAATACAAAGGAAAGAAGCCATGCCCACATGCCATAGTCGTATTTCTGAAAACAAAAGATGAGAAAATCTTGAAGGCAGTCAAAGAAAATTGGCACATAATTTATACATGGCAACAGTGATTTGAATCATAACTGACCTGTCTTCAGAAATAATAGAAGTGAGCAGACAATGGAACATCTCTAAAGTACTGAGAGGAAAAACCATCAACCCTGAGTTGTTTATTTAGCAAAAATATATGCCAATAATGAAGAAAAATATAAATTTTTGCATCAAAGGAAACTATGCAAACTTTTCATCAGGTCACTTATACTACAAAGAATGCTATAGAAGTTCTTCAGGCTGAGATGAAATCAACTGTTTCTCTCTGGGTGTCCAGGAGCTGGAATCTCAATTATCCTGATTCCTATGATGCAATTTCCATCCCTAACAAACTACTTCCAGGAGAAGGAGTACTTCACAAAATTTCCATGACATAACAGATGTCAATGCAAGTTATCTTAATCCCCTCCTTTTATATAAAAAAACTTAAAATTTTAAGATAATTTTATATTCACATTGAGTTGTAAGAAATAATACAGAGATTCTATGCACCTTCACTCAGTTTCATCCAATGGTGGTATCTTGTAAAATTATAACACAATATCACAATTAGGATACTGACATCGATACAGACAAGGTACAGAACATTTCCATTACCAACATGGATGTCTCATGTTGATGTCTATAAATACATGCACTTTTCTAACATCCTCTATTTTCTTTAGTGAAATCTCTTAAAGTTTTTTGCCCATATTTAAATTGGATTGATTTTTTTTACTGTTGGGTTTTAAGAGCTCATTATATGTTCTATATACTAATCCTTTATAAAAAGTGTTGCTTGTAAATATTTTCTGCCACTCTATAGCTTGTATTTTCACCCTCTTAACATATTCTTTCATGGATCAAATGTTTTTAATTTTAATAAAGTCCAGTTTATCAGTTTTTCTTTTTATAGATCATGCTTTTGCTATTAAATCTAAGAACTCTTTGCCTGGGCCTAAATCCTGAAGATTCTCACCTGTGTTTTTTCTATAAGTTTTACACTTTTAAACTATGTTTAAGTCTGCAGTCCAATTTGAATTACTTTTGTAAAAGGTATGGAACTTAGGTCAAAGTTTTTGTTTTGTTTTGTGTTTTGTTAGTTTATTTTCTTCCTTTTTTTTTGCCTATGGGTTTCCAGTTGCTCTGGAACCATTTGTTGAAAAGGCTATATTTATCCCATTTAATTGCTTTTGCATCTTTATCAAAAAATCAATTAGGCATATTTTTCTGGCTCCCTTTCTGGGTTCTCTGTTATATTCCACTAATCTATGTGTCCATCCCTCTGGCAATAGGACATACCCTGATTACTATATATACATAATAAGTTTTGAAACTGAGTAGACTTATCCTCAATTTATTTTTCTTTTTAAAAAACTTTTAACCTGTTTTAGTTCCCCTGGATTTTCATTCAAATTTTAGAATAATCTCATTTATATCCACAAAACAACTTGCTGGGATTGTGACAGGAATTGTATTAAATCTGTATATTAATTTGGGGAGAAATGTTGTCTTTATTATGTTGATTTTTCAATCCATGAACACAATATGACTTTCCATTTATTCTGATCCTTTTTGAAATCTTTCATCAGTGTTTGTGCAGATTTCACCATACAAGTCCTACGCATATTTGGTTAAATTTACACCTAAGTATTTCTTTTTCTGAAAGAGAGAGATTGTAAATGGTATCATATTTTTACTCTTGGAGCCCAAGTGTTCATTGCTAGTATACAGAAATACAATTTCTTTTGTACGTTTATCTTGTATTTTTTGAGACTTGCTTACCTCAATTATTAGATGGAGATTTCCGGTAGATTTCTTAGGATCTTCTATGCAGACAAATGTCGTCTACAAATAGTGACAGTTTTATTTTTTCTTTTAAGATTTTTATGCGTTTAATTTCCTTTTCTTGGCTTATTGTGCTGTCTAGACTTTCCACATTATGTTGAATAAGAGTGTATAGAATGGGTGGGGTTGGTTTTTCCTATCTGCAAATGTCCTAAAGAAAAACGTGTGGTTGAGTCATAAAGCATATCCCAAATGTGTTATCAATCAAGATGATTCACCTTGGGACTAAGATGTTAGAGAAATGGGTTAGAAGACTCAAGACTTTGGACAGGATATCAGAGTAGCAAATGGAAGTTGAACTGACTTAATTCTGGGGCTTTAAGTGCTTCTTTTTGTGCAGAGGTTAGACTCATTTAAAAGATTTGGAGAAGGATAGATGCCATCCTGGGATCCAGGAAACACCATTTGCAATCCTGCCTCAGCCCATCCCTAGTAAGAGCCAGACACCCATCTTAGCTCAGACACAGCTTTATTCTGGCAAACTCATAACCCACCTCCTCCTCTGAAGAATGAGCTGAGATACCCCAAATCATACTTGAGCTCACTCCCTGCTTCTCTCCTGCCTCTCTGAGGCATCTTCTTCCAATCTCAGTTCAAAAATTCACTTTCACTGGGACTTCTTCTTGCCGATTGAGAGCCTTCACTGTATCTGTTTTTCTGAAGAAACCCTGAGTATTTATTGTGGTTGGTTAGATCTCAAAATACATTAAACTCTATGAGAAGCAAGCAGGCAATGTTTATATTAAGTACTCCCAAATTTGTATTTGGCACTGCCATGTATCCTGATTCCCACTTATGATAGGCACTCCACTCAGCTTAACTGACCAATTGTCCTTCCCAAGTTGTAACCCTGTTGTATTATGAACGCTTTCATATTATGAATCAGAAGGATGGGGCCCAGAATCCAGCCACGGACATCCATTGGCTCCTACAACAACATGCTGTCCAGCTGAATGTCTTTAGAGTAGCACTTCTGACTCCAAGTTGTTCCTTGCCCCAAAGCTATTACTAGTTTATCCACAGTCTTCTCTGTGCTTGGGCCTTTCATGACAACTATCACCATAATCTGGGTCACACTATCTCAACCTTTTCCTTATCTTGGCGGTTGCTTTGTCCAGGTTTTCCTTCCACCTACAACCAGGCAACTGTTGCTCTAAAAACCTCTACTGAAGGGATGGGACTTGGCTGACACTTCCCCCTTAAAAAGCTGGGAAAGAAGCTGGGCGCAGTGGCACATGCCTGTAGTCCCAGCCTACTTGGGAGGCTGAGGTGGGAGGATCATCTGGGCCCATGAGTTTGAGTGTAGCTTGGGCAACATAGCAAGACCCCATCTCTTAGGGGGGAAAAGGCCAGAAAACACTTTCACCTGAACCTGGGATGCAGGCTCAGTAGCCTCAACACAGTTCTTTAGGCATACATTATGAGTTGTTTGCCATTAGTAATTCCTGCCTTTTAACCTTCCCCTCTTAGGGTTACAGGATTCTCCCCCAACACACAAATATGTCAGAAAATTGCCCTTCATGAAAATTGTCCATTCATGTCCATGCTTCCAAAATATCTACTCTTTTAACCCTCATTCCTTTCCCCACCCCCAATTTCTATTCATTCAGTGGAGGTCTCTTAATCTGGGAGGAGATAAGCTCTCCCAGAATATCTGCATTTAGAAGATTATCACTAATGCATGGAAGAAAGTCAAACAATTCAAATTATATATACATATATATATATACATATATATATGTGTGTGTGTATATATATATATATATATCCAGATAGATAGATAGATAGAAAAACTAGTAAGTAAATCAATAAACAAAACAAGCAGACAAACAAGGTGAAGATACTGAGTAGACTGAGTTGGGGTAATAGTAACAGTCATTGTGGATGGGGTCTAGGTATTGTGTTAAACGGGGGCAAACAGTTCTGCTAACAAAGACAGATCTAACTTTCCTGTAATTCTGCTTTTTATGTTCCCAGTGTATTCTTAATTTTTTAAAAAAAGAAGAAAATAAACAAAAATTTTCTCATTAGACTTTGTATACATTGTATAATAGAAGCAAGTGTTTTCCTAATGATTTTTTTTCTAATTTCACATTTGGCCAAATATCCAAATATGATGATGTCCTACCTAATATGGCATCATTGGAGTATATAATACACAATTCACCCATTTAAAGTGAACAATTCTGTGGTTTTTCACAGAGTTTTGCAAGCATCACCACAATCAATTTTAGAACATTTTTATTACCCAAAAAGAAACCCCGTGCCCATTAAGACTCACTTCCCATTTCCCTCCACCCACCTAGCTGTAAGCAACCACTAATTTCTGTCTCTATGGATTTGCCTATTCTGGAAATTTTATATAAATGGAATTACACAACATAGTCCTTTGTGATTGGCTTCTTTCATTTAGCACAGTGTTTTCAAGGTTCACCTTTGTCGTAGCATTTATCAATCCTTCATTCACTTACATGGTAAATAATATTCCATTATATAGATATATCACATGTATTTATCCATTCATCAGTTGATGGAAATTTGGATTATTTCCATTTTTTGGCAATTATGGATAATGCTGTTATGAACATTCATGTGCAAGCTTTAGAGTGAACATATGTTTTCAGTTCTCTTGGATATATACCTAGGAGCAGAATTGCTGGGTCATATGATAACTCCATGCTTAACCATTTCAAGAACTATCAAACTGTTTTCCAAAGTGATTGCACCATTTTACATTCTCACCAGCAGTGTAAGAGAGTTCCAGTTTCTCCACATCCTCGCTAACATTTGTTATTGTCCATCTTATATAGATAGCCATCTCATGGGTGTGAAGTGGTATCTCACTGTAGTTTGGATTTGCATTTTCCTGATGGCTAAAGATGTTAAAAGTTTTTTCATTTGCTTATTGTCCATTTTTACGTTTTCTTTGGAGAAATGTCTATTCAGATCCTTTGCCCACTGGATCCATTGGATCTAAATCCTTTGATCCCTTTTAAATATAGGTTATTTATTTTCTTATTTATTGGGTTGTAGGAGTTTTTGTATATTCTAGATACAAGGTCTTTATCAGATAGACATAAGATTTAAAATAATTTTCTCTGACTCTGTGGGTTGTCTTTTCACTATCTTGATGGCAAAATGTGTTTCTAAGGTGTCAGTTCATTTCATCTAAATTGTAAAATTTGTTAGTATGAAGTTGTTGATAATATCCTCTTACTATACTTCTAGTTAATACAAGATCATAGTGAAATCCTCTTTTTCTGCTCATATTGGTAATTTTGCCATTTCTCCTTTTTCACTTGATTAGTCCTGCTAGGAGTCTATCAATTTCATTAATTTTTCCAAAATACCAACTTTTAGCCTGTTAATTTTTCTCTACAATATATTTATTTTCTGTTTTATTGATTTCTGTTCTTAGCTTTATTATTACCTTTCTTCTACTTTCTTTAGGTTTGATTTGCTATTCTTCTTATAGTTTATTTGAAAGTTAAAAAATTGATATGTAGCCTTTCTTTTCTGGATATCTAGATATATTTAAGGCTAACAATTTTCTCTAGGTACTACTTTAGCTTCCTCTGACAATTTTAGGTGATATGTTCAATATCAATCAGTTCAGATATTTTCTAATTTCTATAGTAACTTCTTCTTTGATCTATGAACTGTTTTAAATTATTTTTATAAACCTATCAGATTTTTCTTTCCTAATCATATGTTTTCTTTTTCATGGCCCTAACTCCTTTCTCCTGCTA
Organism: Homo sapiens; assembly: GCF_000001405.40. Lineage (NCBI taxonomy): Eukaryota > Metazoa > Chordata > Mammalia > Primates > Hominidae > Homo > Homo sapiens. The sequence goes on along the minus strand of NC_000015.10, from coordinate 56,343,057 downwards.
TGTTACCATTCTATTTTTCTTGCTTCAGTAGCCTTTTGAAAAGGCAAGTTGGAGCATTATACAGCATCTGAAGCCTTGCAAGATAAATTGTTGCCCTTAGGAAAAGATTAAAATCATCTCTCTGGAGAGCTATGATTAATGTTCTCTTCTTTCTCATCTGGCTAACAATGTTTGGACTTAGGTAACATGGGAGTTTACCCCATTAGGAAAGCATACATCCTACCGACTGTTGGGAAACAACAGCTGAGAGATTCCATTTTCTCTCTCTCCAGGAGCTGCCACTTTGGGTACAGCTGCAGGAAGTTTCTTGAATACACTCCTTAACAAAACCACATTTGTCCTTGTGGGTTGTGTTTCAGTCCAACATAACCTTTCCTTATTTTCTTCTATGAAGGCTTTTTAAAAAAGTTCTTTACTGTTCTTTAGTGTAGGGACTCACTGCACTGGGCCAATGTTTAAGTGTGTTTATTTCTGCCACTCCCCGATAACACCAACTTTTCTCCTGCACATAAGAGCTTATCTTTTCTTTCTTTTAAATTAAATATTAAATGCCCTGAACCATAATGTTTGCTCTTCTTTTTTTTTGACCACACACAGGTTGATAGAAGTTTCTTGTTGCAAGCGGCAATAGAAAGGACAACTATTCTTAAGTTTTGATTTTTTATAGCCAGTTGTTTTGGGGCTGAATTTTCAAAAACTGAGTAGAGGTAGCCATGTGGCTGTGTGTCCTTTTCACTTAACCTCTCTGAGCCTTAGCTTCCTAATCTGAAAAATAGGGATAATAACATTTCCTACCTCAAAAGCTTATTGTGAAATGTAAGAGTAATGAATATGAAGTATTAGGAGAGCGCCTGGCATAGATTAGTTACTATTTTTATGGGACCACAAGAGAAGTACCAACTGATGACGGTGTCAAGTGAAGAGGAAGGAGTGATATTTTAGTTCTTAGTTGGATGGTCATGTCTGAACTTTCAAATTCCAGACCCTAGGCTTCATCAAAGGGATTAGCAAGAAATTGAAACTATATCAATGTAATAGAAAAAGTTCACTTATCAAAAAAAAACATAGCTGACAAGAAAATTTGAGAACAGCCACATAATATGATAAACTGGGGAAACCAATACAAACTCATTACTTAAACAAAGAACTATCTTTTCCACCTCTATCTCTAAAATCATCAGCATTTTTGCCCACCATCAACTCTCATGTGCACCTAGAACTGACATTAAAAATCTATTAAAGTCAATTTTTTGTATTTGAGTATATTTTTATATTTTTATATCAATGTTTTTGCATATTTATATCCACTCATGACCTTTCATGGGTTCAACTTTTTAAATCAGTTATTTAAATAATAATTACTATTATTTTTCTGCTCAAATGATCACAATTGACCAAGGGAAATATTGCATGCTCTTTTCCCTTCCTTCCCTTCCCTTTCTTTCTTTTTAGGGTTTCCCCTGAAGTACACTCCCTCAATTCCCTTCTACCTGAATCCCTGTGTCAGCTTCTGTTTCTAGGAAATCCAACCAATGACACATCAGTATTAGGTATGGGGTAGAAGCAGACCCTAAGGGTGGTATTCAGGAGGTGACTCACCGCTGGCCAGCTGTCAAGAATACCTTATTGCTACTAATAGGTTGAACACTGATAATTCAAGATACGTTAAAGCAGTAAAATTGTTAACACTTTTCAACTGTGGTTGAGTGCAATGGGATCTACTAGAAGGAGATGCACTGGCCTGTGTAATATCGCTGGCATTTAAGAAGTATGGGAGGAGGAGTAATTATAAGGATTGTGGAATTGCATAACTGTTGCTAAGCACCATGAATGCTTTGAAGAGAAGGAAAAAAAAGGCTAAATGTGATTGCTCATCAATTCAAAGCCAGGTATAAAAACTAAATCTCTTCATTGGTATTAATTAAAGAAACCCTCATCTTCACAGAACCTACTCTTTAAGAGTGGCAGAACTTTAGAAAATATAGCATTTCCAACCCTAGCAAGCCCCCTGTGCCAAAATCAGGGCCCCAAGATGGGAGTAATACAACTCTGAGACTTGGGTTAAGTATTCTAAATAGACCTACTTCAGAACATTGAACCCCAGGTGTGCCCGAACCCTATGGGCCTGCAGAAATGGCCCACTCATTTTTGTTAAAAGATGCATGCTGCTTTGCTTGAAGAATATGCAGAAGTTTTAAATAGGCAGATGACTTATAAGACAGTGTTTGACCATTTCAGGATCTGTCACCCACTCCTGTCTTGGCAATCAGATTTGACTAGGGTCAAATCACAGCACGATAAAGGAGAGGCAGGTCTGATAAAGGAGGAAATGGATGAGCTACAAATGAGCTGCAGGAGTTCAGTAACATACGTGAGCAAGAACTAGGAAGTATATCCTGAGGATGTAGAATCAAGGGAAGTAGAGCATAGAGTGGAATAAGAGAGTCTGTTGATCTAAGGGCTCTCCCATGACATTGGACTTAACACCCTGGCAAGGATCTTGTTGTCCAGTTCTCATAAGCAGAGATGGATTTTAGGAGCTTGAAAAAAGCAATGGCTTATTTTAAATGAAATGGAAAATTCAACAGTTAACTAATTATGTTCCTTCAAAAGGGAATACCTTTTGAGAGACGTTGAATAAAAGTTCTGATTGAATACTGACAACCAATGATGTATTATCATGATTGTTAGAATAAAAGAGGATGTCAGGTAATAAATAGAGTATTGGCCCAAGTCTATCTCACAGTGAGTCCATTATGTTTATTGACCCACCTAATGGTCATTTTCATGATACCTAAACATATCATTGAAATGGATATACTTAGCAATTGGCAGAATCCTCACATTTGTTTCTTGAACTGTGAACAAAGCTATTATAGCAGAAAATCCCTTAAATTTCCCTTACCATCCTTGGAAGATTGTAAAATAAAAAACAATGCTGCTTCTAGGGGGAATGGCAAAGATTAGTACCATACTTGAAGACGTCAATGATACAGGCTTAGTGGTACCCATCATATCCCCAAGTCATTATCCACTTTGGCCTCTAAAATACAAGGTGAAGGTCTTAATCTATTTGAGCTGCTATAACAAAATACCACAGACTGAGTGTCTTATAAACAACAGAAATGAATTGCTTGTAGTTGAGGAGCCTGCCAGCAGATTCAGTATCTGGTGAGCGCTCACTTCCTGGTTTAGAGACAGTCATCTTTTCCCTATGTCCTCACAAGTCAGAAGGGGTGAGGGAGCTCTCCAGAATCTTTTATAAGGGCACTAATCCCATTCATGAAGGCTCTGCCATGATGACCTAATCACCTAATAATGGCCACACCTCCTAATACCATCACACTAGGGAGTAGGTTTCAACATATAAATTGGCGGGGGGACGTAAGCATTCAGTCTATATCTGTGCATAATGTCTCGAACTTAACTAAGTAGTAACCCTAATTGCAGCTACTCTGCTGAATGTGGTATTTTTATTACAGCAGACTAACACAGCCCCTGATAAATGATATGGGCTTATTAATCTGGCATATGCGTTGTTTTCAATACCTAGCAGGCAGGAAGAGTATAAACAGTTGGCCTTACATGGGATGGAAAACAGTACAAATGAATGGTTTTGCCCAGGGGCTAAGTTATTCTCCTGTTTTTTTTTTTTTTTTTTTTTTTTTTTTTTTGGAGAAGGAGTCTTGCTCTGACACCCAGGCTGCAGTGCAGTGGCGTGATCAGGGCTTACTGCAACCTCCACCTCCTGGGTTCAAGCGATTCTCCTGCCTCAGCCTCCTGAGTAGCTGGGATTACAGGCACACACCACCACACCCGGCTAATTTTTGTATTTTTAGTAGAGTCGGGGTTTCACCATGTTGGCCAGGCTAGTCTGGAACTCCTGACCTCAGGTGATCCACCCACCTCAGCCCCTCAAAGTGCTGGGATTACAGACGTGAGCCACCACACCAGGCCTGTATTCTCCTATTCTTTTTCATAACATAGTTTGAAAATACCAGGACTACTAGGCCCTCCCACAGAACATTATGAGTAAGAAATGACAAGTATTCAGGATGCTTTTGTAAAATACATGCACACCAGAGCATAGGGGACACCCCTATAAAGATTCAGGCCTACCACATCAGTGACTTTTTTTTAAGACAATGTTTCACTCTCGTTGCCCAGGCTGGAGACCAATGGTGTGATCTTGGCTCAATGCAACCTCTGCCTCCCAGGTTCAAGTGATTCTCCTGCCTCAACTTCCCAAGTAGCTGGGATTAAAGGCACTCGCCACCATGCCCAGCTAATTTTTTGTATTTTTAGTAGAGATGGGCTTTCACCATGTTGGCCATACTGGTCTCAAACTCCTGACCTCAGGTGATCCACCCACCTTGGCCTCCCAAAGTGCTGGGATTACAGGCATGAGCTACCGCGCCCAGCCAACATTTTTAACAGTCCAGTGGTCTGGGGCTTGCTGAAAGATCCCCTCCAAAATAAATAATAACCATTTCAAATATAGGTTTACAGTTCTCACCCAAAGTGCCTCAGCCTACACCACTATACAAGGGATCACTGTCTCAGACCAAGTGAGCTGTTGTACAAATAAGTTGTGGCAGTGGATCCGTGACCATGAGATTCACTAGTCCTATCATATACTGCACCACCCAAAACCTGCAGGTCTGATAGACAGGTGGAGCAGACTTTTGAAAGAACAGTATCATGTGAGGATGGGGAATTACCCTTTAGGATAGGCTTGGCATCTTAAGTCAATGAACATTGAATGGTACTATTTTTCCAAAGAGGAGAATCCAAGTGGCAAAAGTAGATTAGCTTTTCTCAGTAATACTCTAAGTGCTTCCTGTACCAGCAACTTCAGGCTCTGCAGGCCTAGAGGCTCTAGTTTGCAGAGAGGAAATGCTTCCCAAAAGGGACACACTGATAAGAGTCTCACTAAACTTTAAGCTATGGCTGCCACCTGGTCATTTCAGATTCCTTGTGCCAAAGGACTAGCAGGGAAGGAAAAGAGTCTCCATACTGGCAGGAAAATTAACTAGAAAGAAATAGGGTTACTGTTACACAATGGGAAGGAAAAACCATTTAGGATGTAGCTCATCTACTGGAATGTCTTATCAACCTGAAATAATCAAAAGGATCAGAATCCAGTTTTAAAGAGTTTATTTAAGCAAAAAACTAGGACCAGCCACTTGGGAAACACAGACTCCTGCAATGAGGTCAGTGCTCCAAAATTAAAAGTTAAGGTCTTGCTTATATAGGAAGAAAACCAAAAAATTTAACAGGATTACAACATTTTCTACACATGGCTTGTTTATGAGTTACAGTAATTTAATGAATTACCATTTGTTTTATTTTCCTTTCCAATTGAAAAGGGTGTTAGACAATGTAATAGCCATGAAGTCTTTGTGTGACAGAGGTAAGAGGGAAGTTCATCTATAATGAAGATGAACAGTAAGAAGGAAGGGGTCTTCCCTGGTGCCTTTTAGTCATTTACAACATTTTACAAAATATGGCAATGAAAAAGGCTAATATTTAACCACAGAAACAAAGGTTACAGCTGCCCCAGTTACGGTTGCTTGCACAGACTCAGGCCCTATAATCACATTCATTTAAGGCTCAAAATAAAGTTCCAACAGCTTATACTTTGAATTACTTATTTTCACAGTCTCTTGATAATTCCCCTACCCAGTGTTGATGCCAGACGAATACATGCAGTATCCACAGCCTATGACAGATGTGGTAACTAGAGGGTCAGACCCCTCAAGGATAAGGATCTGAATAGCCCCACCAGATAAGCCACTTAGCCCAGCAGAAGTGCAAGTTGAATGTGAAGGGGATATAGAATGTGTGGAACAGGAGGGAAATAATGATTTATCAGTTACAGCCTCAGGATGAAGTGTAATGTCAGGATTTGGAATTTTTTCCCACTAATCTTTTTCTTGTAAATTTTTCCAGGAAAAAAAGACTAACTAGAATCCAGGGTAAGTTATCTCCAGATGCGAAATAACTATTACATGAAGCAAGAGGATACAAGCTGTACAAGCGGTAGACTATAGAAGATGTTGTCATGCATTGTTCAGATACCCTCTTCAGGGTTAAAGTACTTACACCCCTAGCTGCTGGGAGTGTCAAACACTTGCAGTTCACAGCTGAGTCCTCTACTGGGAATCGCCCTACGCTGAAAGGTAATGCCTTGCCCCAGTTTTCACTCCCCTCTCCAAGGTGCAGCCAACAACCAAAGACTGGCTGATGTAGGAGTATAAGGGCCCAATTCCCTTGCCCTAATTCAGGATAATTCTGAAGGGCCATACCAGCTCCTTGTAGTATCACCTGAGGCTGTTGTTGCAACTGTACTGCAATTCAACTTCTCCAGCTGCCCAATCATTCTCATATAGGTAATGCTTATGAGTCTACTCCCCATTAAATCTCCTGCATTCTAATTTCCATCTGTCATCTCAGGCTGTTATAACAAAGTACCATACACTGGGTGGTGTATAAACAATAGAAACTTATTTCTCACAGTTCTGGAGGCTGGAAGTCTGAAATCAGTGTGCCAACATGGTGGGGCTCTGGTGAGGGCCCTCTTCCGGATTGCAGATTACCAATTTGGTAATCTGGGAGATATTACCAGAGAAATATTGGGAGATATAACATGGGAGAAAGAGAGCTAGCTAGTTCTCTGATTTCTTATAAGGAAATCTCATTTATGCAGGGACCACCCTTGTGACCTAATTACCTTCCAAAGGCCCCACCTTCAAATACCATCATATTGGGATTAGGGATTTAACATGAATGGGGGGTGGGGAATACAAACATTCAGTTTATTGCACCATCTCAGAGTCTGTTTCCCAGAAACCCAACCTAAGACAATCACACCCACTGAACAAGTTGAGATTATGGGGATATGATACATAATTTGCCACCGCTACAAACTAACAAATAACAAGTACTCTGAGAAGAAATGAAAGTATTTCAGCGATGCAACTGCACATGGGAGACCATGATGGTACTGAACTGGACTTTATGCAGGTAAAATCCAAATCAATATCCATAAATGTAAATAAATGCATCCTAAGTTGAAGTAGCAGCAGTATATGAAACACATGAAGTTGAATCCCTGTAACCTAAATGGCTGTAATTTATGATACAATCATATAATATTTTGCATTTAAACTTATATAAGTCATATTTCTAAACTATGAAGAAAATATGAATCGTTTGTGTTTAAATACATTGCACACTTTAACAAATTTTTTTATTTTTAATTTTTGTGGGTATATAGTAGGTATATATATTTATGGGTTACATGAGATACTTCGATACATATATGCACAGTGTAATGATTATATTAGGGTAAATGGGGTGTCCATCATTTCAAACATTTGTACTTCGTGTTACCAAAATCCAACTATATTCTTCTAGTTATTTTTAAATGTACAACTAAATTAGTTTTTACTATAATCACCCTGTTATGCTAGCAAATATTGTCTTATTTAATCTTTCTAACTATTTTTTGTACCCATTAACCATTCCCACTTCCCCCATCCCCATACCCTTCCCAGCCCCTGGTAACCACCCTTCTATTCTCTATCTCCATGAGTTCAATTGTTTTAATTTTTGGCTCCCACAAATGAGTAAAAACATGTGATGTTTGTCTTTCTGTGCCTGGCTTATTTCACTTAATATAATGACCTCCAGTTCCATCCATTTTGTTGTTGCAAATGGGAAGATCTCATTCTTTTTATGGCTGAATAGTGCTCCATTGTGTATATGTACATTTTCTTCATCCATTCATCTGCTGATGGACGCTTAGGTTGCTTGTATATACTGGCTATTGTAAACAGTGCTGCAATAAACATGAGAGTGTAGATACCTGTTCAACATACTGATTTCCTTTCTTTTGGCTCTATACCTGGCAGTAGGATTGCTGGATCATATAGTGTCTCTATTTCAATTTTTGAGGAACCTCCAAACTGTTCTGCATAGTGGTTGTACTAATACACACTCTCACCAACAGTGTACCAGGATTCCCTTTTCTCCTCATCCTCACCAGTATTTGTTATTGTCTGTCTTTTGGATAAAAGTCATTTTAAATGGTGTCAGATGATATCTCATTATAGTTTTGATTTGCATTTCTCTGATGTTTAGTTGAGCACCTTTTCATATACCTGTTTGCCATTTGTATGTCTTCTTTTGAGAAATGTCTATTCAGATCCTTTGCCCATTTAAAAAAATCAGATTTTTAGATTTTTTTCCTATGGAGTTGTTTGAGCTCCTTATATATTCTGGTTATTAATCGCTTGTCAGATGGATAGTTGGCAAATATTTTCTCCCATCCTGTGGGTTGTCTCTTCACTTTGTGGATTGTTTCCTTTGTTGTGTAGGAGCTTTTTAACTTGATGTGATCCCATTTGTCCATTTTTGCTTTGGTTGCCTGTGTTTATGGGGTATTACTCAAGAAATTTTTGCCCAAACCAATGTTCTAAAGAGTGTCCCCAGTATTTCTTTCAGTAGTTTCACAGTTTTGAGTCTTAGATTTAAGTCAGTAATCATTTTGATTTTTGTATATGGCACGAGACCGAGGTCCAATTTCATTCTTCTGCATGTGGATATCCAATTTTTCCAGCACGATTTATTAAAGAGACTGTTCTCTCCTTACTGTATGTTCTTGGCACTTTTGTCAAAAATGAGTTCACTGTAGGTGTACAGACTTATTTCCGGGCTCTCTACTATGTTCCACTGGTCTATGTGTCTGTCTTTATGCCAGTACCATGCCGTTTTGGTTACAATAGCTCTGTAGTATAATTTGAAGTCAGGTAGTGTAGTTCCTCTAGCTTTGTTCATTTGCTTGGGATAGCTTTGGCCATTCTGAGTCTTCTGTGGTTGCATTTAAATTTTAGGATTTTTTTTGTTTCTGTGAAGAATGTCCGTGGTATTTTGATAGGGATTGCATTAAATCTATAAATTGCTTTGGGACATGTAAACATTTTAACAATATTGATTCTTTCAATTTATAAACATGAAATATCTTTCCATTTTTTGTGTCCTCTTCAATTTCTTGTATCAGTGTTTTACAATTTTCACTGTAGAGGTCTTTGTCTTCTTCGGTTAATTCCTAGGTATTTAATTTTATTTGTAGCTACTGTAAATGAGATTAGTTTCTTGATATCTTTTTCAGATTGTTTGCTGATGGAATATAAAAATGCTACTGATTTTTGTATGATTTTGTATCCTGCAACTTAACTGACTGTATCATTTCTAATAGCTTTTTGGTTAAGTCTTTATGTTTTTCCAAATATAAGATCATATCATCTGCAAACAAGGATAATTTGACTTTTTCCTTTCCAATGTGGATATCCTTTATTTCTTTCTCTTGTCTGATTGCTCTAGCTAGGACTTCAAGTACTATGTTGAATAACAGGGTGCAAGTGGGCATCTTTGTCTTGTTCCAGCTCTTAGATGAAAGGCTTTTGGTCTTTTCCCATTCAGCGTGATATACTATCTATGGTTCTGTCATCTATGGCTTTTATTGTGTTGAGGTATTTTCCTTCTGTATCCAGTTTTTTGAGGGTTTTTTTTTTTTATCATGAAGGAGTGTTGAATTTCATCAAATGCTTTTCCAGCAACAATTAAAATTATCATATGGTTTTTTTTCCTTCATTCTGTTGATATGATGTATCACATTGATTGATTTGCATATGTTGAACCATCCCTCCATCACTGGGATAAATCCTACTTAGTCATGATGAATGATCTTTTTGATGTGTTGTTGAATTTGGTTTGCTAGTGTTTTGTTGAGGATTTTTGCATCAATGTTCATCAGAGATAACGGCCTGTAGGTTTCTTTTTTGATGTGTCTTTGTCTGGTTTTGGTGTCAGGGTAACACTGTCCTCATAGAATGGTTTGGAAGTATTCTCTCCTCTATTTTTCAGAATAGTTGGAGTATGATTGTTATTACTTCTTCTTTAAATGTTTGGTGGAATTCAGCAAAAAAGCCATCAAGTCCTGGGCTTTGCTTTGTTGGGAGACTTTTTATTATGGCTTCCAGCTTGTTACTTGTTATTGATATGTTTAAGTTTTGGATTTCTTCATGGTTCAATTTTGGTAGGTTTTATGTATCTAGCAATTTATCCATTTCTTTTAGATTTTCCAATTTATTAGCATATAGTTGCTCATGGTAGTCACTAATGATCCTTCAAGCTTCTGCTTTATCAGTTGTAATGTCTCCTTTTTCACCTCTGATTTTATTTATTTAGATCTTCTCCCTTTTTTCTTAGTTATTCTGGCTAACGGTTTGTACATTTTTTCTTTTCAAAAACCAATTTTTTGTTTTTTTGATGTTTTTTCATTTCAATTTTATTTATTTCTGCTCTGGTCTTATTTCTTTTCTTCTACTTATATTGTGTTTGATTTGCTCTTCTTTTTCTAGTTCTTTTTTTTTTTATATTTTAAGTTTTAGGGTACATGTGCACATTGTGGAGGTTAGTTACATATGTATACATGAGCCATGCTGGTGCGCTGCACCCACTAACTCGTGATCTAGCATTAGGTATATCTCCCAATGCTATCCCTCCCCCCTCCCCCCACCCCACGACAGTCCCCAGAGTGTGATATTCCCCTTCCTGTGTCCATGTGATCTCATTGTTCAATTCCCACCTATGGGTGAGAATATGCGGTGTTTGGTTTTTTGTTCTTGCGATAGTTTACTGAGAATGATGATTTCCAATTTCATCCATGTCCCTACAAAGGACATGAACTCATCATTTTTATGGCTGCATAGTATTCCATGGTGTATGTGTGCCACATTTTCTTAATCCAGTCTATCATTGTTGGACATTTGGGTTGGTTCCAAGTCTTTGCTATTGTGAATAATGCCGCAATAAACATACGTGTGCATGTGTCTTTACAGCAGCATGATTCATAGTCCTTTGGGTATATACCCAGTAATGGGATGGCTGGGTCAAATGGTATTTCCAGTTCTAGATCCCTGAGGAATCGCCACACTGACTTCCACAATGGTTGAACTAGTTTACAGTCCCACCAACAGTGTAAAAGTGTTCCTATTTCTCCACATCCTCTCCAGCACCTGTTGTTTCCTGACTTTTTAATGATTGCCATTCTAACTGGTGTGAGATGGTATCTCATTGTGGTTTTGATTTGCATTTCTCTGATGGCCAGTGATGATGAGCATTTTTTCATGTGTTTTTTGGCTGCATAAATGTCTTCTTTTGAGAAGTGTCTGTTCATGTCCTTCGCCCACTTTTTGATGGGGTTGTTTGTTTTTTTCTTGTAAATTTGTTTGAGTTCATTGTAGTTTCTAGTTCTTTAACATGCATTACTGGGGTGTTTATTTAAAAATTTTTTTTTATGTAGGTGCTTATGGCTATAAAATTCCCTCTTAGTACTGCTTTTGCCATATTCCATAGGTTTTGGCATGGTGTGTTTCCATTATTATTTGTTTCAAGAAATTTTTCAATTTCCTTCTTAATCTCTTTATTGACCTACTTGTCATTCAGGAGCATATTGTTTAATTTCCATATGTTTGTATAGTTTTCAAAATTCTTCCTCTTATTGATTTCTGATTTTATTTAATTGTGGTCAGAGAAGATGCTAGATATTATTTCAACTTTTTTGAATGTTTTATGACTTCCTTTGTTGCTAACATATGGTCTATCCTTGAGAATGATTTATGTGCTGAGGAGAAGAATGCGTATTCTGCAGCCCTTGGATGAAATGTTCTGTAAATATCTATTAGGTGTACTTGGTCCACAGTGCAGACTAAGTCTGATGTTTCCTTGCTGATTTTCTGTCTGGATGATCTGTCCAATGCTGAAAGTGGTGTGTTGAATTCCCCAGCTATTATTATATTGAGGTCTATCTCTCTCATTACCTCTAATAATATTTGCTTTATATATCTAAGTCCTCCAATGTTGGCTGCACATATATTCAAAATTGTTTTATCTTGTCACTGAATTGACCCTTGTATCTTTACATAATGACCTTCTTTGTCTCTCTTTTTGTCTTGAAATACATCTTGCCTGATATAAACAGAGCAACTCCTGCTCTTTTTGGTTTCTATTGGCATGGAATACCTTTTTCCATTTCTTTATTTTCAGTCTATGTATGTCTTTTCAGGTAAAATATGTTTCTTTTAGGCAACAGATCATTGGGTCCTATTTTTTTTCAATCCAGTCAGCTATTCCATGTCTTTTTATTGGAAAGTTTAGTCCATTTACATTCAATCTTATTATTAAAAAGTAAGAACTTACTCCAACCATTTTTTTTTTCTGGTGGTTTTGTGGCCTTCTCTTCTTTCTTATCTTCCTTTTTGATGGTGATTTCCTCTGGTGGTATGATTTGATTTCCTGCTTTTTATTTTCTGTGTATCTGTTGTGCATTTTTTGATGTGAGGTTACTATGAGACTAGCAAATCCTATTATATAATCCATTATTTTAAGCTGATAATAACTTTGCTTGCATGAACTAACTAAAGCAAAAAGAAAACTAATAAAATTTCTAATTTTGTTCCTCTACTTTTTTACCTTTTCATTGCTTGTACTTATATCTTATTATACTATGTCTTGAAAAGTTATTGTACTTATTATTTTTGATTGGTTCATCACTTAGTCTTTCTACTTAGGATAAGAGTAGTTTACAACCATACAGTGCAATAATATTCTGACTTTTTCTGTGTACTTACTCTTACCAGTGAGTTTTATACCTTCAGATGATTTCTTCTTGTTCATTAATGTCCTTTTCTTTCAGATTGAAGTACCCCCTTTAGCATTTCTTATAGAGCAGGTCTGGTATTGACAAAATCCCTTAGCTTCTGTTTGTCAGGGAAAGTGTTTATTTCTTCTTCATGTTTGAAGTATATTTTCACTGGATATATTATTCTAGGGTAAAATATTTTTTTCCTTTAGCACTTTAAATATGTCATGGCACTCTCTCCTGGCCCATAAGGTTTCCATGGAGAAGTCTGCTGCCAGACATATTGGAGCTCCATTCTATGTTTGTTTGTTTTTTTTCTTTTCTCTTGCTCCTTTTAGGATCCTTTCTTTATCCTTGACTTTTGGGAGTTTATTAAATGCCTTGAGGTAGTCTTCTTTGGATTAAATCTGCTTGGTGTTCTATAACCTTCTTGTACTTGGATATTAATAATATTCTCTAGGTTTAAGAAGTTCCCTGATAGTAACCCTTCAAATAAACTTTCTCACTTTAAGGCTAATAGCTCTTAGATTTGCCCTTTTGAAGCTATTTTCTAGGTCTTGTAGGCTTGCTTCATTGTTTTTTATTCTTTTTTCTTTTGTCTCCTCTAACTGTGTATTTTCAAATAGCCCAGCTTCATGCTCACTAATTCTTTCTTCTCTTTGATGAATTCTGTTACTAAGACTTCGATGCATTCTTCAGTATGTCAATTGCATTTTTCAACACCAGAATTTCTGCTTGATTTTTTTTAACTATTTCCATCTCTTTGTTAAATTTATCTGGGAGGATTCTGAATTCCTTCTCTGCATTATCTTGAATTGGAGTTTTCTAAAAATAGCTATTTTGATTTATCTGTCTGAAAGGTCACGTATCTCTGTTTCCACACGATTTATCCCGGAACTAAATTAACTCATTTAGTTCGTTTGGTGTCATTATGTTTTCCTTGATGGTCTTGATGTTTGTTGATGTTCATCAGTGTCTGGGCATTGAAGAGTTAGGTATTTACTGCAGTCTTTATTTACAGTCTGGGCTTCTTTATCCATACTTCTTAGGAAGGCTTTCCAGGTATTTGAAAGGTGTTGGGTGTTGAAATCTAAGCCATACCTGCATTAGGGGGTACTCCAAGCCCTGTAATGTTGTGGTTCTTCTAGACTCACAGAGATACTGCCTTGGTGGCCTTGGACATGATCCAGAAGAATGCTCTTGATTACCAGGCAGAGACTCTTGTTCTCTCCCCTTACTTTCTCCCCAACAAATGGAGAGTGCTTCTCTGTGCTGAGCTGTGTGGAGCTGGGGGTGGGGTGACACCAGCACTTCTGAGGCCACCACCACTGGGACTGCTCTGGGTCAAACCTGAAGCCAATACAGCACTCGATCTCGCCCAAGGGCCATTGTAGCCACTGATTGCCACTTACATTTGTACAAGGCCCTAGGACTCTACAATCAGCAGGTGGTGAAGCCAGCCAGGCGTCTGTCCTTCTCTTCAGGGTGGCTAGTTCTCCCAGTCCTCAGGTCCAGTGATGCCATACAGGAGTCAGGGCCTGGAGTCAAAAATGTTAGAAATCTATCTGGTGTTCTATTTTACCACTGAGTGCTGAGCTGGCACTCAAACCATGAGACCCAGTACTTCCCACTTCTCTCTCCCCTTTCCACAAGCAGAGGAGACACACCTTGTGGCCACTACTACCACAGGTCCTTGAAGCTTACTGCCAGGCTACTGCCAATATTCACTTTAAGTCCAAGGGCTCTTTGGTCAGCTTGTGATTAATGCTGCCCAGTCTGGGACTTGCCCTTCAGGTGAGTGGGCTCCCCTCTGGCCCAAAGCAGTTTGAGAAATGCCATCCAAGAGTCAGGGCTGGAATCAGGGACCCCAAGAGCCTGCTTGGTGCTCTTCCCCACTGTGGCTGAGCTGGTACATAAGGTGCAAGACAAAATCCCCTTTACTTTATCACCATAGTCACCACAGTTGGGAATGTGCTGGGTCTCACCCAAGGCCCACGATGTATCACCTGGGTGTCACTGCTGGTTATTCAGGGCCTAAGGGCTCTTTTGTTAGTAGGTGATGAGTCCTGCCAGGAACAAGTGCTTCCCTTGAATGCAGCAGGTTCCGTTTTGGCCCAGGGTGTGTCTAGAAATGTCATCCAGAAGCTAGGGTCTGGAGTGGGACCTCATGACTCTGCCCAGTGCCCTACCCTATTGTGGCTGAGCTGGTATCCATGATGCAAGACAAAGTCCTCTTTACTTTCCCCTCTCCTTACAAGCAGAAGGAAGCGGGGCTATTTTGGAGCTGCAAGCTATGCTGCCTGGGGTTGGGGGAGGGGTGGCATAAGCACTCCCTTAGCTGCCCTGGCTGGTGTCTCAGTAGTTTGTGTGTTCCCCAAGTCCATTGGCCTCAAGCCCAGTTCAGCACTACGACTTGCCTAAGAGTTGCGGTTCTTGTGGCCTAGACTGCCTTTCAAGTTTACCTAGGGCCCGAAAGCACTTTAGGCTTCAGTGGTGAGGCATGTTGGAACTCAGGTTCCAACTGCTAGAATGGGTGTTTGCCCTCTGGCTAGGGCTGGTCTAAATGCTCCCCCTGAGGCTGCTGGCTGAGTTCTCCCCAGTGTTGGCAGCACCAGTTTCCAATGCAAAGTTCTGCAATCGCTGCAATCTCCCTCTCGCAAACGCACAGATTCTCCTTCTGCACCACGAGGCTGCTGTGATGGCATGGGGGAGGAGTGGTGTTGGCAGTTCGAGATTGTCTTTCTTACCCTCTTCAGTGCTTCTTTCAGTATGAAGTTAAAATCAGGTATTGTTAGTACTCGCTTGATTTTTGGTTCTTATAAAGGTGTTTTTTGTGTGTAGATACTTGTTACATTTGGTGTTCCTGTGGGAGGCACAATGAGTGGAGGCTTCTACTTGCCATCTTGCTTCACCCCCTCCAATGGTATTCTTTCCCATACTGTTTATATCTTTTAAGCATTGTTTTAATAAACAAAATTAAGTGGCAGCTGAAGCAAGTAAGGATTCATTGTTCAATGAAACTGAAATAAAGCATTTTTTCATGACAGCAAAAACCCGGAACTAATCTAAATGTCCAATCAGGAAATTAAATAAATTATGGCGTACTATATCATCAGTAATAATATGAGCAGATTCATATTGATTGAAATAGAAAAATGTGGTTTTATTAAGTGACAAGACAACTACAAATTAATGTTATAGAATGATTTTTCTTTAGGAATAATTTATATTCAAGTATATATGCATTTGGAAAAAATCTGAATGAAAGAATATCAAAATGTTAATCATTATTTTGATAATGATTTTTTATTTCAATAGTTTTTGGGGAACAGGTGGTATTTGGTTACACGGGTAAGTTCTTTAATGGTGATTTCTGAGATTTTAGTGCACCCATTACCCAAGCAGCATACACTGTACCCAATGAATAATTACAATTATCATTAACTTATTGACTTAGATGCTTAGTGTCCCACCCAATACTCCATCCAACTTCTAATGGCTACCTCCATGCCTGAGGGCTTTTTATTCCAGATTTGTGGAATATAGCTCTGCATGTGAGTGAGATGAAAATGGTGAGGAAGTAGCCCACTACTGAGATAGCGTAATTCTGAGGTATTTATTTTGCAGCATCTCCCAGCGTTTCTCCATGAGATTTTTCTCCAGTTGCCCACCCTGACAGCTGGCTTACGAACACACCTTTCATTGGCTGGATTATTTTCCTTATATTACTCCTTTACTCTTCTGAATTGTTCTGCATTTCCAAATCTGATTTTTACTCAAATCCTTGTCTCATCTGCTTCTGGACATACCCAAACTAAGATAGTTACCTGTAATTTCTAAATATTTCTAAAAATAACTCAGATTATTTATGTAAAACGTGGATGTTTAAAAATATTTTATATTAAATGTTTTATAAATTAGATGATAAAAACATTTATAATTGAAAAAATTGAGTTTATTTTGTGTCCTTCAGTAAATATATTTGTCTACAAGTTTTCGTTTTGAAGCTGTGGTGTGGGCATGAAAACTACTTTCAAATATCAAAAGGCTGATACACGCAAGAAAAAATGGAATGCATTCACGATGACACTTAAAAAACCATAGAAAAAGAGGCTAGTGGGTAGAAGTTACAAGGAGAAGGATTTCTATTCAAAGAAGGACTTCCTAGTAGTGAAAGCTGTCCAAAATTGAAATAAATTTCTTGTGGGAAAAGAGGACTTCATTCAGTAGCAAGTGACAGTATGTAAGCAGTCACTTGTCACTTGGATGACCCTCATCTCTTGAGGGTCTCTAATCCTTGAGTTTATCTCATCAAACTATCTGGCTACCAAAGAACCATTTGTGCTTTCTAACCAATGATACCTGGAGTGTTAAATAATTGGGGACCGTATGTTCATTATCAGACCTTGAGACATGAGTGAAGGAATCATTGAAGCACCTTGTGCAAATGGTAAATGCACAGTCACAAAACGTAGAGGTGGGAAGAGACTTAAGATTCTGGATAATCACTAAATTTTGGTCAAAAAATGTTGACTTAAATTTTCTCATTATTAATACTGGCTATAGTCAGACCATGAAATAGGGATTGTTTTATATACTCAGTTGTAGCATTTCAAATATTATATGTGAACGAGAGTCCATCAAGAACATTTGGTCAGTTTGGACAAATAGAAAAATTAATTATGCATCCTTAAAACAAAAGGAAACAACACATATCTTTACCTTACATTATGAGAGGGTGCAGAGACAGGAAGAGCCAATGTGTAATACTGTTGGATCCCCCAATTTTGATAATGAACATTTTCTTAAGGTAGTTAAAGGAGATTTTAAAAATATGGTATCATAGAAATGGGTAAGAGGTTAAGTATGGAGCAACAGGGATGAATAAAAGAAAAGGAAGTGTTTTGCTAATGCCTTTGGAATCTCGAGTCTTTTGTCCTTTCATCCCTGTAAGTCATACCAGACTTTCTAAATCACGTATTTCATGTGTTCTGTTTTCAAAAACATGGCTCCATTTCTGTGGCAATGAGACTTCTGTATCACAAGATCCAGGATCTGTTCTTTCTTTCACCACTATCTAGCTGATGGATTAACCTTGAGAAAGTGACTTAATCTTTCTTAATTTCTCCATAAATAAGCGGACTATATGATTCTATAATTCACTTCCAGAATTAGCATTTGTGTTTCTACAAGGTGGTAATCAATGCTACACAGAAAAAGAGAACACATACTCATCTACCAAGGAACCAAGGACCTTCTAAAGCAGGCTGTCTTACACAGTGTATTGCCAAACTGACTTAAACCTGTTTGATTATTTCTGATTATTAGGCTCTATTGGAACCTTCTGATGACTAGAGGTAGGTAAGAACTATTGGTCTTTTCCTTTATAATCTGTCTATTATGTGGATTTTATAATGAAATCAAGTTATAGACCAAATCTGCCACACTTACACATGTTCTTCAGTAAGAAGGAATAAAAGCAGTCACACAACCTATAGTGTAAGCTTGCTAAAGCCCCACTTTTCTGACCTTTTAAATGCTAGAGCAAGTAACTTGCATGAAAGAGTCACTCAAGGCAGATGCATCATGACTTAGCTAAACATCTAGCCGAAGCCAGGCCACAAAATCCATCCTAAGTAGCTATACAAAGAATTAATTGGAATTCTAAGCATAGAGCACCATTCCAAAGGGTAAAAATAATGAGTTCACCACATTTCCATACTTTGTCCGTTCATGCAGCTGTGGAAAAGCCTATACAATATTCCTACATAATCCACATCTGTAGAATACTATATATTTTACCAATGAAAAATAATTTCTAATGCAGTATGCTAATTAACAAACCCTCTCAGTTAATTAAAGATATTAGGAATATTCCCTGTGGAATGTGAGCCTTTTTCCTACACACCACTTATGTGTGTAACTCAATGTTAATATGCCTTCCTAAGGTGTATATTAAAATTATACACATATATCCCACACTGTCCAAAATGAACTATTCTAAATTAAAGTATAGACTTGTAATGATCTGATATGCAGGCTTCCAGGAAGGACTACTTCCAAAAGGACAAGAACTTGTACTGTTTCTTTTTTTTTAACGGATAAAAAATTGTATTTACTTAGAAGCATTCAGAATGGCAACAAAACCACTGCGACTTTTTTTTTTTGCAATTACAGAGTGATATTTAGTTAAAAGAACAATTATTTTGTGTAAGAGACAACTGAAGATGAAAACACTACCATCCCCATATATAACTAATTTGTGCTGTGCACCAATAAGAACCTGCTTTCGATTTCTATGCCAGTTTACGACCCCCATACTGTACCAGGCCAGGTTTGTGGCTATGGAAAATACTACCAGGGCATGATATCTAAAGACATATCCATTAGTGTGTTAACTATACAAAAAAGGACACTGGACAGTTTAAAAACAAACCTTACAGAGCCTTACATTTCAATTATTTTCTTTAAAAGGAGTGAGTTGTGTACAGGGGAGTTAAATGGTTTGCAGACAAGAAAAAAGTCACTAGAACCAACTACTACTACTTTTTTCTTCCTCTTCCCCCTCCCCCTCCCTCTCCTTCTCCTCCTTCTCCTCCTTCTCCTCCTTCTCCTCCTCCTCCTCTTCCTCCTTCTCCTCCTCCTCCTTCTTCCTCTTCTTCTTCTTCCTCTTCCTCTTCCTCCTCTTCATCTTGTTCCTCTTCCTCCTTTTTCTCACTTTTTTCAGCCTTGACATCTCCCGTTTTTTTGCTGCATCAGGCTTTTCTTTAGCTTGGTATGCAGCAATATCCTTTTCACATTTTTCTTTCAGCTTCACAGCCTTCTTTTCATAAGGCTGCTTGTCATTTGTGCAGTGTTATTCCACATCTCTCCCAGTTCCTTTGCCTCATCACCAATGGGATGTTCTCTTTTGACTTCTGGGCGATATTCAGAACAGAACAAGAAAAAAAGCCGAAGGAGGCTCTCAGATACATAGAGTTCCTTGAACTTTTTTTGTTTCCCCTTTAGGAAACACAGGTTTTCATTACTTTTTCATGTCCACCTTTGCCATATCTTCAAATTTTCCTTTCTCTTTGGCAGACATGATCTTCCACTACTCTGAGCACTTCTTAGAGAACTTTGAGAAGTTGACTGAAGCATTGGCTGCTTTTTCTTGTGCTCCTCCCAACAAGTTTGCACAAAGAATGCATATGAGGACATTTTGATTCTCAGCTTCTTAGAATCTCCTTTGCCCATGGTTAGTTATTTTTTCTCAATGAGGCAGAGTCATCCAGTACCCATCCAGCTCTCACTTGCCCCAGTGCTGTCTCTATGGAGCTCAGTGTACTGCCATAGCTGTGCCTCCGTTCTTTATTTTTGTTAGGAAGTACTCTGTGATATTCTTTTCCTCCTCCTTCTTCTCCTCCTCTCTTTACCATGCCTCACCCCATTCTCTCTTTACCATTCTTCCTACTATACTCTTAGCATCATTCCCACCACCTTGTCTTCAACATGTGATATTTTTTTACTGTAATGTGATTATGTACTGTATTAAAATATTAACTCCTTAGTGTGAATTACAGTAATATTATTTGGCCCCTTTGTTCATTCCTCACACACATCTGGCAAAACTTTGACTCTGGATTAGTAAAACCATCTGCCTTCTCCATTCATACACATGGGCTCCTGAACATCGCTAGAGAAAAATCATACAACTGTGCCTTGGAGTCACTAAAAATTTAGTCACCAACTTCAGCTCACCTTCAAGTTGCCTAGCAGCATTTCTACACGTACTACAACATCTCTGTAAGGCCCAAGAGATAAGGAATCCTGAGGTAATATTAAGTATATCATTTCAATGATGAGACAGGATTCTGGTTGGGCAGTAGAAAAAAGCTCCCTCTCACCCACTCCTTCCACACTAAAACTCTTCCAAGACCATTTCTGCATGACCACGATGGTTTTCTTAATTCCATAATTGCCCCCTAATGTTTCTTCTCCATATAAGAGCCAGAGTAAGCCTTTAAAAATGCAAAGGTGACCGGGTAGTTACCCTGCTTACTCTCAATGGCCTCCTGCCACACTTAAAATAAAATGCACTTCTTACTAAGGCCTATCAGACTTGACACAACCTGTCCACTCCTCACTTCTTCCCTACTCCTCTCTATCCACACTGGTATTCTTGCTGATCCGCAGACCTGAAGCTCATTTCCACTCCTTTTCTGCTTGCTTTTCCTTTGGACAGGAACACTCTTCCTCGGAGGTGGACATGGTTCCCTTTATTTTTAAATTTACATATAGTAAAATTTACTGTTTGTGCTGTATACTTATATGAATTCTGACATATGCCTAGAGTCATTTATCTATTCCCACAATCAAAATATAAAGCAGTGTGATCATTCCTCAGAACTCCCTCAGGCAGCCAATTTACAGTCAACCCCTTCCCCCACCCACTCCTAACCCCGGCAACTACTTATGTTTTCTCCATCTCTATTGTTTTTAGACCCTAGTATTTTTACTCTAACCATTATTTGAGGTCTAGCTAGTCCTAATATCTGCAGGAGTCATTCAAATCAGTACTTGAGGATAGCAAAATAATTAATTAAGCATGACTGAAAGAGTATTAACTTAAGCATAGATATATTTAATAAACTAAATATAAGCTTTAATGGGAATGTGATGTAGATTCTCAGGGCAAAACCTCAGCTAGGCTGGTTAGAAGAATAATTTCCATGCTGGCCTGGCTTGGCTCAGATTCCTCCTCTCCTAGTTTGTCAGGTTCCTGCTAATTCCCTTCCCAATATCTGTTCCTGTCCTTCATAAATTACCTTTTCATATAATGGCCTTAATACTAATTGCAGTATTTTCTTTGGATTTACCAAAGTCCAAAGATCCTTTTAAGCACTGAATAACTGTTGTTGAATTGCTGAAGGTTACTCTAATGATGTCTGCAAAATGCTACTTGCCTATGCAGTTCCTGAAGTTCCCAGTCTCTTTCCATTTGAGCCCTGCATTCTGAGTCTGCTCCCTCACTCAGGAACCAGTTGCTTCTTAACCTGAGTATTCTGTGCTCTGGCCTTGGTTCTTTGGTTTGCCACATCTAAGTTTTGAGTATGCCCTGGGACAAGGGGGTTTAAATGTCAAAGTCAAACTTCCAGCTTAGTTACTGTGGCCTTATTGTATTCCTCTTTGATTATATCACACCCACTAATCATTCGCATCTACTAGGAACTCTGACCCATGAATCACACAGTGGCATTGAGTTTCCCACAAGTAGGAAATAAAAAATAACAAGAAAGCTCACAGGTTAGCTCCTGTACCTGCAGCTGTAGCATAAAAACCAGAAGTTAACAACTCTGGCAGGCTACGATTGTAAAGTGGCTTTGACAAACTTTGATGATTCACAACGTGGCTTAGGCTTTGTCTCATGCATATTAGTGGAAATGTACTGTCTTTATTTCCTGGTTCCAGCCACTCTTCACAATATTCCTGAGGGAGATATGTGTCCAAAGGGGCAAAGGAAAACAAAGGAGCCCTTTAGTATTAGACCAGTATGACCATATGGCCAGGTTTGCCAGGACAATGCTGGATATAAGGTGTAATTATCATAGCACATTTTTTACTCTCAAAGTGTACCCATTCTGATGACAAATCATATGGCTACCCTAATTATATACAGCAAGCATACACAACATATTACTCTCCCTATCTCCACAGCTCTGGAGGGAATAGGTAACTGAAGTTAAATGAGGTCACAGGGATTGGACCCTGATCTGATAGAAATAGTGTCCTTAGAAGAAACAACACCAGGGTGAGTCCTATCTCTCTCATGCATATGTGCTCTTGCTCTGTCTCTCTCTTTCTCCTCTCTATCTCTCTCTTTCCCTCTATCCCCACACACAGACAAGAAAGGTCATGTAAGGACATAGTAAAAAGGAAGCCCTCTGCAAGCCAGGAAGAGAGCCCTTACCAGAAACTAAATTGACTAGAACCTTGATCTGAGACTTTCCAGCCTCCAGAACTGTGAGAAAATAAATTTTTGTTGTCTAAGCTACTCAGTCTATGGTATTTTATTATGGCAGCTGGAGCTGACTAACATAGAGGTATAACAAAAACTATTGCCCTAAAGAAGCTTACACTTCAGCAGAGAATACACTCTGATTACTTTTTAGAGAATAATTCCATTGCAGTGGAAGTGAGCACCTAAATACTATCTAATACTAGACAAAATAAAATGAGAGTTTAAAAGATGTTGCAATAAAAATGCCTATGAGGGCACCTGTACCTGCAGCTGTAGCATCAGATACAGGGCCCAGGGGAGACTAGTTAATTACAAGAATATGACACAAGGTTTTAGAGAGGACATAGAGGAAAGAGTTTTGTCTCTGTTCAGCCTGATATACCTCCTTAAATAGGTGATCCTGGCTCCACATCATATACCATGTTTTGACATGGACCACCTACCTCACATTCAACAAACCTATGTTTTGCATTGAACCTACCCATCCTCCAGTCTTCTGACCACTGACTTTAATACTCATTTTCCAACTTCCCCCCATCTGAAAGATATGATTCACAATATTTTCTTGGCCATAACACTGGCTCATACAAACTGGGCTTCTGCCTCCTCATCCTGGGAATTGATCATAGGGCCAATTTTGACTGTGCTCTTACCTGCTGACTCTCTCATTTGGTGCTGCCATTTCCCTAGGTTTCTGCTGGGCCCAGACAAGTTGGATTTTGAGAAAGAGAAATAAATTAATATGAAGAAAATGAAGTTTCAACATTAAAACTGAAATCAACATGCAAATCTGAGGAACAGCAAAAGCAAACACGAAAAGCTTGAAAGGGTACCTTTTTATTATGGAAAGAAGAATAATGTGTGATTAAAATTTTTGCATACTCTGTACTCTAAGTTCTGAAATCTGCAATCAGAGCATCAGAAGGGTTGAAATGCCCACTATGATCTGTGATTTGTCTTATGTATATGTCTTGTTTTGTTGACACAGTTGGTAAGAGTCTTCTGCTTGTGTATCATGGTAAGTATTATCATTAAAAACCCCTCCTTTGATATCTGAACCACTTAGTAATACAGTCTTAGTAATGAGAAACTTTAACTTAGCCATTCAAATGGTCAAGACGTTTTGAAATGGTTTATTGTGGCCATCACAGAGGGGTTGGTCCTGCCTTATGACCTAAGAAATTCTCAAATTTATAGTGATAATAGGATAATACAGATGGATGATACAGATTTTTAAAATTTCACTTGTGAAACTTCCTCTCTGAACAATACTGGTGGGATTTTTAAATACTACTTTAAGCAATTAAATAATTTTCTTTTGTATTCTAAACCTAGGCAAACAGAGACATTGAAGACCTTTAATACAGTATGGATGTGGGCATGTTATGTACAGGGTTGTAATAGCGTAGAGTTCTTTAATCTCATTTGTTGAGTAGTCTCTTAACAACTGCATAAATTATTAATTATAAAACTGCATTGATGGGTTTATAATATAATGACATGTGTGACAATAATAGCACAAAGGAGGGAGGAAGAAGTGGAGCTATATCGGAGCAAATTTTTATATACTATTAAAATTACAATGGTATTAATCTGAACTTGATTGCTTAAGTTAAGATGTTAACTGCAATCTCCAAGAAAACCACTGAGTATTTCTCAAAAAAATAGTAAAAGAAACAACAAGAGAATTAAAATTATATGCTAGATAATATTTATTTAACACAAAAGAAGGAAGTAATAAAGGAATAAAGAAACAAAAAAGATGAAAGACATATAGAAAACAAATGGAGAATAGCAGACATAAATCTTACCTCATCAGTAATTTTATTAAATGTAAACTAAACACTAATCAAATTTAGTGGAAAAACCACTCCAATCAAAAGGCCAAGAACTGTAGAATAGATAAAAACATGATCCAACGATATGCTGCCTACAATATGATGCACTTTAGATTCAAATGTACAAATAGGTTGAAAGAAAAAGATGACAAAACATATAGCATGCAAACAGTAAACAAAAAAGAATTGGAGCAGCTATATTTATATCAGATGAAATAGACGTCAAAGCAAAAAGTGTTAACAGAGACAAAGAAGGACTTTTTTAATAATAAAAGGATCAACGCATTAGGAACATAAATAAAAGGGTCAATTCAACAAACACAAAACAATTACAAATATATATGCACCTAACAACAGAGCTTCAAAATATATAAAGCAAAGATTGAGAGAATTGAAGGAGAAATAAGACAATTCAACAATAAGAGAGATTTCAGTAACCCAGTTTCAATAATGGATAGAACCAATAGACTATAAACAAGAAAGCAGAAGATTTGAAAAATGCTATAAACCAACTAGACCTAATAGACATCTATGAACATTCCACCTCAAACAGTGATATACACATTCTCCACAAGTGCCCATGAGATATTTTCCAGAAAAGATCATATGTTAGGCCATAAAACAAGCCTCAATAAATGTGCCCTCCAACAAAAATTGAATAAAATTAAAAATCAATAAGAGAAGGAAATTTGGAAAATTCTCAGATATGTGGAAATTGAATGACATAATCCTAAATAATCAATTGTCAAAGATGAAATCACAAGGGAAATTAGGAAATACCTTGAGATTAATGAAAATGAAAGTACAATATATGGAACACAATTAAGCTGTACTTAGAAATGTCTAGCTATAAAGGCCTATATTTAAAAAAAGATCTCAAATAGAAAGCCTAAATGTCTGCCTTAATAAACTAGAAAAAGGATAGTAAACTAAATTCAAAGCAAGTAGAAGGAAGAAAATAATAAAGATTAGAGTAGAAATACATAAAACAGAAAATAGAAAAACAATAGAGAAAATCAATAGAAGTTGGTTCTTTGATATGATTCACAAAACTGACAAACCTTTAGCTAGACTGAAAAGGAAAAGAGAGGGGAAAACTTAAATTGCTAACATTAAGAATAAAGAAGGGGGCAGATATCTGCCTACCTTACAGAAACCAAAAGGACTATAAGGGAATGAATAATTGTTTGCCAATGAACTCAGTAGCCTAGATGAAATGAGTATATTCCTAGAAAGACAAACTGGTCAATTTGACTTGAGAATAAAGAGAAAATCTGAATAGATTCATAACAAGATATTGAATCCATAATAATAATTAAAAACTTCCCACAAGGGGGGAGGAGCCAAGATGGCCAAATAGGAACAGCTCCGGTCTACAGCTCCCAGCGTGAGCGACGCAGAAGACGGGTGATTTCCGCATTTCCATCTGAGGTACCGGGTTCATCTCACTAGGGAGTGCCAGACAGTGGGCGCAGGTCAGTGGGTGCGCGCACCCTGCGCGAGCAGAAGCAGGGCGAGGCATTGCCTCACTTGGGAAGCGCAAGGGGTCAGGGAGTTCCCTTTCTGAGTCAAAGAAAGGGGTGACGGACGGCACCTGGAAAATCGGGTCACTCCCACCCGAATACTGCGCTTTTCCGACGGGCTTAAAAAACGATGCACCACGAGATTATATCCCGCACCTGGCTTGGAGGGTCCTACGCTCACGGAGTCTCGCTGATTGCTAGCACAGCAGTCTGAGATCAAACTGCAAGGCGACAGCGAGGCTGGGGGAGGGGCGCCCACCATTGCCCAGGCTTGATTAGGTAAACAAAGCAGCCCGGAAGCTCCAACTGGGTGGAGCCCACCACAGCTCAAGGAGGCCTGCCTGCCTCTGTAGGCTCCACCTCTGGGGGCAGGGCGCAGACAAACAAAAAGACAGCAGTAACCTCTGCAGCCTTAAATGTCCCTGTCTGACAGCTTTGAAGAGAGCAGTGGTTCTCCCAGCACGCAGCTGGAGATCTGAGAACGGGCAGACTGCCTCCTCAAGTGGGTCCCTGACCCCTGACCCCCGAGCAGCCTAACTGGGAGGCACCCCCAGCAGGGGCACACTGACGCCTCACACGGCAGGGTACTCCAACAGACCTGCAGCTGAGGGTCCTCTCTGTAAGAAGGAAAACTAACAAACAGAAAGGACAACCACACCAAAAACCCATCTGTACATCACCATCATCAAAGACGAAAAGTAGATAAAACCACAAAGATGGGGAAAAAACAGAACAGAAAAACTGGAAACTCTAAAAATCAGAGCACCTCTCCTCCTCCAAAGGAACGCAGTTCCTTACCAGCAACGGAACAAAGCTGGATGGAGAATGACTTTGACGAGCTGAGAGAAGAAGGCTTCAGACGATCAAATTACTCTGAGCTACGGGAGGATATTCAAACCAAAGGCAAAGAAGTTGAAAACTTTGAAAAAAATTTAGAAGAAGGTATAACTAGAATAACCAATACAGAGAAGTGCTTAAAGGAGCTGATGGAGCTGAAAACCAAGGCTCGAGAGCTACGTGAAGAATGCAGAAGCCTCAGGAGCCGACGCGATCAACTGGAAGAAAGGGTATCAGCGATGGAAGATGAAATGAATAAAATGAAGCTAGAAGGGAAGTTTAGAGAAAAAATAATAAAAAGAAATGAGCAAAGCCTCCAAGAAATATGGGACTATGTGAAAAGACCAAATCTACATCTGATTGGTGTACCTGAAAGTGATGGGGAGAATGGAACCAAGTTGGAAAACACTCTGCAGGATATTATCCAGGAGAACTTCCCCAATCTAGCAAGGCAGGCCAACGTTCAGATTCAGGAAATACAGAGAACGCCACAAAGATACTCCTCGAGAAGAGCAACTCCAAGACACATAATTGTCAGATTCACCAAAGTTGAAATGAAGGAAAAAATGTTAAGGGCAGCCACAGAGAAAGGTCGGGTTACCCTCAAAGGGAAGGCCATCAGACTAACAGCGGATCTCTCGGCAGAAACCCTACAAGCCAGAAGAGAGTGGGGGCCAATATTCAACATTCTTAAAGACAAGAATTTTCAACCCAGAATTTCATATCCAGCCAAACCAAGCTTCATAAGTGAAGGAGAAATAAAATACTTTACAGACAAGCAAATGCTGAGAGATTTTGTCACCACCAGGCCTGCCTTACAAGAGCTCCTGAAGGAAGCACTAAACATGGAAAGGAACAACCGGTACCAGCCGCTGCAAAATCATGCCAAAATGTAAAGACCATTGAGACTAGGAAGAAACTGCATCAACTAACGAGCAAAATAACCAGCTAACATCATAATGACAGGATCAAATTCACACATAACAATACTAACTTTAAATGTAAATGGACTAAATTCTCCAATTAAAAGACACAGACTGGCAAATTGGATAAAGAGTTAAGACCCATCACTGTGCTGTATTCAGGAAACCCATCTCACATGCAGAGACACACATAGGCTCAAAATAAAAGGATGGAGGAAGATCTACCAAGCAAATGGAAAACAAAAAAAGGCAGGGGTTGCAATCCCAGTCTCTGATAAAACAGACTTTAAACCAACAAAGATCAAAAGAGACAAAGAAGGCCATTACATAATGGTAAAGGGATCAATTCAACAAGAAGAGCTAACTATCCTAAATATATATGCACCCAACACTGGAGCACCCAGATTCATAAAGCAAGTCCTGAGTGACCTACAAAGAGACTTAGACTCCCACACAATAATAATGGGAGACTTTAACACCCCACTGTCAACATTAGACAGATCAACGAGACAGAAAGTCAACAAGGATACCCAGGAATTGAACTCAGCTCTGCACCAAGAAGACCTAATAGATATCTACAGAACTCTCCACCCCAAATCAATAGAATATACTTTTTTTTCAGCACCACACCATACCTATTCCAAAATTGACCACATAGTTGGAAGTAAAGCTCTCCTCAGCAAATGTAAAAGAACAGAAATTATAACAAACTATCTCTCAGACCACAGTGCAATCAAACTAGAACTCAGGATTAAGAATCTCACTCAAAACCGCTCAACTACATGGAAACTGAACAACCTGCTCCTGAATGACTACTGGGTACATAACGAAATGAAGGCAGAAATGAAGATGTTCTTTGAAACCAACGAGAACAAAGACACAACATACCAGAATCTCTGGGACGCATTCAAAGCAGTGTGTAGAGGGAAATTTATAGCACTAAATGCCCACAAGAGAAAGCAGGAAAGATCCAAAATTGACACCCTAACATCACAATTAAAAGAGCTAGAAAAGCAAGAGCAAACACATTCAAAAGCTAGCAGAAGGCAAGAAATAACTAAAATCAGAGCAGAACTGAAGGAAATAGAGA
Source organism: Homo sapiens (assembly GCF_000001405.40). Lineage (NCBI taxonomy): Eukaryota > Metazoa > Chordata > Mammalia > Primates > Hominidae > Homo > Homo sapiens. The sequence continues at coordinate 56,314,137 of NC_000015.10, read as the reverse complement.
CACAAAAAACCCTTCAAAAAATTAATGAATCCAGGAGCTGGTTTTTTGAAAGGATCAACAAAATTGATAGACCGCTAGCAAGACTAATAAAGAAAAAAAGAGAGAAGAATCAAATGGACGCAATAAAAAATGATAAAGGGGATATCATCACCGATCCCACAGAAATACAAACTACCATCAGAGAATACTACAAACACCTCTACGCAAATAAACTAGAAAATCTAGAAGAAATGGATAAATTCCTGGACACATACACTCTCCCAAGACTAAACCAGGAAGAAGTTGAATCTCTGAATAGACCAATAACAGGATCTGAAATTGTGGCAATAATCAATAGCTTACCAACCAAAAAGAGTCCAGGACCAGATGGATTCACAGCCGAATTCTACCAGAGGTACAAGGAGGAACTGGTACCATTCCTTCTAAAACTATTCCAATCAATAGAAAAAGAGGGAATCCTCCCTAACTCATTTTATGAGGCCAGCATCATTCTGATACCAAAGCCAGGCAGAGACACAACAAAAAAAGAGAATTTTAGACCAATATCCTTGATGAACATTGATGCAAAAATCCTCAATAAAATACTGGCAAAACGAATCCAGCAGCACATCAAAAAGCTTATCCACCATGATCAAGTGGGCTTCAGCCCTGGGATGCAAGGCTGGTTCAATATACGCAAATCAATAAATGTAATCCAGCATATAAACAGAACCAAAGACAAAAACCACATGATTATCTCAATAGATGCAGAAAAAGCCTTTGACAAAATTCAACAACCCTTCATGCTAAAAACTCTCAATAAATTAGGTATTGATGGGACGTATCTCAAAATAATAAGAGCTATCATCTATGACAAACCCACAGCCAATATCATACTGAATGGGCAAAAACTGGAAGCATTCCCTTTGAAAACTGGCACAAGACAGGGATGCCCTCTCTCACCACTCCTATTCAACATAGTGTTGGAAGTTCTGGCCAGGGCAATTAGGCAGAAGAAGGGAATAACGGGTATTCAATTAGGAAAAGAGGAAGTCAAATTGTCCCTGTTTGCAGATGACATGATTGTATATCTAGAAAACCCCATTGTCTCAGCCCCAAATCTCCTTAAGCTGATAAGCAACTTCAGCAAAGTCTCAGGATACAAAATCAATGTACAAAAATCACAAGCATACTTATACACCAACAACAGACAAACAGAGAGCCAAATCATGAGTGAACTCCCATTCACAATTGCTTCAAAGAGAATAAAATACCTAGGAATCCAACTTACAAGGGATGTGAAGGACCTCTTCAAGGAGAACTACAAACCACTGCTCAAGGAAATAAAAGAGGATACAAACAAATGGAAGAACATTCCATGCTCATGGGTAGGAAGAATCAATATCATGAAAATGGCCATACTGCCCAAGGTAATTTACAGATTCAATGCCATCCCCATCAAGCTACCAATGACTTTCTTCACAGAATTGGAAAAAACTACTTTAAAGTTCATATGGAACCAAAAAAGAGCCCGCATCACCAAGTCAATCCTAAGCCAAAAGAACAAAGCTGGAGGCATCACACTACCTGACCTCAAACTATACTACAAGGCTACAGTAACCAAAAGAGCATGGTACTGGTACCAAAACAGAGATATAGATCAATGGAACAGAACAGAGCCCTCAGAAATAATGCCGCATATCTACAACTATCTGATCTTTGACAAACCTGAGAAAAACAAGCAATGGGGAAAGGATTCCCTATTTAATAAATGGTACTGGGAAAACTGGCTAGCCATATGTAGAAAGCTGAAACTGGATCCCTTCCTTACACCTTATCCAAAAATTAATTCAAGATGGATTAAAGACTTAAACGTTAGACCTAAAACCGTAAAAACCCTAGAAGAAAACCTAGGCATTACCATTCAGGACATAGGCATGGGCAAGGACTTCATGTCTAAAACACCAAAAGCAATGGCAACAAAAGACAAAATTGACAAATGGGATGTAATTAAACTAAAGAGCTTCTGCACAGCAAAAGAAACTACCATCAGAGTGAAGAGGCAACCTACAAAATGGGAGAAAATTTTCGCAACCTACTCATCTGACAAAGGGCTAATATCCAGAATCTATAGTGAACTCAAACAAATTTACAAGAAAAAAACAAACAACCCCATCAAAAAGTGGGCAAAGGACATGAACAGACACTTCTCAAAAGAAGACATTTATGCAGCCAAAAAACACATGAAAAAATGCTCATCATCACTGGCCATCAGAGAAATGCAAATCAAAACCACAATGAGATACCATCTCACACCAGTTAGAATGGCAATCATTAAAAAATCAGGAAACAACAGGTGCTGGAGAGGATGTGGAGAAATAGGAACACTTTTACACTGTTGGTGGGACTGTAAACTAGTTCAACCATTGTGGAAGTCAGTGTGGCGATTCCTCAGGGATCTAGAACTGGAAATACCATTTGACCCAGCCATCCCATTACTGGGTATATACCCAAAGGACTATGAATCATGCTGCTATAAAGACACATGCACACGTATGTTTATTGCGGCATTATTCACAATAGCAAAGACTTGGAACCAACCCAAATGTCCAACAATGATAGACTGGATTAAGAAAATGTGGCACATATACACCATGGAATACTATGCAGCCATAAAAAATGATGAGTTCATGTCCTTTGTAGGGACATGGATGAAACTGGAAATCATCATTCTCAGTAAACTATCGCAAGAACAAAAAACCAAACACCGCATATTCTCACTCATAGGTGGGGACTGAACAATGAGATCACATGGACACAGGAAGGGGAATATCACACTCTGGGGACTGTTGTGGGGTGGGGGGAGGGGGGAGGGATAGCATTGGGAGATATACCTAATGCTAGATGACGAGTTAGTGGGTGCAGCGCACCAGCATGGCACATGTATACATATGTAACTAACCTGCACAATGTGCACATGTACCCTAAAACTTAAAGTATAATTAAAAAAAAAAAGAAATTAAAAAAAAAAAAGAAATAAGGAGTCACCAAGGGAGAAGGGGAGAGAAGTACACTGTAAGGCACAGACAGCTGTGGGTGCAAATGCCAGGGCAGAAGGAGGCAGCTCCAGAAAATTCTGAAGGGTTCTAGACTTGGGTGTTGAGAGGGTGTTCGTCTGAGGTCATCTGTAGGGCCCTTCCCTATGACTTTCCAGAGCAACCTCTCTCTGCAATCGGAAGGAGAGTTGGGACTGAGCCCAAATGTGGAAGCCTGTGCATGTCATTTTGAAAACTCTGTTGAGGTTTCAGGGTTGCGCCACTGAAGGACTGGCATTGGAACTCCTGAAAGGGTTTCCATCTCCAGTTGGATTAGCTGCCTCTGTTCTGTGCTCCCTGACCCTCTTTTTCTCTGCTTTCCCTTTGCTCAGAAGACTTGCTATTCTGATTTGCAATGACTCATTATCTAGCCACCTATCTTTAACCTGTCCAGGCTTCCACTGATGAATCTGTGCAAGAATGTCAGTGGCTAGCCTACTTGGCAGAGCTGGTGCAGGGATCATAATAGACCAGCAATGGAAAGTAGGATGCGCTGTTGACAAAGATTCTGTCCTTGACCAAGCTCTACTTGGCTCCTCTGAGCCCTCTTCTTCGCTAGGCCTCAACCTTGGCCTAGAAAGATGTGAACAAACACTAGCAGAGTTTCTTTTTTTGTTTTGTTTTGATTTTTGAGACAGAATTTTGCTCTTGTTGCCCAGGCTGGAGTGCAATGGCCCAATCTCGGCTCACTATAATCTCCACCTCCCGGGTTCAAGTGATTCTCATGCCTCAGCCTCCCAAATAGCTGGGATTACAGGCATGCACCACCACACCTGGCTAATTTTTGTATCTTTAGTAGAGACGGGGTTTCACCATGTTGGTCAGGCTGGTCTTGAACTCCTGACCTCAGGTGGTCCAACTGCCTCAGCCTCCCAAAGTGTCGGGATTACAGGCGTGAGCCAGTGAGCCTGGCCCCACTAACACTGAATTTCTAAGAGATCAAAGCCACGTCCCTAGGATGGCCCTAGTCTCCCTTAAAGTGCCTGCCTAAGAAAACTCAAGGCTGCCAGAGGAATTTACTGTTTGTTTCAGCCAACACCTGAAGATTGGGCCCATCTCCCAGACTCTTTGGAGGGCAGGAGCCTAAGTTTGATAAATGCCAGTTACCCAGATGGGTTTCACATGGACCAACCTGCTACCACCTCCCCTTCTCCCAGTGCCCACCTCCAGCTTTTTGGGATTTTTCACTTCCCTGACTCTACTCAAGCTCTCACTATTTCCCCTCCCACTCTCTCATTCTCCCTTGAAACAGCCCAGTCACCTCTGCACAAATCGGAATGTAGTTCAGCTCTTTTCTCTACTGTTAATTGTTACTGAATAAAATCTGTTTCACTGCTTTAAAAAAAAAAAAAAAAAAAAAAAAAAAAAAACTTCCCATAAAAATCCCAGGCCCAGATGCTTTACCAATAAATTCCACTCAACTTTTAAAGAATTAACACCAATCTTTCTCAAGCTTTTCCATTAAAAAATAGAAAAGGAGAGAATACTTGCCAATTCATTCATTACCACCATACCAAAACCAGACAAAGATTTCACAAGAGAAAAAAATCTACAGACCAATATTCCTTATGAATGTGGATGTTACAACCATCAACGAAATACTAGCAAAACCACATCCAGCCATATAAAATATCCAGTGTTTTACACTACAACCAACTGGGATTTATTCTAAGAATGCAAAGTCAGGTAAACATCTGAAAATCAACTAATATAATACCAACAGAATTAAAAAATACAAAAACCACAGAATCAGCTCAATAAACACAGAAAAAATGGACAAATTCCAACATCCTTTCTTAATAAAAAACCTCAGCAAATCAGGAATAGAAGGGAATTTCTTCAACCTAATGAAAGACCATCGATAAAAAACCTACAGCTAGTGTCATACTTGATAATGAACGTCCTAATGTTGTTAAGATGGTAATACTCCCCCAAATGATCTGCAGATTCAAAACAATTTCTATCAGAATTCCAGCTAGCATGTTTTATGTAGATTGATAAGCTTATCATAAAATTCATATAGCAATACAAGGAATCCAGAATAATCAAAATAATCTTGAAAAAGAACAAAGTTGAAGGACTCACAGTTTCTGATTTCAAAACTTACTACAAAGCCACACTAATGATAGTGCAGTACTGGCATAAGATTAAATATACAGATCAATGGTAAAGAACTGGGAATACAGGAAAAAAAGTCCTTCTACTTATGGTCAATTGATTTTCAGCAATAGTATAAAATAATTCAATGGCAAAGGTAATCATTTCAATGAATCGTCCTGGGGCAACTGGATGCCCTTATACAAAAAATGAAGTTGGACCCCTTCCTCATACACTATACAAAAATTAATTTAAAATGAATCATAGGCCTAAATGTAAGAGCTAAAACTATAAAACTGTTAGAAGAAAACAGGAGTAAAAACATTCCTTGGATCAGGAATGATTTCTTAGATATGATACCAAAAGCACATGCAACAAAAGAAAAAATAGATAAACTGGACATTATCAAAATTAAAAGCTTTTGTGTTTCAAAGGACATCATCAAGAAAGTGAAAAGACAACCCACAAAATGAGAAAAAACATTTGCAAATCATATATCTGATAAAGGTCTAATATCCAGAATAAAGCACTCTTACAACTCAACAAAACACCAATAATTCAATCAAAGAATGGGCAAAGGATTGGAATAGACATTTCTCTAAAGACAAATAGTCAATAAGCATATGAAAAGATGCTCAACACCATTAGTCATCAGCAAATGCAAACTGAATGACAATGAGATACCATTTCACACCCAGTAGGATTGGCTATAATAAAAAAGATGGAAATAACAAGTATTGGCAAGGATGTGAAGAAATTGGAACCCTTATACACTGCTGGTAAAATGTAAAATAGTGCAGCTGCTTTGGAAAACAGTTTGGCAGTTCCTCAAAAGTTAAATGTGGTTACCTAAAGACCCATCGTTTTCACTCCTAGATATATACTGATGAAAACTGAAAATATGTCCATGGACAAACTTGCACAGATGTTCACAGTAGCATTATTCATAATAGCTAAAAAGTAGAGACAATTCAATTGTTCATCAACTACTGAATGGATAAACAAAATATGATATAACCAGTCAATGAAATATTACTAGGATATAAAAATAAATGTATTGATCCAAACTACAACACGGATGAACTTGGAAATATTAGACTAAGTTAAAGATGCCAGACACAAAAGCTATATATAATTCTATTTTTATGAAATGTCCAGAATAGGCAAATCCATAAAGACAGAAAGTAGATTAATGGTTTCCAGAGACTCAGAGACTGGGGGCAGGGGAGAATGACAAGTATATGCTAATGAGTATGAGGTTTCTTTTGGGGGTGATTAAAATGTCCTAAAATTAGACCTTGGTGATTGTGCAACTCCACAAATACATTAAAACCACTGCATTGAATGATTTAAAAGGGTGAATTTTATGATACGTAATTTATGTCAACAAAGCTGTTATTTTTTAAATGCCTGGCAAATATTGGACATTTAATAAATGTAGGTTGGTTTTATTCCCATCAACCTCAATTCAAATCACAGAGTTGAGGCTATTTCCTGCCCAGAGTTTTACAAACCTTTTATCTCGTCAGTCCTGGCAGTGGCCAGGTGGTAGCACCTGGGGATTGCCAGTGAGGGAAATTGGAAACAGCTGTCCAGATTGGTGGGCTAGGGAGAGGAGCTGCAGTAAAGCATGGGGAATCCAAAATTGGGTAACAGATGCAGGCTCTCGCTAGAGGCTGTTTAGACAATAAGCTTGGGGAAAGGGTAGAGGATAAACATTGAGACAAAAGACCAGTGGCCTGTGATGTGGAAGTACCTTAATTCAGTGAACAGCTTCTTATATCCCTCTTTCTGAGTTTCATTAGGCTGCCAGCTTGATTTCTTAGAAAGCTAGGGCAGGTGTCCTACTGCCAGTACTCACCGATATTTAGTCATTTTCCCCCCAGGAAAGTGTATTTTAGATAAATAATTATGTTACTGAGCACAGCCAGGAAGAACAAAGGAGAGTTGAGATTTTAAACTACCCTGGATATGAGTGAAAAAAGACTGTTGAAATTTATTGGGCATATTAGCAACAGGTAAACTAAATATAACTGTATTAATGGCCGGTATAAGTTTCTTTTAATTTTCAATGTTTCATGGGTACATAGGAGTATATATTTATGGGATACATGAGATATTTTGATACAAGCATGCAATGCATAATAATCACATCAGAGTAAATGGGGTATCCATCACCTCAAGCATTTATCCTTTATGTTACAAACATTCCAATTATAGTCTTTCAGTTATTTTTAAAATGTACAATAAATTATTGTTGACTGTAATCACCTTGTTGTACTATAAAATACTACATCTTAGTCTAACCATATTTTTGTATCCATTAAATATTCCCACTTCCCCCAACTCTAAACCCCTTGCCAGCCTCTGGTAACCATTATTCTACTCTATATCCATGAGTTCAATTGTTTTAATTTTTAGCTCCCATAAATGAGTGATAACATGCAAAGTTTGTCCTGTGCTTGGCTTATTTCACTTAACATAATAAACCTCAGTTCCACCCATGTTGTTGCAAATGACAGGATCTTGTTCATTTTTATGGCTGAATAGTATTCCATTGTGTATAGGTACCACATTTTCTTTATTCATCTGTTGATGGACACTTAGGTTTCTCCCAAATCATGGCTACTGTGAATAGTACTGCAATGCACATGGAAGTGCAGATATCTCTTTGATACACTGATTTCCTTTTTTTTTTTTTTTTTTTTTGCTATGTACCTATCAGCCTAGCAGTGGCATTGCTGGTAGTTTTATTTCTAGTTTTCTGAGGAACCTCCATACTGTTCTGCATAGTGGCTGTACTAATTTACATTTCCACCAACAGTGTACAAGGGTTACCTTTTCTCTGCATTCTCACCAGCATTTGTTATTGCCTGGCTTTTGCATAAAAGCCATCTTAACTGGTGTTATCTCATTGTAGTTTTGATTTGCATTTCTATTGAGCATGTTTTTATATGTCTGTTTGCAATTTGTATTCTTTTGAGAAAAGCCTGTTGACATTTCCTTTTGCCCATTTTTAAATCAGATTATTACATTTTTTTCTCTTTGAGTTATTTGACCTTCTTATATATTCTGGTTAGTAATCCCTTGTCAGATAGATAGATTGCGAATATTTTCTACCATTCTATGAGTTGTCTTTTCACTTTGTTGATTCCTTACTTTGCTACAAGAAGCTTTTTAATTTGATGTGATCCCATTTGTCCATTTTTGCTTTGACCACCTGTGCTCATGGGGTATTACTCAAGAAATCATTGCCCAGTCCAATGTCCTGGAGCGCTTTCCCAATCTTTTCTTGTAATAGTTTTATATTTTGAGGTCTTAGACAAGTGTTTAATCCACTTTGATTTGATTTTTGTGTATGGCAAGAGATAAGGGTCTAATTTCTTTCTTCTGCATATAGATACTCAGTTTTCCCAGCACCTTTTATTGAAGAGACTATCTTTTCCCCATTGTACGTTCTTGGCATTTTTGTCAAAAATGAGTTCACTGTAGATTTATAAATTTATTTCTGGGTTCTCTGTTCTGTTTCTTTGGTCTATGTGTCTGTTTGCAGGTACCATGCTGTTTTGATTACAATAGCTCTGTAATATAATTTGAAGTCTGGTAATGAGATTCCTCCAGTTTTGTTCATTTTGCTCAAGGTGACCTTGGCCATTCTGGGTCTTTTGTAGTTCCATATAAATTGTAGGATTTTTTTTTTATTTATGTGAAGAATGTCAGTGGTGTTTTCATAGGAATTGCAATGAATCTGTAAATCGTTTTGGATAATATGGATATTTAAACAATATTAACTCTTCCGATCCATGAACATAGAATATTTTTCCATGTTTTGTGTCTTCTCAATTTCTTGCATCAGTGTTTTATAGTTTTTACTGTAGAGATCTTTTACTACTTTAGTCTATTCCTAGGTATTTAATTGTATTTGTAGCTAATGTAAATGGGGTTACATTCTCGATTTCTTTTCCAGATTGTTCACTGTTGGCATATAGAAATGCTCAATGCTTCGCTTGAGTCACAGGAGTTCCAGACCAGCCTGGGCAACATGGCAACACCCCATTTCTACAAAAATTACAAAAATTAACCGGGCATGGTGGTGTATGCCTGTGGTCTCAGCTACTCAGGAGGCTGAGGCGGGAGGATGGCTTGAGCCCAGGAGTATGAGGATGCAGTCAGCCATGATTGCACCACCACACTCTAGCCTGAGCAACAGAGTGAAACCAAAACCAGACAAAGACACATCAAAGAAAGAAAATTACAGGCCCATATCTCTGATGAAAATTGATGGGAAAATTGTCAACAATATACTAGCAAACTAAATTAAACAATGTATTAAAAAGATCATTCATCATGACTATGACCATCATGGGATAAAGTGGGATTTATCCCATGAATGCAAGGATAGTTCTACATACACAGATCAATCAATGTGATACATCATATCAACAGAATGAAGGACAAAAACCATATAATCATTTTAATAGATGCTGAAAAACATTTGATAAAATTCAACATCATTTCATAAAAACCCTCACAAAACTGGATACAGAATGAAGATACCTCAACAAAATAAAAACTTTATATGACAGACCCATAGCTAGTATCATACTAAATGGGTAAAGACTGAAAGCCTTTCCTCTAAGATCTGCAACAAGACAAGGATGTCCACTTTGACCGCTGTTATTCAGCACAGTACTGGAAGTCCTAGCTAGAGCAAACAGACAAAAGAAAGAAATAAAGGGCGTCCAAATTGGAAAGGAAGAAGTCAAAATATCCTTGTTTTCATAATGATCACACCACTGCACTCCAGAGTAATACTGGCCTCGTAGAATGAGTTTGGAAGTATTCTCTCTCCTTCTATTTTCTAGAATAGTTTGAGTAAAATTGATATTAGTTCTTTAAGTGTTTGTTAGAATTCAACACTAAAGCCATAAAATCCCATGCTTTTCTTTGCTGGGAAACTTTTTATTACAGCTTTAATCTCATTACTTGTTATTAGTCCGTTCATGTTTTGGATTTCTTCATGGTTCAATCTTAGTAGGTTGTATGTGACTAGAAAGTTATCCATTTCTTCTAGGTTTTCCAATTTATTGGCATATACTTGCTCATAATAGTCTTTAATGATCCTTTGAATTTCTGTGGTATCGGTTGAAATGTTTCCTTTTTCATCTGTGATTTTATTTGGGTCTTCTCACTTTTCTTATTCTGGATAAAGGTTTGTAAATTTTCTTTTCAAAAAGTCAACTTTTCCTTTCATTGATCTTTTGTATTGTCCTTTTCATTTCCATTTCATGTATTTCTGCTACTCATATTGTGTTTTGTTCGCTTTTGCTTTTCTAGTTCTTTATGATGCATCATTAGGTTGTTTTTGAAATTTTTCTTCTATTTTGATGTAGGCACTCATTGCTATAAATTTTGGTCTTAGTACGTATTTTGCTGTATCTCATAGGTTTTGATACGTTGTGTTTCCATTTTCATTTGTTTCAAGAAAGTTTTAAATTTCTCTTAATTTCTTCATTGATCATTCAGGAGCATATCATATAATTTCCGTGTATCTGTATAGTTTCCAAATTTCTTATTATTAATTTCCAGTTCTATTCTATTGTGGTCAGATACTTGATATTATTTCAATTTTTCTGAATTTTTAAAGACGTGTTTTGTGGCCTAACATATGGTCTATCCTTGAGAATGATCCATATGCTGAAGAGAAGAATGTATATTCTGTAGCTATGGATGAAGTGTTCTATAAACATCCATTAGGTTTATTTGGTCTATAGTACAGATCAAGTCCAATGTTTCTTTGCTGATTTTCTACCTGGATGATCTGTCCAATGCTGTAAGTTGGTGTTGAAGTCCCCAACTATTATTGTATTGGGGTCTATCTCTCTCTTTAGCTCTAGTAATATTTGCTGTCTATATCTGGATGCTCAAGTTTTGGGTGTGTATCTATTAACAATTGTTATATCCTGTTGTTGAATTGACCCCTTTATAATTATACAATGACTTTCATCCTTTTTTATAGTTTTTGGCCTGAAGTAGATTTTGTCTGATGTAAGTATAATGACTCCTGTTCTTTCTTGGTTTCCATTTACATGAAACATCTTTTTCCATCCCTGTATTTTCATTCTATGTGTGTCTTTATAGGTGAAGTGTGTTTCTTGGAATAGGCAACCGATTATTGGGTCTTCTTTGTTAATCCATTCAGCCACTCCATGTCTTTTGATTGAAGACTTTAGTCTATCTACATTAACTGTTATTATTGATAAGTAAGAACTTACTCCTGCCATTTTGTTATTTGTTATCTGGTTGTTTTGTAGTCTTCTCTTCCTTCCTTCTTTTCTTCCTTTCTTTTTGTGAAGGTGATTTTTTTTTCTGGCAGTATGTTTTACTTTCTTGCTTTTTACTTTTTGTGTATCTTTCGTAGGTTTGTTTTGTTTTATTTTGCTTTTGAGACAGGGTCTGGCTCTGTTATCAAAGCTGGAGTGCAGTGGTGCAATCATGGCTCGCTACAGCCTTGATCTCCTGGGCTCAAGTGATCCTCCCACCTCAGCTTTCTGAGTAGCTGGGATCTCAGGTGCATGCCAGCACACATAGCTATTTTATGTTCGTGTGTGTGTGTGTGTGTGTGTGTGTGTGTGTGTGTGTGTGTAAACAGTGTCTTGCTCTGTTGCCCAGGCTGGTCTTGAACTCCTGGGCTCAAGCAATCCTCCTGCCTTGGCCTCACAAAGTGGTGGGATTAAAGGCATGAGCCACTGTGCCCAGACTGTTGGAGGTTTTTTGATTTGAAGTTACCATGCGGCTTGGAAATAACATCTTATAACCCATGATTTTAAACTAATGACAACTTAACACTGCTAACAAAAGCAAACAAAGTAACTAACAATTAAGCAAACAGAAAACTAATAAAAACTCTATGCTTTAATTTCATGCCCCTGCTTTTTAATTTTGTTGTTTCTATTTCTATTTTATTATACTATGTCTTTTAAAGTTGTAATTATTCGTTTTGATTGGTTCTTCTTTCAGTCTTTCTACTCAAGATATGAGTAGTTTACACACAATTACAATGTTACAATATGCTGTGTTTGTCTCTGTACTTACCGTTACCATTGAGTTTTCTACCTTTAATGATTTCTTATTGCTCACTAATGTCCTTTTCTTTCAGATTGAAGAACTTCCTTTAGCATTTCTTGTAGGACAAGGCTGGTGCTGATGAAGTTCCTCAGTTTTTGTCTAGGAAAGTCTTTATTTCTCTTTAATGCTTGAAGGATATTTTCACTGGATATAGTATTCTAGGGTAAAAGTTTTTTTTTTTTTCCTTCAGCACTTTAACATCATTCCACTCTCTCCTGGGCTATAAGGTTTACACTGAGAAGTCTGCTGCCAGATGTATTGAAGCTCTTTTTTATGTTCTTCATTTTTTTTTCTCTTGCTGCTTTTAGCATCCTTTCTTTATCCTTGACCATTGCGAGTTTGATTATTAAACACCTTTTGGTAGTCTTCTTTTGGTTAAATCTGCTTGATGTTGTATAACCTTCTTATACTTGAATATTGATATCTTTCTCTGAGTTTGGAAAATTTTCTGTTATTCTTCAAAGTTAATAACTCTTATATTTGCCCTTTTGAGCCTATTTTCTAGATCTTGTAGGCATGCTTCATTCGCTTTTCTTTTGTCTTCTAGCCTGTCTTCAGGCTCATAATTCTTTCTTCTGCTTCACCAGTTCTGCTGTTGAGAAACCAATGCATTCTTTAATATGCCCATTGCATTTTTCAGCTCCAGAATTTCTGCTTGATTCTTTTTAATTATCAAATCTCTTCATTAAATTAACCTGACGGAATTCTGAATTCCTTCTCTGTATTATCTTAAATTTCATTGAGCTTTCTCAAAAAAGCTATTTTGAATTCTCTGTCCGAAAGGTCACATATTCTTTTCACTCTGTGATTTGTCAACCAAGTGCCTTATTTATTTCATTTGGTAAGGTCACATTTTCCTGGATGGTCTTGATGCTCGTTGATATTCTTCAGTGTCTGGGCAGTTAAGAGTTAGATATTTACTGTAGTCTTCACAGCCTAGTCTTGTTTGTACCTGTTCTTCTTAGGAAAGCTTTCCAAGTATTCAAAGGGAATTGAATCTTGTGATCTAAGTATTTGGTCACTGCAGCTATATCTACATTAGGGCCAGGTAGAGACTTTTGCTTTACTTTTCCCCAAACAAATGAAATGAAGTCTCTCTCTCTCTCTCTCTCTCTCTCTCTCTCTCTCTCCCTCTCTCTCTCTCTCTCTCTCTGCTGAGTTGCTTGGAACTGGAGGAGAAATGACACAAGCACCCCTGTGGCCACCACTGGGAACGTGCTGGGTCAGACCCAAAGCCAGCACAATACTGGGTCTCACACAGGGCCCACAGCAAACACTGCCTGGCTTCTGCTTATGTTCCCTCAAGGTCCAAGGGCTCTACAATCAGCAGATGGCAAATCCAGCCAGGCTTCTGTCTAGAAGGCAAATCCAGCCATGCATGGGAACTTCAAGGCAACAAGCTCCACCTGAGCCCAGGGTGGGTCCAGAAATGCCATATAAGAGCCAGGGCCTGGAGTCAGGAACCTTATGAACCTATTTGATGTTCCATTAAAGTGTGTCTGAACTGGCACCCAAGCCACAAAACAATGTCCTTCTCACTCTTCCCTCTCCTTCCCTCAAGTAGAAGGAGCCTCTCCTCATGGCCATCATCACCCCAGGGCCCACAGCAAGTACTGCCTGGCTACTGCGATGATCAAGGCCCAAGGGCTCTTCAGCTTGTGGTGAATGCTGCCAGTCCTAGATCTCTACCTTCAGGGAAGTAGGCTCCCTTCTGGTCCAGGGCGGTTCAAAAAATGCCATCCAGGAGTGAAGGACTGGAACTGGGGACCCCGGGAACCCGCTTGGTGCTGTACCTCGCTGTTGCCAAGTCAATATTTAAGCTGAAAGACAAAGTCTCCTTTACTCTTTTCTCTCCTTTCCACAAGCAGAGAGAGTCTCTCCTCATGGCCACTGAAAGCCAACAGGATATTGTGTCTCACTCAAGGCTCCTGGTGAGTACTGCCTGGCTACCACTGATGATTATTCAGGGCCCAGAGTCTCTTTAGTCAATGGGTGATTAATCCTGCCAGAACTGGGTCCTTTCCTTCAGAAGAGGCAGCAGGTTCTCTTCTGGCTCAGGGCGTGTCTAGAAATGTCATTTTGGAGCAAGGGCCTGGAATGGGGGCCTTATGACTCTACCCAGTACCCCATTGTACTGCGGTTGAGCTGGTATCCAAGTTACAAGACAAAGTCCTCTTTACTCTTCTCTCTCTTCTCCTCAAATGGAAGTAAGGGGTATCTCCTGGAGCTTCGAGCTGAGCTACCTGGGTTTAGGGGAGAGGTGACACAAGCATTCCCTTGGCCACCCCAGTTGGTATATCGCTAGGTCATGTGTACCCCAAGTCCACTGGCTCTGAGCCTAGAACAGCACCAGGATTTGACCAGGAATTCTAGTCCTTGTGGCCTAGACTGCTTTTCAAGGTTATTTAGGGACCCTGAGTGTTTTAGCCCATGGTGGTAGAGCTAGCCAGAACTCAGGTTCCAACCACTGGGATGGGCAATTCCCCTCTTGCTAGGGCAGGTCTAAATGCTCCCTCCATGGGCACTGGCTACTTTCTGCGCTGTGTGGCTTCTTCTGTGACAGGGCAGTACTGAGTTCCAATGCAAAGTTCTACAACCACTATGCTCTCCCTTCTCCAAGCACACAGATTCTATTTCTGTGGCACAGGGCCATTGCTACTGCTGGGGCATGGTGGAGGGGTGGCGTCAGCAATTAAAGACTGTCTTTCCTTCTCCCTTCAGTTCTTCTTTCACTGATATAATGTTAAAACCAGGTACTGTGATCACTCACCTGATTTTTGGCTCTTATGAAGGTGCTTTATTGGGTAGATGGTTGCTCAATATGGCATTCCTTGAAGGGGTTTGGGGGGAACAATTGCTGGAGTATTCTATTTGGTCATCTTCCTACATAACTTTTAATTGTGATGCAATAATTTACTCAGATAAAAAATTTATTCATGTAATCAATAACAGTAAGCAATTCTTGTAGGAACAGAACTAAAATATATTGAGAATTGATTGTTTATTGGACACTGTGTTAAGTACTTTTCCAAATAAGACCGAGAAAGATAAAGCCTAAGAGAGAGCCTAATCTTATGATTGGACAACAATGGCCTTTGAAAAGCAGTTTCATTAGAGTGGTAAACCAGAGTTGGGAGGATTAAAGAATGAGTGAACGCTGAAAAAGTGAAAGTAATGTGTATGGGCTCCTTCTTCAAGTTCAGCAATAAAGGGATGGACAGATGAGACAGCTTGAGGAAATGGCAGGGTAAAAAAATTATAGTAACTTATTTTTCTATTATATGATATGGGCCCAATGTAGATGCTTTGGAAGAACAGAGAAGTATGAAGAAAAAATAAAATGGTTTATGATCTTTAAATAAAAATAAACAAACTACAAGTCTATACTTCCTACATAAGTTCATATCAAAGAAACCTGAATACTAAGCTATTTAAAAGCTAGTATACAATTTAGATTTCTAACTAATCAAAGTATATTTCTATTAAGAATTTAAAAAGGGGAGGTCAAAAAGTTACTTTTTAAAGGGAGATATTTGAAGAAACATTGTGGAAGTGGCTAAAGGTACTTGATACTGCTCAAATACTATTTTCCTTGTTAATATCAAGAAACTTTTGTTGATAGAAGTGGTCTAGAAATTTAGAATGAAAACAGGGTGGTACTGTCTCAAATACTTTTTTGTAAAGGAGATGTAGTATAAATAAAATAAATTACAATAGCCATAATTGTTCCATGCAGATCACATAATCAACATGGGCAGAAGCAACTTGGTGGGGTATTAAAATAACTGAGCCAATCAGATTGCAATGTTCTTGTTATTTGGAACATCCAGACCTAATCAGAGATAAGCACACATTCAGTATTCATGCTTTCATTCATTTTTTAAAAAGTGCCTACTATGTGTAAAATGTTTCCCCAGAGCCTGTGATAGACATAAAGAATTATGGCACAGTAGTTGGCCTCAGGACAAGTACAGTCTCGCTGGAGAAGATAAGACATTACCAAATGCTGTCTTTTAATTTAGAAATTTTGTAGTGGCCAGGCACGGTGGCTCACGCCTGTTACCCCAGCGCTTTGGGAGGCCAAGGCGGGTGGATTGCCTGATGGCAGGCATTCAAGACCATTCTGGCCAACATGGTAAAACTCTGTCTCCACTAAAAATACAAAAATTAGCTGGGCGTGGTGGCTCACACCTGTAATCCCAGCTATTCAGGAGGCTGAGGCAGGAGAATCGCTTGAACCAGAGAGGCAGAGGTTGCAGTGAGCCAAGATCGCACCACTGCACTCCAGCCTGGGCAACAGAGTGAGAAAAAAACAAAAGAAATTTTGTAGAAAACTAAGCCACCTGGGTAGAGTGTTAGGTACTTATTGTTAGGAGAACATTTGCTGTTATTGTCAAATTCTGTAGATTTTCAATTTCAAGGCATATATTTTCAAGTTTGTTGTTGGGTAATAGATAAAAGATGCTTATGGTAAAAACTTATTCAAAATGACACAAAAGAGCATTTGTTTTTATATATCATATATTTGTATTTCTTACCAGTACTTAAGAGACGCCCTATTTTTTAAGATATTAGTTTTTACTTCATTAGCTTATTATTTCATTTCCTTCTCAGTTTTACCTCTATCCTCATGACATGCAATATGCAGCACTTGGTAGGTACATTCCAAGTCAACATAATGCTTGGCCGGTTGCCATTCCCTGTTCTCTTTATATAATTTCTACAGTATTTTTTGTAAACATTATTTTTTCTATAATATAATCTATCTTCCTTTTCTGTTTCCTGTATTTCTTTTGTTGTTGTTGTTGTTGCTGTTTTAGCTTAATCACATAACCCAATAGGGATCAAAAATTCTTATTTCAACAGCTTCTAATCTTCTATGGAACTCTTCCTAGACCTATGGATTAACATCTACGTTCAATATTCTAATCTACCAAAGAGGAACGACACTGAGCTTAACTTGCTTCTTTCAACCTAGGAGAGCAACTCAAAACAAAAAACAAAAAAGAAAAAGAAAAAAAAGTAGAATAATTGAACTCACCAGTTTACTGATTTGAGATCTTCATAATACAGCTTCCTTATTTTGACATGAATTCCCTAGACGTTAGACTCACCTATATTCAAATTTAAGGGCAAAAGCATTCCAAAGACAAATATAAATTACTTTTGAATTACTCAAACTCTGCTTTTCCCAATACAGACAATTGAGTTGACATTATATTTTACACAGTGAAAAGTGAAACCTTTGGCTAGCAATTAACTTTTTATATAACTTTGAGATATTGTAGCCGAAAGAGATAGAGTACAGACATTAATAATTCTTTTTAAATGTTACATTTAAAATACCTTTAAAATTGGGTCATAATGAGTAATTCTTGAAAAATCCCCAGCTAATTTTAATGCCCTAGCTTTAAATAATGCTGAAACACAATGTCTTCATCTTGAAAATTTGACAACCAAAATGATACTAATTAAAGAAACTTGAGCAATTTTCCTAGGGCTCTAAAACAAAATGGAATTTGAAATTCAGTAACAAACTAGAATGAATGTCACAGAATTAGGTAATTAGATTTTAAAAGAAGCATACATGTAATACAGGTAGTTTTACAAGGTATTATATGGAATGTAATTTATGTGAATTTTAAAAAAGATATAATACTGGGGTGCACTTAGCAGCTGATGCTTGTATAAGCTGGGCCGTGGGGTATACTGAGACTTGAATTTAAGATGGAACAGAAGGAGGAACTGATCCACTTATAGGATTGGGTCACAGGGTAGCAAGCTAGTATTCAAATGGCAAATTCACCGCCAGTTCAGACCGCATTGAAATTTGGCTCATTCCAGTGGGCAGAGGTAGAGAGTAGAAAATATGAAGCCAGGAGAGGCAGCAGTTTGGGATTTTAGGAGCAGAAGCGTAACAAAGCCTTTGGTTTATAGGAAAAAAGATTCAGCCCCTCAAGAGCAGGCTGTTAGGATCTCATTCACATGGATTTGGTTCCAGTGCTCCTGTCCCAATGGGGAGCTTGAATTCTGAACAGTTAACTAAGGGAAAAATCCGGTCAAATGGCCTGGGATAACACAGAGGAATGAGCAGAAGACTGTGGCTTTAGGACATATGAGAAGCCAGGACTCTCCCTAGGCATACAAAGTAGTAAAATTAATCCCATACTCCAATGGCTGTGGTTTGAATCTGATAAAATATCGCCTCCTTTAGGTACAAAGGCAAAAGCAATAGCTATGAGATGGTCAGGAACCTGGTGAGACTAAATATCAGGTGGAGATGACAGTGCTTTTAAAGGAGCAGGGCCAGTGAAGGCAGAAACTAGTAAGCAGCCTGGTCCTCAAGAAGTTACTCAAGATGCAGAAAGGATGGAACACCCAAAATTGAATGGTTTCTACTTGGACACCAGCTTAGCTGGTATATCCAGTTAGAACATCAGAGTGATACCTCCATAAGGATACTTGGTGAGTTATTTTTTTAAAACCCAGAATGTTATAATAGCTATTAGTAATAGCCACATTTACAAAGCAGCTCTGTGGGCCAAACATTTTTTGTAAATTATCTATAATGCTCTCAACAATCCTACAAGGTGTTTATACTTATTGCTATTTTTATAGGTAAGGAAACTAAGACTCAGAAAGGTACAATAAATGGTCCCCAGTCCTTCAGCTAATAAGGTCAGAACTGTGTCTGTTTCTGGATACTGCACTTGTTCCATAAAGCAATTGAGAAGAAATAGGCTTATATTATAGAATTAAAAATATATAGTTTATTACTAGTTAAGGAAAAAAGTATATTTATATATATTTAGGCTTACTTTAACATATATATATATGAAAAAACATACAGCCTTCACTACTGTGATGTTCTCATGTTAACTGGTCCTTTTAAGTTTAGGTATTAGTGAAAGCTTTAGATAATGTCTACCCTTGTCAGTCTCTACCTTGGTCTCTTAGTGTCTGCCTTTTTACCTCCCTAATTGGTATATAGATATACTACCCCAGTTCCTAAGCTAACCCTAAGTGAAACAGAATTTGTGTTTGAAATCTGCTGATATTCAAATTCCAATTTATATTTCCTTTGTTTGGGTTATACCCAAGCATTACCATGGTATTTCCTCCCAGCTACTCTCAAGCCCCTCACATCAACTAACACAGGAAAAGCCAAGGAATGAGGTAATATTATTAGCTAGGATTATAAAAATTTAAATGAAAATTACCAAAGGCTCCTTAAGATAGTAAAGAAGTTGATATGGATGCCATATTATTTCTGTTAACAAAGAAGCTTCTTTGTAAAGGAATATTTTAACATTAGAAAATCATTGGCCAGAGATAAAAACAGTACAGGAGATGTAAATATGTGCATTAGTTGAGAAGGCTACAATACTAATATATCACTGATTTCCAAGTAAAATAATGTTAGATGTGCCAACAAACAAAAAACATACATTGGGCATCTGAAGGAAGAAGAGTCAAGGTTAGGAGTGAGAGGAGAGTGTTTCTCCCTGATGCAGGAAAGGAAAGGAAGGAAAAGACAAGAAGCAGGATCAGCTACAATCTGAATGGACAAGCAGACTTTTCTGTCAAGGCAGGGCAGATAACGGGTCTTAGAAAACGCTAGTGAAAGTGAAACATCTTTTTGACAGTCCATCCCTCTAGCTCCCCTCCCTCCCAGCTCCAATCATATGCACTAGTGGACTGCACTTTACCCAGATGGTCCTAGTCATGGCACCAGGGGTAGTAGAGATAAGACCCAAGCCAGGTGTGAGAGTTTATCCAACTGTACAGTCAGAAGGAGCAGTGTCTACACAAGACTGCCCTCACTTATGACACCAGTTGCAAATGTGGGGGTTCCCCAAATACCCTCATACTTGATAATTCACTAGAAGGATTCGTGGAACTCATAGAAAGTTGTTATATTCACAGCTATGGTTTAATACAGGGATTAATAAATCCAAGGGAAGAGACATGTAGAGTCCAGGAGGGATCCAAATGTGGAGCTTCTGGTCATCCTCCCTGCATGAAGTCATGGATGGTGTTAAATCCTTCCAGCCACAATGTGAGACACACATGGCTGGCCAGGGAAGCTCACACAAACCTTTGGTAACCAGAGTTTTTACTAGGGCTTGATCACATACTGCCTGCATGGCTGACCTTTTGAGGTCAGGCTGATACCTGTAATCTCCAGTCCCTTCTGGAGGCAAAACTGATACCCTGCGGCCCAAAGCCCCGTCATAAATTACATTTGTAGGCCATGTGGTGGCCAAACTACACCCCCCACCCCAGAACATTCTAGAATAGAATTTATATTAGGCAGAACATTCATGGGCCTACAGATCACTTCCTGGTAGTTGGGCAAAGGCCAGACCTCTCTTTGGAAAATTCTTTACTACATGCCAAGTCTGTCAGAATTCTTCCCCAGGATTTTTCTTTTTGTTTTTTCCTTCTTTTTATTTTTTTTATTTTTTAGATGGCAAAGAAGGGACTGTCTTTTTTGTGCGTCTGATGGGGTCTCACTCTGTCGCCCATGCTGGAGTGCAGTGGCACAATCATGGCTTACTGTGTCCGCAAACTCTTGGGTTCAAGGGGTCCTCCCTTCTCAACCTCCTGAGTACCTGAGACTACAGGAGCGTGCCATTATGCCCTGCTCATTTTTTTTTTCATATTGTAGAGATGGGGTCTCACTATCTTGGCCACACTGGCTTCAAACTCCTGGGCTCAAGTGATCCTCCTGCCTTGGCCTTCCAAACTGCTGGGGTTACAGGAGTGAGCCACTGCACCTGGCCAAGAAGGAAATGTCTTAGTCATGATCGCTTAGAAGTAGAACTTGAGACAGGATTCTTGTGCAAATGACTTACTGAAGGGGTATTCTCAGAAGAAAGCTAACAGGATATGAGGGAAGCAGGATAGCATAGGGAAAGAAGCTAAGCACAAAAATGAGTGTGAAAAGTTGAGATCTAGCCATAGCCTGATCCCACAGGAAGATCTTGGCATGACTACACCTCAAAATTGACCCACCTTGAGGCAAGGGGCTTAGTACCGCCATATCAGTCAGCTATTGGGTATGAGCCACCACTGCATGTATGTCAGGAATGGTGGATTACTTCTCAGGCATTTCTAGGTAAGGCAGCTCCTAGTGGCCCAAGGCATTTTTCCAGAACTGGGTATAGCTGTGAGCTAATATTAGCCACATTGACAGCAGCTCAGAGATAGGGACATCTCCCTCTTCTACCACTCATTCTAGATTCCCCTCCCCATTGACAAACATTTCCAGTGGTCTAGGTTTGCCCTGGTGGAGTAGCTCAGACCCTCACTGCCAAAAGGTCTAAGGCCCTTCCCAGGCTGTAGTTGCTATTTTTGCCTGTATAGTGTTAAAACCAGGCACAGGAATACTCAGAGATGTCCTAGGGGATCACCTGAATACCAAAACCATTTCTTCCTTCCCTCATATATATCAATAGTCCTTCCTCTTCATGATGCTCTCTGCCAGTGTGTTCATTACTCTCTCTGCCTTCCAGCTGCCACAGAGGAACCAGAAGCCCAAAGTAACCAGGAAGCAGCTATAGCTTTAAGTTTATAGGTACTCTATGTTCCTTGGTAAGAGGACGCCACCCCTGGCAATACAGACCTGTAGACCCACAGATCCTAAATCTCCAAGAACATGATGCTGCATGAGGATACTACTATTTCTGCCCCTTCATTCCTGAACCCATGTATCCTAACTATGGGGAACATAGCACCATATAATAATCATCACTTTGAGATGTATACAGCATTATGAAGAATAGTGCTTCTTTCTCAGATGGAAGTCATTTCTATGCCAGCGCCTCAGTTGAGGCATCCTGAAGCCATGTCACCACATTAGCAAGCTAACAGCTGTGGGTTGTGCTGTTATGTGATAGTACTAAAGGATGCCACAGTCATGTGCCAATTGCCTCATCTCCTTTGCCACGAAGTGGGTCCTTTGTTATAGGACATGTTATGTGGGATCTCATATCAGTAAATTAAATGCTCCATGAGCCCTCTGAGAGTAGAATTGGCTGAAGCCCTATGAAAAACAAAGACATACCCATACCCAAGAAAATCATAGTCAGAATGAATCTTTGCTCTTTCAAAGGTAGAAGTTGGGGGGAGTGGGGAAATTGGGAAGATGTTGGTTAAAGGATACAAAATTTCAGTTAGACAAGAGATATAAGTTCAAGAGAGATCTGCTGGACATCTTGGTGACTAGAGTTAATAACAATAATGCTAAGAGAGTAGACTTTAAGTATTCTCACCACAAAGAAATGATAAGTATGTGAGGTAATCCATGTGTTAATTAGGTTGATTCAACCATTCCATAATGTATACATATATCAAAACATCATGCTGTATACCATAAATATATACAATTTTGTCAATTAAAAATATGAATAAATATAATAAATAGGGGGGAGGATGTTGTCTTATGTTATCAACTTGCCACCAAGTAAGAGGTCTCCACAAGGTAGTGTAAATGATCCTCTCAACCATCCAAAGTGAAAACAAGCATCGTTGGTCCTTCAGTTTCAAATCACATTCTATGGTCATAATGAAGGTCAATAGCATCCCTTTTTCTCCTACTCAGACTTGCAACATCTCTGACCTAGATCTTTCACATATGTATTTAGAAAAGGGTCTCAATCTATATTACAATCTGTATCAATGAATAACTCTAAATCTAAAACATCTAGGTGCATCAGGATCATTTCCTTATCAGAAGCTTTACTTCTCTTTATACTTCAATTGGGACTTGGTTTACATTCACCACATGTGCAAAATCTACCTGATCTCACCTTCATATCATCCCCATGGAAACTGGGTGATAAAGGGAAACATAAAAGCTTATGCTGTCTGCTGTGCCATGACCAAAATGTACTTTGTCAACCAAGATGGCAGAGTAGAAGATAAAGGCCTTCATTCTCCCATAAAAAAACAATGACAGCTAGTCACAAACCAAAATAGCCCAGAGAGGGCTCAAGAGCCTATTAAAGAATCTGCAGCAACACAATGGAGAAAAAGAAAAAAAAAAAAAGGAGAATAACCACATAGAAAGGATTGCTGGTCGCCAGCCATAGTGGCTCACGTCTGTAATTCCAGCACTTTGGGAGACTGAGGTTGGGGTATCACCTGAGCCCAGGAGTTCAAGACCACCCTGGGCAACATAGTGAGAACCCACCTCTATAAACATTAAAAAAATTAGCTGGTATTGATTGTGGTGCATGCCTATAGTCCCAGCAACTCGGGAGGCTGAGGTGGGAGGACTGTTTGAGGACCGTAGAAGGTCAAGGTTGCAGTGAGCCATGATTGCACCACTATACTTCAGCCTGGGTGACAGAGCAAGACCTGTATTGAAAAAAACTGGGGGGGGCAGGGCTTGCTGATGAAATCAACATACCTGAGACACCAAGAGATCACTAGGAGCAAAAAAGAAAGGTGGTGGCTATTGGTATCAGCCATGCAGCAAGAATCAGCACAATCCCTAGCAGCCTGTTCTACAGAGGACACTGGCATCTCTTGCCACTGAGGTAATGAACACCCATTACACAGAGGAACCTGAGAGAGAGAGATGTGAGTGCATGACCCTCCCTGCACCCCTCTGCCCCCCAACAGACACACAAGAAGCAGCTGCTTTTGAACTACATTGGAAAAAAAGCTGACACCTCTCCCGAACCCAGTTGTGCTCCAATCCTAGAGGCATGGCAGCTCCACGTGCACCCACTCTCCAGACCCAGGCACTATGGCTGTATCGAGTCTGCCCACATCTCAGACACCAGAGACACTGCAATAGTTAGCTAATTCACACTCCAGAGCCAATCCCTTGCTTCCCATGGCCACACTCCAGAACTGGCTCAGCTGCCATAGAGAGCTAGACATCAGCCTGATGCCAAAGACTTTGTAACTCCGAGCATGTCTGTGCTCCCATTCTTGGCTCCTCGGCTGCTTTACAAGCATCTGTGCCTCACATTCTGTTACCAATGAGGTGGCAGGGGTGCCTGCTCCCTGGGCACCAATGCCATTACCACCCTAGATCCCAGAGCTGTAGTCCACGCATGTCTGTGCTTCAGGCCTCAGCTCCATGGCCACTCCATAGGGGTCACTCATCAGTCACCAGTGCCACTGCCACTGCAAGTGAGCCCACACGCCAGACCCAGTGCCAAGAGAAACCCCCTCAGCCACAACTTCCCCTATGAGAGCAAAAGAAACCAGGAGAACCTTAGCAGCCATTAATTACTGCTTAAGAACTGAGCAACCCTCACTGCCACTGTGAATAGCCACAGTGTTAGCTGCGAAGGATTCCTGCAGTCTTCATCAACACAACCCCCAGCTGACAGAGCTACACAGACACTACACATCTGGAACCCTCAATGGTGCCAGAACTGCTGCACCCTACCCAGCAAGTGCCTTTATATTCCCCCTTCTTGTAGGGGAAGATCTTTCCACAGCAAAACTAACTTACAGAGTCTGAAAGAGGCAACTGCTCCACCAAGTGAATAGACATCAACATAAAACAATAAGAAACATGAAAAAAACAAGAAGACATAACACCAAAAGCACACAACAATCTCCCAGTAGCTGACTCCAAAGAAATGGAGACATACAAGCTGTCTGACAAAGAATTCAAAATAATTGTTTAAAGGAAGCTCAGAAAACCTCGAGAAAATACAGAGAAATAATTCAATAGAATCAGAGAAACAATAAATGACCAAAATGAGAAATTAAACAATGAGATTGAAATTATATTTTAAAAATCAGACAAGAACTCTGGAGTTGAAAATGCAATGAATTAAATGACAAAAGCAATAGAGAACATCAACAGCAGAATAAAGCAAAAGAAAGAATCAGGGAACTGAAATAAAGGTTATTTGAAAATATGCACTAAGGGGGAAACAAATGAAAAGGAAGGAAGAAAGCTTATAGGATTTATGGGATAGCATCAAAAAAGCAAACATTAGAGTTATAGGAGTTAAGATGAAGAGAGAGACAAAAGTGTAGAGAGCTTATTTAAAGAACTAACAGAAAGCTTTCCAAATCTGGGAAAATATATACATATGCAGGTATGGAAAAGTTAAAAGCCTCCAATCAGATTCAATACAAACAAGACTACACCAAGACATTATAATCAAACTGCCAAAAATCAAAGACAAAGAAAAGATCCTGAAAGCAGCAAGAGAAAAGAAACAAATTGTATATAAGGGATTTCTGAAAAGGCTAGCAATGGGTTTCTCAGCAGAAACCTTACAGGCCAAGAGAGAGTGAGAAAATATATTCAAAGTGCTGAAGGGAAAAAACTCCCAACCAAAAATCCTGTATCTGGTAGACGTATCCTTCAGTAATAAAGCACAGACAAAGACTTCCCTAGAGAAACAAAATCTGAGGGAGTTTATCACCCCTAGACCTGTCTTCTAAGAAATGCTAAAGAGAGTCCTTCAAGCTGAAAGAAAAAGATGCTTATTAGTAACACAAAAAAACATGAGAAAGTAGAAAACTAATTAGTAAAAAAAAATTCTAGTAAAAGCTAGTAAAAAGCGAACTAGTAAAAAAAAAATCACCAAAGAAATGCAAATTAAAAGCACAATGAGGTATCACCTCACACCTCTTAGAATGGTTATTATCAAAAAGACAAAAGATAAGTGTGGGCAAGAATGTGGAGAAAAGGGAACCCTTGTACACTGTCACTGTGGGTGAGACTATGAATAGTGCAACCATTATGGAAAATAGTATGCAGATTGCTCAAAAAATTAAAAATACAACTATCATATGATCCAGCAATCTCACTACTGCGTATATATCCAAAGGACATGAAATCAGTATGTCAAAGAGATGTCTGCACTCTCATGTTCATGTTGCAACATTATTCACAGTCGCCAAGATATTGAATCTACCTAAGTGTTTATCAATGAATGAATGGATAAAGAAAATATATATATACACAACGGAATACTATTCAATCTTAAAAAGGAAGGAAACCCTGTCATTTGTGACAACATGGATGGCCCCAGAGGACATTAAGTTAAGTGAAATAAGGCAAGCACAGAAGAACAAATACCATATGTTCTCATTTATATGTAGAACTTTTAGAAGTTGAACTTACAGAAACAGAGAGAAAATGGTCACTACATGAGTCTGATGGGGTTATATGGATTGAGGAGATATTGGTCAAAAGACAAAAAATTTCAGTTAGGAAGAATAAGTTTAAGAGATCTATTATTCATTATGGTGACTACAGTTAATAACAATATATTGTATATTTGAAAATTGCTAAGTATATTTGAAGTGTTCTCACCATAAAAAATAATTATATGAGGTACTACGATGTTAAATAGCTTTGTTTGGCCATTCTATGATGTATACATATATTAAAACATCACATTATACACCACAAGTATATATACATATTTTTTTCACTTGTCTATTAAAATAAATAATTTTTTTAAAAAAGTTAAGTTCTTTGCTTTTCACCCAGGAGTCTTGTGTCTTCTGCCAGCATCCCTGAAACCAGGTCAGGCTAAGATGTTAGCATGCAAGTAGGGTTAAATCTCAGATCCCATAAAAAGTGGGGAAAAGAATGATGGTAGGAAGTTTCTACTCTAGTTGTGGCTAGTATTTAAGTAATTATTATATAGCATCCATCCACCTTGAAGTTTAATTTTCTTTACCATAATCTTTCTATAAAAAAGATTCATAGTTCTCCTATTGACATAACGTTTATTTCATTTATTGAAAACTTGGGCCATTATGTCAAATATAGAGCATCCTCCATGTCCTATGCTGCATTACAAAGCATTCTGACATTAAGTAACAGTAAAAACCACTCTGTTCAAATTGGATTTCCCCTATCCCTGAGTTTCTCCCCTGACTATAGGAAGGGGACTATAGAAATAATTGTCTCATCTGCCTCTGCCTCAGTAGAAATATTAGTGAAATAGTTAAAATATGCCAAATTACATGCAAAACCCAACTAGAAATTTCTAGTAAGCACTTGGATGCAACTTGGGGAAAATGTGAGAACTAAAGATGTAGTAATTTGAACATCAGTCACGAGATTGGCTAAGACATACAACTTTATTTTTCTACATTTCAACTTTCTAATCCTGAGCCTCCATTGCACTGGCTCAGGAAAATTGACCTCTGCCATTCTTGGAGATATCCTTCTTCCTGGGTTGTACTATAATTTCAGTGTCTTACACAGTGCCAGGGTAAGAAAGGGAACTTAAACAGTTCTCGCTGAAGTCTGTTGTCCTATATCCAATGGTCTCTACAATTCTAGATGTGCTCTGCTGCTTTTATGCCAGTTTAGTGCCTGGGGATCTTTTTAAGACTGCTTATGTCCTGTCTGCCTAGATGCTCCAAGAGTCATTTTTCTCTGGCTACTCTCTTTCTCTCTGCTGCCGCCCTAGTGGCACAAGATGATGTGTCAGTGCCTCATCTCTGGACCCCACAGATCTCATTTTCATCGCCTATCCTCAGTCTAAGAAGCTGTTATTTTAGTCTGAGGTAGATCTTTGTACTTTCATGTTTCTTTTGAAACATGCCATTTATGCCTAGGAAACATCTCCCTTTCTTTTAACTTCCCCTTTAAGTTTTCCTGAGGGCTTACACTTTTGGAATGCAACAACCAAGAATTGTGGACTATTTCTGCTTTTTGTTCATCTGCATACCTCCTCTAAGGCAATGATCACAGGAGAGGGGAAATACAGAGATGAAAACGCCATAGATTCATATCTCAAAATAGTTTCCAGACACACAGATTTTATCAGAAGCTGAATAAAGGTGAAGTCATAAAAATTAATCAAATATTTTTAAATCTATTTCATAAAAATCCAATGGCCTATCTTGCACTTTAAACTGTACTCCTGCCACTAAACTTTTCAAACTATTTCAATCCATGGTGATTTTATTTCCTTCTAAACTCACAGGAGCTAATTGCCACTATTTTCATTTTGTAGTAATAATCACGTACTACCTTGTCATTTAGTTTGCTCTCCAAGTATACTGAGGTTTTACCTATAATTTTTTATGTTGCCTAACATAAAAATGTAGTCATTATAAAGAATTTGGGGATTTAACTTTGTGCCATGGCAGGCAAATTATTTAAACTAATGCTCATACTGAAAACATAAAAAATACTGAATAAAATATGTTTTAATTTCCTTAAGAGTACTGAAGAACTGAAAAGATTTTAAGGAACTAGCAGGCCAAAATCCAAGGGAAGGCTGAAATCCAAAGAAAAAAGCTACAATATCAAAGCCACTTTTGGCCTGAAGGCTCTGTCATTCCTGTAAAACTTGAATTTGGTTCTGGCAAACTTACAGGGTGGTGGAGATAGAAGTCAAATCCCAAATGGGAGGAGAGTTTAGTAGAAGATTTTCCCAAATTAAATTGTAGCCCAAAAAGCTATACCCTTAGGGTATAAGGTGTGTACTCAGATGTGATTAAGTGAAGGATCTTGAGATGTAGAGATTATCTCAAATTATCTACGACCTCTGTTTCCCGCAACACCAGGAGACATCTTTGACTGTTCCTAAAGGCAGTAATTGCCAACCGGAATTCTATGTACCAACAGAAAATATTTTTGAGAGTGAGGGTAAAGTAAAAATGTTCAGAGACACGAAAATCAAGAGACTGCAACTAGCACTCCCACACTAACGAAAATTCTAGAGGATGTACTGCAGGCAAAGGAAAGTAATCTCATAGAAGGTGTGAGATACGAAAGGCATAAAGAGCAAAAAAAGTGAATATGGGTGAGTTTAAATGAACGATGATTTAAAAGAGATATAATAACATCTTAGATAAATAAAGTTATAATATAGAATTAATATATTCAATAACACATAAGTGAAGATGGAACATTATACAAAATTGAGCTATAAAGCAAGTCTCAACAAATCTAACATGATTAAAATCATATAGAGAATACTCTCTTGCCACAGTAAAATTAAGCTAGAAATCAATAACAAACAAATAGTTAAAACAGAGAGACCAAATGGGGGCACTACTTAAGTCCTATGGGAGAAGATCAGAACTTGGAAAAAAAGGTCAAGCCAATGGCAGTGAGGATGGACGGGGAAAACAATAAAGATATATTTAGAAAGTGAAATAGCTACAGCAATTTAGGATGCATAGTGGATAGTAGGGCCATCAAATAGGACTGGAAATACTGGTAAAGAGGCATGTTTGGAGAGAGAAATGAGTTTGATTTCTCTGCAAGACTAGTCAACAATTGTTTCCTTCCAGTCTCATTCCTATATATTTCCTTCTTTAACGCAATAATAATAATTCTATTATTTAATATAGTTTATATTCCTTATTTTAATTAATATTATATAACACAGGCATTTTTACATGCTATCACATACACTTGATAAAATGGTAATATAATATTCTTTCCAGATAATATCATAGTTTACTTAGCCAGTATCTTACTGCTGCACACCCTTTGAAAGGATATTTTAACTTTTTATGCACAAAGTTTTAATAAAATATTTAGGATTACTTCTTTAGGATAGAGTCAAAGAAATTAAGCTGGGCATTGTGGCTCACGCCTGTAATCCTAGCACTGTGGAAGGCTGAAGCAGGAGGATCACTTGAGGTCAGTAGTTTGAATGCCAGCCAGGCCACATAGCAAGACCCTGACTCTCTTTAGAAAAAGAAAAAAAAGGAGAAGTGTAATTACTAGGTCAAAAGACATAAACATTTTTAGGGCACTTGACACATTGCTAAAATGTCTTCTAAAAGATTTGTATTGACTTACATTTCCACCAGCAATGAATGAAGTCTCATTAATAATATTAGACATTGCACTATCGATTGTTAAAAATCTGTTTAATTCATAGGTGAAAAATAGAAGTTGCCTTAATTTGCAGTTTTCTGATTACTATGAGGTTAGACATTTCCCATATTTGCTGGAGACATATTTTCTTTTCTGTGAATTCATCCCTTTGTATATCAATTTAAGTCTTAGTGTTTCAACAAATTTATATCAGCGTTACCAAATTAATTGTGATTTTTTTTTCTTCCAGGTTTATGTTTGTCTCTTAATTTTAACTATGGTTTTTTGAAGGGGGGGTAAATACAGTTTTAAATATTCACACAGTTAAATATTAATTTTTTTCATTACTTTTTGGCTGTCTTCTAAAAACTTGATAAATACTAACATTTATTTTTCCTATGTTTTGATTTGTTTTTAGATATTTAACTCAAACCATCTGGAATTTATTTTGATGCTAGACGTGAAGTGAGAATCTACAGGATTTTTTTCCCCAAATTGCTAAACAATTGCTCCAACATAATTTATTGAATAACTCTGTCCTTTTCCATTGATTAAATATCTTTTATGTACATTGGATTCATATTATATTCAAATTTATTTCAGGACTATCTTGCACCAAAAGGTATAAAAGGTATTTGTAACTGCACAGTTATAATATGCTTTAATATCTAGTAGATATTTTTGAATACCATCTGATAAGATATTATTTTATTGCTTTCCTTCTAGAAATATTTTTAGTGAGGATCATTCATTGATTGCATGCGTTTTAAACCACCAACATAAAGAAACTAAAACAAATTACAACATGATAACATGGTCATAGAAGTAATGCAAATAATATAAAGGATATAAAGCAAAAAGAAAACAGCTTCCCCTGTGTCCCTTCAAACTCTCAATTCTGCTCATTGGGGACCACTGTTAACATTTTGTTGTATTTTTCCAGAAATGTTATGTATGTGTATATGTACACACACACACACACACACACACACACACACCACACAATGTACACACTATAAATAAAAACATATATGTTTATTCTCCCCCTCTATTTTCACAAATTGGATCATATTATACATTCAGTCCTCAAATTTATTTTTTACCTCACTTTTCACAACAGTAGCAGTTTCTTTATCCAGAATAAACTTTAAAATAACTAGTGCAGTTCCAAAATATCCCACCAAAGTTTTGTCTGGAATTGTATCAACTCTTATACAAATTAACAGGCATATTGAATTTCCCTCACTTTGCAATATCAAGGAAATGCTTCCTCTAGCCCCTAGGTCTTTGCTAAGGAATTTTCCACATCTACTTCAATCCCACTTTTCTCCCTTTCAACTATCTAACTCTAAACCACCCTTCAGGTATTATTAATAGCTTAGGATATTTTTTCCCACAAACCTTTCTATATACATTTTTCCTGGACTTAGTGTTTTAATAAAAGTCACAGTAATTCTAATGGGTTTTGGGGATTCTAATGAGATTTCTTGATATCTAAGAATATAATTTGCAAATAATAAGAGTTTATTTCTGGTTCACCTTTATTGCATTGACCAGAACTTCCTATGCAATATTAAGTAATAATGGTAACGGTGGACACCCTAGCATTATGTCTACTTTTGATGAATATGCCTTTTGGGTTTTACTTTAAAATATGCTATCTACTGGGGGTTTGAAACAAGTACGCTTTACCATGTTAAGAAGGTGACTGTTTACTTCTATTCTTGCAGAGAATATATTAGGAATGACTTTGATTTTATTAAATGTCCTTTTGGCATCTGTTGAGATGATTGTGACGTTTTAAGTGATTTATTTATATTAAGAAATACAAATAATTTTCTACAAATAGAAAAATATTTCCTATTATTGAATCTTGATTACATTCCTAGAATAAAATCCCTTCTGTTCTGGTGGATTAAAAATACATATTGTTGCTTTCTTTTTCTCACATTTTGTTTAGAAGTTTTTCACCTATGTTAAATAAGAAGGATTACTAAAATCTTTTTTTTATTTGAAAGAAGCATTTAGAATGATAGAACATCAACATTTAAGGGGTAGGTATTCTCCGCTCAGGGTAGAAATGAGAAAGTTATAAATGAAGAAGTTGATGTTCTGGTTCATGAAAACAGTATCTTGTGAATTTGATTAGCATCAACCAATATAATCTAATCATCCCTGGATGAATCAAGTGCCTCAAACTGCGGATCTTCGGAATGGACACTGTATTTGGGTAGAGCTATAAAGCATAATAATAACCATGAGAACTGACTGAAAGCAGTCACCTATAACAATTCTCATTACCAATTCCTAGGTCAAAGACTGTTTATAAGGTGCAAAAATATTACAAAATTACTTCATGGGGTAGATAATGTAGATTTCTTATATTTTTCAATTATTTTGACTATCTGAGGGCTTAAACCAGTGGTCCCCAAACTTTTTGGCACCAGGGACCATTGCCATGGAAGATAATTTTTCCACGGACTTAAGAGTGGGGCGGGGGGTGAGGGATGGTTTTAGGATGAAATTTTTCCACCTCAGATCATCAAAAATTAGATTCATAAGGAGCGCACAACCTAGATCCCTCGCATGGGCGGTTCACAGAAGGGTTCGGGCTCCTTTGAGAATCTAATATCATGGCTGATCAGACAGGAGGCAGAGCTCTGGCAGTAATGCTAGCTTGCTGCTCCCCTCCTGCTGTGCAGCCCAGTTCCTAACAGACCATGATCAGTACCCGTCTGCAGCCTGGGGGTTAGGGACCCCTGACTTAAACTATATACTAACCTCTGTTAACCAGTATCTTTGAAGGAATTTTCTTTTCATTTAACTTTAAAGGGGTTCTACTTTTCCCCTCACCGTTCTGCAACACAAATATATTTTAAAGCACCTCAAACATATAGGAACCCTTATATTCAAAACTACCAGCAATTTTGCTAATGCTGAAGACAATATGCAAGTAATTCAGATGTCATTTAACCTCTTCAATACAAGATTTCTATCACAGACAATGCCTTTCTTACCCATTAGTGAAAAAAAAATCCTGTAGCACCTCTTAATTCAAAAAAAGAATCTTAAATTCATTAAATCCCTCTGAAGCTATGAATGTCAACTTTGCTTTGGCTTCTGGTTTAAGTCATTTACTGATACCCCAGCACATGGTTGAAATTACTTTAGCAGATCTATGCTAGGCGTAAGTTATTCATCTGGCTTTGCAATAACATTGATTTTTCTAATTAATACTCAGTCTTAGGCATAAAATCTGGCTTGAGAATTTAAATGATTTAGCCAAGGACTGACAGATGTGGGAATCATTCCCAGCTTCAATGATTCTGTTATATACCTCTTCAGATAACTTTCTTCAGTATAGTCAATTCTGTGAGATTAAAAACATTATTACAGTTACGTTCTTTTCCTTTTTTCTTATGGATGAAGTTTCATTTCCCTATAAACTTATTGGAAATTGTTAGAATAGGCATAATCTTGACTTCATTTGTAGCAACCACATTTATACATTATTTAACTTGGCTCATATAATTTATTCCTTATGCAGAGAAGTTATATCTATCATTATACCTCCAATCTTTGCCTTCGGGTAGAATGTTCAGAAGATACAAGGAAGGTTATCCCTCTCCTAAGGTCATTCTTGCATAATGTACATATTTTTCAAGGCTTACACAATGTGAAGGTTTAACACTAAAATCAGTAATATCCTTCATTTCCCTAGACCAAAGGCTCTTGTCACACAGCAGTTTAAGCTGTCATCAGCGATCATGGCTGGGGGTGGGGTGGGTGGAGAGTCTCTAAGTCTTCTCTCAATATTTATATAGATGTTCCTCAACTTATGATAGGGTTATATACAGATAAACCCAACACAAGTTAAAAATGCCATAAGTTAAAATGCATTTAATACAATTAACTTACTGAACATCATAGCTTAGCATTGCCTGCCTTAAATGGCTTATAACACTTACATTATCCTATGTTTGGGCAAAATCATCTGGCAATACAGTACACTGTAGAATATCAGTTGTTTGCCCTTATGAATACACAGCTGACTGGGAGCTACAGCTTATTGCAAGCTGTCCAATATTGCAAGAACATCATACCCATTTCTACTGAATGCATATTTCTTTCAAACCATTGTACAGTTGAAAACTTGTAAGTCAAAGCATTGTAAGTTGGGAGACTATATGTAGACATGCCACATTTTTAAAATTTTGTGAACGCAAACAATATTTCTGGGTAGTTTGCTTCACTTTAGTAAATTATGCTAAGAAAATTTGTCTGTACTTTGGAGTAAGGCAAAAATATGAATACATACCTTTTTAATGTCACTCTAAATTATTGTGCAACGGCCCTTTCCAAGAATTACTGAATTATTTAGAGGATTTTATTTTTGCTTGACTTACTCTTTACTCTTAATTAGGGCTTAAATTCCATAAAATTAGGTGTTAACTTTTAGATTTCTCTATGGAAGTAAAGGTAATGCCAGTGGTTGTGGTTTTCTTCCCCTGTAGGACATTAAACACTATCTATTAGCAAACTCATTTTAGCTTTCCTTTGACTAGATAACTATATACCTTAGGTTCCTCAAATTCTTGTTTGAACCAGCTTTACCATCTTGTTGATTCCCTTGATAATGAGTTAAGAAATCTTTGACACATATTCACTATAGTATCCAGACAAGAGATAAGTCTTAATTTTTAAAAATTATTCCTTAACAGGTCTCCTGTTTAACACAGTTCACTTTTATGGCCAAAGCCTCCTATATGTCATTCACTTCCCTAGCTCTTCTCAACAAAGTATAAAGGTTGGTGGTTTCAAATACTTTAAAACATGAGAAAACTATAAATTCATGAGGTACATTTCTGTATGCAAACACCAAGTAAAGCATTTTTAAAATCCTTGTCACTGGCAAGTACATGCATGCTTTTTTCCCGTTAAAGTTAAAAATATATATATGTATGTATGTTGTGAGTAAATTTAAAATGTCATATCAAACCAATGTTCCAAATACGCAATTAGAGGAAAAATAAATAAATGACAAAAATCATATTTTTAAAGACATTAGAGTAATGTAGAAGCAAGGACTAGATAATATTCCAGAGGAGGAAGACCCCTTTTTAATAAGATTTTGCTAGAATCAATTTTCTTACCCCCAGGAAATTTGCTAATTCTAAGCTTGGATTAAGGACTGAACTTGATGCAGATAGAGGGACGGACTGAGTGGGTGAGGAAAAAAAAAAACGTGGATCTCTTGGTAGCTGAGGTTGTCATGACAGACTGAATTTTTGAGGAACCCAAAACCTATGAGAAACTTTCCTCATGAGATATTTACTGAGTTTTGGGCCTGTGGGGAAAGTGGAAAAGTTCAGCAATAAGCTTCTAAAAGGCAGAATAAATATAGTGTTTAAGAGAGAAAGTCCCACAAGGAAGAACTGCTTCAAAAATACTACCCATATCCCCATAAAGACATTTTCTAGAAAGCAGAGGCTAAAAAGCTAATCTCAAAATTTCCCAAGGAAAGAAATGAATCTCTCACAGTACCCAGGCTGGGGAGACAAAATATGGCGGACTCAGTCAAAATGGGATGATGGGCCCAAAGACACTCCAGTGGTGCACTGTAATTTACTAAAACGGCAACCCGCAACTAACCTAATCTTTTTTGGATTGAGGGAATCAGCCTTTCACATTATCTGCCTTGCAGAGAAAAGATGAAACACTTGCTGGTGGAATATACATCATCTCCTTCTCTATGATACTTTCATGCACTATATATGGCATTACAAGACATACAAGGAGAAAGGATAATATGTGCAATAATCAGGTTTAAAAATAGAGAATAGAAGGAGACCCACAAATGCTATAGATATTAATGTTTATCATACAAGGAGATTAAAATGACAATAATAAATATTGTAAAGAACATATAGGAAAGAATAGGTTGAATAAAAATATTGAAAATTTTAATGCAGTACCAGAATCTATAAAAGAGATGAGCATCAGGATTTTAAGGATGAGCAAAAACGACTAAAGAAGCTTCGTGGAAAGGGGAAACCAAAGAAATAAAAAGGGAAAAGAGAAAAAAAAAACGAAATAGTGTTGGTCCCTCAAGAGGGAGAATTTCTTCCTCAGTGGCAGAGAGCAGAAAGGGCATTTATTGTCTTTCCACAAATTGGAGGAATGTCATCTTCCTAAATGAAGGTTATTTGGAGGAATACAGTCATCTCCTTGTTGAAATCTAATCTGGTTAAATTGTGGCTGGTTTCTTCAACACATTCTAACTGTGCAAAATTTTTTGGCCTTGGCCATGTAATGTGAGGTATACCTAATTCTCTAATGAAATGAATACATAGAAAAAAAACAACTACTTTGAATTTCATATGGAACCAAAAAAGCCCATATAGCCAAGACAATCCTGGGCAAGAAGAACAAAGCTGGAGGCAACATGCTACCTGACTTCAAACTGTAAGGCTACAGTAACCAAAACAGCATAGTACTGGTACCAAAACAGATCTATAGACCAACGGAACAAAACAGAGGCCTCAGAAATAACACCACACATCTACAACCATCTGATCTTCAACAAACCTGATAAAAACAACCAATGGGGAAAGGATTTCCTACTTAATAAATGGTGCTGGGAAAACTGGCTAGCCATACACAGAAAACAGAAACTGGACCCCTTCCTTAAACCTTAAACAAAAATTAACTCAAGATGGATTAAAGGCTTAAACGTAAAACCTAAAACCATAAAAACCCTGGAAGAAAACCTAGGCAATACCATTCAGGACATAGGCACGGACAAAGACTTCATGACTAAAATACCAAAAGCAATTGCAACAGAGGCCAAAATTGACAAATGGGATCTAATTAAACTGAAGAGCTTCTACATAGCAAAAACAAAAAAACTATCATCAGACTGAACAGGCAACCTACAGAATGGGAGAAAATTGTTGCAATCTATCCATCTGACAAAGGTCTAATATCCAGAATCTACAACGATCTTAAACAAATTTACAAGAAAAAAAAAACAAACAACCCCATCAAAAACTGGGCGAAGGATATGAGCAGACAATTCTCAAAAGAAGACATTTATGCAGCCAACAAACATGAAAAAAGGCTCATCATCACTGATCATTAGAGAAATGCAAATCAAAACCACAATGAAATACCATCTCACACCAGTTAGAACGGCTATCAGGAAGCAACAGATGCTGGCAAGGATGCGGAGAAATAGGAACGCTTTTACACTGTTGGTAGGAGTGTAAATTAGTTCAACCACTGTGGAAGACAGTGTGGTGATTCCTCAAGGATCTAGAACCAGAAATACCATTTGACCCAGCAATCCCATTATTGGGTATATACTCAAAGGATTATAAACCATTCTACTATAAAGACACATGCACACGTCTGTTTACTGCAGCACCTTTTACAATAGCAAAGACTTGGACCAACCCAAATGCCCATCAATGATAGACTAGATAAAGAAAATGTGGCACATATTCACCATGGAATACTATTCAACCATAAAAAAGAATGGGTTCATGTCCTTTGCAGGGACATGGATGAAGCTGGAAACCATCATCCTCAGCAAACTAACACGGGAACAGAAAACCAAACACTGCATGTTCTCACTCATAAGTGGGAGTTGACAATGAGAACACATGGACACAGGGAGGGGAACATCACACACCAGGGCCTGTCAAGGTGTGGGGGGCAAGAGGAGGGAGAGCACTAGGACAAATACCTAATACATGCAGGGTTTAAAACCTAGATGATGGGTGGATAGGTGCAGCAAACCACCATGGCCCATGTATACCTATGTAACAAACCTGCACATTCAGCACATGTATCCCAGAACTTAAAGTAAAATAAAATAAAAAACTAAAATTAAAAAAAAAGTTTAGAGAAGTCCAAGAAAAATACAAAGGAGACCACACCCAAGAATATTAAAGTCAAATAGCTGAAAACTAATGAAAAGAGAAAATTGTAAAAACAGACAAAAGAAACATGTTGCCTTCAAAGAAGCAACAGGACATAAGACTGACTTTTCTACAGAATTTTTGGAAGCCAAAGGCAATAGAATGGCATATGTAAAGTGCTAAAGGAAAATATAACTGCCAACTATAAAACTGAGTATAGAGTTCTATACTCAGTTAGAACCTCTTTGAAAAATGAAGGCAATTTATTGCAAGCAGAACTACACTATAAGAAAAAAAGATACAATTTTTTTTAAAGCTAAACAAGAATGAATGGAAGCACAGTAGTACATGAAGGAATTTAGAAAAAGTACAGTTCAGAAAAGTTAAATCTATTGGTAATATAAGGGAATGTTGAGCATTTAAAAAAATAACGACAATAAAGTCGTGTGGGTTAAAAAAATATAGACAAACAAAATATATAACAATAATAGCACAAAGGGCAAGAGGCTGGCTCACCTAGGCAGAACCAGGAAGATGGGGCCACTAAAAAGTATATAAGATTAATTCAGCCAAAAATTTTAAACAAATTGCTAAAGGCTGATGTGAGCTAAAATAAGAGTATAAAATCCTTTGGAGCCATGTACATGACACGAATTTGCACCCATTCATAGGCTCTTCTCCCTAGGGCTCATGAGGTGTTCGTTAGAAAGATTTGGGAGAGAGCAAGAGACCAGAAGAAGCATCCAATGAAGATGAGCCTTAGAAAATGGTAGTAACCAAGTTGTGGGAAAGAGATCATGCTATGCTTGGTCCTTTGTCCACTAAGAACAAAAGACCTAACCAGCTGGGGTATGGGGTTTGGAGGGGTGGATAGCAAACCATGTCATCCCTAGGCCACAAGTGAGCTGGAAGCTGGGGATGAAAAAACTTCCAACCGTTGGGGGAGGAGCCACAAAACCATTCTGGATCTAGACCATTAGAAATTTTTTGCTAGTACTGGAGTGAAAGGATTAAGAAAGCACCACCCTTAGACATAGGGACATAGGATCTACTGAAGAATGAGGCTAAACTAAGACAACAGGGAATTCCCCTGGCCTCATCAGCAGGAAAATCAAACACCAACAGTTTGCTGTTGGCAAGTAAGATACCTTGGAGAGTGACCTATTCTGAAACTCAGGAACACAGGGAAGGCTAAAACCTGAGGGTGGGATTAGGAACTTCAAGAAAAACTATCCAGCAAACTAATTCTCACCCTAAAGTTAAAGTAATAGCAGAGGAATGAAGCCAGTGGTACACTGAAGACAAACCCAGCAACAGCAAAACATAAAACCAGCTCCACTCCTGACAAGTTTGACACAACCTTCTCCCACATACACAATAATGGTAGGAGAAAAAAAAAAACATGCCTGCCCATTTTCAGGCATAAATACTACTTACCTGAATCTTACTGTTCTACACACTCTCTAGCAATTAACAGAACATTAGGAAAGTGCTCACTTTGGCAGTACATACACTAAAATTGGAATGATACAGAGAAGATTAGCATGGCTCCTGTGCAAGGATGACAGACAAATTCATGAAGCATTTCATTAAAAAAGAGAGAAAGAGACATATAAAAGCAAGAAAAAATGAACTCACTGTCAAAAAACAATGCAACCAAAAGAACAAGATTCAAGAGATAATGTAGACATTACAATTATCTGACAAGTAACTTAAAATAACTACAATTAATATGGTTCTAGTGGGAAAAAATTAACAACATGCACAAAAAGACAGCATTTCAGCAGAGAAATGGAAATTATAAGAAATTAATGGAAATACTAGAAATAAAACATGGTAACACAGATAAAGATTACTTTCAATGCACTCAAAACATCAAGGAAAGTCAGTGAAATTGAATGTAGGTCAATAGAAATTATCCAAATTGAAGGACAAAAAGAAAAAAGGTGGGTAAATAAAAACGGCTCAGAGCACCCAAGAGCTGTGGTATCATATCAAACGGTCTACCCTATGTAGAATGGTAATCCTACATAGGGTTGGGGGTGTGGTTGGGGGTGGAAATGACAGAGAAAAGAAAGAAACCAAATAAATACTTGGAGAGTTAACATTGGTTGAAGATGGTTAACATTTTTCCAAAATAATGTAAGACATGAAGCCACAGATACGAGAAGGTCAGAGAACCATAAGCAGGATAAATAAGAGCAACAAAAATAAAACCACCTGGATACATTATATTCAAAGTGCTAAAAGTGAACGATAAAGGGATAATCTTAGAGACAACCAGACGTAAAAAGACATTTTACATATAGAGCAACAAATATAAGAATTAGAGTAGACTATTCATCAGGAATTATGCAAGCTAGAAAAGAATGGAAAGAAATATTTAAAGTGCTGAAAAAATTGTCAAACCAGAATTTTATATGTTGCAGAACTATCTTTCATACATAAAGAAGAAATAAAGACTTTCAGACAAAAATAAACAGAAGTATTACAGAAATTTCTTCAGAAAGAATCAGAGCTAGACAGAAATTTAAATCTACACAAAGAAATGACAAAGATAAAAGACTTTTTTTCCTTATTTTAATTGCTCTAAAAGATAGCCAACTATTTAAAGCAAATAATAGAAAGACTACTTTGGGTTTACAACATGTGTAAAGGTGAAATATAAGAAAATGATAGAACAACAGATTGGAGGGAGGAATTGGAGTGTACTGTTGTAAAGTTCTAACATTACATGTGAGTGACATAATGTTATTTGAAGGTAAACTGTGATTAATTGAGACATGCATTATAAATTCTATGTCAACCACTAAAAAGTTAAAAAGAAGTATAAGTAAACCAATAGTAGAGATAATATTGAGTTAAAAAAAATACACAATTCGGCCGGGTGTGGTACTGCAATCCCAGTACTTTTGGAGGCCAAGGCAGGCAGATCACAAGGTCAGGAGTTCAAGACCAGCCTGGCCAGTATGGTGAAACCCCATGCCTACTTAAAAATGCAAAAATTAGCCGGGTGTGGTGGCACATGCCTGTAGTCCCAGTTACTCAGGAGGCTGCAGCAGAAGAATTGCTTGAACTCGGGAGGCGGAGGTTGCACTGAGTTGAGATAGCACCACTGCACTCCAGCCTCCAGTTTGGGTGACAGAGTGAGACTCTGTCTCAACAACAACAACAACAACAAAAAAAATAAATAAATAAATAAATAAATAAAGAACCCCCACCAATTCAAGAGCAGACAGAAAAAGACAGAAAGAGAATAAAGGACAAATTACATAAATAGCAGACAACTAGCAAGATGATAGATTTAAATCTGACAATATCAATAATTTCATTTAATGTAAATGATGTAAACACAACTAAATAAAAGAGTATGTTATACATTTTTTTAAGTCAAATCTATTGGGAAAACAAAATGGTGCAGCCACTATGAGAAACAGTTTGGCAGTTCCTCAAAAAGTTAAAAATAGAGTTACCACATGACTCAGCCGTTCTACTCCTATGTATATGCCCAAGAGAAGGGAAAAACATATGT
The DNA here is from genome assembly GCF_000001405.40 of Homo sapiens. Classification (NCBI taxonomy): domain Eukaryota; kingdom Metazoa; phylum Chordata; class Mammalia; order Primates; family Hominidae; genus Homo; species Homo sapiens. Next base: position 56,272,593 of record NC_000015.10, on the reverse strand, counting down.
TCACACAAAAAGCTGTACATGAATGTTCATAGCAGCATTATTCAAAATAGCCAGAAAGTGAAAACAACCCAAGTGCCTATCAACTGATGAACTGGATAATTTATGTAATATATCCATACAATGAAATCTTGTTCAACCATAAGAAGCAAAAGAATGATACATGCTACAACACAGATGAACTCTCAAAACATGCTGAAAGAAGACAGACACAATAGGCCACATGTTGTACATTGCATTTATATGAAATATCCATAATATGAAAATCCATAGAGAAATAAAGTAAATTAGTGATTGCCAGGGGTTGGAGCAAGGGGAGAATTGGAATTAACTACCAACAGGTACAAGTTTCTTCTTGGGGCGATGGAAATGTTCTGGTATTAAACAGAGATGACAGCTGTACAACACTGTGAATAGTCTAAAAACCACTAAATTGTACATTTTTTTTTTTTTGAGATGGAATGTTGCTCTGTCACCCAGGCTGGACTGCAGTGGCGCGATCTCAGCTCACTGCAAGCTCTGCCTCCCCGGTTCCGGCCATTCCCCTGCCTCAGCCTCCCGAGTAGCTGCGACTACCGGTGCCCACCCCCATGCCCAGCTAATTTTGTTTTTGTAGTTTTTAGTAGAGACAGGGTTTCACCGTGTAGCTGGGATGGTCTCGATCTCCTGACCTCGTGATCTGCCCGCCTCAGCCTCCCAAAGTGCTGGGATTACAGGCGTGAGCCACCGTGCCCAGCCTAAATTGTACATTTTTAAAATGTTTTAAATGTTGACTTTTATATGAATTTTTTCTAAATTTTAATAATTAAAAAGAGACTTGACTACATCCTCTCTACAAGAAACTTACTTTAAATGATAAAACAAAAATAGTTCAAAATAAAAGGGTAGAAAGTCATATGCCATACAAACACTAATCATAAGAAAACTGGTGTGGCAATATTAATATCAGAAAATACGACTTCAATATAGGAACATTTCCTGGGATAAACAGGAAAATTAGCCAGGCATGGTGACTCATGCCTGTAACGCCAGCATTTTGGGAAGCCAAGGTGGGTGGATCACCTGAGGTCAAGAGTTTGAGACCAGCCTGACCAACATGATGAAACCCCATCTTGAGAGGAAAAGCATGGCACGAGAACTACGTGACGCATGCACAAGCTTCAGTAGCCGATTCCATTAAGTGGAAGAAAGGGTATCAGTGATTCAAGATGAAATTAATGAAATGAAGCGAGAAGAGAAGTTTAGAGAAAAAAGAGTAAAAAGAAACGAACAAAGCCTCCAAGAAATATGGGACTATGTGAAAAGATCAAATCTACGTTTGATTGGTATACCTGAAAGTGACGGGGAGAATGGAACCAAGCTCGAAAATACTCTTCAGGATATTATCCAGGAGAACTTCCCCAAACTAGTAAGGTGGGTCAACATTCAAATTCAGGAAATACAGAGACCACCACAAAGATACTCCACGAGAAGAGCAACCCCAAGACACATAATTGTCAGATTCACCAAGGTTGAAATGAAGGGAAAAATGTTAAGGGCAGCCAGAGAGAAAGGTCATGTTACCCACAAAGGGAAGCCCATCAGACTAACAGCGGATCTCTCAGCAGAAACTCCACAAGCCAGAAGAGAGTGGGGACCAATATTCAACAGTCTTAAAGAAAAGAATTTTCAACCCAGAATTTCATATCCAGCCAAATTAAGCTTCATAAGTGAAGGAGAAATAAAATCCTTTACAGACAAGCAAATGTTGAGAGATTTTATCACCACCAGGCCTGCCTTACAAGAGCTCCTGAAGGAAGCACTAAACATGGAAAGGAACAACTGGTACTAGCCACTGCAAAAACGTGCCAAATTGTAAAGACCATCAATGCTAGGAAGAAACTGCATCAAGAAATGGGCAAAATAAGCAACTAACATCATAATAACAGGATCAAATTCACACATAACAATATTAACCTTAAATGTAAATAGGCTAAATGCCCCCAATTAAAAGACACAGACTGGCAAATTGGATAAAGAGTCAAGACCCATCAGTGTGCTGTATTCACATGCAGAGACACACATAGTGTCAAAATAAAAGGATGGAGGAAGATCTATCAAGCAAACGCAAAGCAAGAAAAAAGCAGGGGTTGCAATCTTGGTCTCTGATAAAACAGACTTTAAACCAACAAAGAACAAAAGAGACAAAGAAGGCCATTACATAATGGTAAAGGGATCAATTCAACAAGAAGAGCTAACTATCCTAAATATATATGCACCCAATACAGGAGCACCCAGATTCATAAAGCAAGTCCTGAGAGACCTATAAAAAGACTTAGACTCCCACAGAATAATAATGGGAGATTTTAACACCCCACTGTCAATATTAGGCAGATCAATGAGACAGAAGGTTAACAAGGATATCCAGGACTTAAACTCAGCTCTGCACCAAGCAGACCTAATAGGCATCTACAGAACTCTCCACCTCAAATCAACAGAATATACATTCTTCTCAGCACCACATCACAATTATCCCAAAATTGACCACATAGTTGGAAGTAAAGCACTCCTCAGCAAATGTAAAAGAACAGAAATCACAACAAACTGTCTCTCAGACCACAGTGCAATCAAATTAGAACTCAGGATTAAGAAACTCACTCAGGGCCGGGCGCGGTGGCTCACGCCTGTAATCCCAGCACTTTGGGAGGCCGAGGTGGGCGGATCACAAGGTCAGGAGTTTGAGACCATCCTGGCTAACACGGTGAAACCCCATCTCTACTAAAAATACAAAAAAAATTATCCAGGTGTAGGTGGTGCACGCCTGTAGTCCCAGCTACTTGAGAGGCTGAGGCAGGAGAATGGTGTAAAACCTGGGAGGCAGAGCTTGCAGTGAGCCGACATCACACCTCTGTACTCCAGCCTGGGAGACAGAGCGAGACTCCGTCTCAAAAAAAAAAAAAAAAAGAAAAGAAAAGAAACTCATTCAGAACCGCACAACTCCATGGAAACTGAACAACCTGCTCCTGAATGACCACCGGGCAAATAACAAAATGAAGGCAGAAATAAAGATGTTCTTTGAAACCAATGAGAACAAAGGCATAACGTACCAGAATCTCTGGGACACATTTAAGCAGTGTGTAGAGGGAAATTTATAGCACTAAATGCCCACAAGAGAAAGCAGGAAAGATCTAAAATCGACACCCTAACATCACAATTAAAAGAACTAGAGAAGCAAGAGCAAACACATTCAAAAGCTAGCAGAAGGCAAGAAATAACCAAGATCAGAGCAGAACTGAAGGAAATAGAGACACGAAAAAACCCTTCAAAAAATCAATGAATCCAGGAGCTGGTTTTTTGAGATCAACAAAATTGATAGACCGCTAGCAAGACTCATAAAGAAGAAAAGAGAGAAGAATCAAATAGATGCAATAAAAAATGACAAAGGGGATATCACCACGGATCCGACAGGAATACAAACTACCATCAGAGAATACTATAAACACCTCTGCAAATAAACTAGAAAATCTAGAAGAAATGGATAAATTCCTTGACACACACACCCTCCCAAGACTAAACAAGGAAGAAGCTGAATCTCTGAATAGACCAATAACAGGATCTGAAATTGAGGCAATCATTAATAGCCTACCAACCAAAAAAATTCTAGGACCAGATGGATTCACAGCCAAATTCTACCAGAGGTACAAAAAGGAGCTGGTACCATTCCTTCTGAATATATTCCAATCAATAGAAAAAGGGGGAATCCTCCTTAACTCATTTTATGAGGCCAACATCATCCTGATACCAAAGCCTGGCAGAGACATAACAAAAAAAGAGAATTTTAGACCAATATCTCTGATGAGCATTGATGCCAAAATCCTCAATAAAATACTGGCAAAACGAATCCAGCAGCACATCAAAAAGCTTATCCACCGAGATCAAGTTGGCTTCATCCCTGGGATGCAAGGCTGGTTCAACATACACAAATCAATACAAGTAATCCATCACATAAACAGAACCAAAGACAAAAACCACATGATTATCTCAATAGATGCAGAAAAGGCCTTCAACAGAATTTAACAGCTCTTCATGCTAAAAACGCTCAATAAATTAGGTATTGATGGGACGTATCTCAAAATAATAAGAGCTATTTACGACAAACCCACAGCCAATATCATACTGAATGGGCAAAAACTGGAAGCATTCCCTTTGAAAACTGGCACAAGATAGGGATTCCCTCTCTTACCACTCTTACTCAACATAGTGTTGGAAGTTTTGGCCAGGGCAACCAGGCAAGAGAAAGAAATAAAGGGTATTCAATTAGGAAAAGAGGAAGTCAAATTGTCCCTGTTTGCAGATGACATGATTGTATATTTAGAAAATCCCATCATCTCAGCCCAAAATCTCCTTAAGCTGATAAGCAATTTCAGCAAAGTCTCAGGATACAAAATCATTGTGCAAAAATCACAAGCATTCCTATACACCAATAACAGACAAACAGAGAGCCAAATCATGAGTGAACTCCCATTCACAATTGCTACAAAGAGAATAAAATACCTACGAATCCAACTTACAAGGGATGTGAAGGACCTCTTCAAGGAGAACTACAAACCACTGCTCAATGAAATAAAAGAGGAAACAAATGGAAGAACATTTCATGCTCACAGACAGGAAGAATCAATATCGTGAAAATGGCCATACTGTTTAAGGTAATTTATAGATTCAATGCCATCCCCATCAAGCTACCAATGACTTTCTTCATAGAATTGGAAAAAACTACTTTAAAGTTCATATGGAACCAAAAAAGAGCCCACATTGCCAAGACAATCCTAAGCAAAAAGAACAAAGCTGGAGGCATCACGCTACCTGACTTCAAACTATACTACAACCCTACAGTAAACAAAACAGCATGGTACTGGTACCAAAACAGAGATAGAGATCAATGAAACAGAACAGAGCCCTCAGAAATAACACCACACATCTACAACCATCTGAACTTTGACAAACCTGACAAAAACAAGAAATGGGGAAAGGATTCCCTATTTAATAAATGGTATTAGGAAAACTGGCTAGCCATATGCAGAAAGCTGAAACTGGATCCCTTCCTTACACGTTATACGAAAATTAATTCAAGATGGATTAAAGACTTAAATGTTAGACTTAAAACTATACAATCCCTAGAAGAAAACCTAGGCAATACCATTCAGGACATAGGCATGGGCAAGGACTTCATGACTAAAACACCAAAAGCAATGGCAAGAAAATCCAAAATAGACAAATGGGATCTAATTAAACTAAAGAGCTTCTGCACAGCAAAAGAAACTACCATCAGAGTGAACAGGCAACCTACAGAATGGGAGAAAATTTTTGCAATCTATTCATCTGACAAAGGGCTAATATCCAGAATCCACAAAGAACTTAAACAAATTTACAGGAAGAAAATCAAACAACCCCATCAAAAACTGGGCAAAGGACATGAACAGACACTTTTCAAAAGAAGACATTTATACAGTGAACAGACACATGAAAAAATCCTCATCATCACTGGCCATCAGAGAAATGCAAATCAAAACCACAATGAGATACCATCTCACACCAGTTAGAATGGCAATCATTAAAAAGTCAGGAAACAACAGGTGCTGGAGAGGATGTGGAGAAATAGGGACACTTTTACACTGTTGGTGGGACTGTAAACTAGTTCAACCATTATGGACGACTGTGTGGCAATTCCTCAAGGATCTAGAACTAGAAATACCATCTGACCCAGCCATCCATTACTGGGTATATACCCAAAGGATTATAAATCATGCTGCTATAAAGACATATGCACACGTATGTTTATTGCAGCACTATTCACAATAGCAAAGACTTGGAACCAACCCAAATGTCCATCAATGATAGGCAGGATTAAGAAAATATGGCACACATACACCATGGAATACTATGCAACCATAAAAAAGGATGACTTCATGTCCTTTGTAGCGACATGGATGAAGCTGGAAACCATCATTCTGAGCAAAGTATCACAAGGACAGAAAACCAAACACTGCGTGTTCTCACTCATAGGTGGGAATTGAACAATGAGAACACTTGGACACAGGGCAGGGAATATCACACACCGGGGCCTGTCATTGGGTGGGGGGGATGGGGGACGGATAGCATTAGGAAAAATACCTAAAGTAAACAACGAGTTAGTGAGTGTAGCAAACCAACACGGCACATGTATACATATGTAAGAAACCTGCACATAGTGCACATGTACCCTAGAACTTAAAGTACTAAAAAAAAAAAAAGAAAAGAAACCCCATCTCTACTAAAAATACAAAATTAGCCAGGCATGGTGGTGCACACCTGTAGTCCCAGCTACTTGGGAGGCTGAGGCAGGAGAATTGCTTAAACCCAGGCAGTGGAGGTTGCAGTAAGCCAAGACTGCACCACTGCACTCCAGCCTGGGAGACAGAGTGAGACTCTGTCTCAAAAAAAAAAGAGAGAAATTACATAATGACAAGCAACCAATTCACCAAGAATATACAAAAAAATGCATAATAATCACACATCTAACAAAAGATTTGCAGAATATAGGAAGTAAAATCTGACAGAATAAAAGGTATTAGATAAGTCCAAAATTATGGTTGGTGGCTCAGAGCACCCAAGAACTGTGGTATCATATCAAAAGGTCTTTTGAATCAACACTTTTCTCACTGTAATCAATAAAGCAGTAGGAATGAAAATCAGTAAAGGATTAAAAAGCCTGAACAATACCATCAACCACCTTGACCCAACTGATATTCATATAATAGGCCACCCACACAAGAGAATATTCTTTTCCAAAAATATGAAACCTTCACCAAGATAGACGATATTCTGGGCCTTAAAACAAACAACAATACATTTAAAAGAATTAAAAATCATATGAAGTATAACAGAATTAAAGTACAAATAAAGATTTCTGAAAAAAATCCTATTTGGAAATTTTTATAAAATCTCTTCTAAATAATTAATGGGTCACAGAAGAACTTACAAAGAAAATTGGAAAATAGTTGCAATTGAATCAACATGAAAAAACATCATATCAAAATTATTGGGATGCAGATAAAGCTGCCCTCATAGTGAAAGTTTTAGCATTAATGCTTATATTTAAAAACTATAGAAAGGCATGGTAGCTTATACCTGTAATCCCATCACTTTAGGAGGCCAAGGCAGAAAAATCGCTTGAGGCCAGGAGTTCGAGACCAGCCTGGGCAAGAGGAGGAGACCCTGTCTCTACAAAAAATAAAAAATAAAAAAAAAGCTGGGCCTGGTAGCACATTCCTGTAGTTTCAGCAACTCGGGGAGGCTGAGGCAGGAGGATTGCTCCCATCCAGGAGTTCAAGGTTACAGTAAGCTATGGTACCACTACACTCCATGCTGGTACCACTACACTCCACAGTGAGACCCTGTTAAAAAAAAAAAAAAAAGAAAGAAAAGGAAATCAGAAAGTTCTCAAATCAATGATCTGAGCTTTTATCTCAAGAAAGCAGAAAATTTTTAAGGAAAAGTGAAAGAGCTAGTACACAAAAAACTGAAAAGAAGAACAAAATTGGAGGACTTACTACAAGATTTCAAGATTTACTATAATCAAGTAACCAAGACAGAGGGTGATATTGGTGAAAGGACAGACATAAACAACAGTGGAACCAAACAGTCCAAATACAGACCCTTGTACATATAACCAGCTGATTTTTAACAGAATTGCAAAGGCAATTCCATAGAGAAAAGACTGATTATCTTTCTAAAACATAGTGTGGAAAAGGACATCTGTTGGAAAAAGAAAACAAAATCTCAACACATGCCTCAGAACATACACAAAAAATTAAGTCAAAATGGATGACAAATATAAATGAAATATTGAATCTATAAAACTACTGCAGTATAATGTAGGATAAAGTCTTTGTGACATTAGGTCACACATGTCTCAGAGATTACTTAGTCAATAATTTTTGTGGACTGTGAACCATAAAAGCAAAAACTGATAAATACTTGTCCATCAAAATATTTGAAAACTTTTAAACTTCAGCTCTTCAAAAGACCATGTAAGAAAATTAAAGACAAGCAACAGACTGAGAGAAAAATATCTGAAAAACTCTTATCATTTAAAGGTCTCCTATTCCAATACATAGAACATTCTAAAAACTCAATATGAAGAAATCAAACAACCCAGGGAAAAAACTTTGTGAAAGATTTGAGCAGATACTGTATGAAAATAAGGCATGTGGATGACATATAGGGACATAAAAAGGTGTTCTACATTAGTAGTGCTTGGGGAAATACAAATTAAAACCACAATGAAATTCCACCACACACCTATTAGAATGGCAAACAAAAAACTTGACAATACCAAAGGCTGATGAAGATGTGGCACAAATTGGAATCCTTATTCATTATTGCTGGGAATTCAAAAACGGTGCGACTATTTTGGAAATGAGTTTTCAGTTTCTTAATTTAAATGTATACTTACATGGCACAGCAACTCAACTCCTAGGTATTTACACAAGAAAAAGGAAAATGGGTTCACATTAAAACCTATATGGGAATGTTTATAGCAACTTTTTCCAAAGTCACCAAAGACTGGTAACAAGCCAAATGTATTATTCATAGTTGCCAAAAAGTGGAAATAACCCCAAAAATGTCTTTCACCTGGTGAATGGATAGACAAATTGGTATATCCATGCAGTGATACAGTACTCATTAATAAAAAACAAATGGCAGAAACAATAACATAAATGAACTGAGATGTATAATTCTACATAAAAGAAGCCAAACACAAAATGCTTCATATTATATCGTTCCACTTATATGATATTTTATAAAGGTAAAACTAGAGGGATAGAAAAGAGGTCAGTAGTTGTCAGGATCTGAGGATATGGGGAAGGGCTGATTTCAAAAGGGCACAAACAAATTTGGGGGAATGATGGAACTGCTCTATACCTTGATTGCGGTGGTAGTTACATAACTATGCATTTCTCAAAACTCATAGAACTATCTAGTAAGAATGGTGAACTTTACTGTATGGAAGTTGTACCTCAATAAACCTGAATTAAAGAACAACGAATAAAGAAAGAAACATCAAATAAAAATATAATTAACCCCAAGAAAATTAGGAAAGGAAAAAGAACAGATGAGAGAAATAATTTAAAAACAGAAACAAAATGGCAAACGTAAAGTCAATTACATAAGTAATTACATGAAGTATGAACGGACTAAGCACACCAGTGAAAAGGCAAAGATTTTCAGACTGTATTTTAAAAAAACAACCCGTGGCCAGGCACGGTGGCTCACGCCTGTAATCCCAGAACTTTGGGAGGCCAAGGCAGGTGGATCACCTAAGGTCTGCAGTTCGAGACCAGCCTGACCAACATAGAGAAACCCTGTCTCTACTAAAAATACAAAATTAGCCGGGCATGGTGGCAAATGACTGTAATCCCAGCTACTCGGGAGGCTGAGGCAGGAGAATCGCTTGAACTCGGGAGGCAGAGGTTGCAGTGAGCCATGATCGTACCACTGCACTCCAGCCTGGGCAACAAACCAAAACTCCGTCTCAAAAAACAAAAACAAAAAAAACAGCCACGTGTGTTGTTATTCTTTAAATGTAAGTACAGAGACTGAGTGAAAGCAAAAGAATGGTAAAGATATTATCATGCAAACAGCAACCTAAAGAAAGTTTGTGGTTATATTAATATCAGACAAAGTAAACTTTAAGGCCAGAAGTGTACTAGAGATAAAGGATGGCATTTTATAAAGATCGAGGGATCAATTCAACAGGAAAACACAACAATCCTAAATTTTTATGTCCATAGTAACCTAGTATCAAGTAATATAAGCAAACATTAGTAGAAGTAAAGGAAAAACAGACAAAATCTTAATCAGTGTTATACCTATCTCTGGTGTGTTAGATGCAAGAGGATAATTAGATAACGAAAATTAGAAATTATATAGAATATTTGAACAAAATGATTAACCAATTTGACCTACTTGATATATCGATATGACACTACACCTAACCACTGTAAAATACAGTTCTTTTCAAGCACATATAAAATGTTTGTCAAAATAGGCTATATGCTATGCATAAAACAAGCCTGAACAAGCTTCAAAAGTATTGAAATCACATAGGATATGTTCTCAGACCATGGTGGAATTAGCCTGAAAACCAACTAATAGAAACATGACTAGAAGATCTGAAAATGTCTGGAAATAAAACAAAGCTTTTCTAAATAAACCAGTACTCAAGATAATGAAAATGAAAATGCGACTCATCAAAATTTATGTGGTGTAGCTAAAGCAGTGTGTGCTGGTTACTGAATTATTGCCTCTCTGCTCCAATTCCTCATTTGCCTGTTGTGTGAAAATGCGTTTTGGCCCTTTAAATATTTGTTCTTGCCAGCTGGAACTTTGTCATTACAGGGCACTAGAAATATACTGCAGGAGGAAAACATTTTTTGCTTCCTGGTTCTCGTGTGCTTGCTTCTCCAGGATGCATAGTTTTCCCTAGTACCAAGTTTCTGTAGTTCACAGTGGCCAGCCACACCCAGCAACCAGCAGGCAGTTGTGTAGCAGAATGACTCCACTGAGACATCTCCCCATGAATGCCTTTCACTGGCACCCCAGAAGGTGGAATTCCAGTACATTTCGTCAGTACAGCACCATGGCAACTTCTCTGGCATCCAGTGAGCCACAGCAGTGCCCTCTACAACAGGGTGTTGATCTTAGGCCTGGGTGGCATATTCCTTGGGTCGGCTATCTCAGCTCCAAGGGAAGAGGCTGTAACCTACATCTACTATTCCTATATCCTTTGGGATCCTCTTCTTGCTAGCCAGTCTCTCATTACTTCAATGACCTGGTACAGTTAATAATTTTTTTTTTTTGAGACAGTCTCTCGCTCTATTGCCCAGGCTGGAGTGCAATGGCGTTAGCTTAGCTCACTGCAACCTCCCCTTCCCAGGTTCAAGTGATTCCCATGCCTCAGCTTCCCGAATAGCGGGACTACAGGCACATGCTACTGCGCCTGGCTAATTTTTGTATTTTTAGTAGAGATGAGGTTTCGCCATGTTGGTCAGGCTGGTCTCGAACTCCTGACCTCAAGTGATCCACCTGCCTTGACCTCTCAAAGTGCTAGGATTACAGGCATGAGCCACTGCGCCTGGCCTAATAATTATTATATTATTATTTTTTGGTTAAAATTACTGTGTGGGTTCTCTCTGATTGGATTTTTTTAATTCACAATGATTAGAAGAAAGTTGACTTTACATGCCTATATCAGAAAAGAAAAAAAATCAAAAATTAATTTCTAAGTTACCATCTCAAGAAGTTAGAAAAAGAACAGAAAATAGAGGGAAATTAATAAAAATGAAAACAATAATTGATGAAATAGCTGACATAAAATTGAGAAAAATCAACAAAGCCAAAGCTTTTTTTAAAAAAAGAATATCAATAGATTTGATAAACTCTTAGCAAGACCAATCAAGAGCAAAAGTATAAATTACTAATATCAGAATCAAAGGGCAATATCCCTACAGATCCTACAAAACTAAAAAGATAAATCAGAAATATTTTGAATAATTTTATATAAATACATTTGACAATCTATATAAAATGAATAATTTATATAAAATCACGTCATCTAAACTGATAAAAGAAAAATTAAAAGAAATAAAAATCATTGTTAAATATATTCTATCTACAATTTAAAACTTACCCTCAAAGAAAATTTGAGCTTCGATATATTTAGTGGTGAATTCTCCAAAACATTTAAGAAAAATATATCAATCCTACATAACCTCTTTCAGGAAAGAAAGAAAAAACGCTTCCTCCTAATTCATTTTTTTGAGGCTAGAACAACCCTAACACAAAAATATGACAAAGATATTATAATACAAGAAAGTTACAAGCTAATAATTCTTACGAACATAGGGACAAAAATTAGAACAAAGTATTAAATAATCAAATCCAAAGAATATGTAAAAAGGATAACATATCATAACCAATTTGGTTTATTCTAGGAATAAAAAATTGGTTTAAAAAGTTAATCAATATAACTTACTTCACTAAATTATATTTGCTTTTTTTATGTAAATAATAAAATAATAATGAAAGTAAAAATCACTGATCACCTCAATAGATGCAAAAAGGCCTCCAATTAACCACTAGTTCATAATAAAACTTCTCAGCAAATTTGAAATATAAGCGAACTTTTTAATATGATAAAGTTTATGTACAAAAGGCCTGCTGCTAACATATTTAGTGGTGAAATATGGAATGCTTTCTTCCTGAATTCAGAAACCACTCAAATATATTTATTTTCATTACTTGCATTAATCATTGCACTGCAGGTCCTAGTCAGTGCCACAAGGCATGAAAGAAGAGCTGTGAGGTTGGAAAGAAGGAAGTAAAAGTGTCATTTCAGATGACATGATTGTAAATATAGAAAAACCCAAAATAATATATACACAATTAGAATTAATGAATTTAGATAAGTCACTGAATACAAAATCAATACATAAAAATCTATTGTATTTGTATGTGTTTGCAAAAACAATTGGTAAATAAAAAATTTTAAACAATACTATTAACAATATCATTGGAAAACCTCAAATATCTGGGAATAAATTTTATAAAAGACATGTAAGATCACTAAAGTGAAAACGGCAAAACATTTCAAAGAAAAATTACATAAGATCTAACTAGATGAATAGATATACCATGTTCATGGATTTGGAGACTTCATATCATAAATTAATTTTATAATTTAAAAGCTATTCTTCAAAAGTTATTTTATTGATTCAATGCAATCCCAGTCAAGATCCTAACAGAATTTTTGTGGAAATGTATTAGAGATTTCAAAAAGTTATATGGAAATGCAAATGACCTATAGCAGCCAAGAAATGAAGAAGAATAAATTGTTGGAAGATTTACCATATCAGATAGCATAACTTACCATAAAGCTACAATATTTAATGCAGTGTGGTATTAGTATAATAATAGATACGTATACCAAAAGGGAGCATCTAGAAATAGGCTCATATATATACTTGATGTACAACAATGATGCCACTGCAATTTTGTAATAATAAGATTTTTTTTCAATAAATGATGCTGGAGCAATTAAATAATTCACATGAAACAGACTTTAACCTTAATTTACACTATCTACAAAAATTAATGCTGATTAAATTATAAACCTTCATGTGAAAGAAAAACAGTAATATCCAAGAAGAGAAATCAATAAATTTTTTCTGTAAAGGGACAGATAGTAAATATTTTCAGCTTTGTAGGTCATACAGTCTTTGTTGCAACTACTTAACTCTGCTGTTGTAGTCCAAAGGCAGCCATAGACAATACATAAATGAATGAATGAGAATGGCTGTCTTCCAACAAAAATTTATTTACAAAAACAAATGGCAGGTCACATGGGCCATAAATTTCTGACCCCTGCTCTAGAAGATAACGGAATATTTCATGACATTGGGTAGGCAGTGATTTCTTAAATAAGATTCCCCAAAAACATAAAACATAAAAGATGGATTAATTCAAGTTCTGAGGTTATGTTTATTGAAAGGCATCATTAAGAGGATGAAACAGCAAGACATAGTTTAGTAGAAGATATTTGCTATATATGCATATATATATGTATTATATATGTTTTATATATACATATAGGTGTTTATATATGTATATATATACACATATATATTCATATATATCCAACAAATAACATATCTACAATATCTAAAGAATGTCTACAAATCAATAAGAAAAAGGCAAATCAATAAACAAAATGAGCAAAAACTTGAGCAAGCATTTTACAAAAGAGACTATCAATATGAATATAAGCACATGAAAAGATGTTCCATATAATTAGTAATCAGAGAAATCTAAATAAGAATAAACCATACTCAGATATTAGTACATCCCCAACAAAATGGAGGAAAGGAAAAAGAGTGACACAAAAATCAATGTGCAAAAATCGCTAGCATTCCTAAACACCAAAAACAGGCAAGCCAAGAGCCAAATCATGAGTGAACTTCCATTCACAATTGCTACAAAAGAATAAAAAACCTAGGAATACAGCTAACAAGGAAAGTGAAGGACCTCTTCAGGATAACTACAAATCACTGCTCAAAGAAATCAGAGATGACACAAACAAATGGAAAAACATTCCATGCTCATGGATTGGAAGAATCAATATTGTGAAAATGGCCATACTGACCAAAGCAATTTATAGATTCTACGCTACTCCCATTAAACTACCATCGACTTCTTCACAGAACTAGAAAACACAATTTTAAAATTCATATGGAACCAAAATAGAGCCTGAAGAGCTAAGGCAATACTAGGCAAAAAGAACAAAGCTAGGGGCATCATGCTACCCAACTTCAAACTATACTACAGGGCTACAGTAACTAAAACAGCATGGTACCAGTACAAGAACAGACACATAGACCAGTGGAACAGAGTAGAACACCCAGAAATAAGATCACACACTTACAACCATCTGATCTTTGACAAACCTGACAAAAACAAGCAATGGGGAAAGCATTCCCTATTTAATATGTGGTGCTGGGAGAACAGGCTAGCCATATGAAGAAAACTGAAAGTGGACACTTCCTTATACCATATACAAAAATCAACTCAAGATGGATTAAAGACTTCAATGTAAAACCTAAAACTATAAAAACCCTAGAAGAAAACCTAGGCAATACCAATCAGGACATAGGCATAGGCAAAGATTTCATGATCAAGATGCCAAAAGCAATTGCAACAAAAGCAAAAATTGACAAATGGGATCTAATTAAACTAAAGAGCCTCTGCACAGCAAAAGAAACTATCGACAGAGTAAACAGAAAACCGGCAGAATGGGAGAAAATTTTGCATTCTATGCATCTAACAAAGATCTAATATCCAACATCTACAAGGAACTTAAACAAACTTACAAGAAAAAACAACCCGATTAAAAAGTGGGCAAAGGACATAAACAAACAGACACTTCTCAAAAGAAGACATACATGCAGCCAACAAACATATAAAAAAAGCTCAACATCACTGATCATAAGAGATGCAAATCAAAACCACAATGAGATACCATCTCACACTAGTCAGAACAGTTGTTATTAAAATGTCAAAAAATAACAGATGCTGGTGAGGTTGTGGAGAAAAAAGAACACTTTTACACTGTTGGTGGGAGTATAAATGAGTTCAACCATTGTGGAAGACAGTGTGGTGATTCCTCAAAGACTTAGAGACAGAAATAACATTCAGCCCAACAATTTCATTCCTGGGTATATACCCAAAGGAATATATTAACAAATTGTTGTATTATAAAAGCATATGCACATGTATGTTCATTGGAGCACTGTTCACAATAGCAAACACCTGGAATCAACTAGATGCCCATCAATGATAGACTGGGTAAAGAAAATGTAGTACATATACACCATGGAATACTGTGTAACCAACAAAAAGAATGAGATCATGTCCTTTGCTGGGACATGGATGGAGCTGGAGGCCATTATCCTTAGCAAACTAACGCAGGAACAGAAAACCAAATACTGCATGTTCTCACTTATAAGTGGGAGCTAAATGATGAGAACACATGGACACATAGAGGGGAATAGAACACACTGGGGCCTATGGGAGAGCAGAGGGTGGGAGGAGGGAGAGGATCAAAAAAAAATAAGTAATGAACTACTAGGCTTCATACCTTGGTGATGAAATAATCTGTACAACAAACCCCCATGACACACATTTACCTATGTAACAAACGTGTATATCTTGCGCATGTACCCCTAAACTTAAAACTTTTAAGAAACAAATAAATAAATAAGTAAAAATTAGCTTAAATTCAGTATTCACCTCAAACTTTTCAAAATCTATTTCATACCTATAATTATATCCCCTTCTAATTTCTAATGCTGATAACTCTCTCTTTTTTTAACCTTGGTGAGACATTCCAGACTTTTGACATTTTTGGTTCTTTTCAAAAAATCATCTCTTAGTTTTATACAAATTTATCCCACCCCAACCCCCAACATTTTATTCATGTTTTTTTCCTTTAGTAATACCCTTGCTTCTACTTTATGTATTTTTTTCACTAGCTTTTTAAGCTTTATACATGATTTATTTCTAGCCAATCTTTTCTTATTTTTAAAACACGCATACCTGGCTGCATTTTCTCTGAGTATATGTAGATTTTGATTTGTATTGTTTTCACTGTCATTCTTATTGTTGCAGTTAAATACACTAGCTCTGAATCATGCTATCTAGGTTCATATCCCAACACTGTCATTTATGGATTGTGTGCCCTTGGCCGGGTTATTTAGTACAGCTTTGTGCTTCAGTTCCTCATCTGTGACATGAGATGATAATGGAATCAACTTCCCAAGATTACTGTGAAAATAAAAAGATAATCCATGTAGATCACTTAGCATAATGCTGGTTGTATAACAATGTTCAATAATTTTAACATATTATCATTTGTAAATAATTTATAATTTCATTTTAAATTTTTTTGTATTAAAGGAGTGGTTTTTATTTCCAAGTTTATAAACAATTTGCTTATTAATTACAACTTTTATTTCAGTATAAAAAATGTAACCTGAATGATTTATCTTGAAATTTAACATTTTCTTTGTGTTTTAGCAGCTAGTTAATGTTTCATGTGTGTTTGAGGAGACTATGCATTCACTGTTTATTCATACAAAGTCCTTTATTCGATCAAGCTTCTTTGTTATTCTAATCCTCTCTATCCTTACTTTTTTCCTACTTGATCTATCAATTTGAGATGTGTGTTAAAGTCTTCTAAAATGGCTCTGTATTTTTCATTCCTACTTATATTTCTATCATTTTCACTTTATAGGTTATAAAGATGACATTTGATGTTATATTCTTAGATTTATAAAGGTTCAGTATTAGTAGAGCTTCTTACAGAATTCTATTTTTCACTAATATGAACATTTTTTATCTTGTCAAACCCTTTTCGCATTATTCTTTTTTGTCTAACATTGTTACTATATTTGTTATCCTTATTAGAACTTGCCTGATGTATCTTTCTACGTTTTTATTTCCAACCTTCTTTTTAGGTGTCTTTTTCTAAATTTGAGATTTTTTTATTAAAGAAATTCTGTCCATGTGTCATGTACTGGAATCACTGATGGCTTGACTTTTTTTCTGCCATCTGGTGTTCCATATGTGTGTGTATGTGTTTATCATATACACACAGCTATATAAAAGTTATAAAACATACAGCTTTTAGAACTTACCTCCTATCTCTCCATCATGCTTTGTCCCTGCCATCTTTATGTTGCAATCATCTAGAACAGGGGTTCACCTGCCCCCTGCTTTTGTAAAGTCTTATCGCACATTCATTTACATATTATCTATGACTGTTTTCACACTACAACAGCAGAGCTGAGTGGTTGCAACAGAGTCTATATGGAACACAAAACTGAAAATATTTACTATCTGGTCTTTTACAGAAAACATTTGCCAACGTCTAATCTAGATTTTAATTTTATGCTATTAATTTTAAATATATGTCATATTTAGACAAATCATCTCTTTTCTCTCCACTGATTCTTGAATGCTTCACCTTCATCTTTCTTGGATTCATCATTTATTTTGTTAAAATTTATCCTATAGTCATCCTTTCAAAGAGATTCTATTGGTGATACATATGTCCTGAGTTTATTTCAAAAATCATGTTTTTAAATTTCTGGGATCATTGTTTCATTTTCATGGATGTAATATCTTGAACCTCTTTGAGGATAATTGTTATATTTGTGATATTTATAAGTATATATTTTATATACAATAATTATATTTTCTTAAAATTATAAAATTTATAAAAAGAATTTGTATTCATCTTTTTTAAATTTATAAACTCTCTTTCGTTAGGTATTATTTTTTCTGAGTTTGGTGTCTCTGCAAACTTGTATTATTCTTGTATTGGATTATTCTTTTACTTTATAAATAAGAATCCCTGTTAGCTCTCTCCTTCTGCTTGATGTGGGTCAACTTGTGATTATAGGTGAAGGGAAGGGCATATTGCTGGGGAGAGTGTTTCTTTTCAGAGTGAGGAGCCTCCCTGTGCCTCCTGGGGTCCACTGCTACTCTTCTGTCTGTTGGCTCTCAGAATCCACAGGCTCACTACTTAATCTGTGGACAATTACAAGCAAAAGAAGGGAATGTGAGTAGCAGTCCAGCTGCTCCAAATGCAGTGTTTCAGTTAATCACTCTGGCCATTACCCTAGGATGTCCTATTCATAGAACCTGTTCTCTCTGAGCTTGTAGCATCCCTGAAATTTATCCTACCTCCTCAGCAATCTAGAGCCAAATGTACGGCACAGTTGCTCTAGTATGTTTTTCTAAAGTCTGATCCCATCTCCTGAAAATTTCTCATACACTTACGGCATTTTTCTTGTCCCCTGTCCTGTTACCAATTAACCTCACCCCCTTTAATCTTTTCTGTCATTTCATAAGATTTGGTAGAGGTAACTTTCCTGCAGGCTGGCATCTTGATTTACTCTTCATACACAGGATTTTTGAATTAACTCTTTCAAAACACCATTAAATGTAATTTGTGGGTGATAACCTATGTTCTTGCCATTTTTATTTCAAAACATTTAAAAAGATACTCAAAGTTTCTTTGACACAGAGAGAAAAGTGAAGCCCTATTCCAACAATTCTCTGAGGGGCAAGTCTCAAGTCACTTGCCTTTAACAACACATTGGGTAGTCTATTCCATTTTTTTTTAATGTTCTTTCATGGGAGTGGGAGACACTGATTGTGAAGAGCTGTAATTTTTAGCCACTTTTTCCACCTTATACATTGGGCAGCGATAAGTGACATTTTCAGTCAGATTTGGCTAACAAGCTCATCCTGTTATGGAATTCTACTCCCTCCCTGCCATACCTCAATTCCTGACTGCTGAGTAGCCTGTTCAGAGTACATCAAGAGCTAACTTTAACAGCTTTAATACTCACTAAGAGAACCCTTCTGAGAGTAGCTAGAAAGCACAGACCCTCATCTCTAATATTATTTGGGGTTTTGAGTCCCTGAATAGCTAGTGTCATTTGGCTTTCTTTAGGGACCTCAGAAGGGATACGTGTTTAAAGTTCCTATAAATATTGTGTAAGATTTTCCAACTGATTATGAAGACCTTCCGTTCTTTCTCCTTTTTCAGTTCTGGGGTTGATATTTGGAGGGGGTTAAAGTCAGACACCTCTGTACACTCCCAGGACTCTCTGACATAGCATGTGTTGAACCTCTCCTTGTTTTATGATTTTTGGGGTTTTTTTGCTTGGTGTAGGCAAAATTTTTTCTTCTTGCCATCCAATGGTGCCTCTTTCCCTATCTGCTTTGTGCATTTCAAACACGCAGAGTTTGAATGTCCTTCTGTGCTCTGATCAAGGAATTTCTTGCAGCAGCTATCTTAGGTGCCGTGTGGCTTTTAGTGATCATGACCTGTGCTTTATCAGACTATAAAGTAGTGGCATGTAAAAACTAGGCTGCCACCACTTTTGGTTT
This sequence comes from Homo sapiens, assembly GCF_000001405.40. Lineage (NCBI taxonomy): Eukaryota > Metazoa > Chordata > Mammalia > Primates > Hominidae > Homo > Homo sapiens. The sequence goes on along the minus strand of NC_000015.10, from coordinate 56,253,060 downwards.
TCAGGACTCCTGTCATTTTTAGGGCCCTTATCCCCTGCCATCAATCTATTCCTTCCCTTCTCCTCTCTACCTTCCAGAAAAAAAGGAAGGGAAATTCATAATTTATTTGGCTTTTACTATGTGTAAAGCATTGTGTGGAGTATTTTCAGAAATATTTTTCATTAAATTATCAGTACAACTGAGTGAAGGAGTTATTATCCCCACTTTTACCAATTGGAAAACTGAGGCTCAGAGAAGCAAAGAACTTGCCTGAGATCACAAAAATGGCAAGTGGTAGAGCTGAGATTTGGATCCTAGACTCTAAATTTGGAAGCCCGGGGGATCTCCATGAGGGTCAGCCTCAAGCCTCATCTGCCCAAGAGTGTGGATCTGAATTCAGATAAGAAACTAGAGGTTACAGGAAGCACGCAGCAGACTCTTTTCCTTAAAAGGAACAAAGCTGGCCAGAGTACCTTTAAATCTGGAGAATTGTAGCACCAGATGTCAGGCTGAACAGACACAGTTGGCTGCTTGAAAAATTTTTGTAAAGTCATGGAGACATGAATTTTAAGTACAAATTAACTATGTTCTCAGCTCCTACACCATTATTATGAATAAGATATTGAGCTTTCTTATTAGCCCATTCTGCTTTTTCTGACATTCTGCTTTTATTTTGTGGCCTGGACAAAAAAAAAAAAAAAAGGTTTTTCTAATAGCTCAATTCAACAAACATTCATTGTTTGGCTACTTTGTGGGAGTGACTATAGTATATGTTGGAGATATAGAGAAGATTAAAAACATACTTCCTGACCAAATATAGTTTGTAGTACTGGAAGTCAGGTAGAGGGAGTGTAGATGCAAGAAATAGGCAAACAAACCTACAATTAGCCTACAATGAGATAGTATGACATAAGGCTGTACAAGGTACCACAGAGCCACAGAAAAGAGACAGCTAACACAAACTGGCTGGGAGTGGGTAGGGAATGGATAAGGGAAAACTGCTGAGAGGATGCAATTCTTGACAAAAGAGTGAGCCCTTCACACCATAACTTTATGTGTAAGACTCTCTGGGGGAGGAGAAAATCACACTAAACTAAGGAAGTAATGAAAGTCTTCTCCTGAGTGTCTGAGAAGATAATTCAGTTGCTAGAGCTGCACTGGAGCCTAAACAAACTTTTCACTCCCCAGCTCCCCTTAAGTTTCTATGCCGTCGCTTGTATGTCTGTTCCTGGATTTCTGGGTGGTTATCCTGAATTTCCCCAAGGCCTGGCCAATAATCCATTCCTCTTCATTTGCACCTGCTTTCTCTGGTGCTCCATGAGGAAATTTACTCAGCTTCTATCATTCCCTGGGCCTACTGCTCCTATCAACACTAAGCCATTATCTTATCTTCTTTAAGCCCTCTGAGCTCCTCTTCACACAGTTTCTGCTTAATCATTGCCTCTTCTGGTTGTTGTCTAATGGTTTCTGAGGTTAGCTTTCTCTTGTGTATCTTTCAGCTACTGTTTTTACTCCCAACTGCCTAACCTTCTCTCCTTATCATATTCATACTCTCCAAAAAAGGAATCAATCCGTTAGCTAATTACTAACATCTTCCTTGGGCAAAGGTTTTATTGAGTCAGCTCATAAGCCACTGTCTAGCCGGAAGATTGATTGTCATGGTGTCAAATGTTGAGCCCTGTTCCAACTAGGGGGCCAGGGTTACAAGAGACAAGGATGGAAGCTTACATCAACAGAGCCAGGCTTGGAGGGTGACTGTGGATATGGCCGACAACCTGAGGCTTTGCTGAATTAGGAGAATGACACTACAGGCATAATTAGAGGCATTTTAAACGGAGAAAACAAAAACATACTAACATCAGCCACAATATAACACTGGCATAACTTCAGGAGATGGTAAGGGAAAAAGGGATGAAGAAAAATAGAAATTCATCCTTGGGAATAAACATTTATGTACAGGGAAGAGCAGAGAAAGTAGATCTATTCTTGGAAAGGAGACAGGTTGGCCCACTTCATAAGAAATTACCTTTCCTGAGATCCACATAAAGAAAATCCAAAGACATCTTCTCAAATACATGAGGAGTGACTTACAGAGTGTGGTAAGTGTCATGGTTCCTTGGCCTAGCCAAGTTGACACATACCCAGCTATTCAAATCATACTCTAAGCTGGATGTTGCTGTAAAGGTACGTATTTTGCAGATGTGGTTAATTAGCTACAATCAGTTGACTTAAGTAGATTATCCTAAATAATTTTGGTGGGTCTCATCCAATCAGGTGAAAGGTCTTAAGAGCAAAACTGAATTATTTTGTTTTTTTTTTTCCCTAAGGAAGAAGAAATTTCACCTGTGGGTTGCAGCATCCACTATGCAAGGCATTTTGGCCTTCCCTACAGATTTCAGACTTGCCAGCCTCACAATCACATAAGCCAATTCCTTTAAAATATGTAAACATACAAATATAAAATATATATCTCCTACTACTTGTTCTCTCGTAGAACCTCGCTTTGTACACAGTATGGAAGCACAAACTCCTCAGACTAGCTTGAATACACTCGGAATTTGGTACCCCATATAACCTTTATCATCAGCTGTTCACTCCAATTAGACCAGTCTTCTGTGTGTCTTGTCATTTGCATGCTCGTTTTCCTGCTTCTACTCACACTGCCTTTCCCTTCGGACTTGTCTCCATTCTTTCTCCCACCTTTATAAATCCTTCATTTTACTCACACTCTAGCTCCATCCCAAGTCCTCCACGCCACTTTTAACTTTAGCTCCTTTTGCTCTTTCTCTAAACTTCCTTAGCAGTTATTAGCTACGCCATTCACTGGTTTTTAATCTTATATATCTCACCTACCAGTGTCTTTTTTATATAGCATCCACCACTAGGAAGTATAAATTTGCAAGTACAAATTTGGGTGTGCAAGACATGTCACTATTCTTTAAATCAAATTAAATTTACCACAGACTTAAGTGATCTCAGCCTTAATTCTGCTGGAGTAGAAGGAAATCCAATCTCAGTTCTTACTGGGCTTTCCTCTCTTCCTAGTACTGCAGTAGGGTTTGAAAGACTTATGTTGAGCCTAGAAAATGGAAGATGGACTTTGACATCCTCACTGGCAATTCCTCCACTTATGGGCCAAGAGAGGCAAGGGAATCCAGCCTCCCTAATGGCATTGTGCATCCATATGAGGTTAGAGTATCTCCCTGGGGTACTCTTATTCTTACTACTGGAACCCCAATCTTTGATTTTCTACAGCTCATGGGAATTTTTTTTTCTGTAATTCCACCTGCCCATAGATGCTTCTTCTTTCCTCTTTTTTTTTTTTTTTTTTTTTTTTTTGAGACAGATCCTCACTGTGTCGCCCAGGCTGGAGTGCAGTGGCACAATCTCGACTCACTGCAACCTCCACCTCCCTGATTCAAGCAATTCTCTGCCTTAGCCTCAGCCTCCCAAGTAGCTGGGATTACAGGCACCTGCCATCATGCCCGGCTAATTTTTGTATTTTTAGTAGAAACGGGGTTTCACCATCTTCGCCAGGCTGGTCTTGAATTCCTGACCTTGTGATCCACCTGTCTCAGCGCCCCTTCCTTCCTTCCCTCCCTCCCTCCTTTCTTCCCTCCCTCCCTCCCTCTCTCTCTCTCCCCAGATGTGCTTACCTTTTTAACCCCCTAGCAACATCTCCTCAAGGAGCAACAAACTTGAAAGACAGATTGCTGGGTCCAATTCCAGAAATAACATTGACACTGCATTCTAAGGAGTCCTGTTCCAGGAGGCTTCATTTAAAATGTGAATGGTGCCCCCTGGAGTTGCCTAAGAGAGAGCTCTTGTCAGACAACTTTCTGCCTAGTAACACAAAGTTCCCTTGAAGCCTGCTTGGAATGGAAGGGAGGGAAAATATAAGGAGCATAAAACCCAAATAAATAGCTCAATAAATTATCCTGTCACACACCTTTTGTTTGTTTTTTGTGTTTTTATTTCACTTTTAAAAATATGTATGGGCTGACATGTGTAGTGTTCCAATTAGATTATGAGCTTCTTGAAAATGAGAACAATATTTTACTACTTATTTTTTAATCTTTCTAAGGTCCCAATATAGTAACTTGTACATAGCAGGTTCTCGAATGTGCCTTGAAAGGAATGGAGGAATGATCGACCTTGTGAATTATTGGTTAGGCCCCACCTGTTCAGACTGCACTGGCACTGACTTCCTCACTGTGGGATTGGCTCTGGTGTCTTTTCATTGTCACTTTTAGTGTTAAGTAAATAACTAAAACACTTTTAGTGTCACAATTTAGTGTTTTTCTTTATCTGCTTCTGTTCACAGCCACTCCTTTCCTGAATTTCTAAGATATCAAATTTCTACTTGGGACTTTTTGGCCCAAGTTAAAGTAAACACTTCCTTTAAAATGTATGTAGATGATATTAACTTGAACCTTCTTTAATGTAAAAGAATTGAAAGTTACAACATAAACATGTATATGGTACCAACAGTGGAAAATTTCTAAGTGAAATCAAAGCGGGATCTAGCATTTGTTTCATCATACTACTCACTTGAAGAGCTGAGTATATTATGTGAACTTTATCCCACTAATCCTTAGAGATAAGCAAAGGTACTTGAAAGAATGACTTGTACAGATAGGGTCACATAGCCAGGTAGTGACAGTGTTAACAGTCTGCTGCCTTGACAGTATTTGAATAGTTAGGCTACTTAGCCTTAACACTGGGCTATACATTGTTTTAATGACATAATGACATATTTGTGCTCTAACAGAAGAATTCACATTTTCACAGCATACTTACATTAGCACTCTTGGTATTGAGAACATGTATCAAAATTTGCCAATATTAACTTAGTTCTGAACCCCCCAACTTCCCTCTTCTGTAATCTTGCTGCTGCTTTTATTTTTCTCCTCTTCACTCCCTCCCACATCCTCTTCTCTCTAATGCTATTAAAGACTGAAAGAAAGCTCAATCACATTACAGCATTGAAACTTATATATATATAAGCCCTCCTAGGACTACTTGCACTTTGAAAGACAACAGCTTAGCTGAAAGAAATTATCCATCACTTTCTGCTATCAAGGAAGAATTGGGAGAGGTGAAAAGCCTTCTTTCCTTGTTCTCTTAAATAACATGTAGGTCATTAAACTCTACTTTCAGCTTCTAGAGGAGAAAGCTTGCAATGGAAAAAGACAGAGGAAGTAATGATCAGGGGAAAAGAGGATGAGAGGAGTATTTTATTTTTATATTCAAGTTGGGAAAGAAGGAGAACAGGGTAGAACTTTACCTTTTCCATATCTGGTAAACCACCATACTTTGTGGAAGTGAAATGTATACTTTCAGCACTTAATCAGTATGTACCAATAATGAAACCGACTTTCAGGCCTTCCTTTGATAGAACGATCCTAACTATAATGCAAAGTAACATTTTGTAAAGTGGGTTTTTGTCTCTCTCTCCTTCTTTTCCCTCGCCTATACTACTTTAGGATCTGATCACAGAGTCAACACCGTGCTATGCATTATTCCTTCAGCAAACAGTACCCTTTCATGGCTTCACACCAGTGCTCATGTTACTCCCTTTATCTGAAATCATCTTCCCTCTGTTGCTCTGCCTACTCAACTCCTATTCATCCAACAAGACCCAATTAAAATGCCAGCCATGATGCCTTCTCCAGTTCTTCTACCCTGAGCAAGACCAATCCCTCCCTCCATTATGACTCCACAACACTAGTGGATATGTTTATAACTCATCATCTTATATATGTTAATATGTTGCTCTACTTCACAAAAATGTAAACTACTTCAAGTTGGGGCCAGGTCTTATTTATTCATATTTTCCGTGCCCAATACTGCTATATATCAGGCATGATAAATGTATATACTACAGTCTGGACAGTATAAAATGTTTACAGTTTCATAAAGGAGACAAGGTTTACAGACACAAGAGAGCAAGACAATATAATGGATTGGGCTAGGAAAATGAGGGTTAGTTAACTACTAAATTCCACAAATATTTATTAAATAGTCAGGAGTCAGGAATTATGTCCTGGGACTACTAGGATAAATAAAATAGTCATTTCCTTTGAGGTGCTGACAATCCATCTTGTAGATACTCTCTAAATGTGGACAACACTTCCCTGGTTTACCTATAACTTTTCATGTTTTCCTTATAGCAACCCTCTGATGTACATCATTATTTTCATTTTTATAGAGATCGAAACAGAGGGTTTGAATTCCCAGGTCTTCTGACTCCAAGGCCAGGTTTTTCTAACCCACTACATCAGTGTTCCTCAAAATTTTCCTCTGGTGTACACTTTCCCAGTAGAGAATAAACTTAGGCTCCTCAGGGTTGGGTAATACTTGTGTGTTATCTTAAAAAGTCATGCTTACTACAATGTCTTACCTTATTTACCAGAGAGTCAAAATGATGCTCAGAGAAAATGAGCCACATTGATTCTGGGTCCTTGAGGGTCCTCAGTACAGGGTTGCACAATCAAAGGAACCCACATAATATGAGAAGCACATGGCTACACTCCTGCCTTTATTCAGGGTCCCTGGGTTTGGCTTGAGTCCACACTCAAAATTTTGGGTAACTTCATCAGATTTCTTAATGTCATGATTTTATTCACAGTCTTCTCTGAAGACTGGAACAAAACACCCACTGTACTCCCAGATGTTAAGTGAGTAGTGAGGGCTGCCCCTTTCCTCCCTGAAAGGGTATCTCACTCTGGCAATAAGGTCTCCTCAGTCTGATACTCTCTGCCACCCCTCCCATTGCTGGTCTCCTTCAACTCCCTGTAGGTCCTGGAAGGCCGGAAAAGGTTTACCACCACACTCCGGTCAGCACCGCCGCTAGAGGGCAGCCCGCGGCTGCAGCTTCGTGAGCCCTCTAGTGGCTGCTGGGGTGACCTGGCTCTTTTATGGAACCCATTAAAAACTCTCAGAAGTTGCACTTGGGAAGCCAGCCTGTGTGACACCCGGTAGCGAACTTTTTATAAAACGTCTTGGTTCTCGGCTTCCTTTTCTTAAGGCCTTTGGCAGACCTTAGATACGTTACCCCCTCGATGACTCTCCCACTTCCTAAGGATCTCCCCCTCCCAGGGTGTTGCAACTTGGAGCCATCATTCTCTCTTGGCAAGGCAAAAAATTAGAACCTTGGGGAACTTGGCAACTTTCCTCAACGTGATATAGGGCATACACACACACACGTATATATATACCTACATTCAAGATTTTTCAGCGTAATTCCAGTTTCAGCATAGCTTGCAGGCTCTGGAATTAAACTTCCAGGACTCAAATTTTGGCTCCTGCATTTACTAATTGGGTAATTTTAAGAATGTTAATTAACCTAAGCTTCCATTTCATCTGTAACAGAGGGAGACTAATAATACCTACATTATACACTCTTGGGGAGGAATAACTATGATAATGTATGGAAAGTGCTAGTCTGGCACACAAAGTGTTCAACAAACATTAGCTATTTTTATCCTTCAAAGCTTCTGTCTAGTGCACACCATGTCTATCAATTAGGTCCACAAAAATACTGTCTTTACACACCCACATGAAGATATGTATGCAAAATGAATGTCGTAAACCACCTATAGTTTCCTAAAGTGGCTAAGCTAATAGAGACCTTAGAGTATGGAAAAGGGGGCTCATTTGTGTGATGCAACTCGTGCAATGGGTAGTTGGAGCACAGCGTAATCCAAGAGGCCCCGGGGGCGGGGGGGCGGCTTATTTTGCACACAGGTGTTCTTCCTCCCTGCACCCCCACCCTCAACCCTCACCACGTGCAAGCATTCAGTGTGAGTCTGGGCCTTAAGTCTGTGGGCCAGGAGAGAGGGCACAGTGGACAAAAGCAAGAGGGTTTCAGGCCAAGGCAGGGAACTGAGAACTCAAAGGCCAGGCAACCCAAGCCAATCAGATTCACCATCCACTAGGAGTCTAAAAGGTGGCAGAGCCCCACAGCCCAAAGTCCACACACAGCAGGAAAGTGGCCAGAGGATCTAACAGGTAGAAACCTGATAGACACTCTATCAGAAAAGTTAAAGCTGAAGGGCTCATAACACCCACGGGCCCAAAGAAAGGTCAGTGTGAGCTGAACAGCTGTTCCATTTGGTGCCAGAGGCCTTGGCTGTTGTATTCTACATCCACGCAGCCTCCCTGATCAGCCCCACCTAGAAAAGCCAATTCTTCTGCTCTTAAAGGAGACTGACTTATTTGTGGCAAAGCTATCATTTAGGTATGAATGGGAAGGGGGGGAATGGTGCGGAGTCTGCGGGGGGAGGGCGGGTGTTCAACGGGCTCCAAAGGAAGGAGCTCGTGGCTGACGCCTGAGCCTCCATGTTGTGAGTACTACATGCGTTTCTTTCAGAGGCAGGCAGTGGCCTTGGCTGCAGGGACCCTGACAAGCCGCGACTTGAGCTATGCTTTAGAGCCTGGGTGGAATTGGGAGCGGTATAAAGGAGGGAGGGCATTCCTGGAAAGGGGGTGGGGTGGGGTGGGGAGGTGGAGGGGAACAGCATGAGCAAAGGCACGAAGGAAGAATGAATCTGCTGCGCGTTGAGGATGGCATGGAGACTTCCCTGATTGGAGCCGGGAGTTCTTGCAGGGGGATGGAGGCCGCTATGATTGGATAGTTAAAGTGGGGCCAGATTTGGAGGGCTTTGAATGCCCGACCGAGGAGCACTCAACCCAGCTCCTGACTCGCGATTTCCGTTCAAGACCGAATTACCTAAAGGGTGGTTAATTCCAACGGGTGTTCTTCTTTGGGGGCTTCTGAAAAGTCAGTTTATCGTCTTACCTGCTTCAGTTCTCTTCATTTACTCAGGGAGGAAGTAATCCTCACATGCATGTGCAGGGGAAGGGGGATAATGTTGATTTCTCTTTACTTGCTTTGAAGATGCCTCCCCCGCCCAAATCCCATTTCCACGCCAAATATTATTAAATTTGGTTTCTCCTCCTCCTCCTCACGCAAGTTCTCTTTCTCTCGCCAGCACCTCCCCCACGTTTTCCTGCTCTCCACCAGCCGGGCCGGACTCCTCCCGGCCCCCAGCGGCGCGCTTCCCTGGCCCGCTGGCCCGCGCCGCCCTCCGCGCCGTGCGCCCCCATCCCGGCCCGTCGCGCCCGCGGCCCGCACACCCTGGTCCACGCCCCCCGGCGGAGCGGTAGGTGTTGTGCGGTCTGCGCCGGGCCGCAGTGCGGCTGCGCGCACTGGGCTGCCTCCGGGGCTGGCAGGGCAGCGGCGGCCGCGGCGGCGGCGGGGCCGGGAGCGAGCGGCGGCGGCGGCGGCGGCGTGGGGAGTGGCGTGGAGCGGTGCCTGGGGCTGCAGCAGCACGGGGACCCGGCAGTAGAAAGCCCCGGGGACAAGGAAGGAAGGCTTGGCCGCCAAATCCCTGAGCAACCGTTCTTCTTGGATTTTGGGGGGAGCCTGCCCCCCCCACTTCGTCTTCAAACGCCCCCATCTCACCCCCCCACAGCCCCGGCCGCTGACGGGAGGAGGCGGCGGCGCCAGCGGGGGGCTGAGGGGCGCCGCCATGCCTCTCCCGCGGTGAAGCGCCCCGGCCGTGAGGAGCCGCTGGTCTCCCCGGTGATGTTCCCCAGGCGGCAGGCGAAAGCGACTCACTCGAGCCCTGGGGTAAAGGCCTAGCTTATCCAGCTTCCTTCCTCCTCCTCCTCCTCTTCCCCTCCCCCTCCCCCTCCTCCTCTCCCCCCTTCGTCCTCCCCTCCCGGTCTCTTCCCTCACCCTTCCCCGCGCCCCCATCTTTCCCTCCCTCCCTCCCACCCCTCTGCAGCGATGGCAGAGGAACAACAACAGCCGCCACCACAGCAGCCTGATGCCCATCAGCAGCTTCCCCCCAGCGCCCCCAACTCGGGGGTGGCCCTGCCAGCCCTTGTGCCCGGGCTGCCAGGGACAGAGGCCAGCGCGCTGCAACACAAGATCAAGAACTCCATCTGGTAAGAGGATCCTCCATCGCTCGCGTGAAAAAGCCCAGGCACATTTCTGCTGCAAAGTGGGTGGGGGGCGGCGGGCGGGGGGAGCGGAGGAGGAGGCTGATGCATTCATTGAATGTGGCTTTCCCCAGTCGGGTGCACATTTGTAGGATCTCTGGAGGTGTGCGGACTTTGCATCAATCAGCCCCTGTCTTCTTAGCTAAAAAATGCTTTTACCCCTTCCTCAATTGTGAGTGCAGATAAACAAGTTTTTTGGTTTTATTTTTTCACTCATTGTAACAGAAATATGGGTCGAAATTAAGTCATATTGCATGATGGTGGCATGAATTTGGAACTGGAGAATGTGAAATGTGTTTACTCCTTTTTGCAGCCATAGAAGGAGGAAGAAGTGTATTGTGAATTTTCACCAAACAGATACTGTGCGTAAGAATATTAATATGCAGCACAAAACCTAATGTGTCTCTTCCTTTCAGTTGGGTTAGCTGCTATTTCTGAATGTTTTTGCCTCCCTTATCCTAATATTAAATTTCTTTTTCAGGGAGTTTATTCTTTGCATTGATTGTGAAGAAAGTGCTTTTTTAGTATAAAATATTTTAAGATGGTAGTTTACAACAAAGTGGTTTTTTTTTAAATTAAAATATAGGGAATCAAATGTCTTGCCATTTGTATGTCTTTTTAAAAGAAACCATTGATGGAATATCTTTCGCTATTTTACTTTCTTGTATGAAAATTTCCAATATTTCAGCATTAAACTCCTAAAGTCTAGTGGGAATCTTTTAATAATTAAATACACTAAGTCCATCCACTGTTAGAGCCATTGCAATATTCTTTGAACATGAACTTGCATTGTTTTGTAGGATGCTTCATTAACTGCCTTTTTTAAGTGTAGCAATATTTTTTAAATGGAAAGTAATATTTGGAATTTGGTCTAAGATTGCTTTTAATAGAAGTTTAAAAAGAATTTTATATGGTATTTTAAAAAGCCTTGATTTTGAAAATGGAAATGAAATCTTTGCAGGGCCATCATTGAATATGAGTACTAAAATATCAAAACTCATTTTCTCATTTTGAAAACATATCGTAAAGCAACTGGCGTTGCATGAACAGTATTTGCACATTTTTAAAGTGACAATTTTTAAATACAAGATTTAGGTTAGTTATATAGTAATTTTCATTATTTTCTTGGCATGCATCCATGCCGTCATGATGCTGATATGAAGTAGGTCAGTGCAGGCTTTAATAGTTTCATCAACAGTAGTTGGCAGTTGAGTATCTTGCTTTCAGTTTTAATTTTAAAATGAAGTTTAAATATTTTAAAGGAGAATTTTTTTGGCTTTGACAATAGTCATGTTGTGGCAACTTGAATAGGTCTGATAGATATGATTGGGGTGTGTGTGTGTGTGTGTGACAGAAAGCAGGCTTTATTCTTCAATGGATACCCTCACCCCCTTTTTAAAGCTATAATTTAAAAGAAGAGATGGTGAATATCTTGCTTGCCATCAAGGTTTTCACAAAACCAGTGTGTATGTGTGTGTGTTTTTAACCTCTAGTAACGTGACGTAACTTTGTGTTTCTGAAATCATCATTAAATTGAATTAAGCACCTTGGTTTTACATTCAGATGTGGGAAATCCAAGTTAATGGACTAAAATCTTTTAAGAGAGACAAATTTTAAAAGTTGAATGAGTAATGTATATTTTAATTGATTATGAGAACAAGAGGGGAAAGGAATCTTCACTTTATAGTTTTAAAATAAGTGAGTTGTGGAGGCAACTGACTGAAATGTTTGAATAATGATGATAGTCGAGTGCACTTTTTGGCAAATAATGTGTAAATTTAATTTTTTTTTATATTGGCACATCCATTACAGCCTAACTGCTCTGACTTTAACATGAGAAAAACTTCTGAAGTAGAGTGCACTCCAGTTTTTGGTACTTGCTCTGAAAAAATAATGGGCAGCAAACACGTGAATCCCAAAATATGAAAATTTATATTTTTGTTTTAAAATTGTAATGATACACTTATTGGCATCTAATGATCAACTTTAGAAATCCTATTTGCAAAAATGATTTTTATATACTTAAAATTTCGGAATAAACAACATTTGTAGATAATAAACAAAATTAGTAAATATACTTAATAGTGTCATACCCCCTGCTCCACAAGAATGGATTTATATTATTCATCAAGTGACTATGTAAAATAAAGATATCAAAAGTGAAAACTCCTTTACTACCATATATTCCTAAGAAATAGTATATATGTATTAAATCATTTTTAATAGATGATTGCAGTTAGATATTTCACATTTTTGAGACAATAATATTATTTTACAAATTATTTTATCACCTGATAATATTCTGAGAGACTATCAGTTTTGTACTACTTCCTGAATCATCCTTTGGTGCCATTATTAATGAGAGTTTAAAATTACACTCAAAAGAAATGTGACATTTAAAAATTATCAAATGGGTTTTGCATTTGGTTTATCATAGTTTCTAAATTACTGGGCTTGCATATCACAAACAAGTCTGTACTTGTCCTCCTACTCTACAAATATAAATATAGTATGTGATGTAGGCCTTTGGACAATAAGTTATCAGTTCATAATTTACTCTGTTTATTAAACTGAAATATGGTTTGATAAAAGTATGTGCATTGAAATATCAGGCATTAAATGAGTCTGGAAAAAAAGCATTCAAAGTTGAGTGGAAAAGAGTTGGAAATATATTTTAAAGGTAATTATAGAAAATAAGGTTAGTACAAAATTGACAATGTTGTTATGTTTCTATAATATGGTTATGAATACCTTCAAGTTAACTCTAGGTTAACAAGCTTGCATGTTTCTTACCCTTACTCATTCTTACTCCATAGACAAAAGGTCCAAATCACTGACACTATTCACTAGAAAGGAGATTTCTTAGTAGGCATGTGCTTTAGTATTGAATATGCTGTAAGGTTATTTGTATTTTCTAAAAAGTAGAATTCCAAAATTAGCTTTTTGTTGTTAAAAAAAAAAAAAGAAAACTAGTAACCCATGTATTTTTACCTAAAACAAGGCCACAACCCAACCTAACTGCAAACTTCTTTTAGCTTAAATTGTACCCCTCTTTGGTTACTTCAAAAAAAAAAAAAAAAAAAAAAGAAATACCAAAGCAAGTTTTCCCTTCCTCTTATCTCTCAGTGTCTTCGTAGTTTAGTGAAAATTTTTTAGTGTAAGCAACAGTAAACACATTTACTAAGTCCTTTTATTTACCTTTTTAAGGCAGTTTTACTTGAAACCCTGATAGAATAAAATTGCTGTGGAAAAAATAGGATTGAGATGGTTTCTGCCTGTTTGTGAATTGAGATCATACCTACATGAGTGGGAGTGAATAACATATTTGCAGTGAGGCTGTAACATAGATACAGGTTGATCATCCCTAATCCAAAATCCCCCAGAATTCAAGATGCTCCAGAATCTGAAACACTCCAAAATCCCAAACGTTTTTAGTGCCACAAGTGAAAAATTCCACACCTGACTTCATTGTATCACACACAAAATTATTTAAAATATTGTATAGGCCAGGCGCGGTGGCTCACACCTGTAATCCCAGCACTCTGGGAGGCTGAGGCGGGCGGATCACCTGAGGTCAGGAGTTCAAGACCAGCCTGGCCATGGTGAAACCCCGTCTCTACTAAAAATACAAAAAATTAGCCGAGGGTGGTGGTGCCCACCTGTAATCCTGGCTACTCGGGAGGCTGAGGCAGGAGAATCGCTTGAACCCAGGAGGCGGAGGTTGCTGTGAGCCGAGATTGCACCATTGCACTCCAGTCTGGGCAACAAGAGCAAAACTCCGTTAAAAAAAAAATTGTATAAAAATTACCTTCAGGTTATGTGTATAAGGTGTATATGAAACATAAATGAATTTCTTGTTTAGACTTGGGTTACATCCCTAAGATGCTCATTACACATATGCAAGTATTCCAAAATCCAAAATAATAAATTGGAGGCACACTAGGCGCAGTGGCTCACGCCTGTAATCCTAACACTTTGGGAGGTCAAGGTGGGCAGATTGCCTGAGTTCAGGAGTTTGCGACCAGCCTGGGCAACACGGTGAAACCCCGTCTCTACTGAAATCCAAAAAATTATCCAGGTGTGGCATCGTGCGCCTGTAGTCCCAGCCACTTGGGAGGCTGAGGCAGGAGAATCCCTTGAACCCAGGAGGTGGAGGTTGCAGTGAGCCGAGATCATGCCACTGCACTCCAGCTGGGCGACAGAGCAGGACTCTGGTTCAAAATAAAAAACTAAAAATAATAAATAAATAAATAAGTCGGAAGCACATATGATCCCACGCATTTCAGATAAGAGATAGTCAACTTGTATTAAACTTGTACCTGAAAATTCAAAAGAAATCCTGATGTTTTATTTTAGAAAATATTCCAATACTGCATTTACTCAAATTTAGGGATTCTTAAAAGAATTTGTTATCAATTACTGTTTTTATTTCTGTAACTTTATTTGCAGGCAAGACCTCATAAGCCTCTTCTTAAAACGGTCATATAAGATCTATCGTTTTGCCCACTTTATGGAAAGAGATAAACAATGACAGAAGACCTATAAGATTCTACTGATTCCTTATTAGACCCTGGAAAAAATGCTGGGGTCAGAGTTCCTTATCTTTATTCAATCCTGTAAGGCATACATACTTCTGTATCTGCTATATTTTAGGCTGAAGATTATAATAAAAGTAGAATTATATATATGATCTATTTTGGATGTTTTCTGAATTCTAGTTAAAACCCAAATTGAACAATTTTGTTTTACTTTCTTATGATGATGACAATCAACATCTAGATATTAAGTGATTAATCTCTTGTTTCCATCTTAGTTACAGGGAGCTGTGTTTGGTGATCCAGAAGGTTTACATAGTGATGCCATATTAGTTCTGATTACAGTCCGCCATCCTAGAATGCAGTGGTTCAGTTTTATTCTTGGTTTTTGAATCAGGTAGTTTATTAACTCTGTTGAGAAATATTGTTCCTTCAGCTACAGTGGAAAACATGTACTATAAATTCATAACTTTAGAGTTTACTTTAACTGAAAGTCTATGATTTTCATTTTGCTTTAAAAATACAGACCGACTAGCACATCAGCTGGCTTCCATGTATTTTTGATTAGTAGGTTGACCTCCTACCTACCCTGAGTTTAGCCTGTCTTCAATACCAAGCACACAAAAGACTTAAGATGCATTTTGCATATCCGTATTGAGGCTAGCTGTGTCCCAACATGGTTTCTGGTTCCAGAAGGAAGGCAGTTCCTTGCTCTCCTATGATTTTAAACTGATAAAATTGTCTTCCCTATTGACAAAAGTTAATTGCAAGTTAAGCAATTCCAAGCCTGTTGATTTTCTTGTCTTGTTTAGGTTGGGTAGTGGATATGTACATATTTAAATGATTGACCAATTTGCTCTCTCCATTGAAAGGTGTCTTGAATGATGGTATGTGCAGGACTGATTTGGTTTATGTCTAACTGTAAATTTTTGGTATTAATTGGGGAAAATGAGCTTCATAGTGGTAGAAAAGAGAGAAGTGTCTTGTTATGAAAGATGCATTGGATTAAGAATTATGTTGCATTACTTTTTCCATTAGAAAATAATATTGCATGCTAAAATTGTGCAAATGAAAATTAAAATAAGCCTTATCATTTACTTATATTTGAGGACTTTAAGCAAGAAGAGTTTGTAAGTACTTAAATGAGTATCTGCTATATACAAAGTATGCCAGAGACTGGCATTTGAGGAATGCCCATTCACTTGTAATATTAACCTTGTAAAATTGACCTAAGCAAAAATATGCAATAAAACTTCTCTTTTATTCAGTTAGGGGACCAGGAAAAGAAGTGACAAGTGTCAAGGTAATGCACTGTGGAAAAAGTAGACCTTAGTTTCCTCATTTACAAAATGAGAGATTTTTACTAAGTGACCGTGAAGGTTCCTGAGATTCTAACACTGTTACTAAATCAATATTGACAACAATAATAAAACCAAAAGCACAATGAAAGACTAATATAATTAATTTATCATAGGCAATCAACAGAACATTTTCATTGGATGAATTATTAGGATTTGTCAGTGTTTCCTTGGGTGTTAGCTGAGGAGGACTTGCTTATTGCTACCTTGTGCAAGGGTTCTGTTATGTGAGATTAACTGTGCAAATCTTTATTGAGCATATATTACATTTAAAGTAGTTAAGAGCTGTTTATTGTGCAAAAGTAAGGCTATGCAGTAATCCTGGTTGTTGGGGAGTTTACTAACTGCTGGTTGAGAGATTGTAGTAGGGAGGCTGTTTGTGTGCTGCTTTTGTTTTGTCTTCTTTATAAAGAGATGTTTAACCTTATCCCATAATAGTAATGTAATATTTTAAGGCAGTGAATGTCATATTGTAGATTCAATTATATAAATAAGAAAAGTATGTACTCTTTCAGAATAATTTAGTGCAGAGTTGAGCTTCACAGCTATTCCTCTTCATCTAGGATAGATATTTTAATAAGTAATCGTGACAGAATGTTCTTTGTAAATTATAAGGAACATGATAGTAAGATGGTTATTCTACATCTCTGAGCAAAGTAGACCACTCTTGTCCAGTGCCTCCTATTCTACCATTCTCTTTCTGTTTAGTCTTTTAGTTGCTTTCTCTTCTGCTTTTTGGAGGGTTCTAAGTTCGAGTTAAAGATGAGAAGCATGGGCCAATAGGAGGAAGAATCTTCCTGCCTTGGGTAGGATAATAAAATAAGGAACAATAAACAC
The DNA here is from genome assembly GCF_000001405.40 of Homo sapiens. Lineage (NCBI taxonomy): Eukaryota > Metazoa > Chordata > Mammalia > Primates > Hominidae > Homo > Homo sapiens. Next base: position 56,236,340 of record NC_000015.10, on the reverse strand, counting down.
TAAGGCCTTAATGCACTTACTTGCTGACTATGAGATTAAGATATTTGGCACTCAACCCACATAAATAAATACCTTAAAACATGATTTTTCTTTTTTTGCGACTGTAAATAGGCATTTACTTTTTCTATTTCACTAACTGTATGCCTCCTATTTATAAGACAAAATAGAAACATGAGGTTTGGTTAATTATGTACAACCTCTCTATCAGGCATCTATTACCGTAGCTCATATATATATAACAAAAAGTTGTGTGGGAGGTGAAATTTTCTATTTCCTCGTAACTGAGCACAAACTGAAAAATTCTGATATTCCTTACTATTTGAGTCTTGCTTTTTTCCTGAGTGCAGAAAGTGAAAGATCAGAAAGTGACAGATTCCAATCTGTTATGTCTTGGATTTTTGGGAGGCATGAGTCCATATGGTACACACTACCATGTCTTCCAAATAGCCTTATCTGAAATAAAAAAAATAAATTATCTGAACCCATTTGTTGTCTAAATTTGAATAGCAAAGGTTTAGATAGCAAAGGATACCTTTACACCCATTCCAACACGGGATTAGCAAATTGATTGGAACTTGCATGCTAAGTCTGATTGATTAGTGATATTTCTAGCAAGGGCATGGGAATAAGAAGTAATGATACACATGCCCTATAATTGCCACCCTTTTTCTTTCCAAAATCAGTAATTTTTAATTTGAGCTCTCTTATAGATGAAGCATTACAGCAATGGCTATCTTGGGGAGGGAGAGTCACTAGGGCTATTGTCTTGCCATTTATGATGCCTAGTTTTAAGGTATAAACCAAGCATGGAGAGCACTTGGTTTGTGTGTTTTTCTGTTTTTCTGTGGCTTTTCTGTTTTGAGCACCTGTATTGTCAAGTAGCTACAAGATGAGAACAGGGCACTTTGGGAGGCCGAGGTGGGCGGATCATGAGGTCAGGAGATCAAGACTATCCTGGCTAACATGGTGAAACCCCGTCTCTACTAAAAATATAAAAAATTAGCCAGTCACAGTGGCGGGGCCTGTAGCCCCAGCTACTCAGGAGGCTGAGGCAGGAGAATCGCTTGAACCTGGGAAAAGCAGGGGCTGCAGTGAGCCAAGATCACGCCACTGCACTCCGGCCTGGGCGACAGAGTGAGACTCCATCTCAAAAAAAAAAAACAACAAACGAGAACAGGGGATTACTGTATGAACTGGCTGCTTCAATTTGCACTATCCATAACCCTTTTTCTTTGCTTCCATTATCTTATTTCTCTACTTACGTATGTGCTGGTCTGGTCCCATTACCTGCTACCTTAAGAATGTTGTTTCTGCTGATATAAGTGTCTAACTTTAAGATCCAGCTTGTGAAACATGTCTCACGAACCTTTCGTCAACTCCCAGGGGAACAATGATCTGAGTTGTGTAATTTAATTTTTTTCAGTAGTTTAGACTGGCCTTTCCTAAGGTAAGTCCATTTTAGTGAGTTTTTACTGAATTTAAATGAAACACTCTCATTTTCTAATATGTAAAGTTGATAGGAATTTGGAGATTGAATATATCTGAAACAAAGTAATCACTTGCAGAATCAGTAGTCTACAATATGACAGTAAAATATGTTATTTCTATATGGCAACACCAAGAACTTACCATTGTTTTTGCAGTAAGCATGAAATTTAAAAATTTAATTGGATGAGTGTCACTTCAGTGACATCTTGCTTAGAGTAAAGTTGGTGCTTCTGGGAACCTGAGAAACGTATTCCAACAAGATGCTTTAGTTAATGTAAGTGAATCACTTCCGTAATTTGATTGCAGTCATTACATCTATTAATAAGATATATCAAAGCAATCTATGATCAAAATTTAACTGTCATATTATTAAATGCATGTCCTTTTTTCTGAAGCAGGAGCCACTAGCAAGCAGCATTTTAGGCAGATTCTACATGTACAGGTTTTTAAGAAGTCAGAAGGTCAACGATAAATTCTGAATTTATAGAATCATGTAGTCAGGGAAAACTGAATTCAGTACACATTTGTTTTAATGACTGCCACATACAAGGCATAAAAAGGTTAAAAAAGTATAAGACATTCTTACCACTTTAAAACATTCACCCTCTTTTGTGGGAGACTCATCAATTGAGTTTATCAAAAGTAAGTTTTGTTAAATGCAATAATGGCGTATAAGCAGTGGTATAAACAAATACAGAATTAGGTGAGGGAGAGATTCAGTGAGGACATAATATTTTTACTGACAAAATTCAGGATAGTGGCCTTAATGAAAAATCAAGGGATGGGCTATAAATCCAAACACACTTAACAGTATACTTACTTGGTCATTGTTAATCTCACTAGCAGAAATTAGATTCAGAGTTATGATGACAGTGAGCTTTGCCAATAATGTGAATAAATAGAGGAAAATGGCTTGGGAGAAAATTTGCTTGACTAAGGAATAGGATTTCCACTAACTAATCACAATCCTCTCATGTTAAGTTTCGATGTACAAGTAGAAGAAAGAATATAAAGTAATAGTAGAGAAGAAAAGGATGTGAGCTGGGTGGGAACTGGAGCAGAGTACCAGAGTACAGGTTGCCACAACCAATGTCACCTTAAACTTGGCCTTTCACAACCACGATTTTTCTATGCCTTAGTACCTTGCCACCTCAAATTGCTTTCATTTACTCTCATTTCATTTACTTTCATTTCATTACTCATTTCAGTTACTCTAATTCTTTTGATAGTAGATATCACTTTTCCTTCTTTCCATCAGTCTGGCAGCATTGGTTTCATCTTTTATTTTTCTCTCATCCTCGTGTCCAGTATTTTAACAAGTTTCCCAGTTTGCAGTGTAGCTTAAATTTCTCCTTGTCTTCCTATTTCCACTGCTGATATGGTTTGGCTGTGTCCCCACCCAGATCTCATCTTGAATTGTAGCTCCCATAATTCCCACCTGTTGTGAGAGGGACCTGGTGGGAGATAATTGAATCATGGGGGCAGTTTTCCCCCATACTGTTCTCATGGTAGTGAATAAATCTAATGAGATCTGATGGTTTTATAAAGGGAAACTTCTTTCACTTAGCTCTCTCTTTCTCTCTTGTCTGCTGCCATGTAAGATGTGCCTTTCACTTGCCACCATGATTGTGCGGCCTCCCTGCCACGATTATGAGGCCTCCCCATCCACATGGAACTGTGAGTCCATTAAACCTCTTTTTCCTTATAAATTACCCAGTCTCGGGTATGTCTTTATCAACGGTGTGAAAACAGATTAATACAGTAAATTGGTACTGGTAGAGTGGGGCACTGCTGTAAAGATAACCCAAAAATATGGAAGTGACTTTGGAACTGGGTAACAGGCAGAGACTGGAACAGTTTGGAGAGCTCAGAAGAAGATAGGAAAATGTGAGAAAGTTTGGAACTTTGTGAGAAAGTTTGGAACTCCCTAGAGACTTGTTGAATGGCCTTGACCAAAATGCTGATAATAATATGGACAGTGAAATCCAGGCTCAGGTGGTCTCTGATGGAGATTAACCTGTTGGGAACTGGGTTCTTGCTATGCTTTAGCAAAGATACTGGCAGCATTTTACCCCTGCCCTAGAGATTTGTGGAACTTTTAACTTGGGGGAGATGATTTAGGGTATCTGGCAGAAGCAATTTCTATGCAGCAAAGCGTTCAAGAGGTGACTTGGGTGCTGTTAAAAGCATTCAGTTTTAAAAAGGAAACAGAGCATAAAAGTTCAGAAAATTTGCAGCCTGACGATGTATTAGAAAAGAAAAACCCCTTTTCTGAGGAGAAGTTCAAGCCTGCTGCAGAAATTTGCATAAGTAACGAGGAAACAAGTGTTAATCACCAAGACAATGGGGAAAATGTCTCCAGGGCATGTGAGAGGTCTTCATAGCAGCCCCTCCCATCACAGACCCAGCGGCCTAGGAGGTAAAAATGATTTCATGGGCCAGTCCCAGGGCCTCCCTGCTCTTTGCAACCTAGAGACTTGGTGCTCTGCATCCCAGCAGCTCCAGCCATGGCTAAAAGGGGAAATCTTTACGTAGATTTCAGAGGATGTATGGAAACAGCTGGATGTCCAGACAGAAGTTTGCTGCAGAGGTGGAGCCCTCATGAAACCTCTGCTAGGGCAGTGTGGAATGGAAATGTGGGGTTGAAGCCCCTACACAGAGTCCCCACTGGGGCACTGCCTAGCAGAGCTGTGAGAAAAGGACCACCATCCTCCAGACCCCAGAATGGTAGATCCACCGATAGCTTGCCCTGCACACCTGGAAAAGCTGCAGACACTCAACACCAGCCCATAAAAGCCGCCAAGAGAGGCTGTATCCTGCAAAGCCACAGGGGCGGAGCCGCTCAAGACCATGGGAACCCACCTCTTGAATCAGTGTGACCTGGATGTGAGACATGGAGTCAAAGGAGATCATTTTGGAGCTTTAAAATTTGACTGCCCCACTGGATTTGGGACTTGCATGGGGCCTTTAGCTCCTTCGTTTGAACAATTTCTCCCATTTGGAATGGTAGTATTTATCCAATGCCTGTACCCCCATTGTATCTAGGAAGTAACTAGCTTTTTGATTTTACAGGCTCATAGGTGGAAGGGATTTGCCTTGTCTTGGGTAAGATTTTGGACAGTGGACTTTTGAGTTAATGCCAAAATGAGTTAAGACTTTGAGGGACTGTTGGGAAGGCATGATTGGTTTTGAAATGTGAGGACATGAGATTTGAGGGGGGCAGGGTGGAATGAAATGGTTTGGCTCTGCCCCCACCCAAATCTTATCTTAAATTTAGCTTCCATAATTCCCATGTGTTGTGGGAGGGACTTGGTGGGAGATAATTGAATCATGGGACGATTTTCCCCCATACTGTTCTCATGGTAGTGAATAAGTCTCATGAGATCTAATGGTTTTATAAGGAGAAACCCCTTTCACTTGACTCTCATCTTCTCTTGTCTGCCACCATGTAAGACGAGACTTTTGCCATGATTGTAAAGCCTCCCCAGCCATGTGGAACTGTGAGTCCATTAAACCTCTTTTTCTTTATAAATTACCCAGTCTCAGGTATGTCTTTAACAGCAGCATGAAAACAGACTAATATGACTGCCAAGACCATAATTCAGTATTTCACCATGTCATTCCTGGATTATTACAGCAGCAACATAGCTGTTCTGTGTCCTTGTCCTTTTTCCCCACTGCACTATGCTGTATATTGCAGTCAAAATAAGCCTTCTTGCTATTCACCAGCATTCAACATCCACTTCAGTCCCTCAGGCATCTCACTGTTTGCCTTATATTCTGTGATCCTACTTTAATTCCTGCTTTACATCTTTTCTGTTTTACATCATTTCCTTGTCTCCAAACCCTATTTAATTACATCTAGTAGCTGGGACTACAGGCACCCACCACCACACCCAGCTAATTTTGTTTTTGTATTTTTAGTAGAGTTGGGGTTACACTGTGTTAGCCAGGATGGTCTTGATCTCCTGACCTCGTGGTCTGCCCACCTTGGCCTCCCAAAATGCTGGGATTACAGGCGTGAGCCACTGCGCCCAGCCATTTAATTACATCTTAATCATTGTTGAAGCCATAGCTCAAGTACTCTGAAACATTCGTTAGCTACTGTAGTACACATTGACCTTTTCTTGACTTCATAGTGTGTAGTGAGTTCTGTACAATTTATCACTTAATCACTCATTTTTTTTCCAGTGCTGTTCTAATAAACAAGCTATTTGAAGGTGGGGACAACAATTTTGCATCTTTTTATTTTTCACCTAGTGGTAGGTACTAGTGAATATCTTTTTTTGTTTACTGCATTCTTAGAGGCACTTTTATTTTTTTCTACATATTGTTTCTGTATTTGATAACATAATGTGGTAATTTTCTCCCAAAACAAGATATTAAACTGATGTTACACTTTACAGAATAAAGGACTTAACAGCAATTGATACTTTTAAAAATTGCATTTGTGAAACTGAAGTAATCATTTGTTGAGAGTTTCAGTTTTCCCAATCCCATATCTTTCACTATGTACCTAGATTTAATAATGTGTGTTCCAAATGAAAGCCATTGTGTCCTTCATCTAAAAACCACTGAGCAGATGACTACCACATGGTTCAGCAACCTTTCGTGACTGAGTATACAACAGTAGTTAGGGTTTTATGGACTGGTTAGTTATTTTGTATTCCAGCCTAGTTCCCAAGAGATAAACTTGGAATTTTAAAGACCCCTTAACATTGAATTGGAGATGGCTTTTTTAAGTTTGGTCCTAGCAGAGGGTTTGAGCTATTTTTTTTTAGGAGACAAGACCCAAGGCTAAGATAACTTGTTTGAGTTATGGCCAAAGCCTGAAGGTGGCAAAGGAAGCCTGTCGGTGAGGGCAGATAAGGAAGGAGGTAGATTTATTTGGGAAGTATGGAAGAAATAGGACTAAAATAGGAAAACAACTGTGAGGGCCTGAAGTGTTTCAAATTCATACAAGTGGCTACCCTGGCTACTGATGTAGAGCTTTCTTTCCTTCCTTCCTTTTTGGGTGGGGGGCAGGGGTCCAAAGATCTTGCTTTTAAAGACCCTTTCAGCTTTAAAATTGTATTTTATATTGTGCTACTTGGTTACAGCAGTGGTTCTCAAATTATGACCCTATTAGCACCACCTGGGAACTTGTTAGAAATTTAAATTTGGGGGCTCCCCCAACCCAGAATTGCTATAACAGAAACTCTTGGGCTATGGTTAGCAGTGTTTGTTTTAACGAGTCTTCCGGGAGATTCTCATTCTCTAACTGAAACCGAAGTTTGAGAAACTACTGGATTAGAGGAGTCATCTTCTTAAAAACAAAACAAGCACTTTGGGAGGCCAAGACAGGCGGATCACGAGGTCAGGAGATCAAGATCATCCTGGCTAACACGGTGAAACCCCGTCTCTACTAAAAATACAAAAAATTAACCAGGCGTGGTGGCGAGCACCTGTAGTCCCAGCAACTCGGGAGGCTGAGGTAGGAGAATGGCGTGAACCTGGGAGGCGGAGCTCGCAGTGAGCCGAGATCCTGCCACTGCACTCCAACCTGGGCAACAGAGCGAGACTCCAACTCAAAAAAACAAAACAACAACAACAACAACAATTAGGCCAAAGTCTCATGTTGCAAAGTTATAGTATGGTAGTCCCCCATTATCTGCAGTTTCACTTTCTGAAGTTTCAGTTACTTGCAGTCAACCACAGACCAAAAATATTAAATGGAAAATACCAGAAAAAAAATTTGTGAGTTTTAAATTGCTCCCTAATCTGAGTAGTGTGATGAAATCTTGTGCCATCCTGCTCCATCCTGTCCTTTAGTCACTTGATAGTCATCACAGTTAGGTGTATGGTAGTGCTATGTTCAAGTAACCCTTATTTTACTATGTATTATAATTACTTATTTTACTATTTATTCTATTTTGTTCTTACAATTAATCATTAGTTATTGTTTATCTCTTACTATGCCTAATTTATAAATTAAGCTTTATTATAGGTATGTACAGGAAAAAACATAGTATATATAGGGTTCTGTACCATCTGTGGTTTCAGGCATCCACTGGGGGTACTGGAAGATATCCCTCGAGAATGAGGGGGGACTACTTTATTTTCAATCATTCTTAAGTCCTCCAAGGTGGAATTCATAATTCCATAATTTTAATGTTTTTGAATATAATCCTACAGCCTCATTTTAAAAGTTTAAAGTATTGTAAGTATACACTTTTCCTCTAAACTAAAATCTTTAGTGTCAGTAATTGTGTATTAAATGAACTGATGAAAAAAATTAAACACATAGTGTTTAGTCATCATTATCTTCTTTTTTCTTTAGAGCACTTAGTGTCTTAATCATAGTTTTTTTAAGTTCCCAGTCTGATAATTCCAAAATCTGTCATATCTGAGTCTGGTTCTGATGCTTGGTTTGCTGCTTCAGTTGAATGAAAAAGATGGAACATAGTTCCATAGTTCATTTACATAGTTCAATTACATAATTCCATAGTTCAATTCCATAGTTTAATTACAAAAGGTGTAACATAAGCATAATGGGAATATCAGAAGTGGAAGAAAGAAAGGAACAGAAGAAATATTTGAAGTAATAATAACTTGAGGATTTCCCAGAATTAATGACAAACACCAAATCCAGGAAGCTCAGAGGACACCAAGCATGGTAAATACCAAAAAAAAATATGCCTAGGCATATTTTACTCAACCTGTAGAAAATTAGAGAAAATCTTGAAAAGCCAGAGAGAAAAAAACCACTGTACCTACAGAGGAATAAAGATAAGAATTATATCATATTTGAACTGAGAAAGCATGCAAGCAAGAAGAAAGTGCAGTGAAATATCGGTGTTGAAGAAAAAGAAAGTAAAACCGCCAACCTAGAATTTTGTATCCAGCAAAATTATTCTTCAAAAGTGAAAGAGAAATAATGACTTTCTCAGAGAAACAAAACTTGGAATTTGTCAACTGGTAGAACTGCCTTGCACAAAATGTGAAGAGGTCTTCAGAGAGAAGGAAAATGATAAAGGTCAGCAATTCAGTTCTATATAAAGGAAGAGTGAGAAGAAATAAATGAAAATAAAATAACACCTTTTATTTTTCTTATATTTACTTGATCTAATAGATAACAGTTCAAAATAATAACACTGTATTCATTGAGTACAGCTCATGGATAAGCGAAATGAATAACAACAGTGTCATTCACTGCTGGGATGAAGGAATTGAGAATACTCTAAGGTACTTGCGCTAATCGTGAAGCAGTATAGTGTTATTTGAAAGTGGACTTGGATTAGTCATAAATGTATATTGCAAACTCTAGAGCAACCAATAAAAAAAATTTGTTAATAAAGGAAGTGTAATTGGTTGCTAAGAGACTTGAGAATATGGAATCATATAAAATGCTCAAATTCAGAATGGAAGACAAAAGAGAAATGGAAACAACATGGTCAATGAATAGTAAAAAGTTAAAGATATGGTCCATATCAATTCAGTTATATCAGTAATCATTTCAAGTGTGGATGTTTTAAATAACACCAATTAAAAGACTGTCAGAGTGGATAAAAAAACAAGACTCAACTATATGTTGTCTGCAAGTTTATCCTTTACAGTAACCAATTTCATTTTATCATTTAGTAACCAATTACTTGTAATATATTTCATGAATGTGTTGTAACACTGAAGTTGAGAACCTTTGCAAAATACTATAAGCCAGTGGCAAAGTGCTTAAATTACAGAGGTGAAGAGGAAATGGCCATATTTGGTGCCAGTGTTATGTATAAACCACTTAATTTTTCTACTTAGAATTAATTTTACAAGTAATTATTGAGCACTTCTTATGTGGATTCTGATTTTTTTAAAACAGGTTGATTGAGATAATTTACATACCAAAGAGTTTTTCCTGTATTAAATAGATTTGAGGAACCTCCAAACAGAAAGCAAGCTCCCTTTTGTTCTTTGATGGTTGGCCACTCCCACTCCCATCCGAGTTTTGGGTGCTACCTTTCTTTGGGGCTGCAGTTTACTTTTGATGCCCTTCCTCAGTAAAGGGTTTCAGCTATTTATAGCTTTCATTATATTCATGGTAATAAGGAAATCATTGGGTACAAACTTGAAAAGTAGTGGGTAATTTACATCAGGGTCCCACTTTTATTAAATAGCAGGTCTTATCACAATGCTTAAGTATTTACAATTTTCTCTCTGTATTACTTTCTTATTCCATCTTTGCTTCTAGCCCATTTAAGCCTGGGTTTTCTTTCTCAGCTCCTTTTATCACTTTGTTCTTTTTCCTCCAGCTCTGCCTCTGAAATTAAGTGCCCAGTCTTTGGCTTCCTGAAAATGATGATCAGAGTTTGTTACTTAACAGTTTCCCTGAACTAATTTCCCCTAGGGTGTACTGTATCTGTTTGTCACTCTTTCCAAAGGTATTTCTTGCTTTTAATCCTTCTTTACATGACTTCCCTCTGGGTAACTAGTAGGTATTCCTGTTGAATACCTACATTTGTATTTCCTTTTACTCTTTTAATTAATCATGAATTCCCCACCTTTCCTGATAGTCACTATGATAGGTAGACTCTGTAGGTGGCCCCAAAATATTTGCATTGGTGTATTATTACATCTCCTTTAAAGCTTGTGTTTAATAAATATGGATTACATTTTTATCTAGTCTAAAGACACAAGATAATAGCCAATAAATTGTGAAAGGAAGTATTTCCTCAACACTTCTGTAGTACAGAGTGTTTGTAGTGGAAAATTCAGAACCTCCTATTTTGTCTCCCTGTCTTTTGTTGCTCCTTGAATTTTTCTCCATCCCCTTTTTGTTTTCTTGTTTTTCCTCTCTTGTTCTTACCCTTTTCCCGTCCTCTTTTTATATTTTTTCTCTGTCTTCCACTTCCTCTCCCATCATAAAAGAAAATAGTTATTCATATAATTTATAAAAGTATTGTGTCTGCTTTTAACATTTAGAATCTGAGAAGTTAACAGCTTTTTATTAGGTTGTTTCAAAGTTTAATTAGGTTGTCTAAGAAAATATGTGATTAGCCTTTGATATAAAAATATTATTACAAAATCATTTAATAATGTCCTATAGGGAAGATGTGAGTCAGCAAGCAGGTTTATAGAAGGAAACGGTTATGCTAGATAGTTTACTTGCTTGTAGTCTCCAGATATAAAGATACCAAATTTCAACCTGTTGCAGGCACCTGTTGAAGGCAGAGAGGAATTAAGCTAGAAAGACATTTTGGAGTTCCTAACTTCTAAAGTGAGATGTGATTGGGATTCCTGACTTCTAAAGTGAGATGTGAAATGTTGTGAATTACCTACATTTTCAGCCTATTTGGAGAGAAGTACGATTTATGTCTTGCTTTAAATAATAGAATAAAATCTCTATAATTGTTTAAAATCAGTTTTTAAGTAAGTTGGAGTGCATATTCCAGCACTGGCAGTGCAGTATAAACAATGGAGAGGTAGCTCAGACAGGGCTTTCCATAATGAAGACAATGACCCATGAGGGACTGTAACTGAAACCCAGCAAGAGAAATCCGGTTTTATAAGAAATTGTTTTGGGATGTCAGTTGTACAGTGTTTGTTACTTGTTTATATAGCTGAGGTTACATGTGTTAATCTTTGCTATGACTTAAAAGAGATAAATGGGCTCTGGAGTTATTGTGGCAGATTAAAAAACAAAACAATTATATTTTAGACCTGCATATTTTGGCTGTTTTGGACTACAGTTGTTCATCCCTTGAGTTCCAAATGTAAAAATGTTACATTCAGTAATATCTAATTGTGAAATCTTGTTTGTTACTGCTGTTCTTGTTCTTTTTTTATTCAGAATCTTAAGTAGTATTTTTGTTATAATACTAATACAAATCAGTGATAAAGGAGGCATCAACAAATCAGCAGGAGGATTATTTAAGAAATGGTATTAGTGCAGTTGGTTAGCTGTTTAAACAGGCAGAGAGAGAGAATAAATTAGCCTCAACCCCTAACAGTTATCAACAGAATTCCAGATGAATACATAGTTAAATGCAAACAACAGTGGGATGATTTTCAAAAAGTAGGACAAAATAGAAATGAACTTCTGATAGAATGAAAAGTTTTCTCTATTAAGTAGAAGACATCTCAGAACAAACAAGTGAAAATAGAAGTTACTACTTATAATGAAAACCCCCAAAAAAACTTAGGTGTTTTTTTCACTTATACTGAATCCCTATTAAAAGACAGGACAGAGGAAAATGGGAAAATGTGAATGGCTATGTAGTCATTAAAATGTTTAACGACTTCATGTAACTACGTTAGTAAATTCTTTTGTTAAAATATTAGTGGGGTTAAAAAATGCCGTATAGTTAATACAGTTTTACACAGAGAACTGCACACACACACACACACACACACACACAAAATCCTAATCTTGGCAAAAGAGAGTGGAAGAAAAATACACCAAAAAATGTTGCTTTTTGTTAATGTTGGGAGTGATGATACAGTTTTCAAAATATTTATTTTCTTCTTTTTAATGTGTTTTTTAGCCTTTCTGAGATGAACAGTTTACATTAAAAATACTTACTTTAAAATTGCTTGCTTACAGAATTAAAATACTTCATAATTTCTTTGCAACTTGAGTTTTCAGCTTATCTTCTCTATCCTCCTTTCTCTTACACACGGTTCCCTTACCAGGACTGGCACCGTTCATTTTACAAAATTTTACAAAAATTTTAATGTGAATGCCTTCAACTTGTTCCATTTTACTACATGGCCCACCACATCTTATTTATATTAGGTCCAGCTGCATCACACATTTATGTTATTTGCCTATCCCTGAAGGTTATCCTTCAAAAAAAAAAAAGACTGCTTATTATTTTTAAATTACGCCAGGATTTTACTGTATAGCTGTAAAAAGATTCTGTTGTTTATGTATAATGTCTTGAGAAAATGTCCACCATGCAATGCTAAATGGGAAAAAAAACTAGTTTTATCTTTTGTGATTACTGGGATTGGTGTTTGCTGACCTCCACTGATATGTGGGTTTTCTTCAAATTCATATGTTAAATGGGGGAAAAAACAAAACAAAACAGTCGAAAGTATAAAGTAAACTGAGGTAGCATTTATCATGGTCTTGAAAGATGTTACAAATATATAAGTAGAAGAAAATATACCCGAAGTAAACAGATGCTCTTTGTAGGGCTTGGTTTTTTAATTTCTTGAAAAATTGTTCATTTTTTCAGTTTTCTTGATGAGTATGTATTAAACTTTAAAAGTATATAAAAATTAATTGATACATTTTAACTTCCAGGACCAGCCTTAATGGGGTAATGGGTGTTAAACTTACCCTCCCTCCATGATCAACTGTAAAAGTGGATAAAAGACATGAAGCAACTGGGTTTTATTTGGCATTAGATAGCCAACCATAGGGCTATGATCCTTAGGAGAAGGGAAATCCAATAGGTAAGCTCACCCTGGCTATCCAAACTGTAGCTGAGGGAAATAATGCCCAAATAGAGACTAGAGGTTTAGTAGGATAAAGGAAACAGTGATTGGAGTGCATGGCTGCTGAAGCAGTTGGATTTGTAAGGCTTCTGCTGGAAGGAAGAGAGCTGCTTAGAGAAGCTTCAGAAACCTTTATGGGGATCATTCTGAATCTTTAACTGAATGCCGAACTCCACGTGTGCAGGGCCAGTCTCTTCTAAGAACAACTGTTGGGGCCTGTAGTCAAAAGGAGGTTCTGGAGATTACACAGTGCTGAAAGACATAATTTCAAACAGCTAAATTGGAGAGGTCTCGCTCAGCACCTTGGGCATTAATTAAGACTTCAGGATGTCTATAGCATAAAGACTAGGGCTACTTTACCCATAGAGTAAGAATTATTTTAGATCAATTCTACAAAGCATAAAGCTAACCTTTAAAAATACTAGGTTAAACTGCCAGTAAATAACTTCATGCAAAAACAAAACATACTTTAAAAGAATTCCAAATGTTCCACAACATAGTACCCACAATGACCAGCTGTATAAAAAATTACTAAACAAATGAAGAAGCAGGGAACTATAGGGAAAAAAATAGAAATAGACCCAGAGATGACAGAGACATGGAATTAGCAGCCAACTATTTTATGTTGTCTCTGGTAAATAGGCTCAAAGATTTAAAGGAAAAGATGAACAGTATCCATGCACAGATAGAGAATATCAGCCAAAGTAGAGCTCTAAATAAGAATCAAATGGAAAACCTAGAACAAAAAATGTAATATCTGAAATGAAAAATTCACTGAATATGCTAAATGACAGATTGGAAACTACGAAGAAAACTTCACTGAAGTTAACTACAGAGAGAAAAAAGGAGAGGAAAAAGAAATGAACAAGTCTCTGTGACTCGTGGGCCAATATATGTGTAATTGGAGTCCCAGAAGAATAGATACTGGAGCAGAAAAATAATTTGAAGATATGATTATTGAAAGATTTATGAATTTGAAGAAAACCCACATATCATTGGAGGTCAGCAAACACCAATCCCAGTAATCACAAAAGAAATCATAGTAGCACAACGAGTACAATTACTTAAAACTAAAAATAAAGAGAGCATCTTAAAGACAGCTAGAGGGGCAGGAATGGGGAAGATACGTGATATACATAGGGAAACAACAGCAACGAAGACCAACTTCTCATCAGAAATAATGGAGGCTAGAAGACAATGGAACCTTTTAAGTGCTGAAAGAAAAAGTTGTCAATCTGGAAATTTAAATCAAACAAAAATATATTTCTGAAATGTAAACAAAATAGACATTTTGAGATGAGCAAAAGCTAAAAGAATTCATCACCATCAGACTTTCACTGTAAATAATGCTAAAATAAGTCCTTCAGTCTCAAGGAAACTGATGCCAGTCAGAAACTCAGATCAAATGAAGGGGTGAAGAGAACCAGAATTGATCTCTCTGTAGGAGAATATAAATGACTTTTTTAAAGTACATATTTTCTGTGAAAGACAGTTTTTTGTTTAATGCAAAAATGTTAACAATGTTTATATCATGTAGAAGTAAAAGATCGTGAAACAGCACAGAGAACAGTAGTAAGACAGATTGAATTGCACTGTTGTAAGATGATGAACTTACAATATTAAGTGAAGGTAGACTGTGATAGATTAAGGATATATATTGTAATCCCTAGAGCAATTGTCAAAGTGGTACAGGTAAAAAGCCAATAGAGGTGATAAAATGGAATACTAAAAAATATCAGATGAATAATAAAGAAGACAGGAAATGAGGAACAGTGGAACAGAATGAATAAAAAACAAGACCATTAACTTAATCATTAATAATTACTTTAAATGGGTTAAACATTATGGTTATAAGGCAGAGATTTTCAGACTAGATAAAAGAGCAAGCTCCAACTATATACTGTCTACAAGAGATATACTTTAAAGTGTATATTATATTTAAATATAAAGATTTGGAATAAATATAACCTAAGAATACAGCTTACTAGGGAAGTGAAAGATCTGTACAACAAGAATTACAAAACACTGCTGAACGAAATCATAGGTGACACAAATGGAAAAACACATTCCATGCTCATGTATAGGAAGAATTAATGTTTTTTAAAAGGCCATACTGCCCAAGGCATTTTACAGATTCAGTGCTATTTGTATCAAACTACCAGTGACATTCTTCACAGAATTAGAAAAAACTTAAAATTTATGTGGACCTAAAAAAGAGCCTGAATGGCCAAGGCAATCCTAAGCAAAATGAACAAAGCGGGAGGCATCACATTAACCTGACTTCAAACTATTATGTAATACAAGGCTACAGTAACCAAAACAGCATGGTACTAGCACAGAAACAAATAGACCAATGGAACCAGAATAGAGAGTCAAGACATAAAGCCATACACCTGAAACCATCTGATCTTTGACAAAGTCTACAAAAACAAGCAATGGGAAAAGGACTCCCTATTCAATAAATGTTGCTAGGATAACTGGCTAGCCATATGCAGAGAATTGAAACTGGACCCATTTCCTTATATCATATACAAAAATCAACTCAAGATGGAATAAAAACTTCCATGTAAAACCTAAAACTATAAAAACCCTGGAAGATGACCTGGGAAATAACATTCTGGTCATAGGAACCGGGAAAGGAAAGATTTGACAGAGGCCAAAAGCAGTTGCAACAAAAACTGACAAATGGGACTTAATTAAACTAAAGAACTTCTGCACAGCAGAAGAAACTGTCAACAGAGTAAACAGACAAACTATAGAATGGGAGAAAATATTTGCAAACTATGCATCTGACAAAGGTCTAATATCCAGAGTCTGTAAGGAACTTAAATTAAGCAGAAAAAAAAAACATTTGGCTAGGTGCGGTGGCTCCCGCTGTAATCCCAACACTTTGAGAGGCCGAGGCGGGTGGATCACCTGACGTCAGGAGTTCGAGACCAGCCTGGCCAACATGATGAAATCCCATCTCTACTAAAAATACAAAAAATTAGCTGGGCATGGTGGCAGGCACCTGTAATCCCAGCTACTTGGGAGGCTGAGGCAGAAGAATCGCTTGAACCCAGGAGGCAGAGGTTGCAGTGAGCCGAGATCACGCCACTGCATTTCAGCCTGGGCAACAAGAGCAAAACTCTGTCTCAAAAAAATAAATAAAATGAAATAAAATAAAAACCATTAAAAAGTGGGATATGAACAGATGCTTGTTAAAAGAAGACATTCACATGGCCAACAAGCATATGAAAAGATGCTGAACATCACTAATCATTAGAGAAATGCAAATCAAAACCATCTAGTCAGAATGGCTGTTATTAAAAAGTCAAAAAAAAAGGTTATGCTTCCTGGTCAGGGAACAACAGAAAGATGCTGGTAAGGCTGTCAAGAAAAGGAAATGCTTATATACTGCTAGTGGAAGTATAAATTAGTTCAGCCACTGTGGAAAGCATTTTGGAGATTTCTCAAAGAACTGTAAACGGAACTACCATATGACCCAGCAATCCCATTATTGGGTATATACCCAAAGAAATAGAAATCATTCTACCCTAAAGACACATGTACACACATATTTTCACTGCAGCACTATTCACAATAACAAAGACATGGAATCAACCTAAATGACAATCCATGGTAGACTGGATGAAGAAAATGTGGTAAACATACACTATGGAATACTACACAGCCATAATAAAGAATGAGATTATGTCCTTTGCAGCGACGTGGATGTAGCTGGAAGTCATTATCCTAAGCACACTAATGCAGGAAGAGAAAATTAAATACTGCATGTTCTCACTCATAAGTGGGAGCTAAACATTGAGAACACATGGACGCAAAGAAGAGAACAACAGACACTAGGTCCTACTTGAGGGTAGAGGGTAAGGGTTAAAAAAGCTACCTATCAGGTACTATGCTTATTGCCTAGGTAACAAAATAATCTGTACACCAAATCCCTGTGACATAGCAATTTACCTATATAACAGACCTGCACGTGTACCCCTGAATCTAAAATAAAAGTTAAAAAAATATTTACAATAAATATAAAAGGATGGAAAAAACATGTACTAAGCAAACACTAACCATTAGAAAGCTGGAGTGGCTCTATTAATACCAGACAAAATAGTCTTCAGGATAAAGATTATTGCCAGTGATAAAGTGGATATATCTTGATGATAAAAGTACCAGTCATCAGAAAAACATAAAATCCTAAATATTTATTTATATCTAATATTGGAGTGTCAATGTATATGAAGTAAGAACTGATTTAACTAAAGGGAGAAGTAAAAGTTAATTTTGTAGTCTTGTCAATTAATTAAGAAATTATTACACTTTAACTTTTTATAATAAACCCCAGAAGGTATTAATGTTTGTATGTTTTCACTCTTTTTCTCCCAGTGTCATCCTGCTCACTACTTTTTTATCTAATTTGATTCCTTCACTCATTTCCATTTGTTTATTCACTGTTGTAATATACATTTATTCTCTAATTGTGCAATTCGATCTCTCTGTTATCTGATATTGGTGTGTAGTGGGAATTGTAGGTTTGTAATAAGACAGACATGGATTTCAGTCCTGGTTTCATTTCTAGATTTGTATTTGTACCTCATTTTGCAAGTAATGTACATAAAGCACAATGTATTGGCACTCAATACATGATACCATTATTATTTGAGAGAGTTTTTTTGCTTGGTTTGGATGGAGGTGATTATCGCCTTCTTTGTTGCTCGCTACACATGCTGTTAAAGTTGGCTTTCCGCTTTTCCTAATAGAATAACTACTGCCATGCCTCCTCACCTCTAGAGGCCTAGATGCCATACAGCGAGCAGTCCCTCTGTATCTGTGGGGAATTGGTTCCAGGACCCCCATAGGTAACAAAACCAGGGATGTTCAAATTCCTTATGTAAAATGACATAATATTTGCATGTAACTGCATACATTCTTCTATATACTTTAAATTGTTTCTAGGCTGGGTGTGGTGGCTCACGCCTGTAATCCCAGCACTTTGGGAGGCTGAGGCGGGCAGATCACCTGAGGTCAGGAGTTCAAGACCAGTCTGGCCAACGTGGTGTAACCCCATCTCTACTAAAAATACAAAACATTACTTGGGCATGGTGGCGGGAGGCTGAGGCAGGAGAATTGCTTGAACCCGGGAGGCAGAGGTTGCAGTGAGCCGAGAACGCGCCATTGCACTCCAGCCTGGGCAACAAGAGCAAGACTCCGTCTCAAAAAAAAAAAAAAAAAAAAAAAAAAAGAAAATCATTTCTAAATTACTTGTAATACCTAATACAATGTAAATGCTGTGCAAATCGTTTTTATACTATATTGTTAGGGAATGATGACCCAAAAAAAGTTTGGGTGTGTTCAGTACAGGCACAACCATCTCTTTTTTTTCCCCCTGAGTGTTTTCAATTTGTGGTTGGTTGAATCCATGGATGCAGAATTTACAGATAGAGCTGACTATATCCTTACATAATGCTCGCTGGGTTTTCGCCAGTCTCCCAGGTGGAGAACTAATAAAAATCAAAGGTAAAACACGACAGATTGGCTCGATTGAGTGAAAGAATATGGATTACTGTCATTTCATGAGTTATTTAGCATTTATGCCTGAATATGTTGCTACCAAATAACAGCTATGCATATCATTAAAACTGTGTACAATTAAAGCTATAATTAAATAAATTGTACATATCATGCACTTCAGCTAATGTGTAGTCAGACTTCATAACTAGTACTCAAGTTGTATGGATACTGACTCATAAGTTAAAACATTTAGTGGAAAAGATGCCCATGTATTATGAAGGATATAAAGTCTATAAAGTCTATATAAAGTCTATAAAGTGTGTGTTTTATAATAGTACATGCATTCCTTTATGACATCAAGAGAAAGCAATCACACAAATTCAGAGTATGTGACATTCTCAAGACAACTGTCCTGGGCTCTTCAGAAAGGGAGTATTGTAGAAAAAAAAAAAAAAAAGTTGTAACAGCCCCTTACAGTGTATGAACCTAGATTTGATCTGGTTCTAGGGGTGAAAGCTCTGTTAGACATTCTTGAGATAATTAGGGAAAATGCGAAAGTGGACTGCATGATATATTGTGGAATTATTGTTAATGTTTTTAGATGGCATAATGAAATTGTTATTTAGGAGATTTTGCTTATTCTTAGTAGATACATTTGTCTTCTTATTCTTAGGAGATGTCAGGTATTGTAATGTATACAACTATTAAAATAGTGCAGCAAAATGAATGTATTATAGTACATATGTGTCTATATAGAAAGAAAATAAATTTGACAATGGTCAATATAGGTGAAGCATATAGTTTTTGGTTGTACTATTCTTTCTAATTTTTTTTGTTTTAACCATTTTTATGTTAATAAATTGTTGGAAAATACCTGCAAATACTTGGCAATTAAAAATATACCTCCAAAGAATATCCGTAGAGCCACGCATGGTGGTGTGTGCCTGTAATTCTTGCTACTCTATAGGCTGACAGGAGGATCACTTGAGCCAGGAATTTGAGACCAGTCTGGGCAACATAGCGAGACCCTATCTATATTTTTTAAAAAAGAAAGAAGAAATCATGACAAAAATTAGAAGATGTAGAAAATTTGATGATAATGAAAAGATTCCACATCAGAACTTGTAGTTGTAGCTAATTGATATTTATAAATTTGTGATTTAACTGGCTTGTACTTGGGGGGAAAGTTGAAAATTAATGAGTTAAGCTTTGAATTTTAGATAAAAAATGAACAGAACTAACCTAAAGAAGGTAAGAGGTAGAAATTGATTAAATAGAAAATTAAAGTATGATAGGGTCAGTAGCATCTAATTTGGTTTCTTTGCAAACTTGTATTAAATGTTCCGGGGTCAGAAGTGACAGATCAAGAAAAAAGTAGGTGCAAATAATATTAGAAATAAAAATGAGTCATAACTATGGATGCAGCAGAGGTGAAAATAAGAATATTATAAGCAACTTGATGCCAATAAATTTTAAAACTTGAATACAATGGATGCATTCTAAGAATACTTTAAATTACTTCAGTATTAGAAAACTTAATTGCCCTTTAACTATTAAGGAAATGGAGTTAGTTCTTTAAAAATTGCCCACAAAGAAAATACCAAATCACCATAGTTTTGTAAGTGAAATCTACCCAAGATTCTAGGAACAAATAATTCTAATCTTATACAAACTCAGAACTTAGGAAGGAATTCTCTGTGGTAGTTAAAAAATATGTTTACAATCTCTTGATATTTTGGAGCCCTGTTCCCCTTGCCTTGAGTGTGGGCTGGACCTAATCATGCAATTCTAACAGAAGAAAAGCAGACATGGTGGTGTGGGACTTCAGAACATAGTTCATAAAAGGCACTGCAGCTCCATTTTCACTCTCTTGAATTGTTTGTTCTGGCAGAAGGCAGCCACCACATCATGAGGTAAGAAGCCCACAGAGAGGCTCTTGTGATGAGGTATAAGGCCTCCTGCAGTGTGAGTGATCCATCTTGGAAATGATAATGCAGCTCCTGCTGATATCCTGACTGAAACCTCGGGATAGACTGTTAGACAGAACCCACCCACCTCAGTGACTCCTAAGTTTCTGACACAGAAACTATTAGATAAAAAATGTTTGTTTAAACCATTAAGTTTTTGAGTAGTTTATTATACAGCAATAAATAGCAAATATACATTCCTACTCATTTTGTGAGGCTGGTATAATCTTGGTATCCAAATAGAATATAAGAATGACCTTTAATTTTACTATCCCACTCATAAACATAGGAACAGAAAATCTAAAACAAAAATTAGCAAATTGAAGCCACAAGTGTATAAAAATGGTAATAACATCCTAGCCAGCTTGAGTCTGTTACAGGAGGGCAAAGTCGGTTCATTAGAAAATCTGTTCATATAATTTACCACATTAACAGATGAGGGAAGTCAAGTTATTTGATTATCTAAATTGATGCAGGAAAATAAATAACACTGAATATCTGTTTTATGATAAAACACTTAGCAAGTTAGGAACAGAAGGGGACTTCTTTAACTTGATGAATGGTATCTACAGACTACAATAGATTTAACAGTCAGCCCTCTGTATCTGTGGGTTCAACCAACTGGATTTGAAAAAAGAAATATAAAATGATACAATAATAATACAGATTTTAAAAACATGATACAGCTATTTACATAGCACTTACATTGTATTGATTACAAGGAATCTGGAGATGATTTAACATACATGAAGGTGTGCATAGGTTATATGCAAATACTGTGCCATTTGATAAAAGAGATGTAAGCATCTGCAGATCATGGTATCCATGGGAGTCATAGAACTAGTACCTTGATACCCACCAAGGGACAATTGTACGTATTAGTGAAAAAGTTGTAGTTAAAACACTGTCTTTAAAATTAGAAACAAGAAATGTACAGATTTCTTAGTATATTCAGAAGTTAAAAAAATGAGTAAAACTTAATAATTAGAAGCTAACTTACCATACGTTAGTCTACATGGAAAACTCAATCTACACAGAATTACGAAGATAATGTAGCAAAAGTCATTTGCATTTCTGTATACAATAAAAATCGATAGTGTAATTAAACATTTTCAATAACAAGTAGGTTCTTGGAAATAAATGTAGCTATAGTTATGTAAGACTTTATTCTAGAATTTTTTTTTTTTTTTTTTTGAGACAGAGTCTCGCTCTTTTGCCCAGGCCGGAGTGCAGTGGTGCGATCTCAGCTCACTGCAAGCTCCTCCTCCCGGGTTCACGCCATTCTCTGGCCTCAGCCTCCCAAGTAGCTGGGACTACAGGCGCCCGCCACCGCGCCTGGCTAATTTTTCGTATTTTTAGTAGAGGCGGGGTTTCACCATGTTAACCAGGATGGTCTCGATCTCCTGACCTCGTGATCCGCCCACCTCGGCCTCCCAAAGTGCTGGGATTACAGGCGTGAGCCACCGCGCCTGACCTATTATAGGAGATTTTAAAACCTTATTGAAAGATTTTCAATAATGTAGGCATAAATAAATGGAGACATGTTCCATGTTCATTGAAATAAATATCGCAGATTTTTTATTTCTTAATATATTTATAAATTCAATGAAATTTTAATCAAAATATTTTTCAAAAAACCTGACAGTCTGATTTTAAGCTTTTGGTGGAAGAAAAAATGGCCTAGAATAGCCAAAGTGCTCCTAAAGAAGAAGGACAAAGTTAGGAACTTGCCATACCAAATGCCAAGAGTTACTATAATTACAGTATTTATGGCGGTTT
The DNA here is from genome assembly GCF_000001405.40 of Homo sapiens. Taxonomy (NCBI): domain Eukaryota; kingdom Metazoa; phylum Chordata; class Mammalia; order Primates; family Hominidae; genus Homo; species Homo sapiens. The sequence continues at coordinate 56,214,129 of NC_000015.10, read as the reverse complement.
GGTATTTGCACATGGTTAAATAACTGGAGATGAGGGAAAAGAATTGAGCCTAGAAAAAAACTCATGCATGATGGATACTTGATATAAGACAGAGGTGAGCTTTCAGATAATGGCAGCAATGGGCTATATAATGGTGCTAAGATCACGGGCTATCAATATAGAAAAAAAGTGAAATGGATCCAAGTTTACCCCTTGATCCACAATCAATTGTAGGTGACAAAGATTGTAAAAGAAAATCTTAAAAAATACTAGAATAAAATATATACTTGTTTTTACAGGACAAAAGATAGTTTTAGAGTAGGGAGGGATACAAATGCACATATCAGGAAGGAAATGATTACATATGTATGTTTAATTTTTTCTAATTGAACTTTTTATTTTGGGATAATTGTTGGTTCACATCTAGTCATAAGAAATAATATAAAGAGAGATCATGTGTACCCTTTATTACCCAGTCCCCCAGTGGTGTCATCTTGCAAATCTGTAGCGTCATACACTGTCACAACCAAAACATTGATACGGTCAAGACAAAACGTTTTTGTCACTGCAAATATCCCTCATGGTATCCTTCTATATCCCTACCCACTTCTTACCTTTCACCCTCAACTATTGGCAGTCACTAATCTGTTCCCCCATTTCTAAAGCTTTTGTCACTTCAAGAATGTTATGTAGATAGGATCATAAGTCATCTTTTGGGATGGGCTTTTTTCACTCAGCATAATTCACTGGGTGTTCATCCAGATTGTTCTAGCTATCAATAATTTATTCCTCTTTATTATGGAATAGTACTTCATGATATGGATATATCACAGTTTAACCATTCTCCCATTGTAGGATATATGGATTGATTCCAGTTTTGGGCCCTTATGAGTAAAGCTGCTGTAGACATTTATGTACAGGTTTTTATGTGAACATAATCTGCATTTCTCTGGGATAAATGGAGAAATGTACAAATGTACTGTACCAAGGAGTACAATTGCTTGGTCATATGGTAGTTGCAAGTTTAATTTCCTAAAGGATAGCAAAACTTTTCCAGAATGTCTGTACCATGTTACATTCCCACAGACAATGTCTGAGTGATCCAGTTTTTCAATATCCTTGCCAGTATTTGGCATTGACACTCTCTAATAGCTGTTCTTATAGGTATATAGTATACAGTGATATCTCATTGTGGTTGTATTTGTATTTCCCTAATGGCTAATGATGTTAAATATCTTTTCATGTGTTGTTTACCATTTATACAAACATCTGTACTATTTGTGTATACTCTTTGGTGATATATTTTTTCAAGTATTTTGCATACATTCTAATTTGATTGCTTTTTTTGCTGTTGAGTTTTGAGAGTATTTTTAACATACTCTATTTTTAACATATTTCTTTGTTGGATATACGTATGAAATGTTTTTTTACACTAAAGCTTGTCTTCTTTAATTAACTTTTTTTAAAAAATAAACTTTATTTCTTAGAGCAGTTTCAGATTCACACAAAAGAAGAACCAGAAGATACAGAATTTCCCATACATTCTCTGCCCTCAACATGCATAGCCTCCCCATTATCAACATCCTACATTAGAGTGGTACAGTTGTTAAAACTGGTTTACCTTCATTGACACAGTATTACCCACAGTCCATAATTTACATTAAGCTTCACTCCGGGTGTTACACATTCTATGGGTTTGGTCAGATATATAATGACATGTATCCACCATTAAAGTATCATAAAGAGTAGGCTTACTACCCTAAAAGTCCTCTGTGCTCTGACTATACATTCTTCCCTCCCCTCTAACCCTTGGCAACCACTGATCTTTGTACTGTCTCTGTAGTTTTGCTTTTTCCCTGCATGTCAATAGTTGTAATCACACAGTATGTACCCTTTTTATATTTGCTTCTTTCACTTAGTGTAGTATACATTTCAGTTTCTTTGATGTCTTTTCATGTCTTGTATAGCTAATTTCTTTTTAGCACTGAATCATATTCCATTAATAGATATACCACTGTTTATCCATTCACCTACCGATGACATTTGTGTTGCTTCCAAATTTTGACTGTTGCAAATAAATCTACTAAAAACGTGTACCAGTTTTCGTATGAATGTATTTTTTTCTCCTTTGAGTAAATTTCATGAAGTGCAATTGCTGGGTCATAGGGTAGGAATCTATTTAGTTTTGTGAGAAACTGCCAAAATGTCTTCCATTTTGCATCCCCACCAGCAGTGAATGCGAGCTCTGGTTGATCCACATCCTTGTCAGGATTTGGTGGTGTCAGTATTTTGGATTTTGGCCATTTTAATAGGTATGTTTAGTATCTCATTGGTGTTTTAGTTTGCATTTTCCTGATGACTCATGATATGGAGCATCTCTTCATGTGCTTATTTGCCATCTGTACATCTTCGGTGAAGTATCTATTCAGGTCTTTGTCCCATTTTTTAATGGGGTTGATTATAAGAATCTTTCTGTATTTTGGGTAAGTCTTTTATCTGATGTGTCTTTTGTAAATATTTTTTTCTCCATCTGTAGCTCAACTTTCTTTTCTCTTGGCAGTGTCTTCTGCAAAACAGAAATTTTTAATTGTAATGAAGTCCAGCTCATCAATGCTTTCTTTTATGGATAGTGCATTTGGTGTTATATCTAAAAAGTCACAAACACAAGGTCATCTAGTTTTTCTTCTATGTTGTGTTCTAGGATAAAGTTTTGCATTTTACATGTAGGTCTGTAATCCATTTGAGTTAATTTTTGTGATGAGTGTATGATCTGTCTCTAGTGTTTTTGTTTGTTTTGTTTTTGCATATGGATATTCACTTCTAGCACTATTTGTTGAAAAGACTGTTTTTTCTTTGTTGTATTGCCTTTGCTCCTGTGTCAAAGATCAGTTGGCTATATTTCTGTGACTCTTCTGAAAAGGACTGTAGAGGATTGATATACTTTCTTTTTTAAATGTTTGGTAGAACTTACCAGTGAACCCATCCAGACCCTTTGCTTTTGGTTTGGAAAGATTATTAATTATTGATTCATTTTCTTTAACAGCTATAGCCCTTTTCACATTTTCTATTTCTTTTCTGATTTTGCAGATTGTGTCACCCAGGAACTAGTTCATTTAATGTATGTTATTACATTTGTTGGCATAGAATTGTTCATGTAATTCCTTTATTATCTTTTTAATGCCAGGGGATCTGTAGTGATGTCCCGTCTTTGATTTCCAGCATTAGTAATCTGTGTATCTTTTTCTTTTTTAAGCCTTCTTTTCCTAGTTTCCTACGATGGAAGCTTAGGTTATTGATTTTAGGTCTTCTTTTCTAATATATGTATTCAGTGCTATAAATTTCTTTCTAAGTACTGCTTTTGTTGTTTCTCACAAATTTTGACATGTTGCGTTTTCATTTGAATTAAAGTATTTTACAATTTCTCTCAAAATTTCTTCTTTGACTTACGCGTTATTTAGAAGTGCATTGTTTAATTTCCACGTATTTTGGAATTTTTCAGCAATCTTTGTTTATGATTTAATTCCTCTGTGGTCTGAGGGGAGATACTCTATAATTTCTATTTTTAAAAAAATTTGTTAAGATGTGTTTTAATGCCCAGAATATGATCTGTCTTGGTGAATGTTCCATGTGAGCTTGAGAAGAATGTGCTGTTTTTGGATGAAGTGCTCTATAAAAGTCCTTTATATCCCATTGGTGGTGGTGTTGAGTTCAACTCTGTCCTTCCTGATTTCATACCAGTTGGACCTGTTCATTTCAGATAGAGGGATATTGAACTCTTCAGAACTCTTCAAGTGTAATAGTCTATTCTGTTTCTCCTTGCAGTTCTCTGTTTTTGCCTTACATACTTTGAAGTTATATTATTAGGTTCATATACATTTAGGATTGTTACGTCTTCTTGAAGCATTCACCTATTTATCACTATGTAATGCTCCCCTTGCTTTGAAGCCTGCCTTATCTGAAATTAATATGTTAACTCCTACTTTCTTTTGACTAGTATTAGCATGACATATCTTTTTCCATCCATATACTTTTAATCTGTATGTATCCTTGTATTTAATAAAGTTGGCTTTTGTAGACGACATATAATTGGGTCTTATTTCTTGATCCACTCTGACAGTGGTGTCTTTCAATTGGTGCATTTAGACCATTGACATTCAAAGTAATTATTTATATAGTTGGATTAATATTTATCATATTTGTTATTTTCTATTTATCGTCCTTGTTCTTTGTTTTTATTTTTGTCTTCCTCTCTTTTTTGTTTTGCCTTTTGTGGTTTTGATTGAGCATTTTATTTGATTCTATTTTATCTCTTTTATTGGCATACTAGTTATATTTCTTTCTTTGCGTTTTTTAGTGTTTGCCCTAGAGTTTTCAGTATACATTTACAACTAATCCAGGTCCACTTTTAGTTAACGTCATACTGCTTCACAGGTACTGTGAATACATTATAATAACAAAATAATCCTAATTCCTGCCTCTGGTTTCTTATATTACTACTGTCATTAATTTTGTTTATATAGAAGCATATGTGTCTGTATAAGAGCATACATAATTCAGTACATTGTTCCTGTGATTGTTTTGAACAAATTATCTGTTGGATCAATTAAAAATAAGAAACATTTAAAACTTGATTTTACCTGCACTTTTTCCTTCTCTGATGCTTTTTCCTTATTTACACAGATTTGCATTTTGACCTTTATTATTTTCCTTCTCTCTAAAGAATTCCTTTTACAGTTCTTGCAAGGCAAGTCTACTGGCAACAAATTCCCTCGATTTTTGTTTTTGTGAGAAAATATTTCTTCTTCACTTTTGAAAGAACATTTTGCAGGTGTTAGTATTCTAGGTTGGGTTTTTTTTTTTTCTCTTGACACTCTCGAGTGTTTCACTCCACTCTCCTTCTTGCATGGTTTATGAGAATCAGATATAATTCTTATCTTGGCTCCTGTATAGGTATGGTATGTTTTTCCTCTAGCTTCTTTCAAGATTTTTTCTCTATCTTTGATTTTCTGTAGTTTTGAGAATTATATGCCTAAGTATAGTTTTTTTGTTTGTTTTGTTTTGCTTTTGACATTGATGTTGGTTGACGTTCTCTGAGCTTCCTAGATCTGTGGTTTGGTGTCTGACATTAGTTTGGGGAAATTCTTTTGTCATTATTGTTTCAGAAATTTCATGTATTACTCTTTTTCCTATCCTTCTGGAATTTCCATTACACATATGTTACACCCTTTGTAGTTATCCCACAGTTCTTGGATACTCTGTTCTGGGTTTTGTTTTCTTTTGTTTTTTCAGTCTTTTTTCTCCTTGCTTTTCAAATTTGGTGGTTTCTACCAAGTTAAACCTCAAGCTGAGATTCTAACCTCAGCTGTGTCCAGCCTACCATTAAGTCCATCAAACATTTCTGGTAGTGTTTCTAATCTCTTGACATTTCTTTTTAGTTCTTATAATTTCTATTTATTTATATTGCCCATCTGTTCTTGCAGTCTGTGTACTTTATCCATTAGAACCCTTAGCATCTTAATCATAATCATTTTAAATTCCTGGTCTGATAATTGCAACATCCCTGCCACATTGGACTATGTTTTTGCTGTTTGCTGTGCTCTTGAAACTGGATTTTGCCTTTTACTGCCTTATAACTTTTTCTTAATAACCAGGTGCGAGTTACTGAATAAAAGGATCTGCTGTAAATAGGCCTTTAGTAATGTGGTAGTAAGGTATGTGGGGGAGCATTCTATAATGTTATCTTGAGGTCTCAGTCTTTTGGAAAGCCTGTACCTCTGCCCTGTAAACTTCACAAGTGCTTCTCAGTCTCTCCAGTGCCCCCTTACTTGGAACAGGATGGCTAGACTGGTCTGGAGTTGGGTTTTGCCTTTTGCCCAGGTCAGTTATGCTCTGATGAAGCTCCAGCAGGATAGGCTCTGGTTGATTTAATTTCTCCTGAGGGTAGCGTTATTAGGAACAGAATGCTTTGGCATATTTCACAATGATTCCTTTTCTCCTTCCCTTGTCTAAGGCATGAAAGTTATCTCCAATATTCAGAGGAGGTTTTTCTTAAATATTCACTGGGAAAACCTGGTCAAGCTCTTGGAGGTAAAAGTGTGGAGATGCTTGATTACTGGATTTCCCTGGAGTTTATCTCAGACTTGTTCATTCTGAGCCTCTTGTAATTCATCAGTTATAGTTTGTTTACCTCCTTTGGTACAGATTCTCATGCAGGTTTGTGGCTTGTGGGTTTCTGCTCCAGCAAGCTACAATTCTCTGCATTTTCCTATTGGTCTTTCCCATTTGGGGGGTTTGTGATTTGACCCCTGATCTTACCACTCTGACAAATCCTAAGAAGAGTTGTTGATTTTTCAGTTTTTTTCGGCTTTTTATCTTGTAGGGCTTAGTGTTGACTTACAGCTTCTTACATGCTGGACCAGAAACCAGAAGTCCTAGCTCTTTTTAAAAAATTAATCTGCTTAACAGTCTTTTGTAGAGCACAAGTCCAATTTATCAGTTTTTCTTTCTATGGATAATATGTTTGGTGCCAAGTCTAAGAACTTTGCTTTGCCCTAGATCTGAAAGAGTTTATTGCTTTTTTTCTCAAATGTTTTGTATTTCTATGTTTTACATTTAAGTCTGTGATCCATTTTGAGTTAATTTTTCTGTAAGGTATGAGGCTTAGCTTGATGTTAATTTTTTAAAAATTTGTTTTAATTATAGTAAAATGCAACTAAGATAAAATTTACCACTTTAGTCATTTTTAAGAGAACAGTTCAGTAGCATTAAGTACAGTCACATTGATTGTAGCCATCAACACTAGCCATCCACAGAACTCTTTTCATCTTGCAGAATTGAAACTCTGTACCCATTAAACAATACCCCCCCATTTCCTCCTCCTTCTAGTCTCTGATACCCACAGTTCTACTTTCTATCTCAGAATTTCACTACTCTAGGTACCTCATGAAAGTGAAATCTTACAGTGTTTGTCTAGTTTGGGGTCTTTTTTAATTTTTAATTTGACATAGTTATTTTAATAGTACATGTATGTATTTATGGGTAACATGAGATATTTTGATACAGGAATGCAAAGTGTAATAATCACATCAGAGTAAATGGGGTATCCATCATCTCATGCATTTATCCTTTGTGTTACATACAGCCCAGTCATACTTTAGTGATTTTTAAATGTTCAGTTATTTTTTACTGTAATCACCCTGTTGTGCTAGCAAATGCTAGGTCTTATTCTATTTTTTTTTTGTAACTATTAACCATCCCCACTTCCCCACACCCCACCCCCAACCCCAACCTTCAAGCCTCTGGTAGCCATCCTTCTTCTCTCTCTCTCACTTTCTCCCCATGAATTCAGTTGTTTTAATTTTTACCTTCCACAAGTAAGTGAGAACATGTACTGTTTTTTTTTTCTGTACATGGCTTATTTCACTTAAAATAATGACCTCTAGTTCCATCTATATTACTGCAATGACAGGATGTTGTTCTTTTTTATGGCTGAATAATACTCCATTGTGTATATGTACCACATTATCCATTCATCTGTTGATGGACACTTAGGTTGATTCCATATCTTGACCATTGTTAATAGTGCTGCAGTAAACATGGGAGTGCAGATATCTCTTTGACATACTGATTCCTTTCTTTGGGCTATATAGCTAGCAGTGGGATTGCTGGATAATATGGAATCTCTATTTTTAGTTTTTTGAGGAGCCTCCAAACTATTCTCCATCATGATTGTGCACCAGCCACTGTGTCCCCCTAACAGTGTATGTGGTTTCTCTTTTCTCCCCATCCTTGCCAGCATTTGTTATTGTTTTTCTGTGACTGGCTTATTTTACTTAGCATAATGTCTTCAAGATTCATTTATATTGTAGCATGCATCACAATGTTTTTCTTTTTTATGTCTGATGAATAATATTCTATTGTATATGTGTATCATTTTTTTTTGTCCATTTATCCATCAATAGACACATGCATTGCTTCCACTTTTTGGTTATTGTGAATAGTGCTGCTCTCAACATTAGTGTACAAAGGTCTGTTCTAGTCTGTGCATTTATTCTTTTTGATACATACTCAGAAGTGGAACTGCTGGATCATATGGTAATTTTAATATTTTGATGAACCACCATACTGTTTTCCATAACAGCTACACCATTTTCCATCCCTACCAGCAGTACACAAGGATTCCACTTTCTTCACATCTTTACTAACACTTGTTAATTTTCTGGGTTTTTATATAATTTTTATTTTTAATAGTAGCTATCCTAATGGATGTGGGGTGGTATCTCTTTTTTTAACCTGTGAGTGTCTGATTGCTTTAGCACCATTTGTTGGAAAAGCTGTCTTTCCTCCATTTAATAACTTTCACTTCTGTCAAAACTCACTTGAGCATATTTGAGTGAGTTTATTTCCAGGTTCTTAGTCATGCTTCACTAATATATGTTTCTGTCCCTCTGCTAATAGCAGGGTAGTGACTAGCTTCATAAAATGAATTGGGAAGTTTTCTCTCATCTTCTGTTTTCTGTAAAGGAATGTGTAGAATTGGTGTTAGTTCTTAAATGTTTAGTAGAAATCTCTAGTGAAAACATCTGGGCATTTACATTCAATTTTAAAGTTTTGTTAGTCAAACTTGTGTCAACATAATGAGAGTGAAAGGGTAAAATCACTCTGGGAGGAGAAGTGAGAGAAGATAGTTGCAATATAACTGAAAGAAGGTTAGTATTTGAGATAAAGACATTTTACAGATTTCTAAGAGAGAAACAAAATTTGGGCAAAAAGCATAATCAGGCATTTCATGGAAAGGAAATGTGTTCAAAAACCTAGAGAAACTTGTTCAGACTTGTTAGTTCTCAGGGAAAGGCAAATTAAGACAGCCTTTTCCTACCCACTGGAATTGGCAAAACTTGAGTTTCCTGCTACTGGCAATTACAGCTATCTGCTCTGAAAACTAAAGTGTTACTCACAACTTCATTTTATGTTCTCTCTCCTTTGGTGATGTAGAAAGAGCATTTAATTCAGACCAGGGATTTGGAGAAATTAGACAATATTTTTTGGAGTATGTGCTTTGTCTTAAATTTTTGAAATGCTCTCCACAAGCCATAGAAAACTCTTCTTTCTTAGGGGAAAATACTCTTCTTTTGCCTTTATTGTCTTAATAGATGCCTTTATAGGCATTCAGGTGCCTTTTGGTTCTAGACAATATGATCGTTTTAGATGTTTCTGTGTATACTACTTATTCTCATTGGTCAGTTACTTCTTTAAACTTTGTGCTTTGAGGTTCACAGATTATTGAGCACGCCTAGTTTGAACTGTAGCAGGTTTAGAGTAAGGTGCATGACCCTGACTCGCATTTGATTTCATTAAGTTCCTTTTTTGGTCTTAAGAGCATAAGACTAAAATAAGATTATTTGGGGTAAGATTTTAATTACACTCATACTATATTCCATTGCCATTATTACTTGAATGTAGGTATGGGTAGATAGTATAGCTCCATAGATCATTACCTTTTGGTTTTGATCAAATCAAAAAGGTGTTCCTGATCATTTAGTTATTAGACTTTACATTAAAATATTGTAAGGATCTAGACCCTCAAAGCTTTAGCCTACAATATTCTCATATTGCTTACAAATACTCTGGCACTGATTTTCCCTGGGTTTGTAGGAGTAGCCTTACCTGTGCTTTTAAATCAGCATTCCCCAACATGGTCTAATAGTTTCTCAAGATGATCCATGAAAATAAAGTGTTTTTTTCATTAGTTTGGGAAATGATGTATGGGATAGCTCTTCAACCCACTCTCAAATAGATACAACGTATGTTAGCATATTAAGGTTCGTGATCAGGCCAGGCTCGGTGGCTTATGCCCATAATCCCAACACTTTGGGAGGCCAAGGTGGACAGATCACTTGAGGCCAGGAGTTCGAGACCAGCCTAGGCAACATGGTGAAACCCCATCTCTATTAAAAATACAAAATTAGCCAAGCGTGGTGGTACGCACCTGTAATCCCAGCTACTCGGAGGCTGAGGCAGGAGAATCACCTGAACCCGGGAGGTAGAAGTTACAATGAGCCACGATTGGGCCACTGCACTCCAGCCTGGGGCAACAGAGTGAGAGTCCATCTCAAAAAAAAAAAAAAAAAAGGTTTTGTTACAGAAAAGAGGTCCCAATCAGACCCCAAGAGAGGGTTATTGGATTAAATGCAAGAAATAATTCAGGGCAGGACCATAGAGTAAAGTGAAAGCAAGTTTATTAAGAAAGTAAAGGAATGAAATAATAGCTTCTGTATAGACAGAGACGCCCTGAGGACTGCTGGTTGCCTATATTTGTGGTTATTTCTTGATGATATGCTAAATAAGGGGTGGATTATTCATGCTTCCCTTTTTAGACCATATAGGGTAACTTCCTGACATTGCCGTGGCATTTGTAAACTGTCATGGTGTGGGTGGGAGTGTGGCAGTGAGGATGACCAGAGGTCACTCTCGTGGCCATTTTGGTTTTGGTGGGTTTTGGCCGGCTTCTTTACTGCACACTGTTTTATCAGCAAGGTCTTTATGACCTGTATCTTGTGCTGACCTCCCATCTCATACTGTGACTTAGAATGCCTTAATGTCTGGGAATGCAGCCCAGTAGGTTTCAGCCTCATTTTACCCAGCTCCTATTTAAGATGGAGTTGCTCTGGTTCACACATCTCTGAGAGTTTCATGATCAGTCTTGTATTATAAGGATAGGGGAACTTAATCCTTAAATTAAAATCCAATTTTAAACAATATTAAAATCCTGGCTCATTTTATTTAACCCAGCAATTCCTAAATTTACCTGAACATTAGCCACTTTCTCTGTGGGTTACCTACAGATATTAGGAAGAAGTGTCTTCGCAAAGTGTACTTCTAGAATACGGGCAATATGTCACTAATCTGTACTAACTTTGCAGTTTTCTATCTGTTCCAGGTTGTCATATGGTTGGCTTCTCACGTTTTCAGATACCTTTTATACTTGACAACTTACTCCTGCCCATGTTCTATTATAATCCCTTACTGACTGTAATACATAAATGCCTTATGATCTGTGCCTGTGATTCTTGGTTTTAAGTGAAGAGCAATAAGATATTAGCTTAGTCACTTTTTTTTGGTGGGGGGAGGGCAGATATTGAGATACTGATCACTTTGCTGTCCTAGTAAAATCTAGAAAGGAATTAATCTGCATGTATCATGATTGATGGCACTCTACCCAAGAGATTGGCAGTTTTATGTACATTTTGGATGTAAGCCCTGTCAGAATAACAGATGACCTCTTTTGTCTCTGTATGCTCACCTCTGAGACAGTCATTATACTTTCTTTTTCTTTTTTAGAGACAAGGTCTTGCCCTGTCGCCCAGACTGGAGTGCAGTGGCACAATGATAGCTCACTGCAGCCTCAGACTCCTTGGCTCAAGCCATCCTCCTGTCTCAGCATCCCACATAGCTGGATCTATAAGCACACATCACCACACCTGGCTCGTTTATTTTATTTTATTTTTTTTGTAGAGGTAGGGTCTCGCTGTGTTGTCGAAGTTGGTTTCAAACTCCTGGCTTCAAGCAATCCTCCTGCCTTAGCCTCCCAAAGTGTTGGGATTACAGGTGTGAGCTATAGCTGCTGGCCCAAACTTTTAAGTATAGCTCATGAGACATGCTGTGCCATAGACATACACTGTCCAGTACAGTAGCCACTAGTTGCATGTGGCTGTTGAATACTTGAAATGTGGCTAAATCAAATTGAGATGTGTTGTAAGTATAAAATACACATTGGATTTCAAAGACTTAGTATGAAAAAGATCTTAAGTACCTCAATATTTATATTCATTGCATATCAAAATGTTAATATTTTGACACACTAAAATATTTTACTAAATGTAATATCTGTTTTTTACTTCTTAATGTACTAGGTAATTTAAGATTTCTATGGTTTGTATTATATTTCTATTGGATAGTGAGACTGTAGGCACTTCTCCCGCGAAGTGATAGGTTTCAGAGACTAAGCCTGATTATCTAGGTTTTTATAAAGCTTTCTGGTCTGGGGAAAAATTGTGTTACTTGGCAGTTTTTCTGTGTGGCTGTGTGGTTTTTGTTTTGTTTTGTTTTGTTTTGTTTTTTGAGACAGAGTCTCGCTCTGTCGCCCAGGCTGGAGTGCAGTGACGCGATCTCAGCTCACTGCAAGCTCTGCCTCCCAGGTTCATGCCACTCTCCTGCCTCAGCCTCCCAAGTAGCTGGGACTATAGGCGCCCGCCACCGTGCCCAGCTAATTTTTTTGTATTTTTAGTAGAGACGGGGTTTCACCGTGTTAGCCAGGATGGTCTCAATCTCCTGACCTCGTGATCTGCCCATCTCGGCCTCCCAAAGTGCTGGGATTACAGGCATGAGCCACCACGCCCGGCCAGTGTTTTTTAAACTTTTGGCCAAAAAACAAATGATTTCTTATCCATACATCGCTTTGAAGTAGCCCAAAAAGAGACTACTACCAGACATTCCTACATAGAATTATGCTTTAGGCACAGGAAGGAAAATGAAAAATCTAGACGTATCTAACTATATCCTTAATAAATTATTTTACCTATTTCCACTAATAACTCTTCTATCTTTAAAAATATATCAGTTTTGGTATCTTCCTCTCTAGAGCATCATTTGAACATTGAGGAGATTACTTCGTAATTTTTTGATCTCCTTAGATAGCCTTCTCCTTTATAGATTGAAATGCTTTTAGGCTGGATTTTCTTTCCTTTGGTTCTATTACTGCCTTGTGGAAGAGAATTTTAATATTAACTATCAAATTGGTTTTCGAATTGTTTTGCCTTTTGTGATAAGAAAAGTTCTGTGATTCTTGGGTTTAAGTGGAGGACTACAGGACATTGAACTTGGCGACTTTATTTTTTGGACCAGATTTGGGATACTGAACCCTTTACTGCCCTAATAAACTCTTAACTCTAGAAAAGAGTAATAAGTCATGTCTTACAAGTATACCTGTAGGCCATTTTAGCTACAGTTTTAAGAAATGTTCTCATATTAATTTATATGAGACACTGGTATAGTCCGTAGTCTTCCCATTAAGCACCATTACCTGGATATGCCACCTTAATGGAATTCTCATTTTAACTTCAGCTCTCTAAACCATTTCCATTTTGGTTTTCTTTTTTATAATCATTTAAGCACCTAATACCATGGGCTGGTTTAATGCTTTTCAGTTAAAAAAAAAAAGACTTGTACATACATAGCATGTCACCTATTAGTGGCACCTAAAGTACATTCAAAAAATTGAAGTCACATTTATCCTCTTGTTTTTCTCAATTTAAAGATCTGCCTTATCTCTGACACAACTTTTTCTTTTTTTTTCTTTTTGAGACGGCGAGGCTTGCCAGGCTGGAGTGCAGTGGTGCGACCTCTGCTCACTGCAACCTCCGACTCCCTCATTCAAGCATTTCTCCTGCCTCAGCCTCCCGAGTAGCTGGGATTACAGGCATGCACCACCACACCCAGCTAATTTTTGTATTTTTAGTAGAGACAGGGTTTTACCATGTTGGCTAGGATGGTCTCGATCTCCTGACCTCGTGATCCGCCCACCTCGGCCTCCCAAAGTGCTGGGATTACAGCACTTTTACGACTTTTTCTTAATGTAACATTAGATACTAAGCTGCATGGTTTGTAACTTCCTCTGAAACTATGCAGTAGGAGAAGAAGAGTTGTTTTCCCCACTGTGCAATCCAGTGATGTTATCTTGCCCTGTGTTTTAGCTTCTTTTTAAATGTTTTATATGTTATAAAAACTTAAACAATAACAAAAAGTTTTAAAAGCTTTTTAAATGTTTGAAAAGAAAGTAAAGGCTTAAAATCTCATCTCCCAGAGAGAACAGTCATCCTTACAGATGGGTCGCTGTGCATGTAGCTATCTCATGTTTTCATTTCATTATTTTTATGGAGATTGTTTCCTGTTCTGTAGACTAGGTAAATTTGCCTGTATTTGGAACCTGCACCTACCTCTGAAGGTTCAGCACTAGAGGGCACTGACCTTTAATTCAGCTTATTTACTGACAATATATAATGTTTCTATGACAGAGGAAGTTCCAAAATGGTAAGACTGGGGCACAAAATATTCTTCTTGATTAAAATCCCAGTGTAAAGTGGAGGCATTATTATCAGACATAATCATAGCATTTTTAACTGGATAATGGAGCCAAATAAAAATCAGTGTGTGACCTTGTACAAGTCATTTTTTATCCTAATTTGTAAATGAAAGGGTTAGACTAGATTTAGTTTTAATGTAGCATTTATTAAGAACCTATTACATGCTTGTTATTACAATATGGCTTTTTATGTAAATGTTGAATCTTTATTTTAAAAACTCGAGATGTAGTATGCCTCGGGAAAAATGATTCTTCTAAGTCAAGGGCATATAGCTAGTAGTTGCAGAATTGGAATTCTTCCTGTCAAGACCATGTTTTTGGTTCCTGCTATATTTACCATGGTGTTTCTTACTAAATAAATTTATTTGAAGATCTTCTTAACTTTAAGGAGTATATTATATGTGCAAATGCTTTCCTGTTATTTGACATATTTGAATCCTGTTGACTCTTTGAGCTTTTAATATTAATATCAACCTGAAAATGCTTGCATTAAAGAAAACAGGGAAGGCATATAGATTGAGGCTAAAGAGAGCAGCACAATTTGTTCAGTACTCTGCCTCCCCAAAATACATATTTTTACAATCCTGTTAGAGCAAATTAGCTATTTTTAAATATTACAATGGTAAAATTCAGCATTTGGAGCAACCAGCAATCACGTAAGGAAAGATACCTATACGTGGAAGGACAGCAAAAAAGGAAAATAACTCATTAGAAAGCAAAAATGAGTCATTATATCCTACACTTTCAAATAATATTCTTTCAGTATCACTCAGTGGTAACTTAAGTAAATACTGATTAACAGTCACTCAGTAGACTGGTTATAGTGGTTGAATCTTTGATTTACAGCCTTCTCTTGTAAATTTTAAGTTTTTCACAGTTTAAATCAACATCAGAAGGTTTTTAGGTGTCAGACTGCAGTCTCTTAGCTGTAGGTCCTACATGGTTTATTTGCTTTTCCTTTTAAAAGGATCTGCTAAGTCCTTCCTCTCTTTTAACTTTTTTTTTTTTCTTTGTCAGAGATGGGGTCTTGCTATGTTGAACAGGCTGGTCTTGAACTCCTGGCCTCAAGTGATCCTTCCATCTTGGCCTCCCAAAGTGCTGGGTTACAGGCCTGAGCCACCACACCCAGTCCCCTCTTTTAACTTTTCATTGTAAAAAATTTCGAATGTATACAAAAGGAGAGAAAAGACAATGAACTCTCAGGTCTTTATTATTCAACTTTAACAATTAGTTTCATAGCTAATCTTATTTATCTGTAAGTCTTCATTGGTTATTTTGAAGGGAATCCCAGACATCATATCACATTTACAGTTTGTTTGAATCAGTGTCCTTATGGCTACTGGTGGATATCTCTCAAACTGTAGATCCCTTTAAAAAATTTTTTCTTGAAGTTTTTTATTTGTTGAAGAAATTGGATCCTTTGTCCTATGGAGTTTCCCACAGTCTGGATTTGCTGATTTTATCTTCATGGTGCTATGTAGCATATTCCTCTTCCCCTTTATTACTATAAATTGGTAGTTAAATAGAGATATGTTTCAATATTTCAGCAAGAATACTTTGTAGGTGGTGTTGCGTACTTACATTGGGAGGCTGAGTCCCTTTTACTCTAATGGAACATATTTCCTTGACTATACTGAACTAGACATACGTTGCTCTAGGGAGAGATGTTTTTCTTTTGAGGGCGTCTGAGGCAAAAGTCATTCTAGGTCCCATTCTTTTTTTTCTTTTTTATACTGCCTCCACTACAGCATTCCACCTTTGAACTTCAGGTTAGGGATTGTTGGGAAGAGGCTATTACCCACCTGTTGTATGCTCCTAAATTATTTAGTTAAGAATGTAGAAACCAAGTGACTATTCTGAATAGCAGCAAATACAGTATATCTAAAAAAGTTTTTCCCATCTCTTTAGGTTTCCTGTGGTACATATAGCCACCGTCCCTACGAGAAAGGTTCAGCTAGCATTGCTGTATCAAGTTCTGAATATATCATTGCCTTTTTGTACCTAGGCTTTCTTGAACATTCTGCAAAGACTTAATAAATGATATTTATAACATCACAATTTTCTGGATTTTGAACTAATTCAGCACTAGCAAGACCATATTCTCATCCTGGGGGAGAGAAAGCAGAGTCAGTGCCCAGATGCACTTAAGTGGTATATTTACCTCTAGCATTCCAGAATCCTGGAAAGCCCATCTTCCTGCAGTCCACCCCTTGAATCTGTTTTAATACCCTTTGACTTCTGTGGTTCAAATATATAGTTTGTATCAAAGACCATGATCCAAATACTTTTTTTCCACACTCCTATCCCTACTTTGCTTCCCTTTCTCTCCCTTCTCTTTCTTCCATCCTTCCTTTTATTGGTCACATGTTTATAATTGCCTAACGTGTACCAGGCAAAGTGCTAGACTTAGGAAGCAGGTTAACAAGACATAGGCCTTGTGTGCAAGGGAAGGGATGGCCCACTGGGACATTTCATTATCTATATGAAAAAAAAACTATCACATCACACATGGAATCCAGAAAAACTCAGCCCCCAAATGTGAAAAGCAAAAGTTTAGAAGAAAATAAAATAACTTTGGGAGCTCACGGTAAGGAAGATTTTTAAAAACATGTCAAAAGCACTTTTCATAAAGAAAAATATTTGACTATATTAAAATAAAAATTTTCCTTGGACAATGAACACTGTTTAAAAAAAGCAACATGCCGCTGATGGCGATGTAACTCAAGTAGTTGACAAAAGATTAGTATCTAAAGTATAAAAAGAGCTTCTATTAGTAAATAAAATAATAAAAACCACCATGCAGAAAAAGGGGTAAAGGATATGAGTAGGCAATTCACAGAAGAAAACTTAGTGATCAGCAAATACATTAAGGTGTTCAACATCACTGATTAAAAAAAATGCATTTTAAAACAAAATATTTCATACCCATCCGATTGGCAGAAGTCTGTCATTACCAATTTTGGAGAGGATAGAGAGAAATCAGTCTTATACACAGCTGATGGAGTATAGATTGGCCAAAATTACCTTGAAAGGCAATTTGGCAATAATTAGAAAGTTGAAGATCAACATACTGTAGTGTGTGTGCGAATATTTGTGTATGTGTCCAAGAAAAAGTCCTGCAATATGAATAACAAGATCTCCATACCAAACATTTGTTGCAATGTTGTATGTTACAGTACAGAGCTGGAAATACCGTTAAGAGCCCATTATTAAAGAATAAATAAAGCAATGGAATACCGTGCATATTAGTTTGCTAGGGCAACCATAACAAAGTACCACAGACTTGATGGCTTAATAGAAATTTATTTTATTTTATTTTATTTTTACCAGTTCTGGTGGCTTGAGGTCGAAGATCAAGGTGCCAGCAGGGTTGATTCCTTCCGAGTGCTGTATCCGTTCCATCAGATACAGCACTTGGGGGTTAGGGCTTCAACATACAAATTTGGGGAGGGGTCTGGACACACAATTGAATCCACACTTCTATGTAACAGTTAAAATGGGTAAACTAGAATGTATCAAAATAGATAAACTTCTAATGCCTATTAAGTAAATTTTTTTAAAAAAAAGAGTGATACATGCCGCAGAACTTCATGCCTGTGAAGTAAACAAAACTATTGTATTGTTTATGGAGATAGTCAGCATTTGTAGTAAATGTATATACATTCATGGGAATAATAACAACTTCTGGATAGCGGTCACCACTGAGAAAGGAATGGTGGAATGAGATAGGAAAAGATCCCATGGGGACTTTATCTGTAAAGTTTTCTTCCTTAAAGAAAAAAGGAAAAAGTTGAAGTTTGTTCAAACTGGCTAGCAGGTACATGGGTGTTATATTATTCTTTATAACTTTCCTATATATTTGGAACCTGATAATATTTTTTAAAAAGCAAAGAAAATATATGAATGAAATAATGTTATTAATAGAAGTTGAAAATTCATTTGTGTAATATGATCTAGTAATCAAATATCAGGCACAAGTTACCTTATGATAAAGTTCATTCTTCTGGCTGAAATTAGATTTTATGTTTAGAACAACAATAAAATCAATAAATCTTTATAGCATCCTATGTCAAAAGCAAGATGTTTACTTTCCATACATAAAAACGTGTGAGCTTTTGAAATGACTCATTTGTAGAGCATTGAGTTGCGTATATTAGGGAACTTCTTATAATGTAACACAATACATAGCATATGTCATTTTGTTCTAGAGCAGTGGCTCTCAACTAGAAACAAGTGGAAATAATGTGGGGCAATTTTAGCTGTCAGAATGTCTAGGAAGCACTGCTGGCATTTAGTGAACACCACTGTATGATTCCAAACATCTTATAATGCATTTGATAAACCCATAAAGTAAAGCAGGGTGCCATCCTAAATGTCAGTACCTGGTTGAGAAACACGGGTCTTTGGTTAATTTCCTTTCATGAAAAGTAGAGTCTCTAAAATTCATAAGAGCAGGCAAGTACTAAGAACAATGACTATTTCAAAGGCAACTTGGATTACAGAGAGAAACAGAATTGATAGTTTGCAATCTGTTGATTAGGCACTAGTAGTATCTAAAGGAAGTTTTTTCTTAATTTTATGATCCTAATTATTTTTTATTAAGTAAAATTAATAACATAAAAATTAACCACATAAAGTGTATGATTCAGTAGCATTTAGTAACTTTACAGTGTTATGTAGCCATCACCTCTATCTAGTTCAAGAACATTTTTCATCATCCAAAAGGAATATGCATTAAGCAGTCACTCTTCATTTCCGCAACCCCAACCAACCACTCATCTGCTTTCTATCTCTCTGGATATAGCTATTCTGGAGATTTTGTATACAGGGAGTCATACAATATGTGACCTTTTATGTCTGCCTTCTTTCACTTAGCATAAAGTTTTCAAGGTTTATCCATATTGTAGCATTTGTTGATACTGCATTCCTTTTTATGGTTGAATAATATTTCATTTTAATAATATATCACATTTTGTTTATCCATTCATCCACTTATGGTCATTTGGGTTGTTTCCTCCATTTGACTCTTGTGAACAGTGCTGCTATGAACATCAGCCCATTTGTGTAGAGGTTTTTGTTTGCATTCCTATTTTTATTTCTTTGGGTGGAATTGTTAGGTCAAGTGGTAATTCTCTGTTTTAGCTTTTTGAAGATATGTCAAGTTTTTCAAGAGCAGCCATATCATCTTTCATTCCCACAAGCAATGTGCAAGGATTCCAATTTCTCCCCATCCTTACCAACAGAATCCATTATTTTTAAGAAGACAAAGTAAGTGAATTTAAATGTCTTCATGGTGTGATTCCGAATGTTTTTTATTTCCTTTTTTTCTGGCTACACCTTTTTAGCATTAGCCACTATTATGACTATTATTATTTTTTTAAATATAAAAAATTTTGTTTTATAGCATATGAGCAAACAAAAGTAAAAGTAAATAGTTTTCATTTAATATAAGCAAGTATAAGGTAAAAATAAGTTTTGCTATGATGGACTGCGAGCCAAGTCACAACCTACAAAAGGGATCTGAAGTCAATGTGTTTTTAACGGAATTAATTATTTTATAGGGGTAGAAGCTAAGAGTTTGATTTGTCCTGGTAAGGATAGAATGTAAGAGCTTCTTCTCGTTGATCTATTATAGTATACCTCCTCTATTTCAGATTGTCTTTGGGTTAAATCTAGTATCTGGTATTCACAGATACCTCTGTTTCTATAACACAAGAAATTTGAATCAAGTATATAGGAGTTGTGAGTCACTCTGACTTCAGACTTGAGGACTCCAAATAAATGTAAAAATAGCATTGAACTTTTGGATAGAGGCTAAACTTGGTGTTGGAAGGGACAAGTGAGAGTCTCCTAGAATATTTTCTGCAGTAAAAAATAGTTTATCAATGATTTGTTGAAACTGGGGAAAGTTTCTGAAATGTTTCTAGCAAACAAGATATCTAAATGTTCTTTCTGTGATACTATTGCTTACATTGTATTATATATTATATATGTTTGGCCCATGACTGCTAATTTATTTATTGTATCATCTTTAAATTTGAATAAAGGGAAATGTTACATGGTATTTTTGTGACATTTCTTTGTGAGAAAGTAGGATTAGACTAAGTTTTTTTAATTTTTAAACACATGCTTCCTAAAATTTATTATTTCTTTTGTGTAGCCCCCCTGGATAAGAAAGCTTTATCTAGCTTCACCCTATAGTTTGATTTAGAGAAAACACAATATGCTTTCTCAAGCCATCTCTGTTGCTTAAATTTTTATCTGCTTTATTGCTGATGTTTTCCCCCTCTTCCCTACTACTTTATATCAATAACATTCTGGTAATATGACTTGAGATGTAAATCTTGAAAGATTTAGAAGATGAGTAGTTAGCATGTTCCATAAATGTAATAGTTATGATACCACAGCACAATTATGGTACTGAAATTTTGTTTTTTAAAATCTAATACCAAAATACCAGACTGATACTATTTAATTAAAATTTTTGTAAAAGTTAAAAATCAGCAAAACAGGAAGTTCAATGCCTGTCATTATCAATTATCAACAATCATCAATTTAAAAAATTAGAAAAATATTAATGTTGAGCATACATTGTCATTTGAACAAAACTTATTTGCAGATAAAATTAGTAGTATCATTTTATTCAAAAATAGAAAATGGCCTCAGAGGCTGCCCGTCTGCTGGTCCCAACACCACACGCGCCTTTCCTGCCTGGGTCTTGTTGCAGTCGCCGCCGCCACTGCACCATGGCTTTCATCACCAGGCAGTTCATGCACTCTTTGTCTTCCTTGTCCACAACCTTGGGCAAGAAAAATCATCATCAAGCACATGATGGTCATCAGCATCACACAGGTTGCTGCAGTGACCGGCCACACAGTAGTGTTGCTAGACCAGACAGAGGACATCTTGGCAAAATATAAAGAGGGAATTGAGAAAAGCCTTAGGAAAGTGACAAAGAAGTTGTTTGTAGAAAACCCTAAGGCTTTTGATGAATTTGTGGAGAAAACCCTAAGCAGCATATCAACCAGCACAGATGCAATATCCGTAGTCCACAGCACAGACCTAGTGGTAGAGGCCATTGTAGAAAATCTAAAGGTGAAAATCAAGCTCTCCAAGAGGTTGGACAAGTTTGTTGCTGAACATACAAGTTTGCCAGCAGCACTTCCTCTTTGCAAATTACAAGCATAGCCAATGCTACCACCAAACAAGACCGATTTGCTGGCCTCCATTTACTCAACCCAGTGCCCCTGATGAAATTTGTAGAGGTCTTTAAAACACCAGTGACCACCCGAAAGACATTTGAATCTTTGGTAAACTTGAGCAAAACCCTGGGAAAGCATCCTGTTCCTTGCAAGGACACTCCTGGGTTTATTGTCAGCTGTCTCAGGATTCAACACCTCATGGAAGCAGTCAGGCTGCATGAATGAGGTGATGTATCCAAGGAGAACACTGACACTGCTATGTAGTTAGGAGCCAGGTACCCCATGGGCTCACTTGAGCTTCTAGATTACGTTGGGCTGGATTCTGTGCAGTTCATCATGGATGGATGGCATGAAATAGATACAAAGAACCCCATATTTCAGCCCAGCCCATCCTTGAAAAAGCTGATGGCAGAGAAGAAGCTTGGCAAGAAGTCTGGAGAAGGATTTTACAAATACATGTGATGCTCAGCTTCTCTGGCACTGAGAAGAATCCCTGTGAGCGCTTACCAGCCAGCACCCAAAGTGCCTGTGAGAATACTCTTTGGTCAGACATTCCCTCACACAGCACAGTCTATTTGATAAGCATTTTGATTGTAATCTATCCGAAGTTATTATTACGCTAGATACAGTAGTAACAGATTCCACCATTAAGAACTAATTCCCATGTTTAGTCTGTTTATTTCTGTGTATTTTCTAAAAAGCGTTATACTGTTGGTGCTTTGGAACAAATGCTGTCATTTTTGTAAAGAATTGCCTGAATTCATTCTCTCATAAGGGGAAGATACTTGCTCTGAGAGTGAGAGTGAGAGTATATTGTGTTCATTGTTGCTGTGTGGCAGTCACAAGCCATTGGGACAGACAGGGTGTGTCTGTGGAGTGCTTCAGCAAGCAGCACCTGAATCTTGCCTTTATGAGAACATTTTGCCCCTTGCAGCCTTGAGCCTTACCCTACCTTCTGGGCACAACATAAGATGTTATATCTCCATTCAGCTGATCATCAAGACACTGCTGCTGCATGGGTGGGCTTTCCATGTGCTTGGTTTGCAGTAAGAGGTCGGTTTTCCTGGTCATTCAGTTCCACAGATCGTAATAATTACTATCTGTCTGGTTTTTTTTTCCCACAAGAAATCAGTGTTGCAAAATTGCCTATAAATGGACTAATAAAATACAGTCTTTTAGTCTGTCAAAATTTGAATTGAAATAAACATGTATAAAATAAAAATGTTTAAGAAACCCCAAAATAATAAATGAACATTTAAATTATGAAATATTTAAAAGTCAAATGTTATCTGCTTTTATAAAGTGCAGGCTCAGATGTGCATTGGTGGTTTATTATTGAGTGATACGTGTATTTTTGTGCATATCTTTCCAGCTGCTGAAAATGCTTTCTTAACTAGTTGGAGTAATGGTAAAAAGATAGATAATTGCAAATATATTCTTCTAACTCCTTTGTCTATAGGTAATTCCATTTCTTTTTTGATAACTTTGAGGTTTTGTTATTTGAAATTTTATTTACTTGAATTTTCATATATTTAATTTTTTAATCAAAGCTTTAGGAACTTATAATTTATTGACTCAAAAAGATATTACAAAACATGCTAACAAAAACCACAGTTACCCAAACCACTAACTCATTGCCTGTCAGAGAGAACCAGGTGCTTTCTCTTCTTTTACATCCCTACCTCTGTCCAGTGACAAAAATTGGCCAGAGAGGAAGGGAGCCCTACTGATGGTGAAAAGTCCAGCTTCCTGGGTTATCACAGAGGGTAGAGAGTGATTTCAAAGAGCAAACAGAAAATAGCCAGCCTAAATAGATTTAATTTCTAAGATGTCTCTTTTTAACTTTCTGAATATACTTTAAAAATATATGTATATAGTATCCAATTTGTGTTTCTTGAATGCCGTGTCTTCCCTTAACCTTTGTGAGGATTAAAATTTTGTTTTCTTTTTGCACAGTGTTATTTCTTCCAAGTAAGGGTTTCACCCCCTTTTTTCCTGTCTTTCATATTAGAGAGTTTTTTCCAGTTGTCTGTCCATCTGAGTATGTTTAAGAGTGGGGCACAAAAAGTTGATAGGAAGCTCTTCATGTGTAGATGGTGCTTCTGCTGTCTGATTCAGTAGGTCTGTAGTGGGACCCATAAATTTGCATTTTAACTAGTTCCCAGGAATACTGATACCGTTAGTCCAGGAATCATATTTTTTTAAGAACTGCTTTATTAGGGAATGCTTTTGTGATTCATATCTATGGAAGGGAATGGATGGGAAGGAAACAGCTTGGGCAGAGGTGAAGTTGAACTGTAATGCTGAAGAGTTCTGAAGATAGAATGACCAATCAAAGCTGTCCCAGGTTGGGGGAAGGGGCTGGGCCTTAATATCCCCATGTTGATTAGTGTCTAGATATGGGCTGTCCCTGGAAATTGGTATGACCTTGAGAAGTGATATTTCCTTCAGCCTAAGCAATCATACCCAAGGGTACAGACACTGAATGCTGACAGACACCCATGGCTTTGTGCTGCACTGCACTGCACTCCCAGCAGTGGACAAAATTCTTTCCTGAAAAGGGGAAATGGAGCATTGCATTATGTTGTCTGTACATGATCCTTCCCAGTGAGCAGGGAAGCCTCATCCTGAGACAGATACTTTTTCTAATTTTTCCTTTACCATGGATTAATTTTATCTACTCTAGAACTTCATATAAGTAAAATCATATAGAATGAACTTTTCTAGGTGTTTTATATGGCTCAGTATAATATTTATTAGATTCATCCATGTTCCTCTGTGTATGTATGGGTTACTTTTAATTGCTGAGTAGTATTCCATTGTGTGACTATGCCACAAAGCGTTTATTTATTCTTACATTGACATCATTTGGATTGATTCCAGTTTGGAATTATAAAGATGCTATGAACATTCTTTTTCTTCAACATCTGTTTTGTGGACATCTAGTTTGATTCCTGTTGGATAAATACTTATGGTAGGTTTATGTCTAAATGCTAAACTAGTCCAAGGTGGTTTTGCCTTTCACATTCCCACCATAAATGTATGAAAGCTATGGTTGCTTCAAAGCCTTGCCAATATTTGGGTTTTTGGAATTTTAAATTTAAGCCTCCTACTGGTGTATTGTTGCGATTTTGATTTGTATTTCCTTGGTGGCTTGGTTCCTTGAACATCTTTTCATGTGTTTATTGGACATTTGTGTACCTTTTTTGTGAAATATCTATTCCAGTTGTTTGCTCTTTATTAATTGAGTTACCTGTCTTTACTATGGAGTTGTAGGAGTTCCTTATGTATTCTGGGCATAAGTCTTTTGTCAGATATGTTTTTCGAGTATTTTATGTAGTTGTTTTTTTTTTACTGTCTTAATTGATGTCTTTCAGTGAATAGAAGTTTATTCTTATTTCGATGGGGTCTGATTTATTTTTATTTTTAGAAACAGGGTCTTGTTCTGTTGTCCTGGGTGAATTGCAGTAACATGATCAGAGCTCACTGAAGCCTTGAACTCCTGGGCTCAAGCAATTCTCAGCCTCCAAGTAGCTAAGGGCTACAGGCATGCACCACCACGCCTGGCTTTTTAAAAAAAAATTTGTAGAAATAGAGTCTCACTGTGTTGCCCAGGCTGGTCTCAAACTCCTGGCCTCAAGCAATTTTTCCGCCTTGGCTTCCCAAAGCCTTTTTAAAAATGTTTATTGCAGTGGGGCGCAGTGCCTCACGCTTGTAATCCCAGCATTTTGGGAGGCCGAGATGGGCGGATCACCTGAGGTCAGGAGTTCAAGACCAGCATGGCCAACATGGGAAAACCCCATCTCTACTAAAAATACAAAAATCAGCTGGGCATGGTGGCGTAGCTACTGGGGAGGCTGAGGCAGGAGAATCACTTGAACCCCGGAGGTGGAGGTTGCAGTGAGCCGAGATCGCACCACTGCATTCCAGCCTGGGTGACAAAGTGAGACTCTGTCTCAAAAAGAAAAAGAAAAAAAAATGTTTATTGCTTCTGTAACCCTAAGAAATCTTTGTCAGCTCTCACATCATATTCTCCTATGGTTTCTTCTAGACACTTTAAGCTTCAGCTCAAATTTTTCTATAGTATGAGGTTTGTACATTTGTTTACAGATGTGTCTAGTTACTCCACCAGGATTTGTAATAAGGATTTTCTTTTGTCCCTCGAATTGCTTTGGTACCTCTGCTGCAAATCAGTTTACTATGTAGAAGTCAGGTATCATTAGTCAGGTTTCATTCATACAACTTTTTCACTGCATGCAATGTTACTTTTTTCTGGCTGCTTTCACAGTGTGCTTTTTATCTTTGTTTTTTGATCCTTTTGACAATGTGTGGGTTTCTTTATAATTATCCTGCTTGGAATTTGCTGAACTTCTGGGATCTAGAAGTTTGTGTTTTTCATAGGATTTGGGAAGACTTTGGCCATTTATTAAACATTATATTTTTCTGTCTCATTATCTCTCCTCTCCCATTGTACATAGTTAGACCACTTGATATTGCACTTTAAATTTCTGAAGCTCTGTTTATTATTTTTAAAAAATCTTTTCTTCACATTCAATAGACCTATTGATTTTCCAGTTAAGTGACCCTTTTTCTGCCATCTGATCTCAAATTAAGGTCATCCAATGAATTTTTCATTTCAGACATTATAACTTTTAAGTTCTAGAACTTCCATTTGGTTTTTTTCATAACTTCCATTTTTCAGCTGAGATTTCCCCATGCGAACATTTATTATGACCATATTTTCCTTTAAATACTTGAACATGTTTATAATACTTGCTTTGAAGTCCTTGTCTGCTAATTCTGACACTTTGGATCATTCAGGATTTAGTGTCTGTGAGCTGCTTTTTCTCTTGACTCTAGGTCTTTTTTTCCTGTTTGTTCACTATAGTGTATTTTGCTTGTGTAATGGGCATTATCAGTGATATGTTATAGACTTTGGATTCTGTTCTTTTTCTCTGATGAGTGTTGACTTTTTGTTTTAGTAGACATCTAATGTGGCTGGATTCAAACCCCAACTTTATTTTTTCTGTGACAGGCAGCAGCAGAAATCTCATCTCAAATCCTTCCACCTTCCAGCTGTTTCTTTTTGTGAAGAACCTTGGAGTCTTCCTCAAACTAGGGTCATTCAAATACTGGGCGTAGTTCATATAGAAATTTTGGAGCACTTTCCTTTCTGGGATTTCACCTTTCACTTTTAAGCTGCCTTGGCAACCCCAAACTTTGTCCTTTTTAAGCTAGCAAGACAACAGATTCCTGCTTCAGTCTAAGTGACCATTGCCACATGGGCTGATAAGTACCCTCAGGCAAAAGCCTTATAAAAATTCTACTAGTGCACTTTGGGAGGCCGAGGCAGGTGGATTGCTTGAGCTCAGGAGTTCTAGACCAGCCTGGGCAACACAGTGAAACCCCATCTCTACTTAAATACAAAAAATTAGCCAGGTGTGGCAACATGCGCCTGTAATCCCAGCTACTCAGGAGGCCGAGGCAGGAGAATCACTTGAACCCAGGAGGCGGAGGTTGCAGTGAGCTGAGATCGTGCCTCTGCCCTCCAGCCTGGGTGACAGAGCAAGACTCCATCTAAAAAAAAAAAAAAAAAATTCTACCAGTACAGTTTTCTCATTTAAGGCTAACTTCCTTCCAGTTGCTTCCTGCTTTTGATTACTCTTTTGATTTAATGTTTGTTTTTATATTTTGTCCAGAATGTATAATTGTTATGTGTAGCAAGTTTATTTTAATATATGTTAACTTGTCGTTATCTGAAGCAGAACACTGAAGCATTATTTTAATTGAAACACTCAAAGTATATTCAGGTGTTAGTTCAGGAAACTGAAACATCCACTAAATGGAATATTACAAAAAATACATTACATTAAAAATTTGAAGACTCTTAGTAGAACATGATTTTGGTAAATTTAAATAATACCCTGCTTTGATTATAGCTGTGTTAAAAATTAGATATGTTCATGAATACATACAGGAGAGAATATGGGAAAGAAGGAAAGAGTTTATTGGTTGTAGTGGTGGAATTTGGGGGAAGTTTTCAAAAATATTCCATTAACACTGGTATAAAACTATGGTGTGTTTATTATACACACATATATGTATAGATATGTGTGTTTATTATACACACATGTATAGATATGTGTGTATATTATACATATATACACATACACACATGTATACAGTTCATAGGTATACATATAGTATATGTATACACCCATATAATAAAAGACTCCTAGACAGTATAGTTGAGCTCTTGTGGCAGGATTTTCACCCCACACTCCGGACATAAACTTTTGATAAGATATATACAGAAAGGTTATATACGTATATAAAAGCTTCAAATCAAGAAAGAGAAATTAAATTCATAGGTGCTAGTAACAAGGAATCAGGGGAGCTTACTTAAGAAAGGTCGTAAGCAGGAACTAATTTCTAAATGACCCATAGTGGTTTTCATGTCCTCATACAGACCTTAAATGCTGGGGATTGATGTCTTAATGTTCATAGGAATGTCTAGGCCACATACTCTGTGCCCTCACAAAGTAGTTGGAACTGATGAACTAAAGCATAGAACCTGAAGAGAGATTTTTACCTGTGAAATAGGACTAAAACAGGGAACCCACAGACAGACCCAGGAAGTTTCAGGTAAGCTTGCTGTTTGCTCAGGGCATGTAGAAGGGTAAAATATGAGAACCAGAGCCTTAAGCCTGTTTTGTAGATGAATGTGGAGTTTCATTTGATATAACAGTTTCCTTCTGGTACAAGGACTCTAAATCAATAAATCCGTATACAAATTGGTCTGGAACCATTAAACCCTTAGAAATTCAGCAGAGACAAATGTGAAACTGCTTCTGTAACCCACAGGATATGAGACTCCTCTGAAAAATAATCTTTGTGAAGATAAGTTCATAATTAAAAAATTTCAAATCACGAGAGAAATTAATGCCAATCCAGGTATACAGGACTTCCATGGAGAAAATATCCTCACTTAAAATGAACTCATGATTAAATTAAAAAGCATAAATTACACAAAGAAAGGGAGACTGACCACAAACTTCTCATCAGTAGTAAAAACCAGAAAACAAAAAGAAAGATGGTTTAACAAAATTAATATGCAGCAGAGTAGAGCTTAAGACAAAATGGCATTACTGAGTTTAAAGGACACTAGATCATGATTAAAGGAATATACTACCAAGAAAATGTAAAAATTATAGTCTTATTTATATAGAATGTAGTCTTAGCAGTATAGTCTTAGAGTTAAGAAGGCAAAAATTGACACTTCCAAAGAGAAATTAATAAATGTCCAGTTGTAGTTGGATATTTAACATATGTCAGAAACTGGTAGATAAAATGGCAATGAATTATTTAAACAGCATAATTAATAAACTTGATTAAATATAGATCTATATGGAAATCCCTCTAGCAGATAAATAGAGAATATAGGTTTATTTAAAGGATACATAGATTCTTAAAAAATATGACTGTGACTTGGGTCCCAAAGGAAGTTTTCATCATGAAAACCATATTCCCTGGCTGAAGTGAAAAAATAATTGGTGAGTAGTAGATAGTTTAAAAATAAAATACATACATATACATGGACATCAAATACTAAGTTACAAAATATTTAAAAGTAAATAACAAAATACTACGTAGCAAAATTTGTAGGTTCCAGTTAATGGAAATTTTTCAGGAATAGAAAGATAAAGTCTTTCTTTTGTGTGCTTATTAAAAACAAAGAACTAAGAGGAAAATGTGTTTTGTATTCAACTTTAACAGCATAAATACAAATAATGCAGAAGAAAAACAAAAAATAAAAACTGATGAGATGTCAAAAAAGCTCGATCAAGAAAACTCAAAGCTAGTTTTTTAAAAAGATACATAGATAAACCTCTTTGCCAGGTACTGTTCCTTGCGTTGGGAATATAGTAGTAAGCAAATCATACCAACTTCTGTCTTTATAAGCTAGTGGGGATGTTGGACAAACAGATAAATGCCAGTGGCAGTAATTATAATAAAGATAAATAAAGCAACGTGAATGACAAGATAGTCAGGGAAGGTTTCTAAGGAGATAACGTTTGAACCACTGAGCACAGAAAAGTAAGGGAGCAAGCCAGGCAGATAGCACTTTTGAAGAGTGTTCCTTGGCAGAGAGAACAGAAGAACAAAAGCCTTAACTATCATACTAGTAGGACTAAAAGAAGAGTGCCTTAAATTGATAGAGAACATTTACCAAAACAGATGTTACCAGAATTATTCTTGATTACAGAAAGTTTAGAAGTAAATTCTTTAATGCGGAAACAAAACAAGGATATCTTCTATCACTGCTACTCTTTATTATATTGGAGATTTTAGCCAAAGTAATTAGATAAGAAAAAGAAGGGAGAAAGAGACATAAAGATTGGAAAGGAAGAAAAATATTAATTATAAATGAAATGATTATCTACAAGAGAATCTACATACTATTAGAACTGTCCGGGCGCAGTGGCTCACACCTGTAATCCCAGCACTTTGGGAGGCCAAGGCAGGTGGATCATGTGAGGCTGGGAGTTTGAGACCAGCCTGACCAACATGGAGAAACTCCGTCTCTACTAAAAAAAAAAAAAAAAAAAAAAAAATACAAAATTAGCCAGGTGTGGTGGCACATGCCTCTAATCCCAGCTACTCAGGAGGCTGAGGCAGGACAATTGCTTGAACCTGGGAGGTGGAGGTTGCGGTGAGCCGCGATGGCATACTGCATTCCAGCCTGGGCAACAAAAGCAAAACTCTGTCTCAAAAAAAAAAAAAACAACTACATGCTGTTAGAACTAATAAGAGTTCATGAAGGTTGCTGGAGATAAGGTCAACATAGAAAACCAATAGTTTGCCTGAACATCAACACACAGATAAAATTCACAATACCATCTGTAAGTTGCCTTGTACTCTTTCTAACAAAAGATTTATTCAGAAAGGAAATGACATTTTAAGGACAGATTAAAAAAATGCAAATTATCAGTCATCTTCTCCCATTCAACCTATAACATTAATACAGTCCAAAAATAAAGTCCTACATAAAGTTTAGGAGGACTGTTGTGAAATTAGAAAACCCGATTGAAAAATTCACCTGGAAAAACAAAGGTCCAAGAATTGTCAAGACTGTTTTGGAAATGAACAAGGGGGGTCATGCAATCAAATAAATAGACCTAAATTTTATAACAGTAATAAATTTGAAGTGTGGTGTTAACTTAGGGATAGGTGAGTAGATTAATAATAAAACAGAAAAGGCCCAGAAAAAGATTCAAGCGTGTACAGAAATTTAGTATAATAAAATAGTGAATGGGCTCCCAGATGGAAGTAGTATATACTGTATATTACACTATACCATATACAAGAATAAATTCCGATTAAAGATCAAAATGAGAAAAGCTAACTTCAAAACTTTTAGAATAAAATATAGACTGCTTTTAACCTTAGCTAGATAGGATTTCTTAAATAAGACATAAAAATAACTCATAAAGGAAAAAAATTGACTAGATCAAAAATGTTAACTTTAATAAAAGTTATTAACAAAGTTAAATATGTATAATAGAATTAGTATCCAGAATATATAAAGCTTCTATAATGTAATAAGAAATAGCTCCGCTTAAAAATATGCAAAGGATAGGAACAAACAATTCATAGGGGAGAAAATCCCTATGTCTAACAGGCAGGTAAAAAGGCACACAACATTGCTAGTAATTGAGGAAAAGACAATTTTTTAAAAAAATACAATTTCATGCCCATTGGAATAGTAACTTTTTAGTATATATGTATTACCTATATCATGTATAAATGGCATATATATGCAAGGTAATAAGAAAATAGGAACTATCATATACTGCTAATGGAAGTATAAATGGATACAAGTGTTTGAGAGAAATTTGTTAATATAAAATAAAATAGAAAAAAATCATTTATAAGCCCTAGAAAATTGACTTCTAGATTTAAAGCTGAGAAATTCTTACAGGTATATGCCAAGAGACATATACAAAGACACTTATGGCAGTATCGTTTGTAGAAAAACTGGAAGCTACATAATTACCTTTCAGTAGAGGAATAGATGAATAAATTTTATTATTCATTCAATGGGATAATTTTTAGTAGTTAAAATGAATGAATTTCATTTAAGTGTATCAACATGGATGGATCTCAAAAACAATGTTGAATTAAAAAATTGTAGAAAAGTACAGTGTGATGGAATTTACATAAACATTTAAAAGCTTCACAGAACAGTGTATGTTGCTTATAGATTTTTGTTTAATACAAGTAACAACTTGAAGTAACAACTGGAAAGTTTACATATTGGATTAATGATAGTTGCCTTTGAGAAGGTAGGGAGGGGTATAAGGCTAGGCAGAAGAAAAGGGGAACTTAAAATTCATCTATATTTTTCTATTATGTTTAAGTATAAAGTAAAAATAATCAAGGGGCTAAGTTAAGTGATTCCAGGGCCCTCATCTACCAGAAGGGCTTTCAATTTTCTTTATAACTCTGTCCTTTAAAACAGCAGTCCCCAACCATTTTGGCACCAGGGACCAAATTCATGGAAGATAAAAAATTTTCCCACAGATGGAGGGGTGGGGGAGATGGTTTGGGGATGATTCAAGCTCATTACATTTATAGTACAGTTTATTTATGTTATTATTACATTGTAATATATAATGAAATAATTATATAACTCACCATAATGTAGAATCAGTGGGAGCCTGCTTGTTTTTCTGCAACTAGATAGTGGTCTCTTCTGGGAGCAATGGGAGACAGTGACAGATCATCAGGCATTAGATTCTCATAAGGACCATGCAACCTTGATCCCTCACATGCACAGTTCACAATAGGGTTCACAGGCTCCTATGAGAATCTAATGTTGCCACTGATGTGACAGGAGGCAGAGCTCAGGCAGTAATGCGCTTGGTTGCTCACCTCCTGCTGTGTGGCCCCGTTCCTAACAGGGATGAGAGTTGGGGACCCTGCTTTAAAAGGCTATCATTTACATATATTTTTTAGAGGTTTACCAAGTTGTTTGTGATAGGTGGATAGAACCATCCTCCTTAGATAATCCCATAGAGTAGTCAGTTACTGGTAGAATGAAAATATATTGAGATCTATATGTTATAAAATAAACATTTCATTTTCATACTAATTTATATAAAAACTCATTCTTAAGTGGTCCCAGTCTTTCCAAGGACTTTTTCTTCATCTGGGGGACTGAAATTTTTTTTTTCATTTATTCATTCAACAGATTTTATTGAACTCCTTACATATACCAGATGATACAGCAATGAGCAAAACAGACAAAGCCTGCTATCATGAAGCTTAAATTCTAGTCAAGGAAGATAGCTGGTAAACAAATTAATAAAATTATAACATCACTGGTGATAAGTGCAATGATGAAAAATAAAGCAGGATGAGAGCTATAGCGAGTGACTGGGAGTATTTTATATGGGGAAGTCAGGGAAGAACTGTCTGTTGAAGATAACATGGAGCAAGTAACAAAGAAAGTAAAGGGATAAGTTATATGGGAGAAAAGTCCTAGAAGCTGACAGAGCAAGCCAGTGCAGGGCCCACTCCTGCCGCGGAGCTATCACGGAGGCTGCCTGGCTAGAGCTGAATGAATGAAGAATAGACTAGTATGAGATTAGATCAGAAAGATGGCAGAGGATTGGGTCATACTGGGTTTTTATGGCCATGGTAAAGACTTTGGAGCAAAGGACTAATGTCATCTTCAAAAAGAATCACTCTGGCCACTTTGTTGGGAGTAGCCCACAGGGTGTGGTGGTTGGTGATAGGGCAAAGATAGAAACAGAGAAACCAGTTAAAAGGTTATTGTAACACCTTAGACAAGAAATAATTACTCTTTATTTTGTTTTATTTTTTTTGGAGACGGAGTCTTGCTCTGTTGCCCAGGCTGGAGTACAGTGGCACAATCTCACCTCACTGCAACCTCTGCCTCCCGGGTTCAAGCAATTCTCCTGCCTCAGCCTCCCAAGTAGCTGGGACTACAGGTGCAAGCCACCATGCTCGGCTTTTTTTTTTTTTTTTTTTTGTATTTTAGTAGATATGGGGTTTTACCGTGTTGCCCAAGCTGGTCTCGAACTCCTGAGCCAAGGCAATCCACCTGCCTCTGCCTCCCAAAGTGCTGGGATTACAGGCATGAGCCACCACGCCTGGCCAGTAATGACTGTTTAGACCAAGGTGATGAGAGATGGTTGGATCCTGGATATATTACCTTTTTAGCAGCAATTCTTAATATGTAGATTACTCTCACATCTCAGAGGAAACTGGGAGTTATTGAGAAGAGAGAAAAAATAGTACAAGTTAGGTGCCAATGAATTATAAGCTATACAAAGAGATTTTAAAACCTAAAAATCTTTTGTAGGACTGTGGGAAGGGGATTTCAGTACCTCTTAACCTATCCTTTATCCTTTACTTTTTTTTGCTCTTTTTAGTCGTTCTGAACTTTGCAGTTAAACTGAATCCAGTCATATTTTATTGTTTAGAAAATGAAATTTGAAATCTGGGTACAGGCATAAAATTTTGTTATTAATGATTGTGTTAAATGAGATTTAAATACTAATTTTTTTTATATTATAGCTTAGCTGTATGGCTACATACAAAGGCAAATAACCAATTTTGGTTTACATATATTTGGCTTTATAACTTTTT
Organism: Homo sapiens; assembly: GCF_000001405.40. Taxonomy (NCBI): domain Eukaryota; kingdom Metazoa; phylum Chordata; class Mammalia; order Primates; family Hominidae; genus Homo; species Homo sapiens. The sequence continues at coordinate 56,180,130 of NC_000015.10, read as the reverse complement.
ACAGAAGACAATTTGGTTTTAACATCTTTTAAAGATTGTGTGTAAACTGTTCCTGAACATTTTGCACGATTTCTTTGCATTTTCACTTTCCTATGTGTTACAACAAAATCCAAAGGATAGTTGTTTAAATTATTTTATACTGGCTTCATTTGTGTTATATATTAACAGTTCACTTATATTCAGTAGTTCAGTTAAATTGATGTATAGTGGCTTTATTGTATTATTTATTTCTAAGTGTATTTTTCTGCCCTCCCAATTTATTACTATATTAGTTAATCTTTTATTATTGCTTTTATGTCTAGGGATTCCTGTTACTGGTGTGTGTGTGTGTGTGTGTGTGTGTGTGTGTGTGTGTGTGTGTGTGTGTGTTGAGACAGAGAGAGGAGGGAACAGAATCTTTTATGTATCAAATCTTACAAGCTACAGATTGTAGTACATCGTTATGACTTTTAAGTGCTAAGCAAATTATTGTCCAGAGTGGCAGGCAGACAGTAAAAATCATAATTATTGTAAGCTCTGGGCCATACTTGTAAGTATAGTAATAAATCTGCACTTATACACTGTTAAAAATTTAATTGTTTATTCAAAATAAACTTAGGAAATGTTTTAACCATGCTTTAAGATTAAATTTAGTACAGTAAATGGGAAATAGATTTTTGTTTTGCTTTGTGAAAAACACAGATTTAGGCTACAATCCCTAATCTTAATAGGAAGCTGTATTTATTTTTTTCTTAGTAAGGAAGACTAAATTACCACATCTTTTTGAGAATATTGCAGATAGTTAATAAACTTTTCATTTTACTAACCTAACTTTCTCTTTCTTTTAGCAAAACTGTACAATCTAAAGTGGACTGCATTTTGGTAAGTGAAATAACTAATATTAAAATCCTTTTGCAATAAGGTTTTTATGACGATATAAAATATACAGTTTTCAAGTAAATATTGATTTTAAATATAATCTAACTCCAGTGAATAAAATTTGATATTTTAATTACAGCCCCCTCGGGTGAATTGTTTATAAGCTACCTAGATACTTACCTGTATCTCATCAATAATAAAATCACAATCTGAGGTAATTACATGTTTTTGAATCTTAACTGGCTCTTACTGAAAGACTGCTTAAACGAACAATTAAATTGGATATTTATTTTTCTATTCTAATAACTCTGAGAATTTGTTTAGAGAAAAGTTTTTGAAGATGTTTAATGGGTTAGTTTTGTTGAGATAGTGTGTTTTTCATGTTTTGGTTGGCAGCCTGTAGGAATTAAGCCATAATAATAGTTTAAGTTTAGATTCTACTTAATAGAATTGTAAAAATTTGTTTTCAAAAACAGCTTTTAAGATGCTTAGTGGATTAGTTTTTGTGGGGTTGCCAGCTTTCAAGATTTAAAGCCACAATAATAGTTTAAATTTAGATTGTGTTAGTATAGTAGTAGTTTCATAGGTCTTCTTTTAAACGTGTGAGGGAAGGAGCATTGCAGCTACTGGGACATCTGGAATACTGCTGATTTCTTTCATAAAATCTCTACCAAAAGGATAGCCTCTAGGCTTTAGAACACACGAAGGCTCTATACTGTTAGATTCCCCAAATTGTCAGTATAGTTAGTTCTCTTTCCCCACTTGTGACTTGGGAAGTTCTCTTATCCAAGTTTGGGTCTTGCTTATAAGCTAACCTGACTATGTTGTTGTTGGTGGTGGTGGTGGTCTGTTACAGTGTCTGGTGCTGAAATAGTATGATGTCTTATTAGCTTATATTATTATTAGCTTATTATTCTATAGGTAGCTGAATACATAGGAATAGTTTATAGGAGAAGAGGAAATTTAATCAGTTCTCTTACACTTTTCTAACCTAATAGCTAGCTAAAAGAGGACTTTGTGGAGGTGTTTTTCTTTTTCCTTTCATTTACTCTTCTTTTTGTTGTGTGTGTGTGTGTGTGTGTGTGTGTGTGTGTGTGTGTGTGTGTAGTTTTTTGGTTTTCGAGTTTTTTTTTTTGTCTTATAATAATCCTCTGAAGTAGGTAATCTTGTTACCTCCCTTTTACAAATGAAGACACCAATGCTCTTGCATTTCATTCAAAAAATTATTAAAATTATTGGACATCTTCTGTCTGCCAGTTTTACTCATAAGGAATACAAAACAGAAAAGACATATTCCATGCCCTTAAGAAATTTAGTCTGTTATAGAGAGATATATTCAAGACTACTCTTAAGACCTAGAAAAGTGGTGACTGGGAGTGGAGGGAGTAATACATTGCCACCAACCCCCAGAGCATTTCCTCTGTCTTCCAACTCTTAAGAGTCTCATTGTTAATGTGTCATTCTGTAATTATTTCATGTTTATCATATACTAGACCCTGTTCTTGGTACGAGAGTACAGTGGTAAGCAAGACAGACACAGTTCTTGTCTATATATGGCCACCCACTCTCTTTGCAATACTTGAGATAACTTTGGAGGATCACTCACTTTTTTCTCTTCATTAAGAAGAGGTAGAAGACTGGTATAAATTATAAAATATGACACTTATAAAATACTAAATAAGAACAAAGTTCTTTTTAAAGTCTTTTAAGAGTTCAGAAATGTTTACATTTTAGTCTAAGTTTTAGAATATATGTAAATTTTTACTCAGTAATTAAAAAATATTGTGTTAGGTCCTGGACATACAGTGATGAACAAGATACTAAGATCTCTCCTCTCATGATCCTTTTATTTTATTGGGTGAGGTAGACATTAAACAAGTGACTAAATAATTAAGCATTACAATTCAGATAACGATAAATGATACTCCACAATTTTTAAAAGGGAAAGGGAGGCAAGTGATGGTGGGTAGGGTAACCTTAGATAGGGTGGCCAGGAAAAGCTTCTCTGAGAATCTTCTCTGAGGAGATGACATTTGAGTGCCGACCTGAGTAATAAGAAGCCAGCTTGAGTCATGATCTCCTGGTGACACACATGAGGTAGAAGGAACAGTAGGTACAAAAAATCTGAAGCTGGGAATGAGTTTGCGGTATTTGAAGAATACAGGATCCCAGTATGCTGGAACTTACGGAAGGAAGTAGAGAATGATAGAAAAGTTCAAGCAGGAAGTAGTTCATGTATTACATATTTAGTCATGGCAAGTAGTATCCTAAGTGCATGAAAGCTGATGAGAGGATTTTATGCAGAGAATAGTGCAATCTGTTTTTTTTTTTTTAATACCCTGGCTGTTGTTGGAACAGTGGATTGTAGGGGGATATGAGTAAAAGCAGGAAAATTAGTTAGGCTATTGCAGAAGTTCAGTAGATAATTCAAGGCTCTTGCTCAGATGATGGCAATGGAAGATTTTTTTTTGTAAGTAGATGGATTTAAGGCATTTTTGGATATAAAACTAGTAGGCCTTGCTTGCTGATAGATTCAATGTGGAGGGGAAACAGAGGAATCAAGGATGATTCCTTTCAGTCTAAAGCAGTTCTTCTAGTATTTATTATACCACAGGTTTGTGTGTAATGAATTTTCTCAGTCTGTGTTTATCTATGAATGTCTTTATTTTGCCTTCTGCTTTAAAAGATGGTTTTGCTGGAAATAGAATGTCTGGTTTACAGTTTTGTTTGCTTGTTTTTTCTTTCATTGTTTTGAATATGTTAATCCATTACATTTTGGACATCAGCCATTAATTATATTAATGTCTGCCTGTACGTAAGTTTTCTTTTGTTGGTATTAAGATTTATCCTAGATTGATTCTGTCACTCATTCACTTCTCCTGTCTCTCTGACTTTTAACAGTTTGACTACGTATATAGTGGATCACTTCATGTTTGTCCTACTTGGGCTTTGTTGAGCTCACATAGATTAGTTAGGTTTGGGATGTTTTCAGCCATTATCTTTCCAAATACTTTTTCAGTCCCTTGATTCTCTCCTCCCCTTCTAAAATGCCCATTTCACGTATGTTGAAATGATTGATGTTATTATTCTCTTCTCTCTGAAGCTCTATTTACTTTTTTCTCTGATTATCTTTATTTGTGCTCTAGTTTCTCTATTAAGATTTCCTGTTGTCTGATTCTTTGTCATTGTGTTTTTCTTTGCGTGTTTAAACACAGGCTGCCTCATCCTAGCAACACTACTATTTTAACCATGTGGGATAGGTCATGGCAGCAGCCATAAGCAAGAATAATAGACTCTCATAGTTACTACTACCTAAAGTTCAGTAGTCACTAATGACTAAACACTTCCCAATATGTTGTTTGCCTGTAGTTAGTTTCCAGAGCCTAGTTTCTGACCATTTTGTGTCATTTTATACTTGTTTGTAGGGAGGATTGGCCAGCCTCTTTACTTCCTTTTCCAGATATCTCAATCTTCTCATAAAGATTTTATTAGGTTTTCTTCTAGAAGTTTTATAGTTGTAGTGTTTTTCTTTTAGATGTTTGAACCATTTTGTGTTAAATTTGTGTTTGCTTTAAGTTGAACTTCAAGGTTTATTTTTTACAATATGGATGGATATCCAGTTGTCCAGTACCATTTATTGAAAAGTCTGCCTCTCCCCAGTCACTTCCTATATCAAAAATCATTATATGTGGGTGTTTTTCTAGGCTCTTATTTTCCATTGATTGCTGTGTCTGCCTTTATGACATCACTACACTGTCTTGTTTACTGTGCTTTATAGAAAGTCTTGATATCAGATATATAAATGGTTCATATATTTTTTGGCATTTCCATACAAATTTCAGAGTTACTTTGTCAATTTTTATTTTTAAAAAAAGTTCTACTTGGATTTTTATTGGGATTACATCAAATTTATAGATCAATTTGGACACAATTGATGTCTTATTAACAAATTTTAATTCATGAGCTTGGTGTATCTCCATTTCAGTTGGTTCTTCTATAATATCTTTCAGCGTGTTTTGTTATTTTCTGTGTATAGGTTTTGTACACATTTTATTAAAACTAAAAGTTTTTAGATGCTACTGAGTATGGCATTTAAAAATTTTTGTTATCCATTGTTTTATTGCTAATAGTTATAGTGATCTTGTAACCTGCAAACTTGCTACATTCACCTATTAAATCTAGTAGCTTTTATGTAGTCTTTAGGATTTTCTACCCACTCAATCATATTATCTACGAATAAAAAGAGTTTTAATTTCTTGTTAATTTATATGCCAATTTCTTTTTCTCACCTTATTGTACTGCTAGGACCTCTGGGAGATAGGCTAATAGAAATGTGAGAGTGAATTTCCTTGCCTTGTTCCGGATCTTAAGGAAAAAACAGTGATTCATTCACCATACAATATGAAGTTAACATTAGCTTGTTCATGGACGCTCTTCATCAGGTTAAACATGTTACTTTCTGTTTCTATTTTGCTAAGAGTTTTTTTTTTAAAATCATAGTTACTTGCTGATTTTTTTATTTTTCTTAGACGGAGTCTGGCTCTATCAACCAGGCTTTAGTGCAGTGGTGCAATCTCGGCTCACTGCAACTTCTGTCTCCCAGGTTCAAGCGATTCTCCTTCCTCAGCCTCCCGAGTAGCTGGGACTACAGGCATGCACCGCCGTGTCCAACTAATTTTTGTATTTTTAGTAGAGACAGGGTTTCACCATGTTGTCCAGGATGGTCTCGATCTCTTGACCTCATGGTCTGCCTACCTTCGCCTCCCAAAGTGCTTTGAGATGGGATTACAGGTATGAGCAACCGTGCCCAGCCACATGCTGATTTTTATCCAACAATTTTTCTATACTTACTAATAGTTTGTTTCTCTATTATCACTTTTCTTATTCTTTTCCCCTGAACTATCTAATCTGCTATAAATCCCATCTAATAAATTTTCTCTTCTAGATCTTATATTTTTTTCAGTTCTAGAAATTCAACTTTTTGGGTTTTTTTTGAGACAGAGTTTCACTTTTGTTGCCCAGGCTGGAGTGCAGTGGCACAATCTCAGCTCACTGCAACCTCCGCCTCTTGAATTCAAGTGATTCTCCTGCCTCAGCCTCCCAAGTAGCTGGGATTATAGGCGCTCACCACCATACCCGGCTTATTTTTGTATTTTTAGTAGAGACGGGGTTTCACCATGTTGGCCAGACTGGTCTCGGACTCGTGACCTCAGGTGATGCACCCACCTCAGCCTCCCAAAGTGCTGGGATTACAGGTGTGAGCGAAATTCCACTTTTTTATAGAAGTTTTTATATCCTCCATTTTGTTTCTGTCTTAAATACCTGTCCTAAATTCCTTGACTGCTAATTGTAGTATCTCTATCATTTGTTTATCATTTTCTCTATCATCTTATCATTTTGTTTCTGTCTTAAATACCTGTCTTAAATTCCTTGATTGCTAATTGTATTATCTCTATCATTTTTGTGGTCCCTTTTTTTTGAGATGGAGTTTCACTCTTGTTGTCCGGGCTGCAATGCATTTCAGAACCACAGCTCACTGCAACCTCTGCTGCCTGGGTTCAAGCGATTCTCCTGCCTCAACCTCCGGAGTAGCCTCCAGAGTAGCTGGGATTACAGGTATCCGCCACTACACCCAGCTAATTTTTTGTAGTTTTAGTAGAGACAGGGTTTCACCATGTTGGCCAGGCTGGTCTCGAACTCCTGACCTCATCTGATCCACTTGCCGTGGCTTCCCAAACTGTTGGGATTACAGGCGTAAGCCACTGTGTCCGGCCTGTGGTCCATTTTATTTACTGATTTTCGTTGCAATTACAGGTCATAATTTTCTGCTTCTTTGCATATGTAATACTTTTTAATTTAGTGCTGAACACTGATTTTTATGGTTTTTGAGCATTTGAGTTTTCTTCTCTTCCTTTGAAGTGTATTGAAGTTTGTTCTTCTCTTCCTTTAAAGTGTATTGAAGTTTGTTTCAGCAGAACTGGAACATGTGTCAGCCACTTGTAGATCCCTGGTAGCTCTTTGCCCAGCCTTTTGGAGTTTTTATCTACATATATACAGTTTAGTTTTCAGCTATAGATTCCAAATTCCAAATCTACATAGGGATTTGTGTAAATTTTGAAGCTGTTTATTTTTCTTCCATATGATTCTTTGCCACCTCGAACACTAACCTCCTTCTCTTTAGCTCTGCAGTACTGCCTTGCTTTGCTTAAGTTGCTTCTTTCTGCACGACAGTCAAGTTGTCTTCAGATAGAATCGTCTCATTTGTTTTTTTCTTTTTCAGGTCTAACAGTCTATGCTTTTTGTTGTCCAATTTCTGAAAACACTTGTTTCTGATATTTTGTTCATGTTTTGAGATGGTGGTGCTGGGAGAGTTGCTGCAGTATCAGGTACTCCACTGCGGCCACATGCAGAAGTCTATTAACAGCTATTTTAAGGATTCAATAAAATATATAGGCCCCTTCACACCCTCTTTTTCTTTAGTGATTTATTTTCCACTATTCTCCACTAAACCTGTTTCAGACTTCTTTAGCTCAAGCTACTAAACTCGCCTCTTCTTTTCTTGCTGCCGGTAAATGATCTTGCCTTCTACTTCTCTGAGAAAATAGGAAGTTGCCTTGTGGTACTCCACCAAATTAATACATTTCTTGTCCCTAACTTAATACTTGCTCAATTCTATACCTGTTCTTGTCTTCTTTCCCTTATCTCTCAACAGAAGAGTTGTCCTTCTGCCTGTCTGAATGCTGATCTCTCTCTGCCTACCCTCTAGGTCTCATCCATTCCTATCTCAGAATTCATGTTATGATTCATTCTCTTTCTCCTACTTCTTTATTTTCTTATTTTTTACTAGCCTATTCTCATGAATAGTTAAATGCTTAATTTTACCCCCATATTTAAAAAAGAAATCCTTCCTGAAACCCACAACCTTTCCTCTAGCTACCACTGTATCTTCTTCCCTTTGAAAGAAGAAAGTCAAAGTTTAGTCAAAGTGTTGATTGAATTAGTCTCATGCCTCACCTTCCATTCAGTTTTGAACCCCAGTAACAAAAATCTTTAATACCACTCCTCTGAAACTTTTATAAAGGATACCATGACCCCTCACTGCTGAATATAATAGGTAATATCACTTCCAAATGACAGCCTTTTTTCAGTTCACTCTGTTGACCATTTCCATACACACACTACCCCCTCATCCCCCCAGTTTGGTACATTCTCATTTTTAAAATTCCTTAAGATGTCACACTATCCTGGTTTTCCTGTTACATTTTAGGCCGTTCCTTCTCACACCCTTCAAGGGTGTCTGTTGCTTTGCATTTTGTCTATATTTGTCCAAAATAATCTCATCTACTTTGATGGTTTCAATTAGTCTCATTATACCAATGACTCCTAATTATATGTCCCCATCCTAAGCTCTAGGCCCATATAATCCAACTCTTTATCAGCTGATCAGTTTTACCTGGATGTCACATAAGTACTTCAAACTCAACTTTTCCAGAGCCAAACTTGTATCATACCCCCACTTCTATAACTATCTGTATTAGTCTCCTATTGCTGCTATAACAAATTAACATACATTTAGAGGCTGCATAAAATAACACAAATTGATTATTTTAGACTTCTGTGTGCCAGCAGTCTGACATGGGTTTCACGGGGATAAAACTAAGTTGTTAGCAGTGCCATGGGTTTTTTGTTTTGTTTTGTTTTGTTTTTTTTCTGGAGACCCTAGGGAAGAATATGTTTCCTTGCCTTTTTTAGCTTCCAGTAGCTGCATCTTCAAAGCCATTAATGGCTGCTTGAGCCTTTTTACATTGCATCATTCTGACAGGGCTCTTTTTTGTAGTCAAATCTCTTTCAGCCTCGCTTTTATCAGGATACCTGAGTATACATTGATCCTACTCAGGGAAGCCAAGATAATCTCCCCATCTTAAGGTCCTTGATTTGGTCCCATGCCATGCAAATTTCCAGGGGTTCAAAGATTAAGACATGAACATTTCTGGGGTCATTATCCTATCATACTATCTTAGTGAATGGTACTCACTCATGTAACCTAAAAACCTAGAGGTCAGTCTTGACTCTTCCTCAGCCTGCTTTACAACTAGTCAGTCACCAGATCCTATCAGTTCTGACTCCTTGGTTGCTCTATTTTTGTGTATTCCTACTGCTACTGCATTAATCCAGATCATAATTATTTGAGATACTGCAACTCTTTTTCTGCTTCTAGTCTTTCCACATTCGTTCTCCACACTATCATCATAGTCGTCTTTATAAAGTTCTGTTTATTTCACACCTTTGCTTAAAACCTTTCATTGGCTCCCCATTGTTCTGCCTTATGGTGTGGAAGATTCTTCATACTCAGACCTTACCTTTTTTGTCCAACCTCATCTTTCTCCACTCTCCCCACAGCCTATCAGCAAACTGTGGAATAGAAGACAATATTTACTCCCTCAATCTGTAAGAGCATTATCCATGGAACTTTCTGTGGTGGTAGAAATGTTTTATATCATATATGCACTATTCAATATGGTAATCAGTAGCCATGTGTGGCTACCGAATACTTGAAATGTGGTTAGTGTGACTGAGGAATTGAACTTTTAATTTTGTTTAATTTTAATGAATTTGAAGTTAAATAGCCACATGTGGCTAGTGGTAATGATTTAGACAACAGAGATCTCGAACAGTGCTTCTCAACCAGAGGCAATATTTGCCCTCCACGCCCCTAGGGGACATTTGACAATATATGGAGACATTTTGGGTTTTCACACTTGGTGAGTTCTACTGGTATCAGATGGGAAGAGGCCAAGGATGCTGTTTCAGCATCCTCCAAAACAGGATGTCCCCCGCCCCCATAACAGACTTAGCCCAAAAGGTCAGAGTGCTGAGGTTAAGAAACTCTATTCTAGACTGTTCCTTCTTTGTTCGTAACACGTACTTATAGTTTAGGATTCGTCTTAGATATCAACCCCTCTGGAAAGCCTTCTATGATTTCTCAGGTCTGAATTTTATATTTTCTGTTCCATTATATCCTTACCTTATTTGTGTGATACAATAACCTTTATGGTAGTTATAATTGGCATTTTTATTTGGTCTTGGCTTCTTGAGTATAGGAACATATGCATTGGAATATACCCAGAGGCACATGAACGTGATCAATATTTGTTGAATGTATGAACGAATATAAACTAATGAATCAATCATTAAACATACTGCGGTTTAAAATAGAAGTGTTGCCACCTTAAATTTATACCTTTTAGAGATCATACACTTATAAAATATTTGGAAATATTTTTGGGAGTTACTCCTGGTTTGCCAATAAGTAAAGATAACTCATTCCTTTAGAAGGGAAGAACTTTTTTTTTTTTCTGTTTCTGCCATTCTTCCCTTTGCTCCTGCTCTACTTAGTTTAGTATGCCCCTTCCTTCCATACTCACCTGTTAAAAGATAACCAATCCACCCCACTCTCATCCCCAGAGTGCTCGTGGGGAACTAAAACTTTATTGCATAAATGCAGGAAGGATTTGAGCAGGTGAAGTGGGACAAAGAGACTAGAAACTAAAAAAAAAAAAAAAAAAAAAAAAGAACTGACTAGCATTATAGCAGAGTGGCTCAGAGCAGAGGCTATAGAATGAAACAGAACTGAGTTTGAATTCTTGTCCTGCCATTCTTTTCTGAATTCCCATAATTCTAACCTAACTTAGGTGGGTATAAAGAAGGATAATAGTACCTATTCCACTGAGTTGTCATATATATTAAATGAGATAATTAGTGTAAATAAAGTGCATAGCACATAAGCACACATGGCAGCTTTAGTTGAAGGTGTTATATGTGTAAATTCATAATGTGGATCAAAGTGACTTAATTTCCATAAATATATGTTTCTAAGTCTAAACATTAGTCAAGGATTGCATTTTATGTTCATCATCACAGAACTTACTGTTTAAAAATAAATGCTCACCATATGGAATTACTGAGGGCAGAGTATTGAAGTTCTTAAACATAAGCAGGTGGAAGATGGAGAAAGTTTGGAATCACCTGGCTAAAGCCATCCAAGAAACTGGAAGGTGCTTACTGTAGAACACTTCATGCTCCCTCCCTCTCCAGGCCTTTGTAGGTGCTATTCACTTTACCAGCAGTGCTCTTCTTGAGTTTCTTCACTTGCCTAAGTTCTACTCCTTTTGTTGCACTAGCTCAGAAGTTACCATTTTCGGAAATCTTTATCTACTAGGACTATGCATTTATCTGCAGATAATAGAAAATCCTAACTATAGAATGAAACAACTGGTGGCTTAAAGTAGTAAGAATTTGTGTCACCAAATAAAGAGTCCAAAGTTAGGCATTCAAGAGTATTGCAATAACTGCAATGCCACCAGAGTCCTAGTCTCTTTTTTATTTGCTATGTTATCTTTTGTTGTGTCACATCACTGATGGGCTGCTGTACCACTATGCCTTTAGTCCAAAGACTAAGGCAGGAAAAAGGGAAGAAGGGCAAACGGGCTTTCTTCTAGGGAAGCCATCTTTTTATTCAGGACACCTCCTTATATTCAGGAAAACCACTTTAGGAACTTCAACCTCCAGAGTAATGTCAACATGGCTACCCCTACCTGCAAGTGGAACTAGGACATCTTTTGTTTTCTAGTCTAAACCAGAGGAAGAAAAAGAATGTGGTGGTTAGCAACATATGTGTCATGAGACAACATATTAGTCATGCTGTCCAGTGTTAAGGGCCCCAACTTTCTTGTACTCTGTGTATATCCCTATCAAAGCTATTACCATGTACTATGCTATCGCCAGCTTAATTTGTTTTCTTCTCCAGAAATAAGTTTTGGAAGTAAGGGCTGGGACTTATGTCTCTATATCCCTAGTACTTTAACACTGTCTTTTCATGGAAGACACTCAGTAAATATTTACTGGATCGTTATTTACAAACAGTGATTATCAAAAAGTAAGTAAATATGCACATAATATCCCCTAAACAAAGTTTCTTTGTTTTTTATTGTTATTGTTAGTATTTATTAATTACTATGAGGCAGACAAAGGCTTCACATGTTTTATCATTCAGTCCTCATAATTTGCCTGTGAGGTTAATGTGTCATCATTGTCATTTTGCAGATGAAGAAACAGACTCAGACAAGTTTAAGTAATTTACCTAAGGTTTTAAAACTTACTTATTGGTAGAGTTAGACATTTAATTCAGATAATCTGACTTCAGATCCCAGACTTTTAAAAAACTATGCTATATCATGCTTTACAGATTTTCTGAAGTATGAGCTTATAATCAAGAAAATGTTCCTTATTTTTCCAAATAGAAAGTAATCTGAAATGAAAAATTAAAAACTGGACTCATCTTACTGAATTTTGGTAACCAATAATTGTAAACACAGTCTGTTTTTATAAGCAGGTTGTCTGAATGCCATTTTAAAAACTTACAGTGTGCTCACTAAAGTGAAATAGCTACAATAATGTTAGATATTTAAGTTGATTCCAATTATGAAGACAATATGAAATCTACTAGAAGTAAAAAATATAAAGTACTTTTCTAGTTTTAAAGCTATGAAAAAATTTATCTGTTTATTGGTAAAGACAAATGAAAATATTTGTAGTAGCATAAATATGAATAGATTTTTTTGTTAATGTTTTAGTGCTTTTGCAGTGAAAATGTAATTTTTAACAATAAGCAGCATATCTTAAACTAAATTTCTTATTTGAGTTGTAACATTTTTAGATGTATAATGTCATAATACACTTGTAAAGCTGATCCAGTTACATTTTTCATAATTAGTTTACTAGTGAGGGTAATATTTTACCCTTGATATATCCAACACCAGAGCATTATTAGCTAAACCCAGCTGAGTGTAAGTTTCTCAGTCTATATTACCGAGTCCCCTTATTTTACTTCAGTTACGTTGGTCTATCGGAGAGGTATAGTTAGGGACTAAAATGTAAGAGAAATAACTTTTTTTTTCCTTGAGACATCGTCTCACTCTGTCACCCAGTTTGGAGTGCAGTGCCATGATCATAGCTCACTGCAGCCTCAAATTCCTGAGCTCAACTCAAGTGATCCTTCTGCCTCAGCCTCCTGAGAAGCTGGGACTATAGGTGCACACCACCAAACCCGGCAAAAAAAATTTTGTTTTTTTGTATGGATGAGGTTTCATTATGTTGCCAAGGCTGGTCTTGAATCAACTCCTGGCCTCAAGTGATCCTCCTGCCTCAGCCTCCCATGAGAAAGAATTCTTAACATGTGGTGTACAAAAGGCCTAGTCTGCTGAGAGTCAACCAAAGGAGGATGGGAAATAGTAATCCAGTGTTTCCCAAAATATGCTCCTTGGAATAGTAATTCCATAAAATAGGAATATGTTATGCAAAAGGTTCCGTAACCAGGCATGGTAGCTGTCGCCCCAGCTACTCAGGCTGGGTGGATTACTTGAGCTCAGGAGTTCCAGACTGCAGGAGCTACAATTGTGCCGCCACAGTACAGTCTGGGTGACAGAGCAAGACCCCATCTCTTTAAACCAAAAAAAAAAGTTCCATAGTCAAGTATGTTTATGAAATCAATTAAAAGATGTCTTAAATGCTTTATCAGCTGCTACATGTCATCAACCTTATTTGTGCAGTATGTTCCAAAATTTTTTTGCTCTGAATTCCTCTTCACCCTTTTCCTCATACAACTTCTCATGAAACTGGTGTTATGAAACACAATATTTATGAAATAGTAAGGTCTATAGGGCAAGTTTCTAGCATAGAAAGAGAAATTACTTTTTACATATTATTCATAAGTAACAGGATGTTGAGAACTTCCTGTTTATATTACTGCCTTCAGGTGTGTATACCAACAGGAAGCAGTCTCCCAACTAATTCTAATGTTTGGGTCCCCTAAATTGACTAGTTTTGCTTTGGAGTTATTAGAAAAAATAAAGGTTAAGAGGGCTATATATTTTGGTTCCCTTTAGCAAGGCTAATGTAAAATTAAATAACATTTAGCTTGCCAGGAATTCAGCTGAAAACAAGAGAGAAGTATTTCTATCTCATGGATTCAGTAATTCAACGCAATCCTAGTAAGATTTTAGAAGAGTAGACAACCTAGGCTGGTTGCCGTGGCTCATGCCTGTAATCCCAACACTTTCCGAGGCAGGAGAATCCCTTGAGCCCAGGAATTTGAGACTAGCCTGAGCAATATAGGGAGATCCCATCTCTACAAAAAATAAAAAATCAGCTGGGCATGATGGCATGAACATGTATTCTCAGCTGCTTGGGAGGCTGAGGTGGGAATATCTCTTGAGCCCAGGAGGTCAAAGGCTGCAGTGAGCCATGAACGTGCCACTGCACTCCAGCCTGGGTGACAGAATGAGACCCTGTCCTATCACCTGGCTGCAGAGATCAAAGGCTTAAAACCAGGGATAAAAGAGGCTGAGTATTTTAAGTTCATTTAAGTCTGTATTACATACCTTCCAGGAAGAGTGTACCATCTTATTTTCTAGGCTTTCTAACCAGCCAGTGTTCTAAGAAAGCATTTTTATGTTTTGCCAGCTATTTCTAGGTTTAAAAAATGCAGGTAGCCTATATTTTTGGTAACTTAGCATACCCTAGTAAAGCATCTGCTTTACAGGCCATGCTATGCTCAGCACCTGGAAGGCCAAGTAAACTCACCTGGTCAAAAATGGAACGTGTCTAATGAGTTCCTTCTCATTGGTACGTATATGGCTTTCTGAATTAAGTCAGCTCTACTAGGGTAGGGTTTATTCATGAGAACTGACCAAAGGAGGATTTTCTAGGACTGTCATTAGGAGAGAAAATTTGAAAAATGATGTGGGGTTACCAGAATACCTGTTGCTTCTGGAGGATTAAGGGTATTGTCACTTCCTGAAACTAGGTAACAGATGCCATCATTTAGATAATTGTGTAGTGAGTCAGGTTCCTTCCAGGGGAGAAGTCTTAGTGATGTCCTCTTGCAGGGGAATATAGTAAAAAACTTGTAGTTGGTATATTTTAAGTTTTAAACACTGATTATGTAATCCTTTAAAACAGGGGTTCCCCAGGTATGGTTCATGGCCTGTCAGGAACCGGGCCACACAGCAGTAAGTGAGCAGCAGGCGAGCAAGCATTACTGCCTGAGCTCCGCCTCCTGTCAGATCAGCAGCGGCATTAGATTCTTATAGGAGCACAAACCCTATTGTGACCTGAGCATGTGAGGGATCTAGGTTATACGTGCCTTATGAAAATCTAACTAATGCCTAATGGTCTAAGTGGAACAGTTACGTCCCAAAACCATCCCCATAATCCCCACCCCATCCATGGAAAAATTGTCTTCTGTGAAACTGGTCCCTGGTACTGAAAAGCTTGGGGACCATTGCTTTAAAAGACTTTTTCTTTCTACCTTCCAACTCTACTGGCACAGTGTTTGTACTCCTGAGGCAAATGATCAAAATTAACAGCCTAAGCTGTGTTCTCTAAAAACTGTCCTACTTTAGTGAACAGCAAAGCCTATTATGAGATAAACCTTAAGAACCAACTTTCTGGGCACACATGAGTTGTCCATTACAAAAATCTAAAACCTAAAAAAGAAAAAAAATCGCGGCAGAGGTACTAACTACCCCATGTGAAAAATCCAATTTTAGCATAGTTAAAATCAGGCAAAGGAAGGCAGTGCAAGCAGTCTGTTGGTAGGAAGTCTGTTCATGTATCATGGTTATCTGTGTGGAATTTCAGTAGTACCTGAGTTCTCACCAGGATCCTATCTGGGACACTGCAATAGATATTATTTCCCTGGGTATAACCTTCCTAGTCTCATCTCCATCTTGGCTTAATGGAATCTTATTGGTATGGCTTGCTCCATATCTAAGTGCTGTATGTTTCACAGATCTTGGATATTAAAACATATGATTGCTCAGATATAGTCTGGATGGTAATAACAAACAGGTGTGGTCCAGCAAATCAAGCATCTGGTGCTTATGGCCCTGGAAGGAATCAGCTACTGACCCTGTAGATGGACCAGAAGGGCTAAACTTGAGACCCACAGCTAGATCTCTTCCACAAAATTGTTTTGTTTGGCCCACACTGATGTTCTAAAATTTTTGGATTGGTTGCCATATTTTAGAAAGAGGAAAGTTCACAGAAAAACTTAGGTATTTGTTTTCTCTTTTCTCTTGAAAACAGGACACTGAACCCTTGTTTGCGCATGACAGCAGTTGAACCTAAGTAGTGGTTATTCCTTTTAAACATGACATGCACTCTTTAATCCTCTTAGTCCCCACCATGCTTTTACCTCATCAGATTTTTCTTACCTATGTTCTACTGTACTCATGTGCATTACGTGCCTGGCGTTTGAGTTTGTGGCTTTTGTGTTAGATTATTTGGGGGCAAGGTTATTATAAGAGCTATTCTTTACAGGGTTGGGGACCCATAATGGTACATATGAGGATAGATAATGGGAAGAAAGCCTCTGTTTTTATTTCTTAGTAATATGGAGTCTTTACTGTCAGTTCCTGCTTTAGCTGCCATTACAACGGCCAGCCAATAGAAAGCAAAAATAGTATATAACAAAGAATAATGATAACTGTTTTGAGTCTCTGCTATAGATCAGCCACTGTGTAAAACATGTTGCCTTCTCACTTTCCTGTGAGACCATCCTTGATTACTCTATTTTAAATTGTGGTTTAACATACCCTCCCAACACTTTTTCTTCATAGCGTTTATCATCATCATGTAACATATGTTTTACTTTTAAATTTTATTGTATGTCTTCCTGTTACTAAAATATAAGATAGTGCCTAGAGCATAGTAGGCACTTGATGCTAGATGAATATATAAATGAATAATGTTGTTTAATTTTTAAACTTTCCAAGTCTGTCCCATGGTTTAGTGTTTTAAATCAGAAGCCAGTCTTCTTCATTTACTTACTGCTAAAGTGTTCCTGAGAAACAGACCTACTATTAGAATGGGGCCTTCTAAGAGGTGACACACTCCCAGCAATAAATTTGAGTAGTTCACTCCAGTAGTAATTCTTAACAATTACTTTCCTGCCCTCCAGAGATATATGCTGCATCTGTGAGGGGTTATGGATGTGTGGAGTATGCAATTCCAAAAAATTATCTTCTTCCCTTTACAAGAGAAAGCATGCTTTCTCACCTCAAATCCTTGCTTTAATGAATACTAAATGGTGACCAAGGTCAACTCACCGACACAGACTTGATTGAAACTAAAATTTTGTTTGCATTATCTAATTAAAATATATCAAATAAATAAATAACAAAAATTCACCTGTTACTGCTCGAAAAAGGCTCATGGGTAGAAGATCACATTTATTTTGTGATACGGCACTGGAGTTACTGTTAGTAAGATTTATCTCAGAATCTTATTTTTTCTTTCTATTCACTTAGTGGAGAAGAAATAGGCACTTTTCAAAATGAAGAGCATGTCTGTGCAGAATTTACTTGAATGAGAAAACTTGGCAGTGGGGCCAGATTTAAATAGCTTGTTTGGTTTTGTTTAGTATCACAAAAAGAAATAATTTATATAAGGCCATGCCATTTAAAGGATTGTGAACCTTTTACTCTTTCCTTTTTTTACATTAAACACTTGAGTTATTGTATCCTCCTTTAGTATGTGAGAAAAACATGGTTATTAATGTTTTTTTTTTCTCTCCTGTTAGGGACTCGAGTGGACTAAATTGCCACTGAGCCCCAAAAAAATAAGTTCTGGTAACTTTTGTGTTTCATGATTATAAACAATGCTCTAACCATTGTCAGCTAGCTTTCAAATTTATTACATTGTCTCAAAAATATGATGGGAATTTCTCATCATTACCAGAAAGAAATGCAATTTTCATTAATATGTTTATATTCAAAGAATGACATAATACACAAAAGTGTGCTCTGATGGAAACAAATGAATTCTTACAGTATTCTAATTTTTCTATCTTTGCACTTTAAGTCATTTCAAACTTGCAGAAAAGTAAACTCTAGGGGAGAAAAGAAGGAAAGGTTACTAGGAACAGAGAAAACAGAGACTAAAGAATTGACTTTTCCTCTCAATGGCCTACCTGTTTGTTAAGGCTGTAACTTTGTAATCTTGAAGAATCCAGTAGAAATCCAGTTTTTTGAAAGCATTGTGGCAGCTGGACTGTCAAGTACCATCATTTTTTTACATGCTGAAAAAAGTTAAAAACACAGTGACTAGAAAGATCTAAACCTTATCCTTCTTGCTGATACCACCACCCATCCCCACCTGCTAGTAGAACTGTGTGATCTTTTCAAATAGCACACAGAAACATTGATAATAACCTTGGCTTCTCCTGAGTGATTCAGAGTGAATTTAGGGGAATGTTACATGATGATCCTATGATGGTCAGTTTTTGTAGAATTTAACAATGGGAAGATGTGTTCTTAAGATGGCTCTCATTTGAATTCTATTTCAAGGGGACTGAAATATTTTGGCTTTGGTACCCTTTGGCTATTTGAACCATAGTTCCTACTATATGAGTGTTTTAGCAGTATGCCCTTGTCTAAGCATTTCATTTGGTTCTTACTTTGGCACTTATGAAGCCAAAGATACTATGATACTACGGTACTTTCTACCGTGTTATTCATTATCTCAGTTTCAGAGATTCAGCTTCCTTTTTTACTATTAAGTTCTAAAAAATTCATTGTAGTTGTGTTTCTTTCCGGATTTATCTTTTGATTTATCATCAATTTATGAACTCAGTTTCTTTAAAGTATTAAACAGGCAAATATAAATAGCTAAGAAAACCGAAATATATTTTAGAGCACATTCATAAAAATTACCAATGAATGTCCCTACTTTTTTCTTTTATAATGTAATATAATCATTTCTTAGTTTTATGTGCAGAAACTTCTCAATATTAAGCACAGAATCTACTTAGTAATATCTTACATGTCTATCTTGGAGTAAGAATTTGTCAGTGCTAATGTTGCAGCCCCTTGGGGCTTCTTAATATTGGAATTTCTCCAGGCTTGATTATAGTTGAGGGAAGTTCAAAGGGAATTTTTTTATTGTTTAGCTTGTTTTTAGGTTGCAGTAAATTCTCTAGGTCATCCAGCAGGATTAGGAAGAGAAGCATTGTGAGAAACAGGTTTTGGGTTTTGCTGAAATTTGCTTGTCAGCATTGCATCACTTTTCCTTAACTGTTCTCTAAGTACTGATGTCTTTCAAATTGACTCAGATCATACTCCTTATCTTTGAGCAGAATATTTTGAACAGAAAATTAAGCCATTTTCATTTATATACCTAATTCAATAGGTTTATAAATAAAAGGGCAAATCCTCACGATAATACAGTACAGTAAAAATTGCTCTCCCCCTAGAACTGAGAATAGAAAAACAATTTCCTCTTACATTGTTTATAGTAGGTAGCCCTTAAAAGAAAATCACTTATCCCTGCCACCCCCAGTGGTCCTCATAACAAGTTAGGAAACTGAAAATTGCTGAAAATTAAGAATTCTAAGCAACAAGCATGGAAAATAGAGTCCTCATACCTGACCTTTTTCTCTATCTTCCTTACTCAATCCTGTGGAAGAACTGCTGGGGCCTGAGAGAATATAATATCAGGTATGTTGATTGTTTCCATAAATTTAAAGAGGCAACAGAATAAGCTTTATATTTTCTCCCTTTTGATCCTTATACTTTCTCCTTTTTGATCCTTCTGTTAGTGATCTGGTGAAGAAGAGTCCTTTTAGAAACTGCTCCTGAATCAGTGTCGCTTGAGGGGGGAAAAATTAGTATTTCTTTTTGGAGTTTTGTTTTTGAAGCTTAAATCAAGGGCAGACAAATTCAAGCATAATTATTAGTGTATTTATGTTCCCTCCATATATGGTAACTCAACTGAAGAAACAGTTAAACTTGATTATTTAGGTTTCTGGAATTTAAGCTGACTATTCCAAACACAAAGTTAAAACTTAAAAAAAAAAAAAAACTTTTTACTGATACCAATCTGAAAAGAAAAGTTTCATGGACTAATTATGGACATGATACCCTGATTGATCATCTTCCACCAGAACTCATTTATTGTCAACCTGGCCAGTACTTTGGAAGGTGTTTATAAGTCTCAAACAAGCATTTCTGCTAATTCTGGAAATAATGATCCTCAGATATAATTTCACCATCAAGGATTTGCAAGAAAGCTCCTCAGTGAAGTACTAATTGTTATGCTCTTTATAAGCATCAGCCCTTCCCCACTTTTTTAACCTTGCTTAAAAAAACAAAACCAAACAGAATAACATGAGAGGGAAGATTGTCGTTACAGGAAACAAATCACTACAGATTTCAAACAAGGGAAATCACTTTTCATTAACATTTGTGAAGTTGTGGCTTAAACCTGATGCTTCACTTTTTCACAGTGGTCCCTAAAAACAGGAGCAGATCTCTCCATTTAGGCTACTTTTAAATTGAATATTATGCCAATAAATAATGAAAACATAGTTCCTTACCATCTGCTTAAAGGTCTTTAAGTTCTGGTAATAAGACATTTAAAACTCTCTCTGGTTCTCTGTAGTCCATCTGGTATGTATTGACAGTTCAGAAACAGATGTCCGGAGCAAACAGGAACACCGAAAAATTAGTATTTGCAATATAGAATATTGTTTCAGGTATTTCTTTATGACAGAAGAGAAATGAAAAGTTACCCATTTTGTTCCCAGACGAACCTGGAGAAAGTTATTTCTGAACTATTCTGCTTAGATTGATTATTTCTTTCTCTCTAGTAGCACAGCTGTTGTCAGAAATATTTACTAACTTCAATTATATGTCGATAGCTTAGGAAAAAATAGTATCTGCCCTTTTCTGCACTCACCCTAAGGGAAGCCAGTACTTGTGTAACATAATCTTCAATGATGAGTGACCAAGTCTGATGGTCACCTATAAAATCTGGAGGACTCTTGCTCTTGTGGTATTCCAACCAAGTTAGTGGAGATTACCAGGCGAAATACGTCCTGAATTTCTTAAAGATGCCTTACCTACTCCTAAGTTCGTTGAAGCCTTATTCACAGTACCTAAGATACAGAAGCGACCTACGTGTCCATCATCAGATGAATGAATAAAGAAAATGTAATTATACATACACAATGAAGTAGTATTCAGCCTTAAAAGGGGGGAACTTCTGTTATTTACAACAACATGGACTAACCTAGAAGGCATTATACTAAGTGAAATAAGCCAGGCACAGAAAGACAAATAATGCATGATCTCACTTATATATGGAATCGAGAAAGGTTGAACTCACATACATAGAGAGTAAAATGATGCTTACCAGAGACTGGGAGGTGGCAGGGAGGGATATGGGAAGGGGAGATGTTGATCAAAGGGTACACAGTTTTCGTTAGATAGGAAGAATAAGCTGTAGTGCCCTATTGCACAGAATGGTGTCTATTATAACAATAATGTGTTGTATATTTCAGAATTGTGAAAAGAGTTGTTTTTTGGGTTTTGGGGGTGGGTTGTTTTGTTTTGTTGAGACAGGGTCTTGCTCTGTTACCCAGGCTGTAGTGGCACAATCCTGGCTCACTGCAGCTTTGACCTCTGTGGGCTCAAGCAATTGTACCACTTTAGCCTCCCAAGTAGCTGAGACTACAGGTATGCACCACCACACCAGCTAATTTTTGTATTTTTTGTAAAGAAGGGATTTTGCCATATTGCCCAGGGTATGAGAGTAGATTTTAAATGTTTCAGCTACATAAAAAAATATGTGAGGCTGCAGTGATTTGTGATTGTACCACTGCCCTCCAGCCTGGGTGACAGAGTGAGACCCTATCTCTGTAAAAAAAAATTTTTTTCTACTTTAATGTTTTAAATGCCTTACTTTGCCACATCAAATTTTCTATACTTGTTGATAGAATTTGAATTATAAACTCTTCTGCCAAAGATCTGATTTTAAGCAATAACATATTTTTAAAATAATAACATTTACATAACACTACCTATCATAAGTTTTATATCACAAAAATTATGAGCATTTTGTCGCTGTGTTTTATATTTTGAAATTGATACTCAGCTTAAAAAGCTTGCCTAATATTACAAAGCTAATGAGTGGCAAATCTGGAACTCAGATCTGGGTCTTCTAATTCTATATCCTATACCTTACCCACTATAGCTTACTGCTTGATATAGACATCAATTTCAAGTAACAGCTGCTTCATTCATCTATTTTATATATATGTCATATCCTTATTATAGGTCTTATGTAATATGGGTTATTCTTTATTATTAATTTGTCAGTAGGAGACTTGCTTATTAACCTCAGATTTATAAAAGCTTCATCAAAGCTACTTTTATTACTCTGCTAATCAGTTACTGGGTGATATTCTTATATGAGAAGTCTCTATGACATAAGTTCTAGAAGAGTCAGTGAATCATACATTTTGCTGTATGACCATCTTAAGGATAAATTGTTAGGCCGGGCGCAGTGGCTCACGCCTGTAATCCCAGAAATTTGGGAGGCCGAGGCGGGCAGATCATTGAGGTCAGGAGTTCAAGACCAGCCCGACCAACATGGTGAAACCCCATCTCTACTAAAAATACAAAAATTAACTGGGCGTGGTGGCACACGCCTATAATCCCAGCTACTCAGGAGGCTGAGGCAGGAGAATGCTTGAACCTGGGAGGTGGAGGTTGCAGTGAGCCAAGATTGTGCCACTGCACTCCAGCCTGGGCAAGAGAGCAAGACTCCGTCTCAAAAATAAAAATTGTTAGGTTTTTTTCCTAAATTGAATACCAACTCAGAGAAAGACGTTTTCATATGCTGAACATAAAAGTGGCATTCTTTTTCATCTGTAATAAAGAATCCCATGATATAGATGTAGCACAAAAAATCAGTAGAGAAAGTGTGAAATACTCAGTAAGTGATACTGGGACAATTTTTAGTTAGGTCCCTACTTTATATCTTACAGAAAAATAAATTCCAGAGGAATTAAAGGCCCACACATGAAAAACAAAATTTTTAAACTTTAAAAAGAAAATATAGGATACTATCTTTATGACACTGAAATAGGGGAAAATTTCAAAAACAAAAGACCAAAAGCTCAGATTATGAATGAAAAGATTGATAGATTTGACTGCCTGGAAATGACAAACTTCGATATCACAAGACTTCAAAAACAAAGTGAATAGACAGGCTACAACTAGGAGAAGATATTAGCAGCACTTTCAACCACTAGAGGATTAGTATCCAGACTGCCTGATAAATATCCGCATATTTAGATGAGTAAAAGAAATGAACGGGCAGTTCCTTGAACATTGTGGTTCTCCAAGTGTAATCCTCTGACCAGCATTAGCAGCATCTCCTAGGTGCTTGTTAGAAGTCCAGATTTTCAGGTCCCCACTTGAGACCTACTGAATCAGAAACTCTGGAAGTGGGGTCATGCACTCTTTGTTTTAACAAGCTCACTAAGTGAATCTGGTGCATATTAAAATTTTAGAGCTACTCTGTTAAACTCAAATGATAAATAATATGAAAAGATTCAGTCTCATCATCAATCAGAGAAGTATAAAACAATTAGATACTTTTTCATACCCATAAGATTAGCTAAACTTTAAAACTTAAGTTTTAACAAGAATCTGGAGAAATAAACTGTAGTATTGCTATTAGGAACATAAATTGGTATAAGTTTTAGAGAGCAATTTGAAAATATCCAATAAGGTTGACTATATACATTCTTTGTTACCAGACACTTGTACTTTTAAGTTACATACCTTAGGAAAAAACTCTCACACAAGGCCACAAGAGTCACAAATAAAGGATTTCCATTACAGCACCATCTGAAATAGTGAAACTTTGTTATAACATATTGTCTATCAGTAGAGACATGAACAAACTGTGGTTTTGTTTCATAGAATACTATTTCTATATGCTGTTAAATAGATTAAGTCCAAGATCAGAAGCAAACATGCCAAAAGGTTAGCATCTTGTAAATGTGGACATTGATGCATGCATGTGCACATTCTCTACTGTGTTTGAAATACTTTGTAGTTTTAATTTTTAAAAATTAAATGAGATATTAAAATATTGAAAGAGTTTCCATTTGGCTGTGTCTTATCTTTCAGGATTCTGCCTCAAAGGTGGATTTAGTTTGGACAAACCAGGATCATTATAGTTGAGGGTCGTAACCAGACACTGGAAAACATTTTTTAAAACAATCAGTAAATGCAGATTAATTGAAGATAAGCTGCATACTTTCCTGAGTAAATGCTACGTACGGCCCAAAGTAGAGGAACAGATTGGCATATTGCAGGTTCATGTGTAGTAAACTTATTAGAGCTGACTTTTTAACCAGTTTTTGGATTTTTTTAAAAGTAAAAGTTAACTGGAAGAGAGCATGAAGGCTGTATATTCTAAACTGGTGCTTATAAACCATTTTTTGCCCATACCCCATTCTGATAAATGTAATTATATTCTTGGTTAATATCATTTGAAATTCAAAATAAGTTAAATACTAATCTAAAAAATGAATGAATGAAAGCCTTTTTTATTATGGGGAGGAGACTTTTTCTTGTTTCCACATTTTTTTAAATATACTTTTTAAGTTCTGGGTTACATGTGCAGAACGTGCAGTTTTGTTACATAGGTATTCATGTGCCCTAGTGCTTTGCTGTACCTATCAACCCGTCACCTACATTAGGTGTTTCTCCTAATGTTATCCCTCCCCTAGCCCCACACCCGCCGACGGGCCCCAGTGTGTGATGTTCCCCTCCCTGTGTCCATGTGTTCTCATTGTTCAACTCCCACTTATGAGCGAGAACACGCAGTATTTGGTTTTCTGATCTTGTGATAGTTTGCTGAGAATGACGGTTTCCAGCTTCATCCATGTCCCTGCAAAGGACATGAACTCATCCTTTTTTATGGCTGTATAGTATTCCGTGGTGTATATGTGCCACATTTTCTTAATCCAGTCTATCATTGATAGACATTTGGGTTGGTTCCAAGTCTTTGCTATTGTGAATAGTGCCGCAATAAACATACGTGTGCATGTGCCTTTATTGTAGAATGATTTATGGGTATATGCCCAGTAATATTGTGGGTCAAATGGTATTTCCAGTACTAGATTCTTGAGGAATTGCCATACTGTCTTCCGCAATGGTTGAACTAATTTACACTCCCACCAACACTGTAAAAGCGTTCTTATTTTTCCACAACCTCTCCAGAATCTGTTGTTTCCTGACTTTTTAATGATCGCCATTCTAACTGCCGTGAGATGGTATCTTATTGTGGTTCCCATTTTCATTTCTCTAGTGACCAGTGATGATGAGCATTTTTCCTATGTCTGTTGGCTGCATAAATGTCTTCTTTCGAGAAGTGTCTGTTCATACCCTTTGCCCATTTTTTGATGGGGTTGTTTTTTTTCTTGTAAGTTTGTTTAAGTTCTTTGTTTCTGGATATTAGTCCTTTGTCAGGTGGATAGATTGCAAAAATTTTCTCCCATTCTGTAGGTTGCCTGTTCACTCTGATGATAGTTTCTTTTGCTGTGCAGAAGCTCTTTAGTTTTAATTATATCTCACTTGTCAATTCTGGCTTTTGTTGCCATTGCTTTTGGTGTTTTAGACATGAAGTCTTTGCCCATGCCTATGTCCTGAATACTATTGCCCAGGTTTTCTTCTAGGATTTTTATGGTCCTAGGTCTTACGTTTAAGTCTTTGATCCATCTTGAGTTGATTTTTGTAAAAGGTGTAAGGAAGGGATCCAGTTTCAGCTTTCTACATATGGCTAGCCAGTTTTCCCAGCACCATTTATTAAATAGGGAATCCTTTCCCCATTGCTTGTTTTTCTCAGGTTTGTCAAAGATCAGATAGTTGTAGATATGCGGAGTTATTTCTGAGGGCTCTGTTCTGTTCCATTGGTCTGTATATTTGTTTTGGCACCAGTACCATGCTGTTTGGTTACTGTAGCCTTGTAGTATAGTTTGAAGTCAGGTAACATGATGCCTCCAGCTTTGTTTTTCCTGCCCCGGATTGTCTTGGCTATGCGGGCTCTTTTTTGGTTCCATATGTAGTTTAAAGTAGTTTTTTCCAATTCTGTGAAGAAAGTCAGTGGTAGCTTGATGGGGATAGCACTGAATCTATAAATTACTTTGGGCAGTATGACCATTTTCATGATATTGATTCTTCCTATCCATGAGCATGGAATATTTTTCCTTTTGTTTGTGTCTTCTCTTATTTCCTTGAGCAGTAGTTTGTAGTTCTCCTTGAAATCCTTCACGTCCCTTGTAAGTTGTATTCCTAGGTATTTTATTCTCTTAGTAGTGATTATGAATGGGAGTTCACTCATGATTTGGGTCTCTATTATTGGTGTATACAAATGCTTGTGATTTTTGCACACTGATTTTGTATCTTGAGACTTTGCTGAAGTTGCTTATCAGATTAAGGAGATTTTGGGCTGAGATGATGGGGTTTTCTAAATATACAATCATGTCATCTGCAAACAGAGACAATTTGACTTCCTCTCTTCCTATTTGAATACCCTTTATGCTTTGTCTTTCCTGATTGCCCTGGCCAGAACTTCCAATATTATGTTGAATAGGAGTGGTGAGAGAGGGCATCCTTGTCTTGTGCCAGTTTTCAAAGGGAATGCTTCCAGTTTTTGCCCATTCAGTATGATACTGGCTGTGGGTTTGTCATAAATAGCTCTTATTATTTTGAGATAAGTTCCATCAATACCTAGTTTATTGAGAGGTTTTAGCATGAAGGGGTGAATTTTATCAAAGGCCTTTTCTGCATCTATTGAGATAATCATATGGTTGTTGTCATTGGTTCTTTTTATGTGGATTGGGTTTATGTGGATGGGATTATGTTTATTGATTTATGTGGATGGATTACGTTTGTTGTTTATGTGGATTGGATTTATGTGAATGGATTATGTATATTGATTTGTGTATGGTGAACAAGCCTTGCATCCCAGGGATGAAGCAAACTTGATCATGGTGGATAAGCTTTTTGATGTGCTGCTGGATTCGGTTTGCCTGTATTTTATTGAGGGTTTTCACATCGATGTTCATCAGGGATATTGGCCTGAAATTTTCTTTTTTCGTTGTGTCTCTGCCAGGTTTTGGTATCAGGATGATGCTGGCCTCATAAAATGAGTTAGGGAGGAGTCCCTCTTTTTCTGTTGTTTAGAATAGTTTCAGATGGAATGGTACCAGCTCCTCTTTGTACCTCTGGTAGAATTCGGCTGTGAATCCGTCTGGTCATGGACTTTTTTTGGTTGGTAGGCTATTAATTACTGCCTCAATTTCAGAGCTTGTTATTGGTCTATTCAGGGATTCGACTTCTTTGTGGCTTAGACTTGGGAGGCTGTATATGTCCAGGAGTTTATCCATTTCTTCTAGATTTTCCAGTTTATTTGCATAGAGGTTTTTATAGTATTCTCTGATGGTAGTTTCTATTTCTGTGGGGTCAGTGGTGATATCCCCTATATCATTTTTTTATTGTGTCTATTTGACTCTTCTCTCATTTCTTCTTTATTAGTCTGGCTAGTGGTCTATTTTGTTGATTTTTTTTTTTCAAAAAACCAGCTCCTGGATTCATTGATTTTTTTTTTTGAAGGGTTTTTTGTGTCTCCATCTCCTTCAGTTCTGCTCTGATCTTAGTTATTTCATGTCTTCTGCTAGTTTTTGAATTTGTTTTCCCTTGCTTCTCTAGTTCTTTTAATTTTGATGTTAGGGTGTCAATTTTAGGTCTTTCCTGCTTTCTCTTGTGGGCATTTAGTGCTATAAATTTCCCTCTAAACACTGCTTTAAATGTGTCCCAGAGATTCTGGTATGTTGTGTCTCATTCTCATTGGTTTCAAAGAACATCTTTATTTCTGCCTTCATTTCGTTATTTACCCAGTAGTCATTCAGGAGCAGGTTGTTCAGTTTCCATGTATTTGTACGGATTGGGGTAAGTTTCTTAACCCTGAGTTCTACTTTGATTGCACTGTGGTCTGGGAGACTATATGTTATGATTTCCCTTCTTTTGCATTTGCTGAGGAGTGTTTTACTTCCAATTATGTGGTCAGTTTTAGCATAAGTGTGATGAAGTGCTGAGAAGAATGTATACTCTGTTGATTTGGGGTGGAGAGTTCTGTAGATGTCTATTAGGTCCACTTGGTCCAGAGCCGAGTTCAAGTCCTGAATATCCTTGTTAATTTTCTATCTCATTTATCTAATATTGACAGTGGGGTGTTAAAGTCTCCTACTATTATTGTGTGGGAGTCTAAGTCTCTTTATAGGTCTCTAAGAACTTGCTTTATGAATCTGGGTGCTCCTGTATTGGCTGCGTATATATTTAGGATAGTTAGCTCTTCTTGCTACATTGTTCCCTTTACCATTATGTAATGCCCTTCTTTGTCTCTTGATCTTTGTTGGTTTAAAGTCTGTTTTATCAGAGACCAGGATTGCAACCCCTACTTTTTTTTGCTTTCCATTTGCTTGGTGGATCTTCCTCCATCCCTTTATTTGAGCCTATGTGTGTCTTTGCACATGAGATAGGTCTCCTGAATACAGCACACTGATGGGTCTTGACTCTTTATCTAATTTGCCAGTCTGTGTCTTTTAATTGGGGCATTTAGCTTATTTACATTTAAGGTTAATATTGTTATGTGTGAATTTGATCCTGTCGTTATGATGCTATCTGGTTGTTTTGCCCATTAGTTAATGCAGTTTCTTAATAGTGTCGATGTTCTTTACAATTTGGTATGTTTTTGCAGTGGCTGGTACCAGTTATTCCTTTCCATGTTTAGTGCTTCTTTCAGGACCTCTTGTAAGGCAGGTCTGGCAGTGACAGAATCCCTCAGCATTTGCTTGTCTGTAAAGGATTTTATTTCTCCTTCACTTATGAAGCTTAGTTTGGCTGAATATGAAATTCTGGGTTGAAAATTCTTTTCTTTAAGAATGTTGAATATTGGCTCCCACTCTCTTCTGGCTTGTAGGGTTTCTGCCGAGAGAGCTGCTGTTAGTCTGATGGGCTTCCCTTTGTGGGTAACCTGACCTTTCTGTCTGGCTGCCCTTACCATTTTTTATTTCATTTCAACCTTGGTGAATCTGACGATTATGTGTCTTGGGGTTGCTCTTCTCGAGGAGTATCTTTGTGGTGGTCTCTGTATTTCCTAAATTTGAATGTTGGCCTGTCTTGCTCGGTTGGAGAAGTTCTGGATAATATCCTGAAGAGTGTTTTCCAACTTAGTTCCATTCTCCCTGTCACTTTCAGGTATACCAATCAAATGTAGATTTGGTCTTTTCACGTAGTCCCATATTTCTTGGAGGCTTGACTCGTACCTTTTTTTTTTCCCTCTAATCTTGTCTTCTCGCTTTATTTCATTAAGTTGATCTTCAGCTGATATCCTTTCTTCTGGTTGATCGATTTGGCTATTAATACTTGTGTATGCTACACGAAGTTCTCGTGCTGTGTTTTTCAGCTCCATCAGGTCATTTATGTTCTTCTCTACCTTGGTTATTCTAGTTAGCAATTCAACTAACCTTTTTTCAAGGTTATTAGCTTCCTTGCATTGGGTTAGAACCTGGTGCTTTAGCTCAAAGTTGTTCGTTATTACCCACCTTCTGAAGCCTACTTTTGTCAGTTCTTCAAACTCATTCTGCATCCAATTTTGTTCCCTTGCTGGCGAGGGGTTGTGATCCTTTGGAGGAGGAAAGGCGTTCTGGTTTTTGGAATTGTTAGCCGTTTTGCGTTGGTTTTCCCTCATCTTTGTGGATTTATCTACCTTTTGTCTTTGATGTTGGTGACCTTCCAGTGGGGTCTTTGAGTGGATGTGTTAACTCCCGACCCTGTTTGTCTGGGTATCACCAGCGGAGGCTGCAGAGCAGCAATGATTGCTGCCTGTTGTTTCCTCTGGAAGCTGCGACCCAGCGGAGCACCTGCCAGATGCCAGCCAGAGCTCTCCTGTATGAGGTGTCTGTCGGCCCCATCTGGGAGGTGTCTCCTAGTCAGTATACACAGGGGTCAGGGACCCACTTGAGGAGACAGACTGAGCCTTAGCAGAGCTGGAACGCTGCACTGGGAGTTCTGCTGCTCTCTTCAGAGCCATCAGGCAGGGATGTTTAAGTCTGCTATAAGCCACTGACTGGGGCTGCTGCCTGTTTTACAGAGATGCCCTGTCCAGAGAGGGGCAATCAGGCAGTCTGGCCACCGCAGCCTTGCTGAGCTGCAGTGGGCTCCACCCAGTTTGAACTTCCCAGCAGCTTTGTTTATCCTGTGGCTGTGAAACTGCCTACTCAAGCTTCAGCAATGGCCGACCCCCCCGCCCCACCCCGCAACCCCCCGACCAAGGTCGACTGTCTCAGGTGCATCTCAGATTGCTGCTGTGCTGGCAGCGAGAATTTCAAGCCAGCGGATCTTAGTTTCCTGGGCTCCGTGGGAGTGGGACCCGCTGAGCCAGACCACTTGACTCCCTGGCTTCAGCGCCCCTTTCCAGGGGAGTAAATGGTTCTGTCTTAGTGGCATTCCACATGCCACTGGGGTATGGCAAAGAAGAAAAAAAAAAAAGCTCCTGCATCTAGTTCGGTGTCTGCCCAATTGGCCAGCCAGTTCTGTGCTTGAAACCCAGGGCCCTGGTAGGGTAGTCACCAGAGGGAATCTCCTGGTTTGTGGGTTACGAAGACCATGGGACAAGCGCAGTGTCTGTGCTGGAGTTCTTCAGGCTCAGTCCCTCACAGCTTCCCTTGGGTAGGGGGGAAAATTCCCCGACACCTTGTGCTTCCCAGGTGAAGTGACGCCCCACCCTGCTTCGCCTCGCCCTCCGTGGGCTGCACACACATTCCAACCAGTCCCAGTGAGATGAACCAGGTACCTCAGTTGGAAGTGCAGAAATCACCCGCCTTCTGCATCAATCTCGCTGGGAATTGCAGACCGGTGCTGTTCCTGTCTGTTTCCACATTTTTATCTGCATATGTAAAAAGGATCCTTCAGTTTCCTCAAAGGTGCTAGAGGAAAGAGTCTAATTTTTATATTAATCAGGATGGGCTAATCTATGATGTTGTAACTAAGCCTGAAATACCAGTGGCCTAACCACAAAAATGTATTTTCATTCACATCATATGCAGCAGAAATCACTGAAGACCACTGTTCCAAATAATCCCTCAGAACCAACATTGACAGGAAGGCTGACATGTTATAGCTTCACCAGTGCAACACATGGCTTCCAAGGTGCCACAGAGGGGGAAATGGGATGGGGTGACACATTGATTTTTTTTTTTTTTTTTTTTGAGACGGAGTCTCGCTCTGTCGCTGAGGCTGGAGTGCAGTGGCGCAATCTCAGCTCACTGCAAGCTCCGCCTTCCGGGTTCACACCATTCTCCTGCCTCAGCCTCCCGAGTAGCTGGGACTACAGGCTCCCACCACCACGCCTGGCTAATTTTCTTTGTATTTTTAGTAGAGATGGGGTTTCACCGTGTTAGCCAGGATGGTCTCAATCTCCTGACTTCATGATCCGCCCACCTCAGCCTCCCAAAGTTCTGGGATTACAGGCTTGAGCCACTGCCCCCGGCCGACACATTGATTCTTAACTGTCAGCTGAGTAGTGAATTACATCACTGTGATCAGATTCATAATAATCACATGACTACAAGCTAACTGCAAAGTGGACTGAGAAATGTAGGTGAGCAGATGGAATACTGTCTCTGTCCCATGTTTTCTTCACCTCTACACTTGCACCTCATAGAAAGAATTAGCTTCATGTTACTAGTTCTTATGTCAGTATTTTTTGTCAACCAAAGTTTTAGAAGGGAAGGGGGTTGCGTGGCAGGATTCAAACACCAAAGTCCACCTTCAACCTCCAAAAGCAACTTGATCTTACACTATGCCTTCATTTTCCCCTTGATCACATAATATAAAAATGAATGTTGAATCTGATTGTTTGCTACAGGCTTTTCTGTCCAGAATGTGAAAGGTCAAAGTACCATCTCAATCGTCATTAAGTTTGTAGCATTGTTGTGCTTTCATAGCTAAAAGTTCAGAAAAACCGTCTTCATAAATCTTTGCTTATGAAAATGGGATGATGACATGCAAGGTCGGCTCACTTGCTGGAAATAACCAAGGATATTTTTTGAAAATTCTCCAAAATTGTTTCCTGGAATGTGTTTGACATATAAATCAAACTTGAGTTCAAAGATTCCTTTTTAATATCTTTTTGCAAAGATTGAAGTGCATGAGAAAGAGGTCTTTTAAGTTTTCAGGCAAGATCTTCAACTGCAATAGTATGAAATTATCAGCTACCTCATTCAAAAGACTTGAATAATATTTGAGGTTCTGCCTAAATTTGAAACCGTTTTCACTAGCTTTTCTTTGAGAACTTCTTCAACTCAAGTAAGTGAAGACTTTTAAGTCTACAAATGTTGTTTGTCATTTAAGTTTCACTTCGAATCATCAGATATGTTTTCCAAATGTGCAAATCTCTGTTAAAAATTAGAGTTTTTAGGCTGGGCATGGTGGCTCACGCCTGTAATCCCAGCACTTTGGGAGGCCAAGGCAGGCGGATCATGAGGTCAGGAGATCGAGACCATCCTCGCTAACACGGTGAAACCCTGTGTCTACTAAAAATGCAAAAAATTGGCTGGGCCTGGTGGCGGGTGCCAGTAGTCCCAGCTGCTCGGAAGGCTGAGTCAGGAGAATGGTGTGAACCCGGGGGGCGGAGCTTGCAGTGAGCTGAGATTGCACCACTGCACTCCAGCCTGGGCGACACAGCAAGACTCCACCTCAAAAAAAAAAAAATTAGATTTTTTATTGTAGTAAAATATACATAGCATAAAATTTACCATTAGTGATATTTAGTACATTAACTGTGTTGTACAAGTACCATCTGAATCTAGTTTCAAAACCTTTTCCTCACCCCAAAAGGAAACTCAGTACCCTTTAAGCAGTCATCTGCCTCTGGGAAACACTAAGCTGCTTTCTGTCCCTAGGGATTTGCCTATTTTGGATATTTAATATAAACAGAATCACATGATATGTGTCTGGCTTCTTTCACTTAGCACGATGTTTTCAAGGTTCATCCATGTTGTAGCATGTATCAGTACTCCATTCCTTTTATGGCTAAATAAAAAATTATAATTTTTAAAGTTTATGAAGTTGGTCTTTTCTCTGGTGCTCCAAAAATAGAATACCATTATGATTTATTTTATAAATCCAGCCAAAGGAATTTTTTTTGACCACCAACGAATTTCAACATAGAACAGAAAACTTTTAATTCTTATCATTTAAATTGTCATAAAGCATATCAAATAATCAGATGTTTAACATACTTGCCACATGATACTCTTGCCTTGACAATCAAGCAAGGTTAGGGTCTTCTCCTAAACCAGTGAGCATTGTTTCAGAAGCCACTAATTAGCAGTGGATGACACAGTATATCCAAAACCAGAAATCTTGATGATGAGCCCAGCCTTGCTGGACTGAAATGCCATCACTATACACTTGAGTCATTTTTTTTGTTTGCTTTATAGAATTTTGTTATTATCAGTTTTCATGCTGCTCTCCAAATTTTTTCTTCTATGTGTTGTACCCCATATGGCAATGAAAACAGTAATTGAACAGTTACAAGTTTTCATTGTTTTAAAAAAAATTAGGACACTGACTTTAATCTTTTTCAAAACTTTTTTTTGCCATCTTCTAAATCATCTCTTTGGTGCTTAATACTAATTTAGAACATCTTCTGAAATTTCTTCTATGTTCTGGAATTTCTTTTCTATTCTTTTTTCCAGTATATTTAAAATTTGAAAGCTATATAGAATCCAAGGTTTCTCCAACAGTAGATTTTTTTCTTTATGATCAAAAATGATATTTTTATTACACTTTCTCAGACATGGCTCATAATATTAGGTATTTTATTATTATAACCTTCTCTTAATTTAATATGATTGGCATTGGTGTGATTAAGTGGGTGATGTTAATAATATTTGACAGTAGTTCATACCTAGCATCCCAGCACTTTGGGAGGCAGGAGGATCACTTGAGGCCAGGCAGGAATTCCAGACCAGCCTAGGCAACAATTTTGTAGCAACAAGCTACAAAAAATAAATTAAAAAATTATGTGGCTGTGGTGGCACGCACCTCTGGCCCCAACTACTTGGGAGGCTGAGGTGGGATGATCAGTTGAGCCCAGGAGTTTGAGGCTGCAGTGAGCTATGATTAAGCCACTGCAATTCAATCTGGGCAACAGAGTGAGACTCTCTTAAAAAAAACAATTTGACAAAAAAAAATTTCAGGAACCATATTTAAGACATTAAAGTGGGGTGACATCGGAGGTAGGAAAACCAGCTGGTTAGACATTTTAGAAATTTAAGTGTCATTAAAAGTTCATTAAGGGCAAGAACTGTGGTGGTGGTGTGTTGTTCATCTTTGTTGTATTGTTCACTCTTTGTATGATTTGTGATACATAGTATAGGTTCATAGTTATTTTATGCCACTTGTGGAACATAGCAGAAAACAAAAGTAATGCATAAGCAAACGAATTATCCTTATTCTTGAAAGAAAGACAGCTGAAGACCTAGACTACTGTGGTGGCAGTGAAAAATCGAGACTGGAAGAAGATGGGGCAGAGTGTTAGAGGGCTAAATAAAGGATTAATGTGGAATGCACCAAGAGAAAAAGAGTTAAACACACTCCCAAACTGAACACTGTGGAAACTAGAGAAAAGAAGGTGATGATAAGTAGCAATTAAGAAGAGAATGTGTGTTTGTTTTCTTTGAGGGGAGAGCTACACAAGGGTATAGCTGATAACATTAGGTATTGGAGCAAGAGCCAATTGGAAAATACCTGTAGGCCATGGGATTTTAAAAATGTAAATTTGGGAGCTATTTGCATGTGATTGATTAAATCATTATGTGGATGGATTCTAAGATTAAACTTTTGTGGATATCTTCTGATAAGACTAAGAATAGGCTTGGTTATATCATGTTAAGTATTTTCAAAAACTGAATCTCTGTTTAAACTGTGCTTTATTAAGTAAGAATAAATTCTACCAGGAATGCCAGTAATCTGTCCACATTTTTCATTGCAATGGAATTTTGCTTAGATTAGGCTACCAGAATTTTACTATGAATATTTTTATTATAATAGGATTTGTGGCACATTTGGAGCCATTATGGCAAACTGAGTTTAGAAGAAAGGTAGGAAGGCAAAAATTATTTTAAAGGTTACATTTAGAGACAAAATGACATAGTTGCAGAACAGTAGCAACAGAAAATCTTACAAGTAGATTCTCTAAATAGCTACTGTTGGCAAGCCAACAAATAATTACATCTGTAAGGTCTGGAAAGAGTTACTGGTTTTATTTCAGTGTTTTTAACCTCAGTTCCATCCACAGGTAACAGTAGCACCATCAGTCACATGTTGTAAATATTTGAAAATTAGAAACGGATTCTAGAAATTATGTCATTCATTTTATAGTTCTACAGAAAATTTGCTGTAAAAGTGCTGAAAACCTCATAGCCAGTTAACGGTTAGTTAACTAATAACTGTTTCTCTTGATTCCTGGTCCAGTACTTGTCCTATAGGACAAGTAAAACCCTCCTTCTTTAAATGTGATTAAAAATGAGAAGCTTTTTTTGAGCCTTGGTCAATAATTCTATTTATGCCCATGATGTAAGAACTAATAGGGAAGTGCCATTTTCTTTTATTAAATTTTTGTATGCAATAAATTTATCAAATAACCTCATTGTATTATTTTAGTGATGAGAAAAGACAGATGATTCATCTGTTTTAAATTTAAATAGTCATTATCGTTTAGGGAGATGTTAGTAAATTTTGTTTGGGGAAAAATGAGTGTTTTTTAAAAATGATCTTTCTTTTTAATCCTTTGTAAATAGCAAGAAGTTGAGAAGTTTACAGACCTAGAGAAACTCTACCTCTACCTTCAGCTGCCTTCTGGTCTCAGCAATGGAGAGAAAAGGTATATCTATTCTTGTCTTTGCTATAATTATGCTGTTTATAGGATGTCCCTAGGATATATGTGAGGTCTGTATGTTTTGGTTGTTAGAGTTTTTGCAATATTCCTGAAATGATTAGAAAACATACTGGCAAAACAATACATCATTTTAGTCTTTGGTGATATTTGGTTAAGTATTTACTTGCAGTTTTTGTTAATTTATTTGTGCAATTGGGTAAATGCTATGACATGCAATTTGGGTTTTGTTTCATAGACAGATGACTATGTTTATGCAGTGTGAGGGATTGTGAAAATTGAACAGAAAACCAAAGAATAAACAGATAAGTATCATAAGGAATAAGGTATAAGAGTTTTTTTAGGTACTATCAGATAAACACATCATAGAATATAAAACAGAAAATAAAGTGAAATTGCCTGTATGAAACATGAATTCATAAATGTAAGGTGTGTTAAGTGCTTGGGGTATTACTATAGTTTCATCATTAAAAATTATAGAAACTGTGGAGAGAAGCTGTTCATTCAGTCATTCTAATTTTTAAAAGAGTTTCCTTAACCTTTTAAGTATTTCTCAGAATTCATCTCATTCATATAAATTATGCTTATCATTCTATTTTTTAAAACTGTATATAGAAATAAATGAAATGCAAATTATTTGAGTTTTATCTTTTTTTCCCTCAGACCAACTTTTATCACTGTTTTAATCATGTTATGTCCTAGACACTTGCTCAGTGTTTTCTTTGAAATTAAATAAATTATTCTTACAGATAGCTGAGATGGATGTCACAATCAGTAGAGTAGCTTCCCTTGTCCTATCTTTGGTGTCCATTTCGGTATTTATTTATAAGTAATACTTCCATATAGTAAAAGTTTACAGTGTTTAATGGATATGTCAGGCTGAGGCAGGGGGCCTGGCTTTAGGAAGGATTGTAGGGGGAGATTTGTCTGTTCAGGATCTCTCTGGTGCAAATTCCATTCTGGAGCACAGAATGCTTTAGTAAGATTTCCAAGTAGTTATATATACATATATATGTGTGTGTGTGTGTGTGTGTATGTATATATGTATATGTATGTGTATACATGTGTATATATATATGTGTGTATATATATATATTATATGAGAATGCTGAGCAAATAGAAATAAGCAATTTTTATATAATTTTGTTTTAAAGTTTGATGATTTATTTGGTAAGTGTAGGCAAATGAACAGGTAAGTACATGAGCAGATACCCACTTAAAGGTGATTTTTGACCAAAACAAATACTTTGTCAGTGCTCTATCACCTGCATGGGGAGGGATGGAGCAGGGCAGTAACTTCAGTCTTACACTAGCTATAGCAAACAGCTCACAACCATAGGTGGACAATTATCTACTAGATGTCCTAAGTTTGGTTTGGTCGTTGATAGTGTATTTGTATACAGTTCTTTAGTGGAACATTTAGGCCTAGCTCAAAAATCGTTAATGAATTGCTGTCTGGTCAGCTAAAACATGTTTTCATTCTATTAGTGATCAGAATGCCATGTCATCTAGTCGGGCACAACAAATGCATGCCTTTTCCTGGATTCGGAATACCCTAGAGGAACATCCGGAGACTTCACTGCCCAAACAGGAAGTCTATGATGAGTACAAGTAAGTAGTATGTGTAATATGGCATGCTGATATATTAAAGAGGTAAAATACTATACTTGGCCATAGTGATTTGTTTTATTATTGGTGAATATCAAGCTGGTATATGGGAATTACACTTAGAAATCTCTTAAGATTCATTCCAGCTCTAAGCTTCTGTAGTAGCATTTATAATAAAGGGGGGCAGGATTAATGAATAAAAGGATTTCTGTAGAGTTCTTCAGGATGACAGGAGGGAGGTCAGAGAGTGCAAGGACAGTGGTGTAGGATTGGTGAATAAAAGGATTCCTATAGAATTCTTAGGTATGATAGGAGTGTGTATCTGGGGTTAGAGAGTGGAAGGCAATAAATAAATCAATACATAAGGCGAAACTAAAACATGATTTTTTACTTGGACTTTTTAAAGGCCCTTTTCATGAATCTAAAAGTCTTCTAATTCTTCTCCATACCAAAGAATATTGTATATTATTTATCAAGGACAAGAGAGTTGTCCTTGCACATGTTAGACACTCAAATTTGGTTGTATTTACAATTTATTTAAATCCAGGATACAAAAATACAGAGGCTGATGAGCCCTTCTGGTTAGAAAAAGGTTAATAGGTGCTAAATATAGTCTCGTTTAACATTTTTATAATTGATTTGGAAGGAGGAATTTATTCCAGCAGAGTAAATAAAAGCAAATTTGAGGGCATATTGAAAGGTCAGACCAACAAGAATTAATGTGTTGTACTTACAAATTTGGGGCAAAAAGTGTCAAATAAGTGCTATTGCTAACCAGTGTAAGGTAATGCGAAGGAAATTGTACTTATTGAGATTATTGGTATCTATTCACAGTTCTTACTACCTCACCAAAAGAAACATAATGGAGCTAGAAGAAAGTCTAGATAAAAATATCTGAAATGATCAAGAGAACAAAGTTAAACTGAAGGACTCTAGATTTATTTTCTCTTTACAAAGGTTAAAACTGAGAGTGCATGTGATCCAACTTGTTCATTCATTCAGTCTACAACAATCCATTGAATACCTATATGCCAGACCCTGTGATAAGTTCTCAGGATACAATTGTAAACAGTCACAGCCCTTGCCCTTATTCAGCATATATGCATATATATATATATATATATTTAGAGTAAGCATAGATTCTTCATTAAATTCAAGTTAGTTAAAATAGACCCCTCCGAAACTTCAAAGAAGCAAATTTGAATTCAGTAAAAGGTTATAGAAATCAGGTAAACTTGTATGATATGTTGAAACTCTGGATTGAAGATCAAGAGAATAGATTCTGCCATTAAACTTGTGTGACATAGGCAAGCATTTTAACCAGTCTTTGTCAGTTGGTTCATCTATAAAATGAGGCAGTTGAAGATGTATGAGGTTTCTTTGGTTTTTTTGTTTGTTTGTTTGTTTGTTTTTTGAGACAGGGTTTAACTCTTGTCACCTAGGCTGGAGTGCAATGGCACGATCACAGCTCACTGCAGCTTTAACTCCCACTCCCACCCCCACCCCCAGGGCTCAAGCGATCCTCCTGCCTCAGCCCTCTGAGTAGCTAACACTATGGGCATGCATCACCATGCCTGGCTAACTTTTGTTTTTGTTTTTTGTAGAGAAAGAGTTTTACCATTGCCCAAACTGAGGTTTCTTTTAGCTCTAAAATTCTAAAAGTTGTCTCAAGTAGGGAATGTTAAAGGACTAATTATCCAAAGATGTCTTGCTGGTTTTCCAAAAGGCACATTGGGCAAATAAATGTGTGACAATTCCATAACAGACTAATGAGGGAATACAGAGTATTCATATAATTTTTGAAGTGATGACTTTAATCTGCACCACCCTTCATGATACCTTAGAGAGAGCATGCTGCATTTGCGGAAGAGTGATCCTGGCCCATGAAAGCAGTCCTTATATTCCTAAAAGTTTTCTGCCTTTGGCAAGACATGGTTATGTTTTCCTATAATATTTGAATTTTTCCTTGAAATCTTTTTCAAAGATTCCCATAAATTCTTATGATTTTTTTTCTAAAAAAAGTTAAAGGATTTTTTAAACAAAAGAGACCCAAAACATCACATTGTTTGGGAGGAGTAGTGAGAACTCCAATTTTGAGCAATTAATTTACAGTTCAGTAGAGAGCAACAGAGATAAAAGAAAGTGATTTAGCGGGGAAGGAGCCAAGATGGCCGAATAGGAACAGCTCCGGCCTGAGTGACGCAGAAGACGGTGATTTCTGCATTTCCATCTGAGGTACTGGGTTCATCTCACTAGGGAGTGCCAGACAGTGGGCGCAGGTCAGTGGGTGCGTGCACCGTGCGCCAGCCGAAGCAGGGCGAGGCATTGCCTCACTTGGGAAGCGCAAGGGGTCAGGGAGTTCCCTTTCCGAGTCAAAGAAAGGGGTGACGGACGGCACCTGGAAAATCGGGTCACTCCCACCCGAATACTGCGCTTTTCCGACGGGCTTAAAAAGCGGCGCACCACGAGATTATATCCCGCACCTGGCTCAGAGGGTCCTAC
Source organism: Homo sapiens (assembly GCF_000001405.40). Taxonomy (NCBI): domain Eukaryota; kingdom Metazoa; phylum Chordata; class Mammalia; order Primates; family Hominidae; genus Homo; species Homo sapiens. The sequence continues at coordinate 56,140,278 of NC_000015.10, read as the reverse complement.
GCCCATGGAGTCTCACTGATTGCTAGCACAGCAGTCTGAGATCAAACTGCAAGGCGACAGCGAGGCTGGGGGAGGGGCGCCCGCCATAGCCCAGGCTTGATTAGGTAAACAAAGCAGCCAGGAAGCTCCAACTGGGCGGAGCCCACCACAGCTCAAGGAGGCCTGCCTGCCTCTGTAGGCTCCACCTCTGGGGGCAGGGCACAGACAAACAAAAAGACAGCAGTAACCTCTGCAGACTTAAATGTCCCTGTCTGACAGCTTTGAAGAGAGCAGTGGTTCTCCCAGCACGCAGCTGGAGATCTGAGAACGGGCAGACTGCCTCCTCAAGTGGGTCCCTGGCCCCTGACCCCTGAGCAGCCTAACTGGGAGGCACCCCCCAGCAGGGGCACACTGACACCTCACACTGCAGCGTATTCCAACAGACCTACAGCTGAGGGTCCTGTCTGTTAGAAGGAAAACTAACAAACAGAAAGGACATCCACACCAAAAACCCATCTGTACATCACCATCATCAAAGACCAAAAGTAGATAAAACCACAAAGATGGGGAAAAAACAGAACAGAAAAACTGGAAACTCTAAAAACCAGAGCGCCTCTCCTCCTCCAAAGGAACGCAGTTCCTCACCAGCAACGGAACAAAGCTGGATGGAGAATGTCTTTGAGGAGCAGAGAGAAGAAGGCTTCAGACGATCAAATTACTCTGAGCTACGGGAGGACATTCAAACCAAAGGCAAAGAAGTTGAAAACTTTGAAAAACATTTAGAAGAATGTATAACTAGAATAACCAATACAGAGAAGTGCTTAAAGGAGCTGATGGAGCTGAAAACCAAGGTTCGAGAGCTACGTGAAGAATGCAGAAGCCTCAGGAGCCGATGCGATCAACTGGAAGAAAGAGTATCAGCGATGGATGATGAAATGAATGAAATGAAGCGAGAAGGGAATTTTAGAGAAAAAAGAATAAAAAGAAATGAGCAAAGCCTCCAAGAAATATGGGACTATGTGAAAAGACCAAATCTACGTCTGATTGGTGTACCTGAAAGTGATGGGGAGAATGGAACCAAGTTGGAAAACACTCTGCAGGATATTATCCAGGAGAACTTCCCCAATCTAGCAAGGCAGGCCAACATTCAGATTCAGGAAATACAGAGAACGCCATAAAGATACTCCTCGAGAAGAGCAACTCCAAGACACATAATTGTCAGATTCACCAAAGTTGAAATGAAGGAAAAAATGTTAAGGGCAGCCAGAGAGAAAGGTCGGGTTACCCTCAATGGGAAGCCCATCAGACTAACAGCGGATCTCTCGGCAGAAACCCTACAAGCCAGAAGAGAGTGGGGGCCAATATTCAACATTCTTAAAGACAAGAATTTTCAACCCAGAATTTCATATCCAGCCAAACCAAGCTTCATAAGCGAAGGAGAAATAAAATACTTTACAGACAAGCAAATGCTGAGAGATTTTGTCACCACCAGGCCTGCCCTAAAAGAGCTCCTGAAGGAAGGGCTAAACATGGAAAGGAAAAACCAGTACCAGCTGCTGCAAAATCATGCCAAAATGTAAAGACCATCAAGACTAGGAAGAAACTGCATCAACTAACGGGCAAAACAACCAGCTAACATCATAATGACAGGATCAAATTCACACATAACAATATTAACTTTAAATGTAAATGGGCTAAATGCTCCAATTAAAAGACACAGACTGGCAAATTGGATAAAGAGTCAAGACCCATCAGTGTGCTGTATTCAGGAAACCCATCTCACGTGCAGAGACACACATAGGCTCAAAATAAAAGGATGGAGGAAGATCTACCAAGCAAATGGAAAACAAAAAAAGGCAGGGGTTGCAATACTATTCTCTGATAAAACAGACTTTAAACCAACAAAGATCAAAAGAGACAAAGAAGGCCATTTCATAATGGTAAAGGGATCAATTCAACAAGAAGAGCTAACTATCCTAAATATATATGCACCCAATACAAGAGCACCCAGATTCATAAAGCAAGTCCTGAGTGACCTACAAAGAGACTTAGACTCCCACACATTAATAATGGGAGACTTTAACACCCCACTGTCAACATTAGACAGATCAATGAGACAGAAAGTCAACAAGGATACCCAGGAATTGAACTCAGCTCTGCACCAAGCGGACCTAATAGACATCTACAGAACTCTCCACCCCAAATCAACAGAATATACATTTTTTTCAGCACCACACCACACCTATTCCAAAATTGACCACATACTTGGAAGTAAAGCTCTCCTCAGCAAATGTAAAAGAACAGAAATTATAACAAACTGTCTCTCAGACCACAGTGCAATCAAACTAGAACTCAGGGTTAAGAATCTCACTCAAAACCACTCAACTACATGGAAACTGAACAACCTGCTCCTGAATGACTACTGGGTACATAATGAAATGAAGGCAGAAATAAAGATGTTCTTTGAAACCAAGGAGAACAAAGACACAACATACCAGAATCTCTGGGACGCATTCAAAGCAGTGTGTAGAGGGAAATTTATAGCACTAAATGCCCACAAGAGAATGCAGGAAAGATCTAAAATTGACACCCTAACATCACAATTAAAAGAACTAGAAATGCAAGAGCAAACACATTCAAAAGCTAGCAGAAGGCAAGAAATAACTAAAATCAGAGCAGAACTGAAGGAAATAGAGACACAAAAAACCCTTCAAAAAATTAATCAATCCAGGAGCTGGTTTTTTGAAAGGATCAACAGGATTGATAGACCGCTAGCAAGACTAATAAGAAAAAAAGAGAGAAGAATCGAATAGATGCAATAAAAAATGATAAAGGGGATATCACCACCAATCCCACAGAAATGCAAACTAACATCAGAGAATACTACAAACACCTCTACGCAAATAAACTAGAAAATCTAGAAGAAATGGATAAATTCCTTGACACATACACTCTCCCAAGACTAAACCAGGAAGAAGTTGAATATCTGAATAGACCAATAACAGGATCTGAAATTGTGGCAATAATCAATAGCTTACCAACCAAAAAGAGTCCAGGACCAGATGGATGCACAGCCGAATTCTACCAGAGGTACAAGGAGGAACTGGTACCATTCCTTCTGAAACTATTCCAATCAATAGAAAAAGAGGGAATCCTCCCTAACTCATTTTATGAGGCCAGCATCATTCTGATACCAAAGCCTGACAGAGACATAACAAAAAAAGAATTTTAGACCAATATCCTTGATGAACATTGATGCAAAAATTCTCAATAAAATACTGGCAAAACGAATCCAGCAGCACATCAAAAAGCTTATCCACCATGATCAAGTGGGCTTCATCCCTGGGATGCAAGGCTGGTTCAATATACACAAATCAATAAATGTAATCCAGCATATAAACAGAGCCAAAGACAAAAACCACATGATTATCTCAATAGATGCAGAAAAAGCCTTTGACAAAATTCAACAACCCTTCATGCTAAAAACTCTCAATAAATTAGGTATTGATGGGACGTATCTCAAAATAATAAGAGCTATCTATGACAAACCCACAGCCAATATCATACTGAATGGGCAAAAACTGGAAGCATTCCCTTTGAAAACTGGCACAAGACAGGGATGCCCTCTCTCACCACTCCTATTCAACATAGTGTTGGAAGTGCTGGCCAGGGCAGTCAGGCAGGAGAAGGAAATAAAGGGTATTCAATTAGGAAAAGAGGAAGTCAAATTGTCCCTGTTTGCAGACGACATGATTGTATATCTAGAAAACCCCATTGTCTCAGCCCAAAATCTCCTTAAGCTGATAAGCAACTTCAGCAAAGTCTCAGGATACAAAATCAATGTACAAAAATCACAAGCATTCTTATACACCAGCAACAGACAAACAGAGAGCCAAATCCTGAGTGAACTCCCATTCACAATTGCTTCAAAGAGAATAAAATACCTAGGAATCCAACTTACAAGGGATGTGAAGGACCTCTTCAAGGAGAACTACAAACCACTGCTCAAGGAAATAAAAGAGGATACAAACAAATGGAAGAACATTCCATGCTCATGGGTAGGAAGAATCAATATCGTGAAAATGGCCATACTGCCCAAGGTAATTTACAGATTCAATGCCATCCCCATCAAGCTACCAATGCCTTTCTTCACAGAATTGTAAAAAACTACTTTAAAGTTCATACGGAACCAAAAAAGAGCCCGCATCGCCAAGTCAATCCTAATCCAAAAGAACAAAGCTGGAGGCATCACACTACCTGACTTCAAACTATACTACAAGGCTACAGTAACCAAAACAGCATGGTACTGGTACCAAAACAGAGATATAGATCAATGGAACACAACAGAGCCCTCAAAAATAATGCCGCATATCTACAACTATCTGATCTTTGACGAACCTGAGAAAAACAAGCAATGGGGAAAGGATTCCCTATTTAATAAATGGTACTGGGAAAACTGGCTAGCCATATGTAGAAAGCTGAAACTGGATCCCTTCCTTACACCTTTTACAAAAATCAATTCAAGATGGATTAAAGACTTAAATGTTAGACCTAAAACCATAAAAACCCTAGAAGAAAACCTAGGCATTACCATTCAGGACATAGGCATGGGCAAGGACTTCATGTCTAAAACAGCAAAAGCAATGGCAACAAAAGCCAAAATTGACAAATGGGATCTAATTAAACTAAAGAGCTTCTGCACAGCAAAAGAAACTACCATCAGAGTGAACAGGCAACCTACAGAATGGGAGAAAATTTTCACAACCTACTCATCTGACAAAGGGCTAATATCCAGAATCTACAATGAACTCAAACAAATTTACAAGAAAAAAACAAACAGCCCCATCAAAAAGTGGGTGAAGGACATGAACAGACACTTCTCAAAAGAAGACATTTATGCAGCCAAAAAACACATGAAGAAATGCTCATCATCACTGGCCATCAGAGAAATGCAAATCAAAACTACAATGAGATACCATCTCACACCAGTTAGAATGGCGATCATTAAAAAGTCAGGAAACAACAGGTGCTGGAGAGGATGTGGAGAAATAGGAACACTTTTACACTGTTGGTGGGACTGTAAACTAGTTCAACCATTGTGGAAGTCAGTATGGCGATTCCTCAGGGATCTAGAACTAGAAATACCATTTGACCCAGCCATCCCATTACTGGGTATATACCCAAAGGACTATAAATCTTGCTGCTATAAAGACACATGCACACGTATGTTTATTGCAGCATTATTCACAATAGCAAAGACTTGGAACCAACCCAAATGTCCAACAATGATAGACCGGATTAAGAAAATGTGGCACATATACACCATGGAATACTATGCAGCCATAAAAAATGATGAGTTCATGTCCTTTGTAGGGACATGGATGAAATTGGAAAACATCATTCTCAGTAAACTATCGCAAGAACAAAAAACCAAACACTGCATATTCTCACTCATAGGTGGGGATTGAACAATGAGATCACATGGACACAGGAAGGGGAATATAACGCTCTGGGGACTGTTGTTGGGGAGGGCGGTAGGGATAGCATTGGGAGATATACCTAATGCTAGATGACGAGTTAGTGGGTGCAGTGCACCAGCATGGCACATGTATACATATGTAAGTAACCTGCACAATGTGCACATGTACCCTAAAACTTAAAGTATAATAAAAAAAAAAAAAGAAAGTAAAAAAAAAAAAAAAAGAAAGTGATTTAGATAGGCTACAATTTAAAAAGGCAGTAGTAGGTAAGGGAGAGTTTTTATAATAGCATGATTAGGAAAGAAATGCCAGTTCTGTTCATGGAATTGGAGAGAATTATTCTAATGATAATTAATAGAGTACTATACACAAAATATCTGAGTCTGGGTATTTTAGTTCAAAAAATTTCACTAAGAATATTTCACTTATTTACTGTAGTGTTCCCCCATAGCATTTCCACATAGTAGGCACTAATTTTATAGTAAGAGTGATTAGAGCGGAACCTGATCTCTGACAATGATAATAAAATTTGTGTTGTAACAGACCTTGTAGGTCTTCCACTATGTTCCTATCCTCTTTTTATAGATGAAAACATTTGAAACCTAGAGAAGTTAAGTGACTCTACCAGTGTGACAAAACTAGTGAGGGGCAGATCTAAGACTAGAACTCAGATTTCATGAGTGAGTTCATAATAGGTTAAGAAGGTAAGCGTGTTAAAGTTGAGTAATATCAAACTGAGTGGGTAGAAAACATTGGACAAGTAGTTAGAAATACTGCTAATATTATTTGGCCAGGACTTCCACTTGGTGTAGATAAATAAGCAGCTCAGAGTATGAATTAGTTTACATATGGTTAGTATACGTGCATACAAATAATATGGTTATTGTAAGAGACACAGCATAACAACATGACATGTGCTAGGAAGAAAGAATGTTGGTGTTTCCATAGAATTACAGCATGTAGAAGCTTCAAGTTGTTCTGTTATTTGATTGTACATTGCCTAAAACCATAATTTGCCATTTGGGTTTAAATAATTTGAAAGAGATAAAAAAGGTAGAAACACTACAGAAAGGCAAAATGTAGATCAAAGTATTAGAAAACAGTTAAAAGTTTTACAATTATGTTGTCTAAAGAAAACTAAATAGAATATAGCTATATATTTTAAGAACAAGAGTTTTAAATCACAGGAGAGATTTCAGTTAGACACACAATCATTAGGCACTCATTATCCTGTTTAGAGTGCCTAAATGAAATTTCCCGAACAAAAACTTAACAGGATCAGTTTAAGACTGATCATTCTGTGTTCTCAATACTCAATGAAAGAAATGGTGTTATTAATATGAAGTATCCTTTTAAGTTATTCCTGTTGTGTATGGACCCTTTTATAATTCATTTCAGTGTATTTAGATGTATTTGTGTCAAAATCCCTTTAATAGTCATTAAAAGCAAAATCCCTTTGAGGAAAAAAATGAAGTTGTAATCTCAGACAGTAAAGACTGGCTTCTTTTAACTGTGTTTTCATGCTAAATTAAGATATTAATAGAAATAAAAAGCTTTAAGGAGCTTTCAGTATGCAAAAACAGTTTAGTTTACAAATGATTTTGAGCTTTTTTATTTGTTGAAATTTTTGAATTCTAATATTCATGTCTTCAGGAAAATTATTAGTGCATTGATTTTTATACTGTTTTTCTAATTATAAAATGTATATTCATCATGAAAGTTTGGGCAAATAGTTATAAATGTATAAAGAAGAAATTTAGCACCTGTAATCTCACTATCTGAAAATAACCATCTGGTTTTATTTCCTTATAGTTTTTCTAATGCCTTCTTTAATGTATACATTTTTGTTGTTGTTTAACCAAATTTGGCCCCACTGTTTATGCAGTTCTTGGGTGAGAGGGTAGTTGCAAATAGCACTGCAGTGAACATCCTTGGCTGTATAATTTAATGTAAATTATCAAAATTGGGATTGCTGGCTAAATACTGTTATTTATTATTCACTAAATGCATTTCTTTCTGATATGTTTGTTCTAGCCTTTTACATGTCCATTTATTAAAGACATAAATATTAAAACATAAATGTTTTTCAAGATTGCTGTTTGTTAATTTTAGTTAATTTTTAAATAAGTAGTCTGATCTGTACACTTTTGTCACAGCTTGTAACATTACTATTATGCTTAGAAAAAACTCCATGCCACCAGCTGCTGAATACTCACATATATTTTTCCTAGGTATTTTTTATTTTATTTTTTATATATAAGCCTTGAGTCTATCTGTGATTTATTTTAGTAAATGCTATTAGATAAGGTACTTATTTTAATTTTTTCTAAATGGTTAATTATCCCAGCTTTTTTATTGAATAATTTTTCTGTCTTAACACTAATCTATAATGTACTGTTACCTTACTAAAGGCTTCTGGACTCAATTTTCTTTCTTTATGTTCTCTGTTCTTCTGGTAATACTATACTACTTAGATATTTTAGCTATTAAATGTTTAAATAGCTGACAGGACCCATCTTTCCTCCTTATACCTCTTTTTCACAAGTTTCCTTGGTTTTATTTTCTGACCAGTTAATTTTTTTTATAGGAAGTTGCGAATCAGTTTTCTGATTTTAAAAAAGGAAACTCTAAGGGGATTTTGATTCAAACACATTAACTGAAAATTTTAGAAAAATTAACTACAGACTAGAAATATGTTTCTTAATTTACATGTTTCTTTCATGCCCTTCATTAATGTTTTCCCTTTTTTCCCTCAATTAAGTTCACTTATTTTCTCCTTTAACATAATCCTCGGTAATTTCTATTCATATTGTGAAAAATATGAATAATATGAAAAAATGAATAAATATGAAAAAGACTATTTGTTTTGGTTTATAGGAACTTCCTAGATTTCTGTTATTTTTATGTTGTACATTTTATATTTACTGGATTTTGTTTAGTCCTTATTTTTAGTTGTTACTTTTGACTTTTCTAGATAGTTTATCCTGTGAATCTTCTTCATTGTCTTTACTTTGTTATTACATTTAATAGACTTTCCTTCCAATTTTACATATAGCAGTGATAGACATCATTTCCTCTTACAGTAAGTTCACTGATGTTAAGTATGTATCACTTATAGTTGAACAAGACTTTATTTTCTTTTTAATGAGAAGTGAATATTGGAATTCATTAAATATTTTGGCATCCAAATGAGATTATTTTGCAGTGCTTCTTATTTGACCTGTCAATGTGATGTATTTTATAAAGATATTACTTAATATAGGCCGGGCACAGTGTCTCATGCCTGTAATCCCAACACTTTGGGAGGCCAAGTCTAGAGGATCACTTGAGGCCAGAAGTTTAAGACCAGACTGGGCAACAAAACAAGACCCTGTCTCTACAAAAAATTAGCTGGGCATGGTGGCATGCACCGGTAGTGCTAGCTATACGAGAGTCTGAGTTGGAGGATTGCTTGAGCTCAGGAGGTGGAGGCGGCAGTAAGCCAATGCACTCCAACCTGGGTGACAGAGTGAGATCCTGTCTCAAAAAAAAAAAAAAAAAAAAAAAAAGATACCTAATATAATCTCTTATTTCTAGAATGAATGTCCTCCTTATGTCAAGACGTGTTATCTTGTAGTGTACCATTGAGTTCTGTTTTCAAGTGTATTATTTAGGAACTTTGCATCTACATTCATAAATGAATTTGGTCTGTAATTTTCTTTTTTTTTTTATGCTATCTTTGTCAGGTTTTGATATCAGGGTTAGGCCAGCTTTGCAAAATGAATTGGAACTCTTTCCCTAATTTTCTGTGCTCTGGAACAGTTTATATAGCATGGGACTTATTTATTCTTGAAAGTTTTAAAGAACTCAACTACAAAACCATCTAGGCCTGGAGCCTTTGTTGGAGGTAATTCTTTGACAATTTTTGTGTTTTACACTGGTTAGGTTTTTACTTTATTCATCAATTTTGGTCATTTGTTTCTCTCATAAATTTAATATCTTTTGTATCTTCTTATATGCTTTTTGATATTTCTAGTTTTGTACATTGAATTTTCCTCTTTTTTCATATTTCACTTAGCCTAATTTATTTTTTAGATTTTTCTTTTTTAGACAAGTAAAATCTGATATGTTTTATTTTCTTGTCTTTTTTTCATTTATTAGGTGCTTTTATTTTTGGTCCTTCTGGTTTTCTTGGGTTTTTTTCTTACTCTTTAAATGGAATGCTTAACTTTGTTTTCATTCTTTCACATTTAGGATAGGAACATTTATATCTATGAATTTGCCTCTCATTATAGTTTTGGCTGTATTCCATTTGATATGCATATGAGTTGTTATAATTGCCATTATTTTCCAATAGTGTGGAATTATCGTTTTGCTTTTTTCTGTGACCTAAATTAGAAGTTTGTTTTCTTTTTAAATTTTTCAGGTGTTTGAGGGTTTATTTCATTTTATTTTGCTTTACACTTTCATATTTTTAGTTTTATTAAATTGTGGTCAGAGAATGGGGCTTAGTTTCTGATATTTTTATTGAGATTTACTTTCAGTCTAACAAATTATCAATTTTTAAAATATTTTGACATTCTCTTTCTGTAGCTCTGTATATTACATTGATTGCACTAATTCAACTTTTTAATATTTTTCAAATTCTGTAAAAAATTCTTTTTGTCTGTTAACACACTGCTCATCTTCAACTGAGTAAATTTCTCACAAAAATGATGTGAGATTCTTTATCACAGTTCCTTACTGTATTTTTTATGAGTTTTGCTTTACAAATGTTAGGATTAACACAAAAGTTTCATGATTTTGTATCCTTAGTAGAGTTTCAATAAAATTAATTTTAGGCAAATGCAAGTACATATAAGAAAATTAACTGTATTACAGGATAGGGAGTTTTCAGCTACCATTTACAAATGGCTTAGGAAAATCTTTACAAATTGTACCCTGGGAGAAGCAGCCACATGTACCATGGCCAAAAAGATCAACCATAGGAAACATCATCAGAAAAATACCAAAACCAGAAACGTTTCACCCTTCTACAAAACCATGATAATGCCAGATACCTCAGCCTGAACTATGCCAAGTAGACATTGCAAGACCTTTATGAATTCCTAGTTTTAGAAATACCATTACTTTTTTAGATCTCTTCACTTTGTATTCATTGCCATCATCACCTACCCTGGGCGACTGCTTTGTTTTCAGGGCAGTGTGCTCTCCAACTTCCTGTTACAAAAATTTTCAGAGATAATAGAAATGTTGAAAGTATACTGTAAGAATATCCATATTCCTATGTGCTTCACATAGGTTCAACAGTTTTTTTCCTATACCATTTGTAAGTTGTGGATATGATACTTCTCCTAAGAATAAAGACAATCACTTTTATAATACTTTGATTACATCTAAGAAACTTAACATGAGTTCTATAAAATTCATCTATTACCTGATTTGGAACTTTTTTTTTTTTTTTTGAGGGGGAGTCTCACTCTTGTCACCTAGGCTGGAGTGCTGTGTTGCAATCTCGGCTCACTACAACCTCTGCCTTCCGGGTTCAAGTGATATTTCTGCCTCAGCCTCCCCAGTTGCTGGGACTACAGGCATGCACCACCACGCCTGGCTAATTTTTATATTTATTATAGGGATGGGTTTCACCATGTTGGCAAGGCTGGTCTCAAACTCCTGACCTCAAGTGATACACCCACTTCGGCCTCCCAAAGTGTTGGGATTACAGGCGTGAGCCATTGTGCCTGGTCCTGTTTTTAACCTAGGAAAAAATAAGTTATTCTTCTGATCCATGAACATGGGGTATATTTTTGTTTACTTAGATCTTTAATTTCTTTCAAGGATGTATACATCTTAATCTTCTTTTGCTAAATTTATTGCTCAATATTTTTGATTGAAGTGGAATTATTTTTAATAACACTTTTGGATTAGTTGTTGCCAATATATAGAAATAAGAGTGATTTTGTATATTGATCTCGTATCCTGCAATTTTGCTCACCTTTATTAGCTCTAATTATAGGGTTTAGTGTATTTCTTAGGATTTTTTTATCTATTTCATCTGAAAATAGAGATAATTTTACCTCTTCCTTTCTAATCTGGATGTCTTCTCATTTATTTTCTTGCCTGATTGCCATGGCTAGAACTTTCAGTACAGTGTTGAATAGAAATGGTAAGAGTGGACACCCCCTTCCTTGTCTGTTGCCTGATACAAAGAGGAAAGCTTTCAGTCTTTTGCCATTAAGTATGATATTATCTGTGGGTTTTTATCGATGGCCTTTGTTAGGTCAAGGAATTTCCATTTTGTTACTAGTTTGTTGGATATCTGTCAAACGTTTTTTCTGCATCTATTGAGATGATTATATCAAAGGTTTTTTTAGATGAACTGAATATAGTGTATTACATTATTATTTTTATATGTTGTACCTATCATGCATTTCTGGGATAAATCACACTTAATCATGATATCTAATCCATTATGTATGCAGCTAGTTTCAGTTTGTCAGTCTTTTGTTAAGGATTTTTGCATCTGAGGGATATTGGTCTGTGGTTTTCATTCTCAGAATGCTTTTGTCTGATTTTGGTGTCAGGATAGTGTTGGCCTTAATATAATGAGTTTAGAAGTATTCCCTTCTAAACTATCAAAGAGTTTATGAAAGACTGATTAGAATTCACCAGCTAAACCATCTTGGTCTGGGCTTTTCTTTGTAGGTACTTTTTAAGTTACTAATTCAATCTCTGTTACTGGTCAGGTTATCTATTTCCTTTTGAGTCTATTTTGATAGTTTGTGTTCTTCTAGAATTTTGTTTCTTTCATGTATATTATCCAATTTGTTGTCATACAGTTTTTCATAGTATTCCCTTGTAGTACATTTTATTCAAAGTCAGTAGTTAATACCTCCGTTTTCATTCATGATTTTAGTTATTTGAGTCATCTCTCTTTTTTTTTTTTTAAACTTGGACAGCTTAGCTGAACATTTGTTAGTTTTGTTAATCTTTTCGGCCGGGCGCAGTGGCTCACGCCTGTAATCCCAGCACTTTGGGAGGCCAAGACGGGCAGATCACGAGGTCAGGAGATCGAGACCATCCTGGCTAACACGGTGAAACCCCGTCTCTACTGAAAATACAAAAATTAGCCGGGCATGGTGGCGCGCGCCTGTAGTCCCAGCTACATGGGAGGCTGAGGCAGGAGAATGGCATGAACCTGGGAGGTGGAGCTTGCAGTGAGTCGAGATCGCGCCACTGCACTCCAGCCTGGGCGACAGAGCGAAACTCCGTCTCAAAAAAAAAAAAAAATCTTTTCAAAAAAACAATTTTGGGGTTTACTTTTTTTTCTAATGTTTTTATATTCCCTATTATATTTCTTTCCACTAGAATCTTTATTATAGCCTTCTTCTGCTTGTTTAGGAGTGAGTTTTCTCTTTTGTTTCTAGTTTCTTAACCTGGAAGATTAGGTTATTGATTTGACACCTTTCTTCTTTTTTAATGTAGGCATATGTCCCTATAAATTTCCTGCTAAGCACTTCTTTGACTACATCCCATATATTTTGATATGTTATGCTTTCATTTTTATCTCAAGTATTCTCTAATTTCTCTTGTGTTTTTTCGATCCATTGATTATGTAGGAATTTAATTTTCACATACTTGTGAATTTCCTTTTCCTTCAGTTATTGACTTCTAGCTTCTTTCCATTATGACCAGGGAAAATACATTGTGTGATTTCAGTTTTTTTTAAAATGTATTAAGTATGATGTATCCTGGAGAATATTCCATATGCACTTGAGAAGAATGCTTTTTGTGCTATTGTTGGCTGGAGGAGTGTTCTGTAGATGTCTTTTAGGTCTAGTTGGTTTATAGTGTTGATCAAGTCATCTGTGTCCTTATTGATCATCTGCTTATTTCTATTCATTATTGAATTGGAGCATTGAAGTCTCTGACTGTTATTGCTGAATTGTCTTTTTTGTGTGTTTTACTTATTTTGGAGCTCTGTTGTTTGCTGCATAAAAAGTTACGATTGTTACAGCTTCTTGGTGGATTGACCATTTCATCTTAATATCTTTGGTAACAGTTCTCTTCTCTGATATTAGTACAGCCCTCCAGTTCTTTTTCAGTTACTGTAGCCATGCTTTATCTTTTCTGGTTCTTTTATTTACAGCCTATTTGTGTCTTTGAATATAAGTATGTATGTAGTATATAGACAACATATACTTTGATGATGTTTTATTTTAAATTCACCCTGCCTTTTAACTGGAGAATTTAATCCATTTACATTTAATGTAATTACTGATAAAGTAAGGTTTACATTTGCCATTTTGCTATTTGTTTTCTATATGTCTTATGCCTGCCTTTGTTCCTCTGTATCAGGTGGGGTCCTTCAGGGAATCCACCACACAAGTGAAATAATGACAATTGTTTGTGATGAGGATTTGCAAAACACTCCAACTACTTTATTTCAGTGAACACAAGACTGCACTGGGAATATGGGGTATTAGTTTTCAAGGCTCCTAATGGGGAATGAGAGATCAGACTAGGGCAAGTTAAAATGGCACAAAGCTATTCTTAAATAAATGCTACCCAGTTTGCTGCAGGTCTTTGGTTAATTTCCAGGGATTTTCCATTGTTTTATGGAGGAGTCAGTTTAGGAATTTTACTATGCAGTTCACTGATACTAGGAAACTAAATAATTTAAATCCCTAAATGTTGATGGATCAGATAATGGTCAGTTCTAGTTGCCATGCTTTATTCAAAAATTAACTGAAATGATCCAGCAAATTGAAATAGCCATTTTAACCATAAGAAATAAAAACTATGAAAACACAGAAGATCAAAGCCTTTATAAAGACTTTGTTATGGTCTGTAAAAAGCATAAACTATGAAACAGACTCCTTCCAAATTATATTTAATGCTTCCCTCTGCTACAGAATAAAGCCCCAAACCATTTATTTTTCAGGGGAAGGAGGACTTATACAGGGGAGAAAGATTGGACTTGGAAAGTAGCTATATGTATATAAATTTGAGTCCTAATTTATTTAGACATATACTGGGATTTGTATCCATGAGGAAGTCCTTAACGTTTAATGTTTGCCTACTATCCTTTTGTAAAATGGAAAAATATCATGCTTTTTTAAGATTAAAAACTGTATATATGAACTAGCTGAAAAAAGCAATCAAGAAAGTAATCCCATTTATGTTAGCCACATACACACACACACACACACACACACACACACACACACTCACACACACAGAAGAAACCCTCAGAATACGCTTAACCAAGGATGCGAAAGACTTCTACAAGGAAAACTAAAAAACAGTGATAAAAGAAATTAAAGAAGATACAAATAAATGAAAAGACATCCCATGCTCATAGATCAGAAGAATTAATATTATTAAAATTACCATACTACCCAGAGCAGTCTACAGATTGAATGCAATTCCTATCAAAATACTGATTGTATTCTTCACAGAAATAGAAAAAAAGACCTTAAAATTTATATGGAAGCACAGAAGACCCAGAATTGCCAAAAAATGCTAACCACAAAGAACAAAACTGGAAGGCTCACATGACCAGACTTCAAAATATACTGCAAAGCTGTAGTAACCAAAACAGCATGGTTCTGGCATAAAAGCACACATATAGACCATGGAACAGGGTAGAGAATCCAAAAGTTAATCCACAATCTACAGCCAACTGATTTTTGACAAAGACGCTAAGAACACTCAGTGGGGAAAGGACAGTCTCTTCAATAAATGGTGCTGAGGAAACTGGGTATACATATGCAGAAGAATAAAACTAAACTCCCATCTCTCACCCTATACAAAAATTAACTCAAAATGGATCAAAGACATAAATGTAAGACCAAAACTACAAAATTAGCAGAAGAAAACATAGGGACTTCAGGACATTGGCCTGCAAAAAGATTTTATGAATAAGAGCTCAAAAGCACAGGCAACAAAAGCAAAAGTAAACCAATGGCATTATATCAGATCAAAAAGCTTCTTCACAGCAAAGATAACAATCAATACAATGAAAAGAAAACTTACAGAATGGGAGAAAATATTTGCAAACTATTCATCTAAACAGGAGATTAATATCCAGATCATTATGTACAAGGAACTCAGACATTTAAGCCGCAAAGAAAAATCTGATTGTTAAATGGGCAAAGGACATGAGTAGACATTTCTCAAAAGATGGTGTACAAATGGCCATAGGTACGTGGAAAAATGCTCAACATCACTAATCATCAGGGAAACGCAGATAAAAACCACAGTGAGGTATCATGTTACCCTGTTAGGATAGCTACTTTCAGAAAGACAAATAAATGCTGGAGAGGATGCAAAGAAAAGGGAACACTTACACACTGTTGGTGGGAATGTAAAGTACAGCTGCTATGGAGAACAGTATGGATTTTTTTTTTTTTTTCGGAGACTGAGTCTTGCTCTGTCACCCAGGCTGGAGTGGAGTGGCACGATCTCGGCTCACTGCAAGCTCCGCCTCCTGGGTTCACACCATTCTCCTGCCTCAGCCTCCCTAGTAGCTGGGACTACAGGTGCCCGTCACCATGCCTGGCTAATTTTTTGTATTTTTAGTAGAGGCAGGGTTTCACCGTGTTAGCCAGGATGGTCTCAATCTCCTGACCTTGTGATCCGCCTGCCTCGGCCTCCCAAAGTGTTGGGCTTACAGGCGTGAGCCACTGCACCCGGCAGATGTTTCTTAAAAATACAGAGAGGTGTACCAAGATGGCCAAATAGAAGCCTCCACTGATCATCCTCCCTGCAGGAACACCAAATTTAACAATTATCTACACACACACAAAAATGTAAGAACCAGAAATCAGGTGAATGGTCATAGTACCTGGTTTTAAGTTGAAAGAGACACTGAAGAAGGTACAAAAAAAGTCTTGAATTGCTGACACCACCTCTCCCCCATCTCCCAGCACCTGCCACGGAGAATGAGTCCACTTGCAGGAGAGAGAGTGCAGCAGCTGTGGAACTTTGCATTGGAACTCAGTGCCGCCAACAGTGGGCAGAACTCAGCCAGCTCCTGTGGAAAGAGCATTCAGACCAGCCCTAGCCAGAAAGGAAATCTCTCATCCCAGTGGTTGGAAACTGAGTTCCCACAAGCCTCACCACTGCAGGCTAAAGTGCTCTGGAGTCCTAAATAAACTTGAAAGGCAGTCTAGACCACAAGGACTGCAATGTATAGGCAACTCCTAGTGCTTTGCTGGGCTCGGAACCAGTGGACTTGGGCGGCATACCACCTATTGAGACACCAGCCAGGGTGGCCAAGGGAGTGCCTGCATCAGCCTTCCCTCAACCTGAGGCAGCAAAGCTTGCAACTCTGAAAGAACCCCTTCCTTCCACTTGAGGAGAGGAGAAGGAAACGTGAAGAGGACTTTATCTTAATGCTTAAATACCAGTTCAGCCACAGTAGTATAGGGTACCGGGCAGAGTCTTGAGACCTCCATTTCAGGCTCTAGCTCCCAAATGACATTTCTAGACACACCCTGGGCCAGAAGGGAACCCACTACGTTGATGGGAAGGACCCAGTCCTGGCAGGATTCATCACTTGCTGACTAAAGAGCCTTTGGGCCCTGAATAATACCATTAGCAGTGGTAACCAGGTAGTACATGCCAGAGGTCTTAGGTGAGATTCTGAGACATTCTGGCTTCAGGTATGACCCAGTGTATTTACAGCTGTGGTGGCTACAAGGCAAGACTTCTGGTTGGAAAAAGCAGAGGGAAGAATAAAGGGGATTTTGTTTTGCTGCTTAGGTGCCAGCCCAGCCACAGTGGGGAAGACCACCAAGAGGGCTTTTGGGGTCCCCGATTCCAGGCCTTGGCTCTTAGATGGTTTTTGTCGACCTATGGTATTTGGCCCTTAGATGGTATTTCTCGAATACCATCTAAGGGTGAGAAATACCATCTGAAGGGTGAGTCCCAGATTTGAGGGCATTCACCACAGGCTGACTGGAGAGCCCTTGGGCCTTAAGTGAACATTGGCAGTACCCTGGCAATACTCCCTGTGGGCCTGTGGTGGTGGACACGGGGAGACTCCTCTGACTAGGGAAAGGGGAAGGAAGAGTGGGAAGGACTGTCTTGTGGTTTGGGTGCCAGCTTAACCGCAGTAGGATAAAGCACCAGGTAGATTTCTAAGGTTTCTGGATCCAAATCCTGCTCCTGGATAGCATCTCTGGACCCATCTGGGGTCTGGGGCAACTCACAACCCTGAAGGCAAGAACAAAAGACTGGCTGGCTTCACAAACTGCTGATTGTAGAGCCCTAGGGCTTGAGTGAGAACATAAATGGTAGCCCTGTCGTGGTAACAGTGAGCCTTGGGCAATACCCAGTGCTATGCTTGTTTCAGGTCTAACCCAGCACAGACCCAGTAGTGATGGTCACAGGGCTGCTTGTGTCACCACTCCCCCAGCTCCAGGCATTTCAGCCTAGAGAGAGGGAGAGACTCCATTTGTTTGGGAGAAAATAAGGGAAGAGAACAAGAATCTCTGCATGGTAATGCACAGAATTCTTCCAGACCTTATCCAACACCATCAAGGTGGTACCTCTGTGAATCTGCAAGAACCACATTACTGGACTTGTAATGCCCCCAAATGCAGTTATCTCTGTGGTGGCCAAAAACAGATCACGGCACAAAAGTCCCTTCGAATACCTGCAAAGTCTTTCCCAGTAGGATGGGTACAAACAGGCCCACACTGTGAACACTACGATAAATATCTAACTCTTCAATGTCCAGACACTGATGAGCATTCACAAGCATCAAGACCATTCAGAAAAACATGACCTCACCAAACGAACTAAATAAGGCACCAGGGACCAATCCTGGAGAGACAGAGATATGTGACCTTTCAAAAAGAGAGTTCAGAATTGCTCTTTTGAGGGAGCTCAAATAAATTCAAGAAAACACAGAGAAGGAATTCAGAATCCTATCCAACAAATTTAACAGAGATTGAATAATTTTTAAAAAGCAAATTCTGGAGTTGAAAGATGCAATTAATACACTGAAGAATGCATCAGAGTCTCTTACTTGCAGAATTGATCAAAAAGAACTAGTGACCCTGAAACAGGTTATTTGAACATACACAGTCAGAGGGAGACAAAAAAACAATAAAAAAAAGAATGAAGCACACCTACAAGATCTAGAAAATAGCCTCCAAAAGCCAAATCTAAGAGCTATTGGCCTTAAAGAGGAGGTAGACAGAGAGATAGGAATAGAAAGTTTATTCAAAGAGAGAATAACAGAGAACTTCCAAAACCTAGAGAGAGATATCAATATCCAAGTACAAGAAAGTTACAGAAAAGCAAGCAGATTCAACCCAAAGAAGACTACCTCAAGGCATTTATAATCAAATTCCTATCTGAGGACCTTGATAGACCCCTATCTCTTGCCCTATACAAAAAGGTAAAGGATAAAGAAAGATCCTAAAAGCAGCAAGATAAAACAAACAAATAACATACAATGGACCTCTAGTACATCTGGCAGCAGACTTTTCAGTGGGAACCTTGCAAGCCAGGAGAGAGTGACATGACATATCTGAAGTGCTGAAGGGAAAAATATTTTACCCTAGAATAGTATACCCAGTGAAAATATCTTTCAAACAGGAAGGAAATAAAAAGATTTTCACAGACAAAAGCTTAGGGATTTCATTAACATCAGACTTGGCATACAAGAAATACTAAACAGAGTTCTTCAGTCTGAAAGAAAAGGCTGTTGAGCAGTAAGACATCATCTGAAGGTACAAAACTCAGTGGTAATAGTGTATACACAGAAAAAAACACAGACTATTATAACACTGTAATTGTGGTGTGTAAACTACTCATAGTAGGAAGACTAATAGATGAACTAATCAAAAACAATAACTACACAACTTTTCAAGTCATAGTACAATAAAATATAAATAGAAACAACAACAAGTTTTTAAATGGGGAGACAATATTTGAGTATAAAGGTTTTATTAGTTCTCTTTTGGCTTGTTTGTTTATGCAATCCAATAATTTGTTATCAGTTTAATACATTGTAAGATATTATCTGCAAGCCTCATGGTAACCTCAAATCTAAAAACATACAACAGATACACAGAAAAATAAAAAGCAAGAAATGAAAAAGCACTTCATAAAATTCAACATCTCTTCATGATAAAAACCCTCAAAAAACTGGGCATAGAATGAACATACCTTAACATAATAAAAGACATATATGACAGACCCACAGCTAGTATCATACTGAAAGAGGAAAAACTGAAAGCCTTTCCTCTAAGATCTGGAACATGACATGGATGCCCACTTTTGCCACTTTTATTCAAATAGTACTAGAAGTGCTAGCTAGAGCAATCAGACAAGAAAAAGAAACAGGGCATCCAGACTGGGAATGAAGGGTCAAATTATCTGTCTTTATAGATGATATGATTTTATATTGGAAAAATCTAAAGACTCCACCAAAAAACTATTAGAATGGATAAATTCAGTAAAGTTGCAGGATACAATATCAACATACAAAAATCAGTAGCATTCCTATTTGCCAACTGTGAACAATCTGAAAAAGAAATCAAGAAAGTAATCCTATTTACAATAGCTACAAATAAAATTAAATACCTAAGAATGTACTTAAAGAAGTGAAAGATGTCTACAGTGAAAACTATAAAACAATGATGAAAGAAATTGAAGGGGACACAGAATGTAAAGGCGTTCCATGTTCATGGATTCAAAGAATCATTATTAAAATAATTATACTACCCAAAGCAATCTACAGATTGAATGAAGTGTCTATCAAAATACCAATGACATTCTGCACAGAAATATTATAGAAAAAACTATCCCAAATTTATATTAAAAGAGATAGCCAGAGTAGCCAGAGATATCCTAAGCAAAAAGAACAAAACTGGACTAATCACATTACCTTCAAATTATACTATAGAGCTGTAGTAACCAAAACAGCATGGTACTGGCATAAAAACAGACACATAGACCAAAAGAACAGAATAGAGAACCCAGAAACAAATTCATACATCTACAGTGAACTCGTTTTCTTTCTTTCTTTTTTTTTTTTTTTTTTGAGACACAGTGTCACTCTGTCACCCAGGCTGGAGTCCAATGGCGCGATCTCAGCTCATTGCAGCCTCCGCCTCCCAGGTTCACGCGATTCTCCTGCCTCAGCCCCCCAAGTAGCTGGAACTATAGGCACGCACCACCATGCCTAATTTTTTTTTGTATTTTTAGTAGAGACAGGGTTTCACCATGTTGGCCAGGCTGGTCTTGAACTCCTGACCCCATTTGACCCACCCACCTCGGCCTCCCAAAGTGCTGGGATTACAGGCGTGAGCCACCGCACCCAGCCAGTGAACTCATTTTCAACAAAGATGCCATAAGCATACACTGGGGAAATACATGGTTTCTTCAATAAATGATGCTGGGAAAACTGGATATCCTTATGTAGAAGAATGAATCTAGACCCCTATCTCTTGCCCTATACTAAAATGATATCAAAGTGGATTGAAGACTTAAATCTAAGACCTCAAACTATGAAACTACTATAAGAGAACACTAGGGAAACTCCAGGACATTGCACTGTGCAAAAATTTCTTGAGCAATACCCTACAAGCACAGGCAACCAAAGCAGAAGTGGACAGATGGGATCACATGCAGTTAAAAAGCTGCACAGCAAAGAAAGCAGTTAACAAAGTGAAGAGATAACCCACAGAATGGGAGAAATTATTTGCAAACTCTCCATCTGACAAGGGATTAATAACCAGAATATAGAAGGAGCTCAAACAACTCTATAGAAAAAAAATCTAATAATTTGATTTAAAATGGGCAAAAGACCTATATAGACATTTCTCAGAAGACATACAGATGGCAAAAAGGCATGTGAAAAGGTACTCAACATCATTGTTCATTAGAGAAATACAAATCAAAACAACAATATATAGTCTCACCCCAGTTCAAATGACTTTTATCAAAAAGACAGACAATAACAAATGATGACAAGGATGTGGAGGAAAGGAAACCTTCATACACTGTTGGTGGGAATATAAGTTAGTAAAGCTACTGTAGAGAATAGTTAGGAAGTTCTTCAATAAACTAAAAATAGAGCTACCATATGATCTAGCAATACCACTGCTAGGTATATATCCAAAAGAAAGGAAATCTGGATATCAAAGAGATATCTGCACTCCCATGTTTATCCCAGCACTATTCCCAATAACCAAGATTTGGAAGCAACCTAAGTGTCTATCAGCAGATGAATGGATAAAGAGAATGTAGCACATAGGCAAGATGGAGTACTATTCAGCCATAAAAATAGAATGAGATCGTATCATTTGCAATCACATGGATGGAACTGGAGGTCACTATGTTGAGTGAAATAAACCATTTACAGGAACACAAACATCATATGTTCTCACTTATTTGTGGGAGCTAAAAATTAAAATAATTGAACTCATGGAGATACAGTAGGATGATGGTTACCAGAGGCTTGGAAGGGTAGTGGGGGCACAGTAGTGAAGTGGGGTTGGTTGATGGATACAAAAACATAGTTAGAAGGAATGAATAAGATCTAGTATTTGACAGCACAACAGGGTGATGATAGTCAAGAATAATTAAATTGTACATTTTAAAATAACCAAAAGAGTATAAATGGATTGTTGGTAACACAAAGAATAAATGCTCGAGGTGATGGATACCCCATTTACCCTGATATGATTATTACACATTGTATGCCTATATCAGAGTATCCCATATACCCCATATATATATATACCTAATATATACTCACAAGAATTTTTAAAATATGTGTAGATAGATAGATAGATAGATAGGACTATCATATGATCCAGCAGTCCTACTGCTGAGCATTTAGCCAAAGGAAAGAAATCTGTATATCAAAGAGACACCTAACGCCCCCATGGTTTATTGCAACACTATTCATTATACCCAAGATAAAGAATCAACCTAGGTGTCCAACAGATGAGTGAATAAAGAAAATGTATATATACACAATGGAATACTGTTTAGCCATTAAAAATAAGATCCTGTCACTTGCAGCAACATGAATGGATCTGGAGGTCATTATGTTAAGTAAAATAAACTGGGAATAGAAAGTTAAATGCTGCATGCTCTCACTCATATGTGGAAGTTGATAAAAGTTCGTTTCACAGAAGTAAAAGGTAGAACAGAAGATACTAGGTGCTGGGAAAGGGGATGGGGATAGGAAGAGAGTGGTTAAAGGATACAAAATTAGAACTAGATAGGAGGAATAAATTGTATAGTACTGAAAAATGACTATGCTTAACAGTAGTGTATACTTTCAAGTAGTGCGGAGGATATTGAATGTTCCCAACACAAATAAATGACAGATGTTTAAGATGATAGATATGCTAATTACCCTGATCTGTTCACTGTACATAAGTCTACATGTTAGCTTTTTTGAAATTCTTAGTTTCAAAACCATATGCTGCTCTTCTCAGTTTTTGTTCATATTCTTTCCTCTACATGAAATAGACCTGCCTCACCCTCCACCCACCCTAACACCCATATGAGTAAATCTACTTGTTCTCTAAGGCCCAGTTTAAATCTCCTTTCTCCGTATAATATTAGACCCTTAGTTCTAGCTCAGGCATGGCATTTTATTTACAGCACTCTATGTAACTTTTATTGGAAAGTAACATACACACAGAAAATATATACAGATTATAAGTTTACAGCTTGACAAATCTTTACAAAAGGAATACCCTCGTATTACCAGCATCCAGATTCAGAAACTAAACATTACCATAATCCTGCCTCATAACCTCTTACACTCACTCTCTTTACCAGCACCTCTCTCATCAAGGGTAACCTCTGTCCTGGCTTCTAATGCCACAGGCTAGCTTTGCTTGTTTTTGAACATTACATGAATGATGTTATACAATATACTATATTTTTTATCTGGCTTTTTTACTCAATATTTGTACAGTTTGTACAACTGTACAATGTTTGTACAATTTGTACAACTGTACAATGTTTGTACAATTTATGCATTTTAGTTTATTCATTCACACTGCTATGTAGTATCCCACTTGTGAATATATACCATAATTTCTTAGCTCATTCTTCTGCATACGGACATTATCCTTTTTTCCATTGTAGTTTTAACTTGCATTTCCCTGATGACTAATGAAGTTGAGTGCCTTTCTTATATGTTCTTGGGCCAACTGGGTATCGTCTTCTGCGGAGAACCTATTTAAGTCTCTGTCCTTTTTTCTCACCTCTTCTATACATTCATGAATGGTAGGTAACTACATCTCACTCATTTTCTACTGACACAGATTCTATAAGAATGTCATACTGTTTACATTACAGCTGTATGTATTTATTAAGATTTTATGCAGAAAAGTAAAATTGAGGGCTGATCACTGTTCTTCAGAGGGAACCTTTTAAAAATGTTGTAGTGCAACCAGTCAACAAATATGTATTGAGTACTGACTGCATGAAATTCTACTTGAGTCATCAGTAAAGAACCACTTATTTAACTACAAACCATCTTACAAACCATTTTACAAACCATCTTTACCTCTCTCTTCCTTAGTTTTCTCATCTACGAAATGGTATGATTACATCAGATGACACTAGGGTCTCTTGGCTTTTTTTGTTTTCATGTATACAACCTTGTGAAAATTTGAATTTATCCTTTTACTAACATGAGTTCAGAAATGTTCCCAACTATTGAATAACTAAGTGTAGTATAATTGGATCTGGATGGAAATTCAAAGATGAGAGATGGTTACTCAGGAATTTACTGGGTCAAGGCCCCTTCTTTCAATGTTTGTTAATTCTTAATCTATAGGTAGTTACTGTCGATAATCATAAATCTGGACATTTTATATGCAGTTAAATTTTTTTTTTTTTTTTTGAGACGGAGTCTCGCTCTGTTGGCCCAGGCTGGAGTGCAGTGGCACGATCTCGGCTCACTGCAAGCTCTGCCTCCCAGGTTCACACCATTCTCCTGCCACAGCCTCCCACGTAGCTGAGACTACAGGCACCCACCACCACGCCCGGCTAATTGTTTTTTTATATTTTTAGTAGAGACAGGATTTCACCGTCTTAGCCAGGATGGTCTCAATCTCCTGATCTCATGATCTGCCCACCTCAGCCTCCCAAAGTGCTGGGATTACAGGCCTGAGCCACCGTGCCGGGCCTATATGCAGTTAATTTAAAACAACGGAGACCTCAGGCAATCCAAAAATGAAAGTATGTATACAAAGAGAGCTCATACTATATGTAGAGTATGATCAATATATTTATCACATATGTGTGTGTGTGTCTTTGCTTTAAAAATAACAATCCAAATTCACCAAAAGAATAGTCATTTTTTAAAAGCCTGAATACACTAAGCAGACAGCCCCAGTTTCCCCTTCCACCACACACGTGTCAACTATAAATCTTTCTGTCTGTATGGATTTCTGTACTGTGGATATTTCATATAAATGGAATCATACAATAAAAAAAGAATAGTTATTTTAGCTGGGCACAGAGGCTCACCCCTGTAATCCCAGCGGCTCACCCCTGTAATGCCAGCACTTTGGGAGGCCGAGGCAGGCAGATCACCTGAGGTCAGGAGTTCGAGACCAGCCTGGCCAACATGGCAAATCCCTGTCTCTAGTAAAAATACAAAAAATTAAGCTGGGCATGGTGGTGGGCGCTTATAATCCCAGCTACTCGGGAGGCTGAGGCAGGAGAATTGCTTGAACCCAGAGGTGGAGGTTGCAGTGAGCAGAAATCACGCCATTGCACTCAAGGCTGGGCAACAGAGCGAGACTCTGTCTCAAAAATAAAATAAAAATAAAAAAAGAATAGTCATTTTAAATGGCTTCTTCATAGGCCATGAGAACTCAAGCCTTTAAGATTTACTTTTTACTGTGATTAAGTAAAGACACAAATTTCTTTTTAAAATCTTGAGGATTTATCAGATGACTTCATAAACTATGGGATTTTTTTTATTAGCAATTTATAAACTTCAGGTTAAGGTTCTTAACCTGTGAATCATGATTCACCATGACTGAATCTTTTTTGTAGGATTATTAGCCAAAATGATGGAAAGGAAAGGCAAGTCCTGGTTAAGGAGGGTCATATATGATAGTTTTTTTATATATAAATAATTTAACTCTTCTTTAGTTTTGACTTCAAGCAAAGTAATCTTTCAGATATATTGTTCATTGTGTAGTTACCACAAAAAAAAGCATTATCAATGAGTTTCAAAGGTGATATATTAGTATGATCCTAGTCTAAGATCAGCTTACTAGTACTACTATCATTGTTCAACATACTATATCATTGTTCTGCCCAAAACACAGAACAATACGAAAACGATAAATTTCTTTTTTCTTTTTCTTTTCCTTTTCTGTTGTTTTTTTGTTGTTGTTGTTTGTTTTTTTTTTTTTTTTGGAGACAGAATCTCACTCTGTTGCCTAGGCTGGAGTGCAGTGGCGTGATCTCTGATCACTGCAACCTCCACCTCCCGGGTTAAAGCATTTCTCCTGCCTCAGCCTCCCAAGTAACTGGGATTACAGGCGCCCAC
Source organism: Homo sapiens (assembly GCF_000001405.40). NCBI lineage: Eukaryota > Metazoa > Chordata > Mammalia > Primates > Hominidae > Homo > Homo sapiens. Next base: position 56,114,277 of record NC_000015.10, on the reverse strand, counting down.
CACCATGCCCAGTTAATTTTTTTTTTCTGTATTTTTAATAGAGACAGGGTTTCACCAGGTTGCCCAGGCTGGTCCTGAACTCCTGAGCTCAGGCAGTCGCCCACCTCGGCCTCCCAGAGCGCTAGGAATACAGGCATGAGCCACCACACTCAACTGGAAAAGACCAATTTCTTTATGGTTAGGGTCAGGCACTTTTGAAGAGTTTTCTCTCCAGAGTCTTAAGATCTATTTACTCCTTAAAAATAAGGGAGGATTACAACAACTTTTCCACTTTCTAAGGCTCAAGCTAATTAGATATTTGACCATATTACTTGTACTTCATTTGTCTTTCAGATTGTCTAGCAAATGTTTTGTTTGATTAATACTTTTAAGGCAATGTAATTCTACCATGTCTTTGGGACCTCCCAAAATTCCCATATCCTTTATTGTCATTTATAATATTTGAATACTAAGACTCACTAAAATAACATTATGGGTCTAGGTAAGTCTTAAGAGTCCTTTTAATGGAAAATTGATAATTCTTAATTATTTTTATAAATATTAGGAAAAAATTTAATGATGTAATTTTGGTTACAATACAAGCATTCAGTTTACTTTTTTTTTTTTTAATTTTATTTTACTCTACATTCCGGGATACATGTGCAGAATGTGCAGGTTTGTTACATAGGTAAACATGTGCCATGGTGGTTTGCTGCACCTACCAACCTGTCACCTAGGTATTAAGCCCCTCATGCATTAGCTATTTGTCCTAATGCTCTTTCCTCCCCTCACCGCCCCCGCAACAGGCCATGATGTGTGTTGGTCCCCTCCCTGTGTCCATGTGTTCTCATTGTTCAGCTCCCACTTACGAGTAAGAACATGCAGTGTTTGGTTTTCTGTTCCTGCATTAGTTTGCTGAGGATGATGGCTTCCAGCTTGATCCATGTCCCTGCAAAGGACATGATCTCATTCCTTTTAATGGCTGCATAGTATTCCATGGTGTATATGTACATTTTCTTTATCCAGTCTATCATTGATGGGCATTTTGGTTGGTTCTATGTTTTTGCTATTGTGAATAGTGCTGCAGTAAACATACATTTGCATGTGTCTTTATAATAGAATGATTTATATTCCTTTGGGTATATACCCAGTAATGGAATTGCTGAGTCAAATGGTATTTCTAGTTCTAGATCCTTGAGGAAGCTCCACACTGTCTTCCACAATGGTTGAACTAATTTACATTCCCACCAACAGTGTAAAAGTGTTCCTATTTCTCCACATCCTTGCCAACATGTGTTGTTTCTTGACTTTTTAATAATCGCCATTCTGACCGGCATGAGATGGTATCTCTTTGTGGTTTTGATTTGCATTTCTCTAATGATCAGTGAAGTTGAGATTTTTTTCATATTTTTGTTGGTTGCATAAATACCTTCTTTTGAGAAGTGTCTGTTTATGTCCTTTGCCCACTTTTTGATGGGGTTGTTTGTTTTTATCTGGTAAATTTAAGTCCCATGTAAATTCTGGATCTTAGACCTTTGTCCATAGGTAAATTGCAAAAATTTTCTCTCATTCTATAGGTTGGTTGTCTGTTCGCTCTGATGATAGTTTCTTTTGCTGTGCAGCTCTTTAGTTTAACTAGATCCCAGTTGTCAGTTTTAGCTTTTGTTGGAATTGCTTGTGGCGATTTCTTCATAAAATCTTCTCCCATGCCTATGTCCTGAATGGTATTGCCTAGATTTTCTTCTAGGATTTTTATGGTTTTGGGTTTTACATTTAAGTCTTTAATCCATCTTGAGTAAATTTGTGTATAAGGTGTAAGAAAGGGGTCCAGTTTCAGTTTTCTGCATATGGCTAGCGAGTTTTCCCAGTACGATTTCTTAAATAGGTTTGTAGTTCTTTTTTTTTTTTTTTTTTTTTTTGATTTGTACTCTGATATTTTTTATTCTGTTCCAAATAAATTCTGGTCAGGATGCACTAAATTTATTTTTACAATTTACTAATGAAGCATTACTTTAATTTTGAAAAATACCGTACTAGTGCATAGCCAGTCTATGTTACAGTTACCTGTTTGAAGAGAGCTCTACCATCTTAGGCAAGTTATTTAATTTCTGAGTCCTCAGTTTTCTCATCTGCCAAATGAAAAGGCTGAACCAGGTTAGTGATTCTTTTTTTTTTTTTTTTTCTGGGGCAAAGTGTCCCTCTATTGCCCAGCCTGGAGTGCAGTGGCGAAATCTCAGCTCACTGCAACCTCCGCCTCCTGGGTTCAAGTGATTCTCCTGCCTCAGCCTCCCGAGTAGCTGGGACTATAGGCACACACCACCACGCCCGGCTAGTTTTTGTATTTTTAGTAGAGACAGGGTTTCACAATATTGGCCAGGCTGGTCTCGACCTCCTGACCTCGTGATCCACCCGCCTCGGCCTCCCAAAGTGCTGGGACTACAGGGATGAGCCACTGCACCTGGCATTAGTGATTCTTAATCCTGGTTGCACATGAGAAATACCTGGAGAACTTTTAGATACACTTGTCTGGATCCAGGTTTTTGCCCTCAGAATTTCTGATTCTGATTCTGATTTAATGGTTTTAGGGTGGGGCCTATGCCCTGGTATTGTTTTTTTGGTTTTTTTTTTTTTTTTTTTGGTTTATTTATTTTTTTATTGATCATTCTTGGGTGTTTCTCGCAGAGGGGGATTTGGCAGGGTCACAGGACAATAGTGGAGGGAAGGTCAGCAGATAAACAAGTGAACAAAGGTCTCTGGTTTTCCTAGGCAGAGGACCCTGCGGCCTTCCTCAGTGTTTGTGTCCCTGGGTACTTGAGATTAGGGAGTGGTGATGACTCTTAACGAGCATGCTGCCTTCAAGCGTCTGTTTAACAAAGCACATCTTGCACCGCCCTTAATCCATTTAACCCTGAGTGGACACAGCACATGTTTCAGAGAGCACCGGGTTGGGGGTAAGGTCACAGATCAACAGGATCCCAAGGAAGAAGAATTTTTCTTAGTACAGAACAAAATGAAAAGTCTCCCATGTCTACCTCTTTCTACACAGACACGGCAACCATCCGATTTCTCAATCTTTTCCCCACCTTTCCCCCCTTTCTATTCCACAAAACCGCCATTGTCATCCTGGCCCGTTCTCAATGAGCTGTTGGGTAAACCTCCCAGACGGGGTGGTGGCCGGGCAGAGGGGCTCCTCACTTCCCAGTAGGGGCGGCCGGGCAGAGGCGCCCCTCACCTCCCGGACAGGGTGGCTGGCCGGGTGGGGGGCTGACCCCCCCACCTCCCTCCCAGACGGGGTGGCTGGCCGGGCGGGGGGCTGACCCCCCCCACCTCCCTCCCGGACGGGGCAGCTGGCCGGGCAGAGGGGCTCCTCACTTCCCAGTAGGGGCGGCAGGGCAGAGGCTCCCCTCACCTCCCGGACGGGGCAGCTGGCCGGGCAGAGGGGCTCCTCACTTCCCAGTAGGGGCGGCAGGGCAGAGGCGCCCCTCACCTCCCGGACAGGGTGGCTGGCCGGGTGGGGGGCTGACCCCCCCACCTCCCTCCCAGACGGGGTGGCTGGCCGGGCGGGGGGCTGACCCCCCCCACCTCCCTCCCGGACGGGGCGGCTGGCCGGGCAGAGGGGCTCCTCACTTCCCAGTAGGGGCGGCCGGGCAGAGGCGCCCCTCACCTCCCGGACAGGGTGGCTGGCCGGGTGGGGGGCTGACCCCCCCACCTCCCTCCCAGACGGGGTGGCTGGCCGGGCGGGGGGCTGACCCCCCCCACCTCCCTCCCGGACGGGGCAGCTGGCCGGGCAGAGGGGCTCCTCACTTCCCAGTAGGGGCGGCAGGGCAGAGGCTCCCCTCGCCTCCCGGATGGGGCGGCTGGCCGGGCGGGGGGCTGACCCCCCCTCCCCCGGACGGGGCGGCTGGCCGGGCGGGGGGCTGACCCCCCCCACCTCCCTCCCGGACGAGGCGGCTGGCCAGGCGGGGGGCTGACCCCCCCCCCACCTCCCTCCCGGACGGGGCGGCTGGCCAGGCGGGGGGCTGACCCCCCCCCACCTCCCTCCCGGACGGGGCGGCTGGCCGGGCAGAGGGGCTCCTCACTTCCCAGTAGGGGCGGCCAGGCAGAGGCTCCCCTCACCTCCTGGACGGGGCGGCTGGCCAGGCGGGGGGCTGACCCCCCCACCTCCCTCCCGGACTGGGCGGCTGGCCGGGCGGGGGGCTGACCCCCCCACCTCCCTCCCAGACGGGGCGGCTGGCTGGGCAGAGGGGCTCCTCATTTTCCAGTAGGGGCGGCCGGGCAGAGGCGCCCCTCGCCTCCCGGACGGGGCGGCTGGCCGGGCAGGGGGCTGATCCCCCCACCTCCCTCCCGGATGGGGCGGCTGGCCAGGCGAGGGTCTGACCCCCCCATCTCCCTCCCGGACGGGGTGGCTGCCGGGCGGAGACACTCCTCACTTCCCAGACGGGGTGGCTGCCGGGCGGAGGGGCTCCTCACTTCTCAGACAGGGCGGCTGCTGGGCGGAGGGGCTCCTCACTTCTCAGACAGGGCGGTTGCCAGGCAGAGGGTCTCCTCACTTCTCAGACGGGGCGGCCGGGCAGAGACGCTCCTCACATCCCGGACGGGGCGACAGGGCAGAGGCGCTCCCCGCATCTCAGACGATGGGCGGCCGGACAGAGACGCTCCTCACTTCCTAGATGGGATGGCGGCAGGGAAGAGGCGCTCCTCACTTCCTAGATGGGATGGCGGCTGGGCAGAGACGCTCCTCACTTTCCAGACTGGGCAGCCAGGCAGAGGGGCTCCTCACATCCCAGACGATGGGCGGCCAGGCAGAGACGCTCCTCACCTCCCAGACCGGGTGGCGGCCAGGCAGAGGCTGCAATCTCGGCACTTTGGGAGGCCAAGGCAGGCTGCTGGGAGGTGGATGTTGTAGCGAGCCGAGATCACGCCACTGCACTCCAGCCTGGGCACCAATGAGCACTGAGTGAAGGAGACTCCGTCTGCAATCCCGGCACCTCGGGAGGCCGAGGCTGGCGGATCACTCGCGGTTAGGAGCTGGAGACCAGCCTGGCCAACACAGCGAAACCCCGTCTCCACCCAAAAAATACGAAAACCAGTCAGGCGTGGCGGCGCGCGCCTGCAATCGCAGGCACTCGGCAGGCTGAGGCAGGAGAATCAGGCAGGGAGGTTGCAGTGAGCCGAGATGGCAGCAGTACAGTCCAGCTTCGGCTCGGCATCAGAGGGAGACCGTGGAAAGAGGGAGAGGGAGAGGCAGAGGGAGTGGGAGAGGGAGAGGGAGAGGGAGAAGGTTTGTAGTTCTTGAAGAGGTCCTTCACTTCCCTTGTTAGCTGTATTGCTAGGTATTTTATTCTCTGTAGCAGTTGTGATTGGGAGTTCATTCATGATTTGGCTCTCTGCTTGTCTATTGATGTATAGGAATGCTTGTGATTTTTGCATATAGATTTTGTATTCTGAGACTTTGCTGAAGTTGCTTATCAGTTTAAAGAGTTTTTGGGCTGAGACAATAGGGTTTTCTAAATATAGGATCATGTTGTCTACAGACAGAGACAGTTTGACTTTGTCTCTTCCTATTTAAATATCCTTTCTTTCTTTCTCTTGCCTGATTGCCCTGGCCAGAACTTCCAGTACTATGTTGAATAGGAGTGGTAAGAGTACATTCTTGTCTTGTGCCGGTTTTCAAAAGGAATGCTTCCAGCTTTTGCCCATTCAGTATGATATTGGCTGTGTTTGTCATAAATAACTCTTATTATTTTGAGATATGTTCCATCAATACCTAGTTTATTGAGAGTTTCTAACATAAAGGGATATTGCATTTTTTCGAAGGCCTTTTCTGCATTTATTGAGAGAATCATGTGGTTTTTGTCATTGGTTCTGTTTATGTGATGGATGACATTTATTGATTTACATATGTTGAACCAACCTTGCTTCCCAGGGATGAAGCTGACTTGATGGTGGTGGATAAGCTTTTTGATATGCTGCTGGATTCAGTTTGCCAGTATTTTATTGAGGATTTTTGCATTGATGTTCGTCAGGGATACTGGCCTGAAGTTTTTTGTTGTGTCTCTGCCAGGATTTGGTATCAGGATGATGCTGGCCTCATAAAATGAGTTAGGGAGGAGTCCTTCCTTTTCAATTATTTGGGATAGTTTCAGAAGGAATGGTACCAGCTCCTCTTTGTACCTCTGGTAGAATTTGGCTTTGAGTCCATCTGGTCCTGGGCTTTTTTTGGTTGGTAGGCTATTTATTACTGCCTCAATTTCAGAACGTGTTATTGGTCTATTCAAAAATTCAACTTCTTCCTGGTTTAGTCTTGGGAGGGTGTATGTGTCCAGGAATTTTTCCATTTCTTCTAGATTTTCTAGTTTATTTGCGTAGAGGTGTTTATAGTATTCTCTGATGGTAGTTGTATTTCTGTGGGATCAGTGGCGATATCCCCTGTATCATTTTTTATTGGTTTATTATCATTTTTTATTGTTTTATCTGTGGGATCAGTGGCGATATCGCCTGCATCATTTTTTATTGCTATTTGATTCTTCTTTATTCATTCAGTATGCTTATAGTTATCAATTAGCAATAAAAATACCTCATCTGTTAAATAAAGGGATTAGTGCACCTCTCTGTGCAAGTTCCTCATCTATAAAATATGTTTAATAAAACTACCTGTCTTAAGGTTGTTGAGAGGATTAAATGATTTAACACAAAGAAAGCACTCAAAAAATGTCAGGTATGGTTAGGTATCCCATGACTATATTTTACCACAAGTCTTTTGTGATTCATTGTTTATATTTTTGTACCATTAAACAATGTTTACCTTTAACTTGTACAATTAAATTTGTGACATGAATGAATATTAAAGACTGAATTGTTACCATGGATTTTGAGTGATGTGTTCATAGTCATATTGAATATTAGGCTTAATTTCAGGCTTAAAAATGTACTTTTAAACAAGGAGCAAGAGAAAAAAAAAAACAATTCTTTCTTCTTTTTTTTTTTTTTTTTTTTTTTTTTGAGACGGAGTCTTGCTCTACTGCCCAGGCTGGAGTGCAGTGGCGCGATCTCGGCCCACTGCAAGCTCCGCCTCCTGGGTTCACGCCATTCTCCTGCCTCAGCCTCCCGAGTAACTGGGACTACAGGCGCCTGCCACCACGCCCAGCTAATTTTTTGTATTTTTAGTAGAGGCAGGGTTTCACCGTGTTAGCCAGGATGGTCTCGATCTCCTGACCTTGTGATCTGCCTGCCTCGGCCTCCCAAAGTGATGGGATTACGGGTGTGAAATTATTTCATTTTTAAAATGACATTAGAGTGTTAGTGATCGCGTAAACAGAACATTCTCCGTTCCTCACCCTTTTTTGAGTCTTGCAAAGTATAATCTGACACTGAGTTAAGAGTCAATTGACACTGTATCTTGCTTGGTCAACCTGCAGTTAACGTTGTGAAGCAGGAAAATGAGATGTAAACTAACCAAGATCTCCACATGGCCTGGAATGACCAATGGTTTGTTATATAGGACAAAATTGAATAAATATTATGTAAGTACTTACTAAATTAGATTTTTAAAAGAATCATTGAATATCTAGATTTTTCTTAATGGGGAAAGGTGTCCTATTGAAATTCTTTTTCTTTAAAAATTACAACCACTAGAAATTGGATAAGGCCACCTCACAATAAAGAGTCCTCCCCATCAAAGAAGGGTTCGTGTTGAGGTAACCCATCATTTAAGAGTATGACCATTTCTACATCTGGCAGGAAGTTGAACTATACAACTTCTGATTTATTTTTTCAATTCTAACATTTCACAAAATTAAAGAAATTGAGAACCTATTCTAGGTATTGTTCTTGTTGTTTTTACATTGATGCCCTCTTTATTTTCTGTTTGAAATGAGTTATCAAAGCATAAAGTTTTGAATCATAGGCAGTTTTCTTCTGACATGATTCAGGAGGAATAATTTGAGCTATTTATGTCTACAAAGTACTTTTAATATTTATCCACCAGAGTATTCGACAATGAGGTTGTTATATCCTTCCAAGAGGTAGAATAAGTATCAAAAACCAGATGGAATTGGATGATTTTGTGAAATAACCACACAATATAAATTGTATTGAAAAACAAATTTGGCATTGGTCATCTGTATACCAAGAAAGACAAGAAACTTTTTATCTGAGGAACGTGAGCTCTTTTAAATTACTGGGCCCAGTGAGGCATTAAAATGTGAAAGTAGTCATCTCTCACTCCCCTCTTTGAGCTAAGTAATCTGCCTGCTGTATGGACTTTAGACTGTCACCACCAAGTAACCATAAACTAACCTAACAATGCCATATGCTAGACACCATAATTCATACCCTATAGTTCAACAATGTATAGCAATTACTAATCAGTTATTTCTCTACACCAATGAGAATTCTTAACAAACAATTTTTGTAATTGCCCCCTCTCCTAATTTGTCCTTTTTTCTTTAAAAACATGAGCCTTTCCTTCATTCTCTGGAGCACTTCTCAGCATTTCCCAGTCTGCAGTCCTCAACCTTGACCCAAATAAACTAAACTACTATATTAATTTTGCTCACTTTATGTCTTTAGGTCGATGATACTTAACATTACTTCTTTTGCCAACCTTTCTCCTACCCCTTCTGCCAAAGTAAAAAATTTTGGTTTACTAATGAAAAAAAAAATCAAAATCTGAAACACAGATGGAGAATAGAATGGATATATTATCTCTCAAATGTCTCATTACACTGCCTCTGTTTATTTGATTTCAGTTTTTTAGACCCATTTCTGCCAGTGCTGTCCTAGGATCCGGAGGGGGGCAATGTTTCTTCTTTGCTTTTTTAAGTCTTTTAATGTGTTTCTTTAATGTTTATTATAGTTTTAAATACAGATGGTCTTACTATGACCCTTAAATCTTGTTCCTAGTGCTGAGAATACACTGGCGAATCCAATAGGTATGGTCACTGCCCTGCTTGAACTTAGTGTGATGAAGAAGACAAATAAATTAACTATTGTGTAATTGTAACTCATGCAAAGAAAAGAAACAGATTACACTGATAGGGAACATGATGAGGGTGTGACATGAGGACGTTGCTTTAGTCGGAAGAGATCCTTTCAAAAATCATAAAATTTAAGCAGAGACTTGAAAGATAAGAAAAGTAATGTTCCAGGTAGAGGAATCAACATGGGTCAAGTCCCTGGGGTGCAAAAGAGCCTCATTCTCATTTTCTTTTTGTGCCGGTTTGAACCATAAAGAACTCATTTAACTTGCTTCTGAAATTGTTATGATTTGATGCAGCTCATTTCCATTGTCAGCACCCAAAATAGTTACCTCTTCACTTTGCTCCTTCAACCTTGCAAGACCCCCTGAGCCCTCAAAGTATCAAATTTAGTCTCAATTTAAATATGAAGCTGCTAATACTACCTATATGGGAAACTTTCAGTACGCATTAGTTCCCTTTCTGCTCGTAGCATTGTTGGTGATGTGTTTGCTGGGCTACTCCTTCCCATCTTTTAACCCCAGGGGTATGCAGGATTTGCTGTGGGAATAGGGAAGCCACAAACAAGAGAAATAGCATTGTCTCCAGAGCTACCCTTATTCTTTCTGTATTAAGGCTCCCAGGGGTCTCTGCCTCCTCTTGAGTCTCTCCCAACTTAACTTCTTGAGCTAAGGTCACTTTAGGGATGTTATCAGGACATTCAGCAATCTACAAAAAGACCCAAGTCCTGGTTTCCATTACACCCTGCCCACCATGTGTTCCAGTTGTTTTCATTTCTTTTCTGCATGACTTCATCAAGAAGCTGTCCTGGTTGATGCTAAATGAGAGGTGAGGCGGAGACAAGGGAATTCCTCTGGCTTCCTCTTCATTCATATTTCCCAGGTAGTGGTTCTCCCAAAGGCCTTGGTGGCCAGAATAAGGTGTGGCCTTGGTCTGCTGCTGAACTGGTAGAGGATTGACATTTTACCTATGACTGGCAGCTCTAGAGAAAAACAGAACACCTGATTCCAGTAGTAGTTAAGACTTGGTGTGTCTCCAGATCCCACTTGAAGTTACTGTCTTACAAAGTAACTTTTTTCCTAGCAATACTAGGGATGGTGGGGGTAGAAGGAGGATAACACTAGGACCTTTGGAACCTCTCCCCTTGCCTGTTTTTTCTCTTATCAGTAAAATGAGAGTGTTGGTGTATTCGTAGGGTCCCTTTTAGTTCAAACATATCATGTTTCTAAATTTTAAACCACCTAGTAGTATTATCTCTGTCTGATGTGCATGATATGTATATTGGAAATTATCCCAGTATGTGAGCCTGATACATATGTGGAAACTTACAGCCCTACTGGCTGAGCTGGATATATTCATTTATGAGCACTGGTTGGGATTGTAATTCGAAAACTTTGTACCAACATTGTATCTTACTGCAAGATTTATGAATGTTATTGAAAGCAGGACTATATACCCTGAGGTTGAAGCCAGCTAACTAAACCTGAGTTAACATGCATCACCAAAGAGTGATGATCATAGACATTGTGGCAAATGACTTGAAAGATCCTTTGCTTCACTTTGTCAGAAGGATCAAATTGTATTGAAATAGCACCCTGCGATATAATTCTGAATTCTGTCACTCTAAATTGGTCCTTCCTTCTTTTGCAGGAGCTATTGTGACAATCTTGGTTACCATCCATTAAGTGCTGCTGATTTTGGAAAGATCATGAAAAACGTCTTTCCAAACATGAAGGCACGTCGTTTGGGCACAAGAGGCAAATCTAAATATCCTTTACCAGAATGGTGTTAGTAATATCTCTGTGTTCTCACTTGTTATAGAACATCTATTGTTGTAGTTCAACTGGCAACTTTATTTAGAAATAAACTTCAAATTAAAGCAACTCAAAAGCTTAAGTAGAATAATTGCAAATGTAACTTTCACAGGTATTTATCACACTATGAAAGAAATAGCAAATAATGGTTTATTCATAGATTAGAATTGTGATAGATTTTACCTTAGTCTATCAATGTAAAGTGTTATTAATGGTCTGATCTCCTTTGTTTTAACAGTAAGAAGTTTTGAGGCCTGCCATATGTTTAACAATTATAAGAATAAAAGTGGAGAAAGATGCTAGCTTATCTTCGTTTCTTCCTTTAATTTAGAAACATAGGGGATCTCCTTGGCAAAAAAAAAAAAAAAAAAAAAAAATCTTATGGAACTTTAACAGAAACACTAATCTTTCAGTACAAGTATTTTTCAGCCATCCATTTAAAGCCCATATTAAAATTAAAGCCAGAGTACAGAAAAGGTCCTTCTTGTGATGGAGAAATACTTAGGAGCAAACAGAAATAAGGAAATTAAAATTAAGAATTCATTATAGTTCTTTCTCCTCTTAGAAGAAGATTGTAAAATAGAGGGTCTCTGTATCATATTAGAATTACATCCATTTTCTCCCCCTTAGCTCTTGTCTTTTTTTCAGAGCATAAAATGGAGGAGATGAGAGGAAGGGGAAGGGAAGAAACTTGCTTTTCTAAAATGGTTCCAGGTGTTCTCTAACCACTAGTTGGCACGACCTATTCTTGCTTCCCAAATGCAAACAAAAATGTTTTGATGTGTCTTTGGCATGTTACAGGCGATAATCCTGTATGTTTCAGTGGAAAAAGAGAAACGAAAAGGTTAAAGCCCTTGTGACACTCTTAAGAGTTGTTTTTGTCCCAGAGCCCTGGGCTGAAGTTTCCCTTCCCTGTGCCAGGTTTCCATCTGGCTATTCCTTTCCTTCTGACCTGTTTGTTACTGGTGGCTGGCACAGCATATTAGGAACATTTATTCATAAAATTTATAACAGATGAGAATCTTTTCATTTAAGACAGTAGTATTTAACATTCTAAAGGGGTATTTCAGTTTCAAAAGAGTAAAAGTGTCCCAAGTTTTTAATATTAAGGTTTTTCTTACTGAAGAATTCAGAAAGTAGATGTTATGTCATGTTGATTTTTTTTTCTCATTTCATATATGGTTACTTTTAAAGTGCTGTCTGTATAAGCAATTCATTTAATTTTGAATATTTAGACCTTAACTGTTTATTACATATTGCTACAGTGGACTAAGAAAAAAAGCTTTTGTTCATATGCCAACACTGCCCAACCTTGACTTTCACAAAACTGGAGATGGGGTAAGAATTCAGCCTTTTCTTTTTAATAAGTAAAATTGTACCTTTATATTAACATTGAAATGCATCCTGCAAAGTCTCATTTGGTTAAGCCTAGCGACTGTGCCTTTTACAAATAAGAAAAAAAAAATCACACAGTGGCTGAAAAATGTTAGTGTATATGACCTACGTCAACATGAAATTTGGGGGAACAAAAGTTTAGAAGTTACTGATTTCTCGATATTTCCAAAATACATATTGACTATATGTGTGTATAGTCAAGAGGAAAAAGTCAGTCATCATGTAATATGTTTTATAGGAATTTTAGAAAAAATGTGTGGCTATTGGCATAGTTTTGACATTAGAAAGATTCAAAACATCAGTCTTCTTGTATGTTTAAAAACCATTTAAAATGTTATATTCGCAAGGCTGCTGACTGCTGTGCACTAGTGGGTATGAGTCCCTTATTTGCAAAGCTCTTATATGTCTGCCAGTGGGTCAATTCATACTACTTTAACCCACAGATTTATATTGTATCTTCTAATTAAGAATACATATCTTTAACATGCTTCAATTTAATTTCTCTGGTCTTTTACAAGTTAACATTTCCTTTTTTCTTTGCCTAGTTGGAAGGAGCTGAACCTTCTGGGCAGCTTCAAAATATTGATGAAGAAGTTATCTCTTCTGCTTGCCGTCTTGTGTGTGAGTGGGCCCAGAAAGTGTTAAGCCAACCATTTGACACCGTCTTGGAATTAGCCCGCTTCCTTGTAAAAAGTCACTATATAGGCACCAAGTCAATGGCAGCTCTAACTGTAATGGCAGCAGCACCAGCAGGTACAACATTACTGTGAACAAGCTAAAAACTGACAGAGGTATTATTGTATTTAGAATTGGTAGCAAAAGAAGAGTTAGATCAAAGAACTTCATCCTTTTAGTACTTGCATGTGTTCACTCTTACTCCGCTTAACACTAAATTCAGATGGGTCTGTTGAGCCAAGAAAATAATAATCCTTTCATTATAAAGCTTAATGCTATGTTTCTATATATTGCTTTGCTGGCATATGAAACTGTAGATTCCCCAGCTGATATGTTATTAATTTTTCCATTGCTACTTTTACATTTATAGAATGTGTTTATATGTACTTTTATATGTACATATATGTATATGTGTATCTAAATTAATAAGAGAAGTAAAATAATAAGATTAAATTTTAAAATTACTTGTTAGATTCCCATTCCAGAAACTAATGCTTATAAATAAAATTATCTTTGCACACTGTGACAGGTAACTTAGCCTCAAAAAAACAAAACCGTACAAAGCCTTACTAAAAAATAACAAGAGTGATATTTTTTACTGTGTATTCATGACTATTTTTATTCAAAGATGAGTTTTTGGAATCGACAATTTTGGGAATTGACAGTCTTGTTAGAATGACTCCCTCCTAAATTAATAGTTGTGTAAAATAACAGTTCTGATGAATTTTTAAAAATATCTTATTTCAGTTATACCTTATAAACCTAGAGTGGATAAATTATTCTAGAAAATCAGGATGTCTGTTAAAAATGTAGTGATATAGTGATCAGAGACTTATTTTTCCAAGGACTGTCCTTCTAAGTGTTAATTCTGAATATTTAAAAATCTACAATAGATTTATCTTGGCCAGAATTATAGTCTCTTAATTAACTTCACTTCTTTTTTTAGTATCTTTTACACATTAATAATGAGTCCGTTTTCTTCTAATTTTACATTTAGTATGTGGGATGTATGTGTGTGTAACCTCTCCTTTTGTGGTCAATTGAAGACCCATTTCAGAAAAAGAGTGTCACAGAGTTTTTCCTGTCTGCATGTAAACTGTATGACCTAAGTCTGTTTATTCATTGTACTGACCAGCAGGAGAATGCTTGACCAGCCTTATCGAGCTAAATAGCTCACTTATGTTACCTCATTTAATTCCCCCAGCAGTCCTGTGAGATAGGTGATATTTATTCCCAATTTATAGACTTGGGGAGGTCAATTAACTTGTCCATGGGCACATAAGTAATGGAGCCAGGATTTGAATTCTGATTTGTCTGTCTCCAAAGCCCAGCTTCACTCAATTATATCATAATGTCATATAGTAAAATAAGCTTTAAAAGGAATGAACCCTTCAGTTTGCTCTGCTGTCTTTCTCCTGCCCCTGCCAACACCTAAAAGAGTACATCAACAGATGAAGGATTTAGGAGGTATCATGGGGAAAAGAAACATCTCTTTCCTATTTCTGTCATTCACAAAGTCTAACTGTGGGAAATGTTGAATGAATTGAATGAATGAATTTTTAAGGTCTAAGTGCAAATAAAGGTGTGAGTTTAACAAAAGTATTAAAAATTACATATATTAAAAAGACACTCCATTTTTGAAAGCAATCAGCCTGAGAGGGTAAATACTTTACCAATTGTATCATTACTCAAAACATTTTTAGAATGTCTCTCAAAATTTTGATCTCAGCCCTTACTATATTTTTCAAAAAAGACCTTCGATAGTAGACTAATTTTTATCCTTTGAAGGTGAATTTTTTTTTTTATAAATATAGTCTCCATATTAAGAACAGGTTGTGTTACAAATGTCCTTTTGTAAGTCAGCTGCTTGGAACTCATTCCTGTCTCAAAACCCTGGCAGGAAGGATAAGACAGCCAAGCTATGAGCCATTGGCAGAGGCTCTCCAGAGTGCAGGTGCTGAGAAGCCAGAGCTGAGGCTTGGGGTCGGAAAGGGGCAAAACAACTGGAGCTGGATTTGAGATGAAAAATTGTGATTTTTAAAAGGGGCTGGGGGTTCAACAGATCCTCATCATTATTGAGTATGGGGAGAGAGTTATAGCTTCCTCATTGTCTATTTCCTGCTCCCCACACCAAGTTGTTGTTGTTAACTAGAATGATGAAAAGCAGAAATTGGGATGGGGAAAAGAAAAGAAAGGGCAAGGTGTACCAGCAGGATAGTTGTTCCTCTCCTTTCTTCTCTTCATTGTTTTTACTGCCCACAACTTACTTTCTAATGATCTCAATGCCACGCCCTAAATCTGAAATGAGCTTTTAAAAAATTTTTATTTTATAATCCATTTTTCCTAAAATTTATATTTTGCTTATTTTGTCAATTTTTTTCAGTGTTTATCTTACTGTTTTAAAGGTTTTCTCAGTGACACTTTTTTGGAATATCTTAACTTTAGTCTTGTTAAGAAATTCTGCTTCTGAATTTCTTCTAGGTCATACTGGAATCATTGTATAGTAGCAATAAAATAATAGTGCCTATTTCCATGAATTGCTGGTAGGATTAAAAACTGTTTTCTCCATACAAATTTATTCCATTATGAGGAGTGGCTTCAGCAAATATTTATTGAATTATTGAATGCCCCTCATGGGCTAAATATTAAAATCATGAAAATACATGTATTTATTTCTGATTAGAAATGGGGGGAGGGAAATTTACTGACCTTTGAGAAAATGTAAAAATGCTGTGTTGGCATTTATCTCAGCTTCTGCACATTTACGATATAGCTACGGTTTTTAAAATCCTGTTGTTAACTGAAACTGTCACCTGATTTTAAAATCCTGTTGTTAACTGAAACTGTCGCCTGAGTTGAACCATATTGTAAGATGACAAAACTATATTGACAATTGTTTATAAATTCGAAGTCTAATGCTTCATAAAGAAATTGTGAGTTAAAATTTGCCATTTTGGTTGCTTTGTCCAGTAGATGGCTACATTCTCAAAGAAATTCAAAGGAACCTCCCTTCTATAAAGGAGAGTATTTATTGCAGCTTTCCTTTCTGTTTATTTTCAGGAATGAAAGGAATTACCCAGCCTTCTGCTTTTATACCTACAGCTGAAAGTAATTCCTTTCAGCCTCAGGTGAAGACTTTGCCATCTCCAATTGATGCTAAACAGCAGTTGCAACGGAAAATCCAGAAGAAGCAGCAAGAACAGAAACTACAATCCCCTTTGCCAGGAGAATCTGCAGCAAAAAAGTCAGAAAGTGCTACAAGCAATGGAGTGACTAATCTTCCTAATGGAAATCCTTCAATCCTTTCTCCTCAACCTATTGGTATCGTTGTGGCAGCTGTCCCTAGTCCCATTCCGGTAATATAATTAAATAGTATTTGGCCTTATTGGGATGGTGGGAAATCAACTGTTTACTTAAAAGTGGCAGATGAAAAGAAGGCAGGTATAAGAGTAGCCACAAACTGATTTTGTGACCACAGGAAGATTCATTCCCCTTCAGTCTTTTATTCAGGATGTATGTTGTTGATTACAAAGTAAGCTATGAAACATTATTGAAAATATAAAGATCCAAGACATACAAAGTATGCACATAACCACTCAGAGCTTTATGTAAGAGTGAGTAATTTTCTCATTTTTAGAGTTGTTTCATCCCTGGCTGAGCCAAGATTTTTTTTTTTTTTTTTTTTTTTTTGAGACAGAGTCTTGCTCTGTCTCCCAGGCTGGAGTGCAGTGCTGTGATCTCGGCTCACTGCAACCTCCACCTCCTGAGTTCAAGCAATTATTCTGCCTCAGCCTCCCGAGTAACTGGGATTACAGGTACTCACCACCACACCCAGCTAATTTTTGTATTTTTGTGTTTTGTATTTTTAGTTGGCCAGGCTGGTCTTGAACTTGTGACGTCAAGTGATCCACCCGCCTTGGCCTCCCAAAGTACTGGGATTATAAGCGTGAGCCACCCCACCCAGCCAAGATAATTTAATTGCAGTCTTTTTTTAAAATTTAAACGCTTTTCTTTTTTACATTCAGATGGAGTAAAATTCTAATGTGTAATGATTACTTAAATGTAGGCCTATCCGTGGCTTATCAGATACAGGACTAGAACCTTGGCCAAGTTCTTTAGCTAGTTTATTAACCTCTATTTGTAGATAAGGAAACAGTCTCCTCCTTTCCTATCTCACACAACTGAGGTTATGATGAAGGGACTTTTAAAATGAGAGTAAGTTGGTGCTTTATGTTATTATTGATAATAATATTTAGGAAGTATTTTGTCGTTTTTCTTGTTCCTATTATCATCATCGTGTTATTAAAATATGAAATACATGGTAACCGCACTATTCATTATAGGGCAAACTGGAGTAGACAGTAGTTGTATCTTATTTGCAGTGGTTTAGTTACAGACATTTAAGGTAGACACATTTATAAGACAGTTTCCCCTATGAGTGAGCCATCTTAGCATAGATTCTGGTAGGTAACCTTTACAGTTGTATGTTTCTTCAAGATTTTATGTCTTCTTCCTGTAACCCCCTTAAATCATTGTTTCAGCAAATATTCATCACAGGTGTGAAGCTTTTAGTCTTAATTGAAAAGTAACTTAATGTTCTTACATATTTTTTAATTATAATGCATTATGGTTGCATTTGTTACATTTATGTGTCTGATTGTGTAGAACCTGGTCTAGAAGAACTCTCTTCTAACATAGGAACTTTTTTCTTTTTAACATTAACATTTAATAAATGACTTAAAAGTATATACAGATACATGAATTACTATTTACAGGCTAGACCTGTTAAATCTGATTTTTTGCTATCTTTTAACAGGTCCAGCGGACTAGGCAATTGGTAACTTCACCGAGTCCAATGAGTTCTTCTGACGGCAAAGTTCTTCCCCTCAATGTACAGGTGGTCACTCAGCACATGCAGTCTGTGAAACAGGCACCAAAGACTCCCCAGAACGTTCCAGCCAGTCCTGGTGGGGATCGTTCTGCCCGGCACCGTTACCCTCAGATCTTACCCAAACCAGCGAACACCAGTGCACTCACCATTCGCTCTCCAACTACTGTCCTCTTTACTAGTAGTCCCATCAAAACTGCTGTTGTACCCGCTTCACACATGAGTTCTCTAAATGTGGTGAAAATGACAACAATATCCCTCACACCCAGCAACAGTAACACCCCTCTTAAACATTCTGCCTCAGTCAGCAGTGCTACAGGAACAACAGAAGAATCAAGGAGTGTTCCACAGATCAAGAATGGTTCTGTCGTGTCGCTTCAGTCTCCTGGGTCCAGGAGCAGCAGTGCGGGGGGAACATCTGCTGTGGAAGTCAAAGTGGAACCCGAAACATCATCAGATGAGCATCCTGTACAGTGCCAAGAGAACTCTGATGAGGCTAAAGCTCCCCAGACACCTAGTGCCCTTTTGGGGCAGAAAAGTAATACAGACGGAGCACTGCAGAAACCTTCAAATGAAGGTGTCATTGAAATAAAAGCAACTAAGGTCTGTGACCAGAGGACCAAATGTAAAAGTCGCTGTAATGAAATGCTGCCAGGCACGTCAACAGGCAATAATCAAAGCACTATCACTCTATCAGTTGCTTCTCAGAACTTAACTTTCACCAGCAGCAGCTCACCACCTAATGGTGACTCAATCAATAAAGACCCTAAATTATGCACTAAAAGCCCAAGAAAACGACTGTCTTCTACATTGCAGGAGACCCAGGTGCCTCCTGTAAAGAAACCAATTGTGGAACAGCTTTCAGCAGCTACCATAGAAGGGCAGAAACAAGGCAGTGTTAAGAAGGACCAAAAGGTTCCACATTCAGGGAAAACAGAAGGTTCAACAGCAGGTGCTCAGATTCCTAGCAAGGTATCAGTAAATGTCAGTTCACACATAGGAGCAAATCAACCCTTGAATTCCTCTGCCCTTGTTATCAGTGATTCAGCTTTGGAACAGCAAACAACCCCATCATCATCTCCAGATATAAAAGTAAAACTTGAAGGAAGTGTCTTTCTCTTGGACAGTGATTCAAAGTCAGTTGGCAGCTTTAATCCAAATGGATGGCAACAAATCACTAAAGATTCTGAGTTTATATCTGCCAGTTGTGAACAACAGCAAGATATCAGTGTTATGACAATTCCTGAGCACTCTGATATCAATGACTTAGAGAAATCTGTTTGGGAATTAGAAGGAATGCCACAGGACACATATAGCCAGCAGCTACATAGCCAGATACAGGAATCTTCTTTAAATCAAATACAAGCACATTCTTCAGATCAGTTACCTCTGCAATCTGAACTGAAGGAGTTTGAGCCTTCTGTTTCCCAGACAAATGAAAGCTACTTTCCTTTTGATGATGAACTTACACAAGATAGTATTGTGGAAGAGCTGGTGCTTATGGAGCAGCAAATGTCAATGAACAATTCTCATTCTTACGGCAACTGTTTGGGAATGACCCTTCAGAGTCAGTCAGTAACTCCAGGAGCTCCAATGTCATCTCACACTTCCAGCACCCACTTCTATCATCCAATCCACAGCAATGGCACTCCAATCCACACACCCACACCCACACCCACACCCACTCCTACTCCAACCCCAACCCCAACCCCGACATCTGAAATGATTGCTGGATCTCAGAGTCTGTCACGGGAGAGCCCTTGCTCCAGGCTAGCCCAGACTACACCTGTGGATAGTGCTTTAGGAAGTAGCCGACATACACCCATTGGTACTCCACATTCTAACTGCAGCAGTAGTGTCCCCCCCAGCCCTGTTGAATGCAGGAATCCGTTTGCATTCACTCCAATAAGCTCCAGTATGGCATATCATGACGCCAGCATTGTCTCAAGTAGTCCTGTGAAACCGATGCAAAGACCCATGGCCACACACCCTGACAAAACCAAGCTTGAATGGATGAATAATGGGTATAGTGGGGTTGGTAATTCATCAGTTTCTGGCCATGGTATTCTCCCAAGCTATCAGGAACTAGTGGAAGACCGTTTCAGGAAACCTCATGCTTTTGCTGTGCCTGGACAGTCTTATCAGTCTCAATCCAGACATCATGACACTCATTTTGGTCGTTTGACTCCTGTCTCTCCTGTGCAGCATCAAGGTGCCACTGTAAATAACACCAACAAACAGGAGGGTTTTGCAGTCCCTGCCCCTCTTGATAATAAAGGAACTAATTCATCTGCCAGCAGCAACTTCAGATGCCGGAGTGTGAGCCCTGCTGTTCATCGCCAACGTAATCTTAGTGGAAGCACCCTCTATCCAGTATCTAATATCCCACGATCTAATGTGACCCCCTTTGGAAGTCCAGTTACCCCAGAAGTTCATGTTTTCACAAATGTTCACACAGACGCATGTGCCAACAACATAGCTCAAAGAAGCCAATCAGTTCCATTGACAGTCATGATGCAGACAGCCTTCCCAAACGCTCTTCAGAAGCAAGCAAACAGTAAAAAAATAACCAATGTTTTGTTGAGTAAACTTGATTCCGACAATGATGATGCAGTGAGAGGTTTGGGAATGAACAACCTGCCCTCTAATTATACAGCCCGGATGAATCTCACTCAGATTTTGGAACCTTCCACTGTTTTTCCTAGTGCCAACCCACAAAATATGATCGATTCCAGCACTTCTGTTTATGAGTTCCAAACACCATCTTACCTCACCAAAAGTAATAGCACCGGTCAGATCAATTTTTCTCCTGGAGATAATCAAGCACAATCAGAAATTGGAGAGCAACAATTAGATTTCAATAGCACTGTTAAAGACCTGTTGAGTGGAGACAGCTTGCAAACCAACCAGCAGCTGGTAGGTCAGGGAGCATCTGATCTCACTAATACTGCATCTGATTTCTCTAGCGATATCAGGTTGTCTTCTGAGCTCTCAGGCAGCATCAATGATTTGAACACTTTAGACCCAAATCTACTGTTTGATCCAGGTCGTCAGCAGGGACAAGATGATGAAGCTACACTGGAAGAATTAAAGAATGACCCATTATTTCAACAAATTTGCAGTGAATCCATGAATTCTATGACTTCATCAGGTTTTGAATGGATAGAAAGCAAGGACCATCCTACTGTTGAAATGTTGGGTTAAATTGTGTTTTATAACATGTAGCACACTGTATCTAAAGACATATGTATTGTATTTGTCTTAATGGAAGTGCCTCCCGCAGCAGAAATACTATTAATTGTGACATTTTAAAAGCGTTTGCTGCAGAAGTGGTTTCTTCAGTAGGAAATGGTTAGACTTGCCTCAGTTCTTAACAAGTGTCTAAAGACAGTAGGCTGTAGAAGAACAAGTATTAGGTTTTAAATTTTATAATGTGCCCCATTTATTCACATTGATTGACTATCCAGCTGTTACAAGAGCAGTCGATCTTTATTTTGTGTAAGTTAGTTTCATTTCATCAGATGATCTGCACAGAACTCAGAATAAACCATCAATTTTAGGTATAGGCTGTTTTGTTGTTGGCATTATCTTTTAGATATAAAATCATAGCTAGGGTGAACTGTAGACAAGAAAGTCTTCCTTGAAACAGGGATAATATTCAGGTTATTATAAATATTTAGGCTTGAAGCATAGAGCTACTGTAGGGTGAAAAATCTCTGTAGGACTTTCTGGGGCTTCAGTACCATTTACACCCACGATGAAGGGCTTAAATAGAAAATAATGGAAAATTAAATATTACTTTAAGGAAAGCAAAGCTGCACTAAAATTTTTAAGGGAAAAAAAACAAGTAGCCATTTATATTTGTGACCTTGCATTAATATTTAAATGTTGATTTTAATATGGAGCTAGCACACATAGATGCGCAGGCACGCACACACAAAACAAGCAAATGTAACTCCAGGCATTTGTAATTTAATATAATAAATACAAGCATGTTAGAAAAATGCTTTATGTCTTATTATTTGTTAAGTTAGGGGAATGAGAAGGAAAACAAAAGCATTCTCTTAGTTTCATCACAATGGCTGCATGTACATATTGAGATTCTAACTGAGATTTACTTTGAAATTTTTCATTAAAATATTCCACAATAATCAGTTTTTTTCCTCTTCAATTGAGTGACTGACTCCCTCACTCCTCCTGAATATAGTAATGTAGTTTGATCATAGGATCCCTTTGAAAAACAGGAAGGAGGATAACATAAAAAACAACAAAAAACATTTCACCACCTAAGGTCTGAAGCCACAAATCTTTATATCTCTGATGAAACAAAGGGGATATCAATAGTACTTGAAGAAGAAGAGCATTTTATTACTTGCTTAATTTATTTATTGTGATAACCACAATTGCAAAAGAAGAACTCAGGATTTGTTTTAAAATGTTTCTCTCTATGGCTCCCATTTTGTTTTGTGAATAATTATTTATGAGTTGCATGTTGACACAAACCTACTCACTGGTTGAAAGCTCCATTTAAGTGAGTTTCAAGATCACTTTCAAAGAGATTTTTAAATTGCCATTGTTTTTAAAGCTAACATAAAACCATTTGCTATGCTACCTTGAACCTAGCTAAGCTTTCCTTTACCTTAGTAAGCCAATCAGAAGACTACAATCAATGAATATTTAGCAAATGTGCTGAAGGGTTTAATAAGGTTTTGTTGTTCAATAAATTTGCAAGGTAGGGTATTAACATATTTTGATAAATAAATGGTGCTAGAGTTGGCGCAGAGGTTTATATATTGATATGTCTTAGTTATTGGCATTTGTGTGTGTTTGCTGTTATCTTGATTTCATGATTTGTTAGGTATTTTTTTCTTGATGCTAGTTATTTCTTCACTGTACATTGAGACACAGCACTACTGCACACCAAAGTATGCAATACCCAAAGGAAACTGTGTGATTTCTCCTGACAAATGATGGGAGCCTTTCTTTATGAGATACTCTGAAAAGGAGATTTTGAGGCCATTCTAATCCCTTGTTTACATTATTAGCTTCCTACTAATATAAAAATAATGGAAATCTTTTTTGATAAAAATATTAAGACTGGAGGATTTTTAACCCCTTGTACAGTATTGCAGCAAACTCTTTAAATTTGGTTGAATTCGTCCAGCAAACTTTCTGGGGTTCATATATTGCACTAAATTTGTTGAACCTGTGGTAGGCACATCTCTTAGGATAAATGCAACCAATACAGTCCACAGATTAAACTTTTTAAATGTGTTTCATTATGAAAAGACAAAATGTCATCAAAGTGACAGATAAAATTGTCTTATGTAGCAATGTGCATTGATCTCAATGAGATATTTCTATTATTCTCTTACATGAGAATATTACAGCAGGAAGAATTAAGTTTAGTTTGCTTCACCATGTTAATACATGATCACAAAATGTGCATGAGTGTTATTGACTTATCTTGTACAGTACTAGGATTCCTGTAACCACTCTTTTTTTTCTTCGCTGTATTGAAACTGGTTCAGTGTTAACCAGGCAAGCATAGTTATTCACAGGTTATTTACTTTATGTTTACTAATTCTGCTTAGTTATTGTTGAATATGTTCTGTTCCAGATTATTTTTATTGTTTTGATGTTTAAAACATTTTGCATACTGTTTATCATAAAACTTCATGAAGTAAATAATTTTGCATATAATTGCAATAAGCACTGACTTTTGAACTGAAAAGAAGGAAAGTGTTTTTTTGTGCAGTGCTTCTGAGGTTCATATAATAGTCTTGTACTATAATGTGCTTTACTACACGATAAATGACAAAAACAAGCCCTGTTTCATGTTTCATTTAGTGCAAAAAGTCAGATTTCCCCAGTGTTTTGTTGTCTGTTGTACCTGCTGAAACTACAGTAGTTGAATATTGCGGTAGCATTTCAGTTCTCTTTTTTTATTAAAGTGCTCAAAAATTGTTTTTTAAATGTTTTCAAAAACAATTAAAAACATTTTATATTAAACTGACTGGATCTGAAGGTGTTTTATGGGACATATTTTATATAGGCAACACATTTTGTAAACAGACCCAATGTTATTCTTCCTTTGATGTCATTAACTTTAGGGAGTGAATAAAAATGAGCAGAAGGCAGAACAGTGCTGCTGATCTGCTGTGTGCTATTAATCCAGAAGAATACACAGATCTTAGTTCATTCATCAAAACTCTGTTGTTCACTTAAGATTATTACCAATGAATGGTGCATGGCATAGAACTTTATGTTGTCCAAAAAGCCATCTTTTTCTCTTTCACATAGTGTTTAAATGTTAGCCTATGGAGTACCTAGGTAAGTATATTTCTGGAGCTCTGAATAGAAAATGAGAAAATTTTAAGCATAGCTGTGTTCAAAAGCAGTATAGACATTTCCAGGTACCAGAAATAACAAACTGATAAGTGTAATGAATTTGTAAGCCAGAAGCTGGGCTACAGGTCTGGAAGCAGGCCGAAGTAGCCAGAAATGTCAGCTCCTGCAAAGTAATGAAACCAGGGTCTTGAATGGAGTTTCCTCACTCTTGAAACTGAGAAGCAACAACAACCAGTGCCAGGGACTATATATTGTAGACAGATCTTCTCAAACAGCCTACTCCTCTGTTTACATAGATCTTTGTAGATCTGTGATAGTTCCACTATCACCATAGATCTGGAGCCCTCAGTTTGAACAGGTGGTAGAAGCAATTACAAAAGGAAAGGAGTGGAGATTAGGAAGGGAGAGGTAAAGAGCAGGAAGGCTCCCATGAAAGCTGAGCCTGCAGATCAAAATTCAAAAGTACTTGAAGAAAAACTAATCCCAAGAAAGGCAATCAGTCACTCAAGAGAAAATGAAAGTAATGAACTACCTAGATAATACTATAAAATTAGTATGTTAGGATCCTCAGTGCTCAATGACATGGAAGGGTAAAATGTCAGAGCAGGCAAACATAAGAACCAGTGCATAGAGTCAACCAGTAAGAAATTCTGGGGGTGAAAATACTGTGTAACACCTGAGGTGATTTTGGTTTCAAGTAATTGAAAACCCAACACTGGCTTAAACCATAAGGACACTTACTTTTAGCTTAATAATAGTGGAGATAGGAGGTTCAAGGGTTCATTCAATGGTTCATTGTTTACAGGCACCAGATCCTGTTTGTGTTTCTGTTCCATCATCTTCAGCTTTGCTTTGCTGTGTCTATTACCTCATAGTCACAAGATGGCTGCCACAGCTCAGATGTTATACCCTCATAACATCCCAAGCAGGATAGTAAGAGCAGTTCTTAGCCTTTTATCAGAGAGAAAAAAAAATCTCAGAATCTTCCATTAAGCACTCCATACACACACACTGTTAGTCTCATTGTATTAAACAAAGGCTCATCCTAAGGCCAATTACTTAGCTTAGATCCTTAATTAATGCTTTATAGGTAGGAGGGGGGGCCCATTTCCTGGAGCATGTGGTCATTCATCTTAAATGAGTTCCATCACCTAGGGAAGATATTAGGGACTTGCTCTTTGGGAGGCAACCAGTAGTGGTCACTGCAAAAAATAGCTAGGTAAGATGAGTAAGATCTTGTACCCACCTTTGAGGGGCTTACAATCATAAAGAGTTAAGTACATGTTCTTTGTTAAGTGCCAACAGTATGTATACTACACTATGTAGAAGAAAAAATAAGAATTTGAAATCTGCCGAACTAAGTTTACTGGTGCTAACTGTTAACTGGTATCTTGCCTTCCCCCTATGAGCTGAAAAATCAGGTATTATTGAGTATCACAAATGCAAGTTGCCTCAGCTCCTACAGCATAAGAAAAGACCAAACTTTTTATTTTGTTAAATCTGAAGTACAGATTTATTTTGACATGCATTGTTATAAATGAATTTTTAAATAATTAAAGTTATAAATTTATGGATGGGATCACTTATTAATATTGCATCATCTGAAATTTTAAAAATATGTATGCCAGTCTTGTTGCTATAATCTGCTTAGAAAAAAGAACAAAACAAAAAGACTACATTTTTCAAGATTTGATTTTTAAGAAGTACTTAATTCTTGGAGAGGAGAAGAGAGTCATATAAATAAAATATATCATGAGAGTGATATTACTGTGGTATATAGAGTATTTCTTTGCATTAGACCCAGTGTTAGTTTGCATATATTCTCATGTCCTCATTGTAACAATTTTTAGCGAGTATTATTTTTCAGGTGAGAAAATTTTACTTCAGAGATTAACTGGTGGAGGTAACATAATAACAGGAAGAGCCAGGATTATCTTAATTTCAAATCCCACTTCATACCATTATGCTATACTTAAGATATGTGTTCACAGTGTACCTACTGCAGTTGTATGATCTGGTTGCTTCTTTGAAATTTTCATTCTGGTTTTAAATTTAGAATTGAGTTTGATTTTTGTGGAGTTCTTTATTTAACCTCCCATCCTTATATGTCAACAATTCTTTTTCATTTTTATTGCTTTTAGATTTACCTGTAGTTTGTAATTTTCCTCCAAATTACTTGAATCCTTTTCCCTCCCTTCTCTCCATAGAAATACCCTGATGTATTAGGAGAATGAAGATTTAAAAACAAAATTTTGTTTTCCACACAGCTTTTCAAGCATATTTCATACAGGTATACTCTAGTCATATTTATGTTTAAATCACTTAAAATGTCATCAAAATAAAAATGGGACTTTTTTTTTAACAGATGATAAAGTGCCTAAAATATGTCAGTCTCTGTACAAGGTGCTAGAGAAGACACCTGCCATTTTGAAATTTTGCAATATAATGAAAAAGACACAGTGAATGTCTTTGCAGGATGCAATGAGGTCACTATAGCAGAGGCGGATACTTACCAGTAGTATGCATTCTCCCCTTCTTCTTTACTGTAAAAGTCCTTGATTTTTAGCTGAGCACACAGCCATCTGACCAAAAGGCTGCATCTGCCAACTTCCCTTGCAGTTAAGTGGAGACACTTACCAAGTACTCAAAGAGATGTAACCAAAAGGTTTGGGTGCTACTTCTTTGCAGTGTTCTTGTCCTTCCTCTCTGCTGGCTGGAATGCAAATGTGATGGCTAGAACTCAAGCAGCCCTCCTGGACTTCATGTTAAAGACACATGCTGAGGATGATTGAGCAACAAGATACAAGGAGCCCAGGGCATGATGACTTTGGAAGGGAAGATGCCCAACTAGTCCTGACTGCTTACCTCTGGATGTGTTTTACATGAGAGAAATAAATGTCTTTCTGGTTTAACTCACATTTATTTTGAGTCTTATTTTGAGTCTCTGTCACTCAACACAAATCCAAATTCTAGCCAACATAGCTTTAAGCAGGAGTAGGGAATGTTAGAGTCACATGGTGATTGCCAAAAACATCATGGATGCCCCAATGGCAAACTGCATCTCATTTTCATTGGGATTGGTAAATCAGGAGAGGATCCTAGAAAAATACCCTTTCATAGCTTTGGGGATTGGGGGAGACAGAAATAAGAGTAGATGAATTCTGAGCTGCTGATCAAATTGAAAGGCAATATAGCATTCTGGTCAGACCTAGGTTTAAGTCTCAGCTCTGCCAGTTATAACCGTGACCAATTATAACCATTCAAACTTACTTGAATATTAGTAATGATATCCATCTGGCAACCATTTCTAGTGCTGTGCCACATGGTTCTGGCCTGTTCATTATTTTTGCCAACATTTTGAATGAACACACACTAAGTTTGCTGTGGCAAATGTAGATTGGCTTGCTCAATTTCTGTTCCAGCTTCCTCCTTGTATGAAGGGGCAGGAAAGCCAAAAAACCACATTTTCTAGACTTCCTCACAGCTAAGTTGTGAATATGAATTACATTTCATCTATTAGATTTGTTATTGAAAGATCTGAAGGAAAAAAATTGAAGCAGAATCCATCTTCCTACTTCTTTTTGGTGACTTTTTCTTGCAAGCAAGCTCATGGAGAGTTTCTTAGCAGCAGTGTTCTAAAGTCTATTCTTGTGATTCTTAGGTTTGAAGGTCCATGTTCCAGTGCCAAATCACCAATTTTGTGAATGTCTAGAGGTGGTCAAGTGGTGCAGTGATGGTACCAACAGTATCAGCAACTTCCTAGTGTGGCTTCCTGCTCTCTGCAGTAATTTCAGAGACAAACACATGGGTGATTCCCCTGATAATCAGCTCAACCATATTGTTCCAGGAGTCATTTCTGGAGGTAGTCTAAAGCCTGTTTTTCCACTTACAGTTGTCCCTCAGTATCTGGGCAGGGATTGGTTCCAGGATCCCTAGGGATAATGAAATCTGCAGATGCTCCAGTCCCTTACATAAAATGGCAAATGGCATAGCATTTGCATATAGCCTATGCACATCCTCCTGTATACTTTAAGTCATCTATAGATTACTTATAAAACCTAATGCAAGCCAGGCACGGTGGCTCAGGCCTGTAATCCCAGCACTTTAGGAGGCTGAGGCAGGTGGATCACTTGAGGTCAGGAGTTCGAGACCAGCTCGGCCAACATGAGGAAACCCTGTCTCAACTAAAAATACAAAAATTAGCCAGGCATGGTGGTGCACTCCTGTAATCCCAGCTACTTGGGAGGCTGAGGCTGGAGAATTGCTCGTACCCAGGAGGCGGAGGTTGCAGTGAGCCAAGATCGCATCACTGCACTCCAGCCTGGGCAACAAAGAAAGATTCCATCTCAAAAAAAAAAAAAATGCAGTGTAAATACTATGTAAATAGTGGTTATACTTTATTATTTTTATTGGTATATTTTTCTTGTTGTATTATTTATTGGCTTTTTATCCCAAATATTTTCAATCTGTGGTTGGTTCAATCTACAGATGAGGAACCTATGGTATGAAGGGCCAACTGTATTTATAAGCACTTAAACCTCTGCATTAAATCCTTTTCTGTTTAAAATACCTAGAATAAACATTTTCTACACTCCACCCTGACTCATAACATATGCCTATAGGCTAGGAGTCAAGAACATCTTAGATCTGGACCCGGTTCTATCATTCTTCTACCGTCTCTGCACTTTAAGAAATAATGATCCCTGTCCTAGTTACTTCCCAGAATCTTGTGAGTCTCTGTGAAATATGACAATATGTTGTAAACCCTAAGTCTAAGAGGTTATCATTATCATAAATACCTGTGTGAAAGAACAGACATTTATCTGAGAGTGGGAAAAATTATTGTCCTTTTTAGCACTTAAATGTTATATTTTACCTGAAGCCTCCTTCTACCCCCACCACATACACATGTGTCAGAAGGTAAAGTATAAATCCATATTCAGAAAGGCACTGAACTTTGAATTAATGGCAATAAACAAGAAATAAGTGTTAGTAACCATTTTAATTTAAGCCAAGCTATATCTGAGCATATTTGTTTAACATAGATTATTTGAATCACGAGATCTCTTGTATTTGGACTTCACGTGTTTGAAACACACAGTATAAATTTCCTACCACAAACCCATTCCTAGTTAACATATCTCTTTACTGAATCCTTCATAGTCTTAGCTCATCTTCATAACAGTTCTGAGATTGCTGCCTTAAGAAGTACTGGTAATTTCATAATTGATAAGCCAAGTCCCTGTTCGTTTGGTTTCTATGACTTTGTATTCTCATTCACCTTCTACCTCTCAGATCCTTCATTCTTGGACTCTTTCAGGGACCAGCTTCCTCTACCTATTATTTAAATATAAAAATTCTTTGACATTCTGTCATTGGTTCTTCTCTTATTATTCTACTTTCTCTCCCTAGTCATTTCAGAAACTCCTACAGCTCTATTGATGGCCTCCAAATCTAAATTTTCACATTTGACCTCTCTATTTACTTCCAGTCTTAAAATCTAAATGCCCAAACTGACACACCTTCTCTTTTTCTCCAACCTTCTCCGCTTCCTATTTTCTGTTAACAATGTTATCACTGCAGTTACCAGTTGAAAGCTCACACAGCCAGGCATGCTGGCTCACGCCTGTAATCCCAGCACTTTGGGAGGCTGAGGTGGGTGGATCACTTGAGGCCAGGGGTTTGAGACCAGCCTGGCCAACATGGCAAAAACCCATCTCTACTAAAAATACAAAAATTAGCCAGGCATGGTGGTGGGCGCCTGTAATCCCAGCTACTTGGGAGGCTGAGGCAGGAGAATCACTTGAACCCAGGAGGCTGAGGTTGCAGTGAGCCAAAATCACACCACTGCACTCCAGCCTGGGTAACAGAAAAAAAAGAAAAAAGAAAACTCACATGCCCTTTCCTTCACCCTTTCCTCAACATCAAATGAGTTTCTAAGTCCCATACCTTTGAAATACATATCTATTTGTTTCTTCCTTTCCTTCCTGACCCTGCCTTGGTTGATGGATGAATTTCTCATTTGAAATACCAAATTATTTATAACTTCTGTAATAATTTCTGTACAATGCCATCATAGTAGTCCTTAACTCAAAAGCCTTTGATATTCAGAAGTCAATAGCCTTCATAGATATAAGCAATAACTAGTTAGAAGATACAACGCAAGAGAAGATCCTTTATTATTATTTTTTATCATTATTATACTTTAAATTCTATGGTACATGTGCACAACGTGCAGGTTTGTTACATATGTATACATGTGTCATGTTGGTGTGCTGCACCCATTAACTTGTCATCTATATCAGGTATATCTCCTAATGCTATCCCTCCCTCCTTCTGCCACCCCACGACAGGCCCCAGTGTGTGATGTTCCCCACCCTGTGTCCAAGTGTTCTCATTGTTCAAGTCCCGCCTATAAGTCAGAACATGCGGTGTTTGGTTTTCTGTCCTTGAGATAGTTTGCTGAGAATGATGGTTTCCAGCTTCATCCATGTCCCTACAAAGGACATGAACTCGTCATTTTTTATAGCTGCATAGTATTCCATGGTGTATATGTGCCACATTTTCTTAATCCAGTCTATCATTGATGGACATTTGGGTTGGTTCCAAGTCTTTGCTATCGTGAATAGTGCTACAGTAAACATACGTGTGCATGTGTCTTTATAGCAGCATGATTTATAGTCCTTTGGGTATATGCCCAGTAATGGGATGGCTGGGTTAAATGATATTTCTAGTTCTAGATCCTTGAGTAATCACCACACTGTCGAGAAGACCCTTTTTATGCTAATAACAAAAAAGATAAAATATCCAAGCATGAACTTAAGAAATATATAAAATTTATATAAAGAACACCTTTAAAACACTTCTACTGGCTGGGTACAATGTTTCACACCTGTAATCCCAGCACTTTGGGAGGCCGAGGCAGGTGGATCACATGAGGTCAGGAGTTAGAGACCAGCCTGGCCGACATGGTGAAACCCCGTCTCTACTAAAATTATAAAAATTAGCCGGGCACAGTGGTGGGCGCCTGTAATCCCAGCTACTCAGGAGGCTGAGCCAGGAGAATCAATTGAACTCGGGAGGCGGAGGCTGCAGTGAGCCAAGATCATGCCATCACACTCTAGCCTGGGCGACAGAGTGAGACTCCGTCTCAAAAAAAACAAAAGCCTCTTTCACTGAAAGGTCCAAGGTAGACCAGAGCAAATGGAACAGGAAAACGTACTTAGATGAGAAGAGTCAACATCGTAAAGACATCAATGCCCCGTAAGTTAATTAATACATTTAACATGATTCCCACAAAAATGCCAATTCTTTTCTAGAGCTTGGAAAATTGGATATACATTTAAAATGAGAACACAGATAAGTATAGCCCAAAAAATCCGAAAAGAAAGGAGTGTCTGAAGAGCTAGCCCAACAAGGTATTACATATAGCGTCACATGGCAAAAAGGCCCTATAAGTAATGTCAGGCAACAAATGACAAACTAGGAAGAGATATTGCAACTTATATCACATACATACCCCTTTATATTCGTATTAGGGGTAATATCCCTAATATGGAAAGAAGTCCTAAAATGGTGGGAGGCAGAAGGCCAAAATCTAATAGAAAAATGGGTAAAGGATATTAACAGAGAGCTCACAGAAAAAGAAATGGTCATTGTGTAAGAGGTGTTCAAACCAGAGCAACTCCATCTTGAACATGGACTGGCTGGGTAAAATGAAGCTGAGACCTGCTGGGCCACATTCCCAACAGGTTAGCCATTCATAGCCAAAGGATGTTTACGGTTAAAAGAAATAGGTTAATAATGTTAAAGGAACACGTTAATAATGTTTACTGAATTGACCCAGGACTTAACAGACCCAGGATATAACAGACCCAGGAAATGTCCTGGTGTCCCAATATCTTAAAAACAAAAGCACTTTTAGTTTAAGAATAAGTTTTGCTTTCAACATAATAATATAGATTATCGCAGAAGACAGCAGTTATACAAAGATTAGCAATCTTTTGTGACAAACCCTTGTAGTAGAATACATCTCCCCATGATTTTTTGCTTTGTTATCTTATGTACAAACAAGCATGGCACCTAAGGCGAACATGTTCCTCCTCTTGCTTTTGGGAATACCCTGCTCTGTCTATGGAGTGCTATTCTTTCTTTACTTCAATAAACTTACTTTCACTTTACCCTATGGACTCACCCCTAATTCTTTCTTTCACGAGCCCTCTCTTGGGGTCTGGATCAGGACTCCTTTCCAGTAACACTTAGACATGAAAAAAAAAAATGTTCAGTCTGACTCATAATAAGAGAAATACAATTAAAACTACACCAAGATACCACTTCTCACTTAGGTTGGCGAAAATCTAAGTTTGACACCATCCTCTGTGGGAAACACTGTGAGACACAGGCATTCTATATTGTTTTCTTGCACATTTCCTAGGAATTTTCTAGACAACAAATTTTGGACATCCAAATGACTAGAGAGAAGTCAACCTAAGGACTGGCATTGAGCATTAAATACCTATTGTAAAACTAAGACTACATGAGGTTAAAGAGGAGAGAGTATATACTATGTACTGGACACATCATCTGAAAATGTACATACAACTAAAGAACGTGGAAAGTGCCTATGCAAATAATTTTTTAACTTTTTCAATAAGATGTGTGTTGATAAAATAGGTGATTTCACTGAGACTGTTGTATATGTAATGTAAGACAATGCAAACTAATTGTGTGATATTCTAGTTTTATATTTCTTAGGTCCCTGAGAACCTGGACTCTCAGAAGAAAGGCTATGCCTGTGTAAGAAAGAAGTTTTAAGTAAAAACTCTGCAGTCCTGACTTTGAATTCCAAGTATCAGCATGAACTCATGGAACATCTTGGTGTACAATAGCAAGGAAGCTTCCAAAGACTATAGAGGTCATGTCAAAAAGACTCAAGAGCCAACTTGCAGAAGCTGCCACTGGACACAGATGGGACAATGTAAGCTCAATAAGGATGATAACTTCAGCAGATCAAAACACTTAAAATATGTTTAAGTCTATGAGTTTTAATGATCCTAAAAAATTAACTGCTCACCTTTTGAGGATGATAGGTAACCAACTTATTTTAATTGATAAAGAGAAAGAAACAAATATTTATCCTGCCTTTCCTTTGTGAGCTGGACCACTGGATAACGAAATAATAGATAAGGGGGGATGCTCTAGTTATAAATATTCTAGCATCCCAGCACTTTGGGAGGCCGAGATGGGTAGATTACTTGAGGCCAGAAGTTCAAGACCAGCCTGGTCAGCATGGTGAAACCCCGTCTCTAATAAAAAATACAAAAATTAGCTGGGCGTGTTGGTGTGCACCTGTAACCCCAGCTACTCGGCGGCTGAGGCAGGAGAATTGCTTGAACCTGGGAGGCGGAGGTTGCAGTGAGCCAAGATCGCACCATTGCACTCCAGCCTGGGTGACAAGAGCAAGATTCTGTCTCAAAAAAAGAAAGAAAAAAAGAAAAGAAAAGAAAAGAAAAGGAAAAGAAATATTCTATCTAATGAATGAGGAAGGAATGACATAATGCCATTGAGTGTAATGGCAAAAACCACAATTACTTTTTTTTTTTTTTTTTTGAGACAGAGTCTCACTTTGTTGCCCAGGCTGGAGTGCAGTGGTGCAATCTTGGCTCACTGCAAACCTCTGTCCCTCCAGTTCAAGCAATTCTCCTGCCTCAGCCTCCCGAGTAGCTGGGATTACAGGTGTGTGCCACCAACCCCGGCTAATTTTTGTGTGTTTTTCAGTAGAGATGGGGTTTCACCATGTTGGCCAGGCTGGTCTCAAACTCTTGACCTCTGATGATCCACCCGCCTCAGCCTCCCAAAGTGCTGGGATTACAGGTGTGAGCCATTGCACCCAGCTCAACCGCAATTACTTTTGTGCCAACCTACTAACATTACAGGCAAAGACTTCAGGTCTAAAACACCAAAAGCAATGGCAACAAAAGCCAAAATTGACAAATGAGATCTAATTAAACTAAAGAGCTTCTGCACAGCAAAAGGAATTATCATCAGAGTGAACAAGCAACCTACAGAATGGGAGAATATTTTTGCAATCTATCCATCTGACAAAGGGCTAATAACCAGAATCTACAAAGAACTCAAACAAATTTACAAGAAAAAAACAAGCAACCCCATCAAAAAGTGGGCAAAGGATATGAACAGACACTTCTCAAAAGAAGACATCTATGCAGCCAACAGACAAATGAAAAAATGCTCATCATCACTGGTTATGACAGAAATGCAAATCAAAACCACAAGCAGTGATCAAGGCTGCAGTGAGCCAAGATCATGCCACTGTACTCCAGCCTGGGTGACAGACCAAGACTCTGTCTCAAAACAAAACAAAACAAAACAAAAAGGATGCACTGTATCATGGGGGTACAATTAGTAAAATCAGAGTCTGAGAAACTCTACAGAGCAAACAGTCCAATTTCAAGAAAATGAAACGCAATGGAAGAGGAACCTGTAGATTAAAAGACACTTAAAAAGTTATGTGGGCCGGGTGCAGTGGCTCACGCCTGTAATCCCAACACTTTGGGAGGCCGAGGTGGGCGAATCACAAGGTCAGGAGATCGAGACCATCCTGGCTAACACGGTGAAACCCCGTCTCTACTAAAAATACAACAAATTAGCTGGGAGTGATGGCACGCACCTCTAGTCCCGGCTACTTGGGAGGCTGAGGCAGAAGAATCACTTGAACCCGGGAGGCGGAGGTTGCAGTGAGCTGAGATTGCACCACTGCACTCCAGCCTGGGTGACAGAGTGAGACTGTGTCCCAAATAAAAAAACTAATTAATTAACTAAAAGTTATGTGAAATTTCATATTAAATAGGTGAAACCAAACTAAAATGTTTATGGATGCACACTTGATTGATCAAATCATGAAGAAAAGCAAATAAATGATTACCATAAAAGAATAAATGGACACACAGAGGGCTTCTGGGGTGGCTACCACAGTGCTGTTCCCTCACCTAGATGGTGGTCACAAGGGTGTTTGCTTACAATAATTTGTTAAGGTAATTTGTTCTATGTGGCTTTTTCTATCTGTTACATTTTGCCGTTTTGAAAGGTTATTTTTAAAAAGAGAAGTGGTATCCTAGAAATGGGCAATTATTAGAAAATTTGCCTTTTCTCTATATCAACTGTTTTTAGGATAACCAAATACTTTGACACAGGGAAATTTTTCTTTAATGAAAGATTCCAAGGCCGCACACCATGGCTCATGCATATAATCCCAACACTTTGGGACGCTGTGTGGTGGGAAGGTCCTTTGAGCCCAGGAGTTTGAGACCAGCCTGGGCAACATAGCGAGATACTGTCTCTAGAAAAAAATTTTAAAAATTGGTTGAGCATGGTAACATGTGCCTGTAGTCCTAGCTATTTGGGTGGCTGAGGCGGGAGGATCACTTAAGCCCAGGAGTTCGAGGCTACAGTGAACTATGATCGCACTACTGCACTCTAGCCTGGGTGACAAAGTGAAACCCAGCCTCAAAAAAACAAGATAAAAACAATAATTTAGTGTATATTTCAATATAACTAAAATAATTGGAATGTTCCTAACAAAAAGAAATGATAAATGCTTGGGGTGATGGACACACCAATTACCCAGATTTGATCATGACACACTGTACGCTTATATCAAAATCTCACATATACTCCATAAATACGTACAAATACTATATATCCATAAAAATTAACAATAAAAAAAGTTCCAGGTAGTAAGTGTGAAGAGAATGACAAAATTAGAAAATCACCACTTTGTGAGACCCAATGAAATAGACAATTCAGGCAAAGACTATCAATGGATGAAACCAATAGGTGGATAGAAAATTTTACAGTGTGCATTAGCATTACTAAGTGTGAAACAAGCAGGCATTGAGTAATTTTAATTTACAAGAAATAAAGGGAAAATTTAAATAACACCCCAGGGGAGGAACCAAACCAATTCATATTTGGTAGTATTCTAGGGGATAACTGACATGCTTCCTTCAATAAATCAATGGCATAAAGGAAGAAAAGTGGGATGAGGAGGGCTGCTCTGGATTAAGATAGATTTAAGAGTTATAAAAGCTACACGATATGTGTGGACCTTGTTTAGAACATGATTTAAACAATCCAGCTTAAAAAGACAATTTCGAGGTAATCAGGAAATTTGAATAAGGACTGGCTTATTCACTGATACCAAGGAATCATTAGGTTAATAATGGTATTTTGTTTGTGAGAAAATGTCCATAATTTTTAGAGATGCATACTGAAATATATGGAAGGGGAAAAACACGGGCTGTCCAGGATTTACTCTGAAATACTTTGATAAGAGAGAGAGGGGAGGAGAGAGGAAGAATGTCTTATAAAATCTTGCTAATTGTTTAATCTGGGAATGGGTTTATGGGGATTAATTGGGATTTTGTATTGTTTTTTATTTCTGTCTATATACATTTGAACATTTTTTTCATTAAAAAGCAGCTTTGTTATGATTCCCATTTAGAAGATGTAACTCAAAATCCAAGCCCCTTTGGAGGGTATTTACAGCAATGCACAATCGATTCCTTCAAGTCATGTGAGCTGAGAAGAGGGCAGGCATAGTTCCCCTAAAGGAAAATCAGGGTGCTGTCTCCAGAAGAAGGGGAGTCAAAGTCAGGCCAAACATAATAAATCCCACTCTGTTCCCCAACAACTTTGTGAGCCTCATCTTAGAAAATGTCTTCTACCTAGCCAAACAGAACGACTTGCTGTTTCCTGAATAAAGCACATAATGCTATGCCTCTCAGACTCACACAGGCTGTCCCCTGCTCTTTAAAAAATACTTTTCCTTCAAAATCCACAAATGCCATCTGAGGGGAAGCCCTTGCCAATCCCTGCCTAGAGCAAGAAGACTCTGGTGGCACTTGATTCAGGCTTCTATGATAGTATTTTGCCTTGTACGGGCAAATACGTATGTATCCACGTCCCCCATTAAACCAGAAGCTCCTTAAAGGCCCCTTTCATTGTGTCCATCAAAGCACAAAGCCCAATGACTTGTTTATAGCAAGGGCACAATCCTCGTTTGCTGAATTGAATTAATGTTAATGATTCTCAGACAGGTTTTCTCAAGAAGGCACATAACATTAAGCTAAGAAATTGTTGTCCTTCATAATAGCAAATAAATAAAACATTCGTTATCTGATATCTCTGGCCTAAAGACATTGGATATCAGTTTAAAGACTAGATATCAGACCCAAATTGTATATAGCCAAGACGCCTGCTTAGAGATCTGTAAGGGGAGGCTGAGATGTGTTTGCATCTTGAAATATGTTAATTTCTTTGCCAACCACAGCAGATGGCCACCCTTGCTGCTTGTAACAGAAATTTAACTGATTTGACAATAGCCTTATGGTATTTCTGGTAGGATGCCAAATATTTGCATTAAACTAATCTTTGATTAAGCTACTATTTTGATATGTGAGTCTGTAAATGGAAACAGCCTCAAATCAAACTTAATTTCAATAAGCAAATAATATTTTTATTTTTAATTTGGTGACTGCAGTCTACTACAGTCTTTGTAAAATTATGCTATGCAAATGTATTTTTACATTTTTTTAAATAAACCTTTTAAAGGAAGTCTTGAAGTAGGCCTGTGTTTGCATTTGTAAATCAGAAGTGCATCACTGTTTTCTCTGTGTGGGGTGGTCTTCCACATGGAAGGAAGGATTCGCCTTAGGAAGAGGGCAGGAGACAAATAGTCATTGAACACTATGGAGATAACTTCCTTTAGCCTATTGCAAAAAGCCAAGGTCAATTTGAGGCTTTGAACTTAATTGCAAAGTAAGGAACTAGTTTCTCCCGCTTCTGGATGAACCCTTACCCACCCACAAGAGGCCTAGGTTATCCATCGGCCCTAAATACAAAATTTCTCCTAAGTCCCTCTGCAACATTCTACAAATTTTCATCTCAGCCTGTATTGATTTCTGGACTTTTAGAACCTGGTTATACCTTACGGAAGTTAGGCTATACCCTTCTGTCTTCGGATGGGGAAATGGGATTTGGAAAGGTGAGGAAAGTAATGAGTCAAGGCCAATATTCAAGCTGCTCGGTCTCTCACTCAGTGCTTTTTCAGGGCATCCCTAAGAACGTGGGGAGGTTAGACTATATGAAACAATCTACACTTACAGTTCACTACCACTTGCAGCAGAAAGCACCCTACACTGATAGGCTTCCCTTACCCTAGGTTTCTCCCCTCCACACATTTCTCTTTCTTTTCTTTTTTTTTTTTTTTTTTTTTTGTAGAATTTATTCATTTATTTTTTCACTGACGCTGACTTTTTTCAAAAGATTTTATTTCTTGGCCAGCCATGGTGGCTCATGCCTGTAATCCCCAGTACTTTGGGAGGCAGAGACAGGTGGATCACCTGAGATCAGGAGTTCAAGACCAGTCTGGCCAACGTGGTGAAACCCCATCTCTACTAAAAATACAAAAAAAAAAATTAGCTGGGCGTGGTGGCGTGCACCTGTAATCCCAGCTACTAGGGAGGCTGAGGCAGGAGAAATGCTTGACCCCAAGAGACAGAGGTTGCAGTGAGCTGGGATCACGCCACTGCACTCCAGCCTGGGTGACAGAGCAAGACTGTCTCAAAAAAAAAAAAAAAAAAAAAAGACCATCTCAAAAAAAGACCATGTCAAAAAAAATATATATATATACATATATTTTATTTTTTAAGAGCAGTTTTAGGTTCATAGCAAAATCTACAGAAGACAGAGATTTCCCATATACCCCCTACACCCACACATGCATAGCCTCCCCCATTATCAACAAACATTCCCCACTAACGTGGTATCTTTATTATAACTGTTGAACTTACATGGACACATCATGATCACCCAAAATTCACAGTTTACTAGGGTTCACTCTTGCTGTTGTACATTCTATGGGTTTGGACAAATGTATAAAGACATGTATCCATCATTATAGCATCATACAGAGTATTTTCGCTGCCTTAAAAATCCTCTGTGTTCTGCCCATTCATTCCTCCCATATCCTCCCACCAGCCACTGGCAGGCAACCACTAATCTTCTTATTGTCTTCATTGTTTTGCCTGTTCCAGGATGTCATACAGTTGGAATCAAACAGCATGTAACCTTTTTATATTGGCTTCTTTCACTTAGTAATATGCATTTAAGGTTCCTCCATGTCTTTTCATGGCTTGACAGCTTATTTATTCTAGCACTGAATCATATTCCATTGTCTGGATGTGCCACCGTTTATTTTTCCATTCACTACTAAAGAACATCTTGATTACTTCCACGTTTTTGCAATTATGTATAAAGCTGGTATGAACATTCGTGTGCTGGTTTTGTGTGGACATAAGTTTTCAGCTTCTTTGGGTAAATACCAAGAAGCCCAATTAGACTGTATAGTAAGAATATGTTTCATTTTTTAAGAAACAGCCAAATTGTCCTCCAAAGTGGCTGTACCATTTTGCATTCCCACCAGCAAGAAATGAGAGTTCCTGTCATTTCACATTCCTGTCAACATTTGGTGTTGTCAGTGTTCAAGATTTTGGCCATTTTAGTAGGCGTGTAGAGATAGCTCATTGTTGTTTTAATCTGCATTTTCATAATGACATATGATGTAGAGCATCTTTTCATATGCTTATTTACCATCTGTATTTCTTCTTTGGTGATGTATCTGTAAAGGTCTTTGGAACATTTTTTATTTTTGAGACAGGGTCTCACTCTGTTGCCTAGGCTGGAGTGCAGTGCAGTGGCACAACCTTGGCTCACTGCTGCCTCAACCTTTGAGTTCAAGCCAGCCTCCCACCTTAGTCCCCCAAGTAGCTGGGATTACAGGTGTGTGCCATTATGCCCAGCTAATTTTCTGTAGAGACGGGGTTTCCCTATGTTGCCCAGGCTAGTCTTGAATTCCTGGGCTCAACATATCTGCCGATCTCGGCCTCCCAAAGTGCTGGGATTACAGGTGTGAGCCTCTGCACCTGGCCTGGCACATTTTTTAATCAGGTTGTTTGTGTTTTTACTGTGGAGTTTTAAGAGGGGTTTTTTTTTTTTTTTTTTTGTATATTTTGGATAACAACTCTTTTTTTTTGCCATTTCTTTCTTTTTATTTACAGTTTGTGCTCAATGCAAATCAATTCCATAACATAAGAAGTTACTATGAATCAAAGCATAAATATACAAACACAATATACAATCCAAAATAGATGTATAGCATTCTGGAATAAAGCAAAAGAGTGTTCCTTCACAGACACAGTAGCTTCAGATCTGTTCAATCTGTTTGTTCTCAGGTAGTTTTCTAATGATGGAAAAAAATGACTTTGGTCATCAAACTACTGTGGCCACATTAGATTACCGGAACATCTAAGCATCAGTGTGTGACCATGCGAACGAAAGACTTCGGGGAGTGTCTGTTTTTAAAAAGGTTTCTGTGTGTCGAGGCAGTTGTAAAAGATTTACTGCAGAATCAAGCCCACTTTTAGGCTTAGGACCAGGTTCTAACTATCTAAAAATATTCACTGATAACAAAAAGTGTTCCAAATATAGCTATTCTGATTCATAGTTGTTTTTTAAGGAAAAAAAAAGTATATACAGAAAGACTATAAAAGTTTTTGTGAATTTAATGCAAATTAGCTTCCAGTCTTCACTTCCCAAATACTTGATTTACAGTTTTGACTCCTTTACATTTTTGCCTTTTTAATTTCAAGATTTGTAATTTTGCCTTCAAAACAGATCTTTTTTTAAATTGTAAAAAGTATTCAACATATGCAGAAATAAAAAGCATTTTGATGGCCGGGTGCAGGGGCTCAAGCCTGTAATCCCAGCACTTTGGGAGGCCGAGGCAGGCGGATCACCTGAGGTCAGGAGTTTGAAACCAGCCTGAGCAACATGGTGAAACCCTATCTCTAGTAAAATTACAAAAATTAGCTGGGCATGGTGTCGGGTGTCTGTAAAATCCCAGCTACTTGGGAGGCTGAGGCAGGAGAATTGCTTGAGCCTGGGAGGCAGAGGGTATACTGAGCTGAGATTGCACCACTGCACTCCAGCCTGGGCGACAAAGTGAGACTCTGTCTAAAAAATAATAATAATAATAATAATAATAATAAAAAGCATTTTGAAATTAGTCGTGGTCAATGCAATTCTACTCTTTGGAATCCGTTTAACTAAATGAATGTAGTGCTCTTGTTGAACGGAAATAGGTGATAGGAAATGCCTACCATTTGACTCTATATGGATAATCAAGAGTTGCTGAGAATGCTTGTATCTGGGGGTAGATTCTCATTCATCATTGCCCTGGCACATGTCAATTACTACATAAAAGGTCAAATGCAATGTCAAATCCAAAGTCTCAAGAGGAAAGTGAGTTCAGTTCCCAAGAGAACAGTGATAGCTCAACAATGTAAAACTTCATCTAGAATACATCGGCATTAAATTAGTGCTGTCGAAACAATACGTTGAGGAATTACAGTAACACCTGAAAGTTCCTTCTAATGTACTTATAAATAGAATCATGGAAGCTTTTTATATTACCTGTTTTATGGCATTATAGAATTAATGAACCAAATGAAAACTGAATCTCCATTCCACCATCACATCCTTTATTTCTATTCTTATTTTCTTTTTTTTTTAGATTTAATAAATTTATTTTTATTTGTGTATATTAAGATAAAATACTTCAGGAATCATATTGTCATTTCCAATTCAATTTGAAAATTAGAAGTTTTTACTTAACCTCTTATGTTACATGTATATCTCCTTTCTTCTGCATCAAGAATACTGATTTTCAGAGTCAAAGGAAGATGTAATTAGCATATCCCATAATTTACTCAATATCTTTACCCCACATTATATACATAATAGTCTCAGTCTATTCTTATTTTCAAGGTAGTATTAAGTGTCCATATTTATCAAGCCACATTCAAGGAAATCATGTCTTAACTATTTTGGATGTTGCCTCTCCTTCAACTTGTACATGAAACTCCAGCAGATTTAATATTGGCATGCATCATCTAGTCAAACCTCTCACATGTTCTTCAAATCAATCAAATTTGGGATTCTCAACATTTTCTGTGTCAATAAAAGGAATGGAATTAGTAGATTCGATGAATAACTGTTTTTCCTTGCCACACTGGACTTCCAGACGCCATTTGGATTGGGTTTAGAAGATGGGGAAGTTTAGAAGATGTTTCTTGGCCTGAGTCTCTTAAGAGGAGAGATGTAGAAGAGAGAGTAAGGCCGGGCGCGGTGGCTCACGCCTGTAATCCCAGCACTTTGGGAGGCCGAGGCGGGCGGATCACGAGGTCAGGAGATCGAGACCATCCCGGCTAAAACGGTGAAACCCCGTCTCTACTAAAAATACAAAAAATTAGCCGGGCGTAGTGGCGGGCGCCTGTAGTCCCAGCTACTTGGGAGGCTGAGGCAGGAGAATGGCGTGAACCCGGGAGGCGGAGCTTGCAGTGAGCCGAGATCCTGCCACTGCACTCCAGCCTGGGCGACAGAGCGAGACTCCTTCTCAAAAAAAAAAAAAAAAAAAAAAAAAAGAGAGAGTAAGACCACGAAGAGACTGGCTGTTGACTGCAGGGCACCAACAGCCGCCTTGGTGGTGGCAGTAGCTGGATTTGGGGCAGTCGAAGTACTCTGGGAGGAGTTACTTGAAATTGTTACAACAGTTGTTTGATTGGAATAAATCTGCGTGGGTAGGAGCAGTGCCAGCAGCAGCAGCCCCAGCCCAAGCCTGGCCACCACTGCTCTGCCCACGTCCCCTCCGTCGGTGTGCAGCGTGTCTGGCTGGATGCTGGGTGCTTGGAGAACTGCTCGCTCCAGGAGGGCGCGGGCAAGGACGATAACAACTCTTTATCAGATTTTCTTTTGCAAATATTTTCTCCCATTTTGTGGCTTACCTTTTCGTTCTCTTGACAATCTTTTTCAGATAACAGAATTTTTTTTTATTTTAATAAGGTCAGACTTATCCGTTCTTTCTTTCAAGGATTGCGCTTTTGGTATTACATCTAAAAAGTGATCACCAAACCCAAGGTATCTAGAGTTTTTCTCTTATGTTACCTTCTAGGGGTTTTGTAGTTTAGCATTTTACATGTGGGTGTGTCATCTACTTTGAGTTAATTTTTTGAAGAGCATAAGGTCTATGTCTAGCTACATATTTTTGCATTCAGTTATTCCACCTCCATTTCAGTGGACATTCCACTCAATTCAGTGGATATTCAGTTGTTCCACCTCCATTTCAGTGGATATTCCACTCAATTCAGTGGATATTCAGTTGTTCCACCTCCATTTGTTAAACAGACTATCTTTTCTCCATTGTATTGCCTTTGTTCCTTTGCCAAAGACCAGTTGACTATATTTCTGCGTATTTCTTGCCTCTCTATTCTGTTCCACTGATTTATTTGCCTATTGTTTCACCAATTCACATTGTCCTCATCACTACAGCTTTAGAGTAAGACTTAAAGCCTTGTACTGTCAGGCCTCCATCTTTGTTCTTCTCCTTCAATACTGTCTTGGATATTCTGGGACTTTTGCCTCTGCGCATAAATTTTATCAGTTTGTCAGTATCAAAATAATAACTTGCTGAGAATGTGATGGGATTGCAGTGAATCTACAGATCAGTTGGGAAAAACTGACATCCTGACAACATTGAGTCTTCCTATCTATGAACATGGAACATATCTCCATTTATGTAGTTCTTTGACTTCTTTCATCAGTTTTGTAGTTTTCCTCATATAGAGGCTTGCCCATATTTTGTTAGATTTAAACCTAAGCATTTCATTTTGAAGGGTACTTATGTAAATAACGCTGTGTTTTTAATTTCGAATTCCACTTATTCATTGCTGATATATATGAAATCAGTTGACCTTTGCATATTTATCTCATATCTTGCAACCTTGCTAGAGTTGCTTATTAATTCCAGACATTTTGTTTGTTGATTTTCTCAGATTTTCTTCATGGATGATCATATCATTTGTGAAGAAAGTTTTACTTTTTCCTTCTCAATTTGTATTCTTTTTATTTCCCTTTTTTGTCTTACTGCATTAGCTAGGACTTCCAACACAATGTTAACAATGAGTGGTGAGAAACTTACAAGGGATGTGAAGGACCTCTTCAAGGAGAACTACAAACCACTGCTAAACAAAATAAAAGAGGACACAAATAAATGGAAGAATATTCCATGCTCATGCATAGAAAGAATCAATATTGTGAAAATGGCCATACTGCCCAAAGTAATTTATAGATTCAATGCTATCCCCATCAAGCTAACAATGACTTTCTCCACAGAATTGAAAAAAACTATTTTAAAGTTCATATGGAACCAAAAAAGGGCACACATTGCCAAGACAATCCTAAGCCAAAAGAACAAAGCTGGAGGCA
The DNA here is from genome assembly GCF_000001405.40 of Homo sapiens. Lineage (NCBI taxonomy): Eukaryota > Metazoa > Chordata > Mammalia > Primates > Hominidae > Homo > Homo sapiens. Next base: position 56,069,797 of record NC_000015.10, on the reverse strand, counting down.
TCACACTACCTGACTTCAAACTATACTGCAAGGCTACAGTAACCAAAACACCACGGTGCTGGTACCAAAACAGAGATATAGACCAATGGAACAGAACAGAGCCCTCAGAAATAATACCACACATCTACAACCATCTGCTCTTTGACAAACCTGACAAAAACAAGAAATGGGGAAAGGATTCCCTATTTAATAAGTGGTGCTGGGAAAACTGGCTAGCCATATGTAGAAAGCTGAAACTGGATCCCTTCTTTACACCTAACACAGAAATTAATTCAAGATGGATTAAAGACTTAAATATTAGACCTAAAACCATAAAAACCCTAGAAGAAAACCTAGGCAATGCCATTCAGGACATAGGCATGGGCAAGGACTTCATGTCTAAAACAGTAAAAGCAATGGCAAGAACAGCCAAAATTGACAAATGGGATCTAATAAAAGAGCTTCTGCACAGCAAAAGAAACTACCATCAGAGTGAACAGGCAACCTACAGAATGGGAGAAAATTTTTGCAATCTACTCATCTGACAAAGGGCTAATATCCAGAATCTACAATGAACTCAAACAAATTTACAAGAAAAAACAACCCCATCAAAAAGTGGGCAAAGGACATGAACAGACACTTCTCAGAATAAGACATGTGCAGCCAACAGACACATGAAAAAATGCTTAATGTCACTGGTCATCAGAGAAATGTAAATCAAAACCACAATGAGATACCATCTCACACCAGTTAGAATGGCGATCATTAAAAAGTCAGGAAACAACAGGTGCTGGAGAGGATGTGGAGAAATAGGAACACTTTTACACTGTTGGTGGGACTGTAAACTAGTTCAACCATTGTGGAAGACAGTGTGGCGATTCCTCAAGGATCTAGAACAAGAAATACCATTTGACCCAGCCATCCCATTACTGGGTATATACCCAAAGGATTATAAATCATGCTGTTATAAAGACACAGGCACATGTACGTTTATGGCGGCACTATTCACAATAGTAAACACTTGGAACCAACCCAAATGTCCATCAATGATAGACTGGATTAAGAAAATGTGGCACATATTCTACCAGAGACAAGGAGGAACTGGTACCATTCCTTCTGAAACTATTCCAATCAACAGAAAAAGAGGGAACCCTCCCTAACTCATTTTATGAGGCCAGCATCATCCTGATACCAAAGCCTGGCAGAGACACAACCAAAAAAGAGAATTTTAGACCAATATCCTTGATGAACATTGATGTAAAATCCTCAATAAAATACTGGCAAACCGAATCCAGCAGCACATCAAAAAGCTTACCCACCATGATCAAGTGGGCTTCATCCCTGGGATGCAAGGCTGGTTCAACATACACAAATCAATAAATGTAATCTAGCATATAAACAGAACCAAAGACAAAAACCACATGATTATCTCAATAGATGCAGAAAAGGCCTTTGACAAAATTCACCAACCCTTCATGCTAAAAGCTCTCAATAAATCAGGTATTGATGGGACGTATCTCAAAATAATAAGAGCTATCTATGACAAACCCACAGCCAATATCATACTGAATGGGCAAAAACTAGAAGCATTCCCTTTGAAAACTGGCACAAGACAGGGATGCCCTCTCTCACCACTTCTGTTCAACATAGTGTTGGAAGTTCTGGCCAGGGCAACTAGGCAGGAGAAAGAAATAAAGGGTATTCAATTAGGAAAAGAGGAAGTCAAATTGTCCCTGTTTGCAGATGACATGATTGTATATCTAGAAAACCCCATTGTCTCAGCCCAAAATCTCCTTAAGCTGATAAGCAATTTCAGCAAAGTCTCAGGATACAAAATCAATGTACAAAAATCACAAGCATTCTTATACACCAATAACACACAAACAGAGAGCCAAATCATGAGTGAACTCCCATTCACAATTGCTTCAAAGAGAATAAAATACCTAGGAATCCAACTTACAACGGATGTGAAGGACCTCTTCAAGGAGAACTACAAACCACTGCTCAAGGAAATAAAAGAGGATACAAACAAATGGAAGAACATTCCATGCTCATGGGTAGGAAGAATCAATATCATGAAAATGGCCATACTGCCCAAGGTAATTTATAGATTCAATGCCATCCCCATCAAGCTACCAATGACTTTCTTCACAGAATTGGAAAAAACTACTTTAAAGTTCATATGGAACCAAAAAAGAGCCTGCATCGCCAAGTCAATCCTAACCAAAAGAACAAAGCCGGAGGCATCATGCTACCTGACTTCAAACTATACTACAAGGCTACAGTAACCAAAACAGCATGGTACTGGTACCAAAACAGAGATATAGATCAATGGAACAGAACAGAGCCCTCAGAAATAACGCTGCATATCTACAACCATCTGATCTTTGACAAACCTGACAAAAACAAGAAATGGGGAAAGGATTCCCTATTTCATAAATGGTGCTGGGAAAACTGGCTAGCCATATGTAGAAAGCTGAAACTGGATCCCTTCCTTACACCTTATACAAAAATTAATTCAAGATGGATTAAAGACTTAAATGTTAGACCTCAAACCATAAAAACCCTAGAAGAAAACCTAGGCAATACCATTCAGGACATAGGCATGGGCAAGGACTTCATGTCTAAAACAGCAAAAGCAATGGCAACAAAAGCCAAAATTGACAAATGGGATCTAATTAAACTAAAGAGCTTCTGCACAGCAAAAGAAACTACCATCAGAGTGAACAGGCAACCTACAAAATAGGAGAAAATTTTTGCAACCTACTCATCTGACAAAGGACTAATATCCAGAATCTACAATGAACTCAAACAAATTTACAAGAAAAAAACAAACAACCCCATCAAAAAGTGGGCAAAGGACATGAACAGACACTTCTCAAAAGAAGACATTTATGCAGCCAAAGAACACACGAAAAAATGCTCATCATCACTGGCCATCAGAGAAATGCAAATCAAAACCACAATGAGATACCATCTCACACCAGTTAGAATGGCGAACATTAAAAAGTCAGGAAACAACAGGAGCTGGAGAGGATGTGGAGAAATAGGAATACTTTTACACTGTTGGTGGGACTGTAAACTAGTTCAACCATTGTGGAAGTCAGTGTGGCGATTCCTCAGGGATCTAGAACTAGAAATATCATTTGACCCAGCCATCCCATTACTGGGCATATACCCAAAGGATTATAAATCATGCTGCTATAAAGACACATGCACACGTATGTTTATTGCGGCACTATTCACAATAGCAAAGACCTGGAACCAACCCAAATGTCCAACAACGATAGACTGGATTAAGAAAATGTGGCACATATACACCATGGAATACTATGCAGCCATAAAAAAGGATGAATTTATGTCCTTTGTAGGGACATCGATGAAGCTGGAAACCATCATTCTCAGCAAACTATCACAAGGACAAAATACCAAACACTGCATGTTCTCACTCATAGGTGGGACTTGAACAATGAGAACACTTGGACACAGGAAGGGGAACATCACACACTGGGGCCTGTCATGGGGTGGGGGAGAGCAGGGAGGGATAGCATTAGGAGATATACCTAATGTAAATGACGAGTTAATGGGTGCAGCACACCAACATGGCGCATGTATACATATGTAACAAACCTGCACGTTGTGCACATGTACCCTAGAACTTAAATTAAAAAAAAAAAAGAGCGGTGAGAGGAGACATCCTTGCCCTGTTTGCCTTGTTCCTAATCTTAGTGGGAAACATTTGAGTTTCTCACCATAAAATATGATGTTAGCTGTAGGATTTTGGTAGAGATTCTCTACCAAGCTGGGGAACTTCTCTCTATTCCCAGTTTACTCAGAGTTTTTTTTTTTTATCATGAATAGGTGTTATAATTCATCAAATGTTTTTTCTGCATTTATTGATACAATCATGAGACTTTTCTTCTTTAGCCTGTTGATGTGATAGATAACATTAATTGATTTTCAAATGTTGAACCAACCTGGCATACCTGGAATAAATCTCACTTGGTCATCATGTATAATTCTTTTTATACATTGTTGGACTGAATTTGCCAATACTTTGTTAAAGATTTTTGAATGAGAGATATTGGTCTGTAGTTTTCTTGCAGTGTTTTTGTCTGGTGGTATTAGGGTAGTGTTGGCCTCATAAAATAAGTTAGGAAGTATTCCTTATGCTTCTATCTTCTGAAAGAGATTGTAGATAATTGATATCATTTCTTACTTAAATGTGCAGTAGCATTTGCCAGTGAACCCATCTGGGCCTGTTGCTTTGATATCAACTATTAATTTAGTATCTTTAATAAAGATAGACCTATTCAGATGGACTATTCTTGTATGAATTTTGCAGACTGTGTCATTAAATGAATTGGTTCATTTCATGTAGCTTATCAAATCTGTGAACATAGAGTTGTTCATATTTATATTCTTTTAATGGCCATGTGATCTGTAGTAATGTTCCCGTTTTCATTTCTGATATTTGGTCATTTGTGTACTCTTTTTTTTTCCTTAGCCTGACTAGAGGCTTATTAATTTTACTCATATTTTCAAAGAACCAGATTTTGGTTTCATTGATTTCTCTATTGATTTCCTATTTTCAATGTCATTGGGCCAGGAAAAGTGGCTCATGCCTGTAGTCCCAGCACTTTGAAACACAAAGTGGGTTGATTGCTTGAGCCCAGGAGTTTGAGACCAGCCTGGGCAATAAAGTGAGACCTCATCTCTATTAAAAAAAAAAAAACTCATTGATTTCTTCTCTCAATTATTATTTTTTATGCTCAACTTGGATTTAATTTGCCTTTTTCTTCTAGTTTTCTAAATGGAAATTTTGATCATTGAATTTAGATCTTTCTTCTTTTCTAAGATAGGCATTCAGTACTATAAATTTCCTCTGAGCACTGCTTTTGCTGCATCCCACAAATTTTGATAAGCTGTGTTTTTTATTTTCATTTAGTTCAAAGTATTTTTTAATTTCTTCACGTTTCTTTTTTGACTCATGTGTTATTTGGAAATATGCTGTTTAATCTCCACATACATATATTGGGGTTTTCCAGCTATTTTTTTTAGACAGGGTCTTGCTCTGTCACCCTGGCTGGAGTGCGGTGATGTGATCACAGCTCACTGCAGCCTCAAACTTCTGGATGATCAAGTGATCCTCCTGCCTCAGCCTCCCAAGTAGCTGGGACTATAGGAGCCTGGCTAATTTTTAAATTTTTTTGTAGCGGTCTCACTGCATTTCCCAGGCTGGTCTTAAACTCCTGGCTTCAAGCAAGCTGCCTGCCTCAGCCTCCCAAAGTGCTGGGTTTATAGATGTGAACCACTTCATCTAGCCTCTTTCTTTCTTTTTTTTTTAATTTCTAGTTTAATTCTATTGTGGTCTAAGAGCAAACATTGTATTATTTCTATTCTTCTAAATTTGTTAAGGTGTGTTTTATGACTCAGAATGTGGTCTAGCTTGGTAAACGTTCTACGTAAGCTTGAGAAGAATCTGTATTCTGCTGTTGTTGGATGAAGTGCTCTACAGATTTTCATTATATCCAGTTGATTGATGGTGTTCTACTCTGTCCTTACTGATTTGGTGCCTGCGGGATCTGTTCACTTCTGATAGAGGAGTGCTGAAGTCTCCAACTACAATAATGTATTCATCTATTTCTCCTTGCAGTTCTATTAGTTTTTGCCTCACATAGTTTAATTGTTGTTAGGCACATACATATTAAAGATTATTATGGCTCCTTGGACAACTGACTCCTTTATCATTAAGCAATGTCTTTCTTTATTCCTGATCATTTTCCTTGCTTTGAAATCTGCTTTAAAATTAATACAGTAACTCCTGATTTCTTTTGATTTATGTTGGCATGGCATATTTTACTTCATCCATTTACTATTAATCTATATGTGTCTTTATATTTAATATGGTTTTCTTGCAGAAAACATATAGTTGGGTCTCATTTTTTGATCCACTCTAACAATCTCTGTCTTTTAATTGGTGCATTTAGACCACAGACATTCAAAGTGATCAATGATATAGTTGGATTAATACTTGCCATATTTATTTCATTCTCTATTTTTTGCCCCTGTTCTTTCTTCCTATTTTTGCCTTCACTCTTTTTCTGTCTCTTATGGCTTTAATTGAGCATTTTATATGATTCCTTTTTCTCTTCTTTCTTAGCATATTAGCTATACTTCTTTTTAAGCTCCTTCAGTGGTTGCCCTCAAGTTTGCGATACACATTTACAACTAATTCAAGGCTGCATTCAAATAACACTATATGACTTCACAGATATTAGAAGTATCTGATAATAACAAAATATTCCTAATTTCTCCCTCCTATTTCTTGTACCAGTATTTCACTTATATATAAGTGCTTGTATGTACATACATATATACCTGTATATGTATGTATATACATATATATGTACGTGTTTATATATATATTTGGGTTTTTTGTTTTTTAAACAAAGTCTCGTTCTGTCACCCAGGCTGCAGTACAGTGGCATAACCATGGCTCGCTGCAGTCCCAACCTCCCAGGCTCAACTGAACATTCCACCTCAGCCTCCCAAGTAGCTGGGACCATAGGCATGCACCACTAGAGACGAAATCTCACTGTGTTGCCCAGGCTTGTCTCACACCCCTGGGCTTAAATGATCTACCAGCCTCAGCCTCCCAGAGTGCTGGGATTACAGGTGTGAGCCACCATGCCTAGCCTATATTTGTTTTTTCCTCAAGATATATAGATACACATACATATAAATATATGCATAAGTATATATAATTGAATACATTGTTGTTACTTTGAACTTATATTTTAGGTCAATAAAGAAGAAGAAAAATAAAGGTTTTTATTTTATCTTCACAAATTCCTCTTCAATGCACTTCCTTTCTTTATGTAGACCCTGTTTATCTGTTAGATCAATTAAGAATAAGAAAAATAAAAGTTTTTATTTTATCTTCACAAATTCCTCTTCAGGGCTCTTTACGTAGATCCAAGTGTCTGACCTATATTATTTTTCTCCTCTTTAAAGAACCTCTTTTAACATTTCTTTCAAGGTAGGTCTACTGGCAACAAATTCTTTCCATTTTTGTTTGTCTGAGAAAGTATTTACATTTCCTTCACTTTTATTTTATTTTTATTTTTATTTTTTTTTGAGAAGGAGTCTTGCTGTGTCGCCCAGGCTGGAGTGCAGTGGCACGATCTCAGCTCACTGCAACCTCCTCCCCCAGGTTTTAAGCAATTCTCCTGCCTCAGCCTCCAGAGTAGCTGGGATTACAGGCACGCATCACCACACCCGGCTAATTTTTGTATTTTTAGTAGAGATGGGGTTTCACTGTGTTAGCCAGGCTGGTCTCAAAGTCCTGATCTTGTGATCCGCCTGCCTAGGCCTCCCAAAGTGCTGGGATTACAGGCGTGAGCCACCGCACCCAGCCTCTCCTTCACTTTTGAATAGTTTTGCAGTGTACACAATTCTAGATGGGCAGGTTTTTTCCCTTTAAACACCTTAAATATTTCATTCCGCTCCCTTTTTGCTTGCACGGTTCTGAGAAGTCAAATGTAATTCTTGTTTTTCTTCCTTTATATGTACCTTATTTTCCATCTGGCTTTTCCAGGATTTGTTTCTTTGATTTTTTGTAGTTTGAAAATAATATGCCTACTTGTCATTTGTGTTTGTTTGGGGACTTGGATTTTTTTTTTTTTTTTTTTTTTTTTGGCATTTATTCTGCTTGGTGTCCTCTGAGCTTCCTTGATTTGTGGGTTAGTGTCTAACATTAATTTGGGGAAATTCTCAGTCATTATTGTTTCACAGATTTCTTCCATTCTTTTTCTCTTTCTTCTCCTTTTAGTTTTCCCTTTGTATATATGCTATACCTTTGTAGCTGTCCTTTAGTCCTTAGATATTCTGTTCTTTTTTATTATTATTCATTGTTCCATTTAATTTTCAGGTTTGGAGATTTCTGTTGAGATATCCTCAAGCCCAGAGATTCTTTTCTGTCATGTTCAGTCTACTAATAAGCACATCAAAGACATTCTTTATTTCTGTTGCAATGTTTTTTATCTTTAGCATTTCTTTTTTTTTTTTTTCAGGATTTTCATCTCTCTACTTACATTGTTCATCTGTTCTTGCATGTTGTCCTACTTTATCCATTAGAGGCCTTATCCTGTTAATCATAGTTGTTTTAAGTTAATTCCAACATCCCTGTTATGTGTTATGTCTGGTTCTGATGCTTACTCTGTCTCTTCAAATTGTACTGCTTGCTTTTTAGAATGCCTCATAATTTTTTTTTTTAAGACAGAGTCTTGCTCTGTCGCCCAGACTGGAGTGCAATGGCACGATTTCAGCTCAATGCAACCTCTGCCTACTGGGTTCAAGCAATTATTCTGCCTCAGCCTCCAGAGTAGCTGGAATTACAGGTGCCCGCCACTATGCCTGGCTAATTTTTGTATTTTTGGTAGAGACAGGGTTTCACCACGTTAGTTAGGCTGGTCTTGAACTCCTGACCTCAGGTGATCTTCCTGCCTTGGCCTCCCAAAGTGCTGGGATTATAGGCATGAGCCACTGCGCCCAGCCTTCTTTTCCTTTTTTTAAGACAGTGTCTTGCTCTGTCACCCAGGCCAGAGGGTTCACTGCAGTCTCAACAACCCAGGCTCAAGCGACCCTCCTGAGTAGCTAGGTACTGATGCATACCACCATGCTTGGCTAATTTTATGTAATTTTTGTAGAGAGAAGGTTTCATCATGTTACCCAGGCTGGTGTAATTATTTTCTTCATAACTGTATATGATGTAAATGGCAAAATGAACAGCTGTAAATAGGCCTTACTAATGTGGTGATGTGCTCCAGGCACGGTGGCTCATGCCTGTAATCCCAGCACTTTGAGAGGCTGAGGTGGGAGGATCACAAGGTCAGGAGATCGAGACCATCCTGGTTAACATGGTGAAACCCTGTCTCCACTAAAAATACAAAAAAAAAAAAATTAGCTGGGTGTGGTGGCAGGTGCCTGCAGCCCCAGCTACCAGGGAGGCTTAGTCAGGAGAATGGCATGAATCTAGGAGGCGGAGCTTGCAGTGATCCGAGATCGCACCACTGCACTCGAGCCTGGGCGACTGAGACCTCATCTCAAAAAAATAAATAAATAAAATAATAATGTGGTGATGTGGTGCAGGGGAAAGGAAAGCATTGTGTAGTCCTGTGATTAGGTCTCAGTCTTTTGGTGAGCCTATGCCTCTGGACTGTGAACCTCACAGGTACTTCTCAGTTCCCCCTCTACCCCTGCCCTTAGGTGAAACACGATGTCTGGAGTAGACTGGAGTTAGATATGTCCCTTTTCTCAGTTATGTTCTGATAAAACCCCAGCAGCCCCAGCAGGTTAGGCTCTAGTTAAATGGTTTCTCCTGAGAGCAGAATATGTTAAGAAGAACAGAGCGCTCTGGAATATTTCAAAATGCTTCCTTCCCTCCCATCCCTTCCCGGAAGCACAAAGAGATTTTTCTCTAGTATTTACTGTAATAACCTGGTGAGCTCCTAGAGATAAAACTCATAAAAGCATGAGGGTCCCCCTATGACTGGGTTCCCCTGGAGTTATTTTTAACTCTCAGGTTTTGTTCACACTGACTCTCCAGCAATTCATCAATTACAGTTCAGGTGTTCCTAACTTGGCACTGGCTCCAGTGGTGGTTTCCACTCATGAGTCTCCGCCTGGTAAGCCATGACTCCCTGTACCCACCTGTTTATCTCTCCAATCTTAGGAGCAGCAGTGTGTCCTGTGTCTTCATCTCTCCTATGGATCCAAGAATAGTAGCTAATTTTTCAATGTGTTTAGCTATTTACTTGTTATAGGATGAAGTTGCAATTTCCAAGCTCTTTACGTTTGGAACTAGAAACCAGATCTCCTGCATTCTTATTTCTTGACCTTTCTCCAACCACCTTTTGTAATCAGACAGCATTTTATGCGGTGTGTGTATGAACTGTGGATGAGGACAAATCCCCTAACAAAGAGAATTCCATTGAAACAAATTCACAGTTGGCTCCTTGTCTCTACTCCAGGAGCAGAAATGCCACAAAATATTTCTTCTTGAATGGATTTCCCTAGTTATAACTCTAGGGGTATTTAGGAGGGTAAGAGCAGCATTCTGGCCTGCCAAAAACTAGCTGCCTGGTCTTCTGCACAAACAACTCCATCATCTATTCCATTGCTCACTCAGGAGCAGGACTTTATCACTAAATGATTTGGGCCCATAGTCCTGATTCTTTAAACAAATGCCCAGGATATACACTCAGCCTTATATTGGTTTTCTTCTAGATCCAGTGTTGCCTTGGGTAGAGAATATTAGATTATGCTGTAATGCTGTACTTGTTCCTGGGCCCTTTAAGTCTTTAGGTTCTTTGATACCAGGCACCAAGTTATATTTCTTTTATGTTCCCCAGCATTAAGATGTGTATGGAAGATGTGTAATAATTAAAAGCCCCTTATTCATTGAATTCTACCAGCAGTTGAGCAACTCCTCAGACTGATTATCAGAGCCAGCGAAGCAGCTGTCAGCTTGAGGAAGGCATCTGCTGGAGCAAACTCCTGCCCTTCCTGGCTTCTTCTTGATCTAGGCAGAGAACATAAAACTCATTGCATCAGATACCTGCCTTGAGCCTCAGATTAAGGCAAAATGCCAGGGCTTATATGAGCTTCTGCACTTCCCATCTCCTGCCTTGAGCTATAATTAGCAGACTGGGAAGTCAACAGGAGGTATGAGAGCATGTCTTCAAAATGGAATGAAAATCAATTGGGAAATGATTTGCGCTACAAAAATTTGATATGCATCCAGAGTTCCAGGAATATCTTAAAATGGGGTCAACTGCACGTTAAATGAAACATTGAAATAATGCTCAGGTTGACTAGTCAATGAAGATAATAAAAAAGAAGTTTCCAGATGATCTTTTAAAATACCTCCCTTCCATCGTATGAAGATAGAAATCTCGTTTGAAAAGTAGGAAAAGTGGGAATGTTAATAAATTAATAATTGCAAAAAATATTCACAACCCTTCTAATGCGCTTCAGTCCCTTAATATTCTACATGTAATTTTTAAACTTTTTATTATAAAAATTTCAAATGTATGAAAATGAACAGAAGAGTATGAGCCTTCATGTAGCTTTAGCCCAATTTAAATAATTGTCAACTCATAGTAAGTCAATCTCATTTCATCTATACCTCAACCCATTTTTCCCACTTCTCCAAATTATTTGGAAGCAAATCCTAAATATATCATATTTTTAAATATTTCAGCAAGCTATATCCAATGTTAAGACCAGTTCCCCCTCCAAATTTTAATTATTCCTGGTTATTAATAGTCAAGAGTTGCTTAAAACTTAAACATAGCTTCTGTAAATGTAAATGTGTTTACTTATAAATTCCTTTACAGTAATATTTAGTTACTTCATTCATTCATTTATTTATTTGTTCATTCATGATACATTAAAAACATGGGCGGGGCACGGTGGCTCATGCCTCTAATCCCAACACTTTTGGGAGGCCGAGGCAGGCAGATTGCTTTGAGCTCAGGAGTTCGAGACCAGCCTATCCAACATGGCAAAACCCTGTCTCTACAAAAAAACACAAAAATTAGCCAGGCGAAATGGCACACACCTGTAATCCCAGCTACTCAGGAGGCTGAGGCATGAGAAACACTTGAACCTGGGAGCCCAAGGTTGCAGTGAGACCAGATCACGCCACTGCACTCCAGCCTGGGCAACTGAGTGAGACTCTGTCTCAGGGAAGAAAAAAGTTATTTTTAGCCATTACATTTTGGGGTGATTTTTTTCTAAAAACAGAAACTAAAACAGAAATTAATCTTTGGAAGTGGGGTGCTGCTGTAACAGAAGCCTAACACAGGTGATTTTTTTTTTTTTTTAGAGACGGAGTCTCGCTCTTTCGCCCAGGCCGGACTGCAGTGACGCTATCTCGTCTCACTACAAGCTCCGCCTCCCGGGTTCATGCCATTCTGCTGCCTCAGCCTCCCGAGTAGGTGGGATTACAGGCGCCCGCCACCGCGCCCGGCTAATTTTTAGTATTTTTAGTAGAGACGGGGTTTCACCGTGTTAGCCAAGATGGTCTCGATCTCCTGACATCGTGATCTGCCCGCCTCGGCCTCCCAAAGTGCTGGGATTACAGGCGTGAGCCACCGCGCCCGGCCTAACACAGGTGATTTTGAGACTGAGCCATGGGGAAGGATGGAAGCATGGCAAGCCAGCATGGAAATTGTTATTAGAGGCCGCAAAGATGGTCATCTGTGTTTCAAGATAGTGGAACAATTAGTGAAGCTGATGGCTACAGTTACACGGAAGATAGAAAACTTGATGTGGCTAAAGGAAATCTCCAAGTTGAATGCCGAAGGGGCTAATTTGTTTATTTTAGCTGCCTATGATAAAATATGGGAAGGAGAGATGAACCAAAGGAAGAGCAATTCCATTTCCAAGGAGAATTTAGAGTTAATAGTTCTGGACTATGGATTGCTGGGACGGAAAATAAAACTCTCTCCCCAGGGGTTCTCAATGTAAGAAATGGTGTCAGGAAGCTGCTGGCAAAATGTGACCTTAGTCTACAAAATTAAATTGAGGGTGCGGCTGTAAGACCTGTTATAAGACCTCACAAAGCATAGAGATCTTGCTCCAAGAGATGTGTAGATGTGTGTGTGACTTGTCTAATGGAATAGGCTATAATTTAATATATAGAAAACCCACTTCTTTAAAGAAGTTGTACACAGACTAAAGGAACCAAGGCAATTCAAAATGAAGAGAGACCTCTGGATCCCCAACTTACCATGAGACGCCAACTGAGGAATTACTCAGCTGCAAAAATGAACCATTTGTCATGGAAAAGGGAAACGGTCTCAGGATGGAGCCAACAGCCAAATAACAGCGAATTAAGTAACCATTTGCAGGGAGCAGAAACAGGCCTTCATCGAGAAACAGTCCTGCCTCTGGAGTCGTGGGGACTGGCAATGTGTGCCTGGCTGGATTTCAGAATTGCTAAGGATCTGTGCCTGCCATGTGCCTTCAATCTCCTCCCCTTGGGAATGGGAGTATCTCTTACAGTTATCTCATCGCTTTCACACTATGATATCTGGGGTTGGGCGAGGGCAGTGATGGTGGCAGATAACTTGAATTATTAGTTCACAAACTTCCAGATTGAGAAAAAGCTGCATCCAAGCAGTCTAATTCACATCTAGACCTGAGACAGATAGTGAGATTCTGAACACTGAACTGCTTCCATATTGAATGAGAGATCTAACTGGGGCTTCTTGGGAGGATATGAATGTATTTCACATGCAGAAGAAATGCAAACAATCAATGGCCAAAGAATAAACTATGGTAGATTAAAGATGAGCATAAAATCTTTTCTATCTCCCTCATTGTCACATGAAATTGATTTCCTCTCCTCTTGAATCTGGGCTGGCTTTGTGACTTGTTTTGACAAACAGAATGCAGCAGAAGTGACACTGTGCAGATTCTGGGTCTAGGCCTTAAAAGACCAGGCAGCTTCCACGTTTGCCCTCTTGGAGACCCCAAGCCACCATGGAAACAGGTTCAGCTACCCAGATGGATAGAGCACGTGCAGAGAGAAAGATGCCAAGCCCCAGATGTCCCAGGCATCACAGTGAGACACCAGACATATGTGTAAAACTATCTTGAATTCCCAGCTGCAGGCAGTGAACTGTCCTAAGTCCAGCAAACACAAATTGCAGAATTGTGGATAGATAGGTGGTGGTTGTTTTAAATCACTAAACTTTGGGATAGCTAGTTACAAAGCAATAGATAAATAAACATAGATACTATGACGGATGGAAATTACTGCAAATTCTGTTGAGTTCCACATATCAAAGGATACAGGCCATCTCCCTTTCCCTTGAATTTGGGCTGGCCCCATGGCTTAGCTTTGACTAATATCTTACTTCCCATGCTCGACGGTTAGCTGGACAGTTCTTCTGCTGGGCTTGCCTGGGCTCACTTAGTTGGCTGCATTAAGCTGGGCTGGAAGATCCAAACAGCTTCACTCACAGGGCTGGGAGTTGGCACCAGCTATCAGCTGTAGCATCTTGGTTCTCTCCCCCATGCTGTCTTGTCTTCAGTAGACTAGACCAGTTTCCTTACATAGTGACCTTAGGGGCCCTTAAGCACCATGAAGCTGAGTGTCTAGAACTTGTACATTGTCACTTCTACCACATTCTATTGGTCAAAGCAAGTCAAATGGTCAACCCAGGTTCAAGAGATGGAGAACTAGTAGAAAACTGAGTAGTTTCTCTACCTGTTGATGAGAAGAACTGCAAAATATGGTGGCCATGTTTTTCAATCTATCACCCATGGGCAAACTGTACCACAATAATTGTAGTTAATGCCAGACATTTTTTGCTTAAGAATATAAGAGCTACACAGAACAAAACTAGAATGATTGTCTGCATCAGGGGTCCCCAACTCCTGGGTTGTGGACCAGTACTAGTCAGTGGCCTGTTAGGGACCTGGCCACACAGCAGGAGGTGAACAGCGGGCAACCGAGTATTACCTGCCCGAGCTCCGCCTCCTGTGAGGATCAGCCGAGGCATCAGATTTTCATAGGACCGTGAACCCTACTGTGAACTGCACATGCGAGGGATCTAGGTTGCGCGCTCCTCATGAAAATCTAAGTAATGCCTGATGATCTGAGGTAGAACAGTTTTATCCCAAATCATTCACCACTACCACCCCTCCTCCAACCTCCACCCCTCGCACCCCTTACCCCCATCCCTGTTCATGGAAAAATTGTCTTCCACAAAACTGGTCCCTGATGCCAAAAAGGTTGGGGATAGCTGGTCTACATAATACATGACATTTAAAAATTCAGCTCATGACAGCACTGTATCATCATTTTATTTCAGCCTGAATGTCAAAACTACCTTAATTTTTCTTTTTCTTTTTTTAGGAAGCCAGTTTTAAAAAAAATACCAATGTTTGGCTGGGCACGGTGGCTCACGCCTGTAATCCCAGCACTTTGGGAGGCTGAGGCGGATGGATCACAAGGTCAGGGGATCGAGACCATCCTGGCTAACACGGTGAAACCCCGTCTCTACTAAAAATACAAAAAAATTAGCCGGGCGTGGTGGCGAGCACCTGTAGTCCCAGCTACTCGGGAGGCTGAGGCAGGAGAATGGCGTGAACCCATGAGGCAGAGCTTGCAGTGAGCCGAGATCGCGCCACTGCACTCCAACCTGGGGGACAGAGGGAGATTCCGTCTCAAAAAAAAAAAAAAAAAAAAAAAATACCATTGCTAAAGCTAGGTCTCCAACTAACCAGGGTAGACACCATTGCTGGTAAGAACTGTTTTCCCCTGAAATCCTGTTAAACCTGGGAAATGGAGAGTAAGGAGGAATTGGAATACGAAAGCTGCAAATGCATGAAGATCAGTCAGGTAAGACCCCTAGATTCCTGGGCAGGCCCCCAGCTACTGCCAATCCTACTGTAAACACTGCTGTAAAAATGTACATTTTTTACAATTAGACTTAACTTCTCTGGAATTAACCTTGAGTGATTAATAGCTCGAATTCTACTAAGAACCAGATATTGTAGAGAATCCTTTAGTTCATGAATTCCACAAATATAAGTTTGCTGAACTAGAAGAGTCTGAGAATATCTACCTTTAGTCATGAGTCAGAAATAAGTGGTGGTAGGCCAGGCGCAGTGGCTCACATCTGTAATCCCAGCACTTTGGGAGGCCGAGGAGGGTGGATCACTTGAGGTCAGGAGTTTGAGACCAGCCTGACCAACATGGTGAAACCCTGTCTCTACTAAAAATACAAAATTAGCCATGTGTGGTGGTGCACACCTGTAATCCCAGCTACTTGGGAGGCTGAGGCAGGAGAATCACTTAAACCTGGGAGGCAGAGGTTGCAGTGAGCCGAGATTGCGCCACTGCACTCCAGCCTGGGTGACAGAGTGAGACTCCGTCTCAAAAAAAAAAAAAAAAAAAAAAAGGAAATCAGTAGTGACAAATCCATGTCTACACTTGATATAAAAAGTAAACTTACCTATTTAAAGGAACCTTGTGATGATTGTGTTTCTCACCTTTTATCATCTAGAGCTGCAGTCCCCAATCTTTTTGGCACTAGAGACTGGTTTTTTAGAAGATAATTTTTCCACCATTTGCGGGTGGTGATGGAGTTTCAAAATGAAACTGTTCCACCTCAGATCATCAGTCATTAATTAGGTTCTCATAAGGAGCATGCAACCTAGATCCCTCACATGTGCAGTTCACAATACGGTTTGTGCTCCTATGAGAATCTAATGCTGCTGCTGATCTGACAGGAGACAGAGCTCAGGTGGTAATGCTCACTCGCAGCTCACCTCATGCTGTGCCACCCAGTTCCTAACAGGCCATGAACCAGAACTGGTCCACGGCCCAGAGTTTGGGGACCCCTGATCTAGAGAAATTTCTTGGACAAAGTTTTGTTTGTTTGTTTTAGAGAAGGGATCTCACTTTGTTACCCAGGCTGGAGCACAGTGGCTATTCACAGGCATAATGACTACACATTGCAGCCTTGAAGTCCTGGGCTCAAGTGATCCTCCCACTTCAGTCTCTTGAGGAGCTGGGACTACAGGCAGGCACCACCACTCCCAGCTTAGATAAAGTGTTTTAATCAAATATGCTGTAAGAAAGATTTATGTCAGCTTGAAAAGTAACATAGTTACTTTTTCACAGTTTTATCAAAATAGATTAAGACTTGAACAATCTGTAGTATCAATGAGGTACTATTTTTAAAAAATTATTTGGTATTACTTCCAGTTTTATATCATAATTGTGTTAGAGAAGGCAAAAGTTACATGCAGTTTTTCAGTTTTACCACTAGATGGAGAATGCGTCTTCTAAGCAACTCAAAACAAATCTTAAGAGTGCCCACTTTGTCTGCTAGGCCCTGCCAGTGCTGAAATACCATATGTAGATGATACCTGAAGTGGCTTTATGGTCTATGAAGGATAAGACAAGAATGGAAGAATCTGTATTTCGAAGCAGAATATAAATGTCAAAATACAAACAAAATGTTCTATGGAAATTTAAAGAATAACTCCAAAAAGTTAGCAGAGTTTTGGATATGGTGTATTTGAGATTTGAAGTTAAAGTGATGTTTCAATAGGCTGAAGTGGAGAGTAATGCACAAACACACAGGCAGAAAAGCATGACAGTGCAGCTTTCTTGGCAGAGATAAGATCTGAGATGTAGTACTGGGCTATAATGCTTTAAATAAATGAACCAGGCTCCTCCACATTCCCTCCCTCAGGCAGTTGGAATGCCCTGCTGCCACAGTCATAGGCCTTCTACCTATTGGAAGGAGTAGAATGGGAATTTCTTGAAGTCAGGGATTTTTTGAGTATGTTTTTGAATCTCTAGCATTGTGCTAGATACATGTAGCTTGGGAGCCAAGAGAAATGGGAAGTTACTGGAATACTTTTCTGGATAAAAAATTTGGCCTACCAAATTTAGCTTTCATATCCTCCTTTAATGGTGGGCTAAATTTTTTCTGATTATAAAAGGTATACATGTTATTGTTATTTTTTGGCTATTTTTACAAATTTGGCCCACCATGAAAAGAGGATATAGATTTCATACTAATGAGAATCTTCCAAAAACTATGCCATATTATGAAGGTAAGTCTAAAACATCAGTCAGCAAGTTTTATAATGTTAAGGCAGCCTTATTTCAGCATATCATGTATACTGCTGCAGTGTAAAATGTCAAATTAGGATAGAGATTGCAAGCTGCTGACTTGGGGTCCTATGTAGCTCAAGACAGATTTTGTTAAATTTGCACAATGTTTTAAAAAAATTTTAGTTAATTGATATTACTTTACAAGTCATGAGATTTTCACATACAGTCTAGATTTCTGGCTTCTCTTTAAAAATTCAAAAATTGCATCATAATGGGTCCCCATTCTCAGATGCTGGAATCACCTGACACTGGGTGGAGAATCTCCCTATGAGATCACACACATCCTCTCTGGATTTCACAGTCCCTCTGCTCCCTTTGTAACACATAGGACCTACCTTCACCATGTACATTACCTGTCTGGCCTAACAGACAATTGATTTGTGTGACCTCTGTGTGGACTCATTTGGATCTTCAAACTTTAGTATATTTGTTGAACCAGCCATTACCAGTCATTACACACTGATATTCTAAAACTCTTTACTGAATCCACATTTTGGTTAGTGTGTAAAATCTGGTTTGTTACAACTGAACATGCACACCATTACTTCATTAACCTGAGTTCTCCAAAAAGTTAGCAGAAGATTTTTGGATGCTATTGAATGGGATATAATCTGCTAAAAGTAAGAGGTAAGAGACATGGTGTAGGATCAAAGAAAGATCACATGAGTACAGGAACATCTGAGAACTCTGCCCTGTGAGCATATAGGGCGTATATTCTGGGCAGCAAAAATGTCTATTCACGTAACAATACAGTGCTGTGGATGCTCTGGTGGTGAAATTGTTTGAAATATATTAATATGCTTTTTTATTTTTGTACTTCTTTGGTCATGACTTTTCCCCTAATTTACCATCCCTTGTCTTAAGAAGAGTTAGGATTTTTATAGCAGGAATACAAAGGGTCACTGTTGAACTCCTGAAGCCCATTTCAGAAGCAAGAGTATTTGTGGCCCTGCACGGTGGCTCATGCCTGTTATCCCAGCACTTTGGGAGGCCGAGGCAGGTGGATCACCTGAGGTCAGGAGTTCAAGACCAGCCTGGCCAACACGGCGAATCCCCTCTCTACTAAAAATACAAAAATTAGCCAGGCATGGTGGTGTGCACCTGTAGTCCCAGCTACGCAGGCTGAGGCCAGAGAATCGCTTGGACCCAGGAGGCAGAGGTTGCAATGAGCCGAGATCATGACATCGCACTCCAGCCTGGGTGACAGAGTGAGACTCCATCTCAAAAAAAAAAGCATCAAGAGTCTTGGAAGCTAGATACATCATCAGAGTATAACCAGGAAAATAGAAACCACTCTAAGAACTTAGAGAAAAATTACATAGGTAACTGGATAAAAAGGAAATGGAGGAGGTGAGAAACCAAAGAGTGGATGGCAAAGTCACCCAGAGATTACCACCACCACCAAGACTGGAGAGACAAGGGAGCAGATGGTGAACCTACAAGGAAGCTGCATCCACAGGGTCAGTTCCGGCAGAGTTATCACTGAGGTAGAGGGAAATACCCAGCCTTCTCCTTTGCCACCCCTGTCTTTATCTCCTGCTAGCATCTCCCAGTGGCCATCCCAGCCAGAGCCAGTTGCCATGGGGTTTGCAAGCATCAGGGTCCCCAGACAAGAATGCTGGGCAGGGGCAGGGTAGGGATGGACTGGAGAACAGGCTGATGACCTGCACACCGATGACAAAGGCCAGCCAACTGAGATGGAACACGGTTTTGTTCTGTTTTTCACTTGCAAAACATTGCTTTTAAATATCTAGATCCAAAGCATAGAGGGCTAAGTTAAGAATTTTTAATGTAAACCATAGAGTAGAGAACATGAGGTCATGGCCACTTGCTGTCACAGAAAAAAAGGCAATAAAAACCCTTTCTCGTTTGGAGAGAGTCTGAGGAGGACAGGGCTCTCCAACTCTGTGAATGGGGCTGGGTAGGGAGGGAGAATCTGACTTTGGCTATTCCTCTAGAGGTTAGGGCTGGGGACGGTTCTGGGGGGTGATGTACCATTTCCATCTGGAAATTTTGAAGGACCCTGCCTTAAACAATGCCCCACACTGACATGGGAATGAAGTAGAGCAGCACTCTAGGACAGTGGTTTTCCATGGGGATTCTGGTGTTGTGTGTATCATGGGTGAGCTCCAGAGGCCACGTGCCTCTGTGCAGGAGGCACAGCCTCTGAGAGGGCCACGGCCCCGAGAACTGGATTCTAGTTAAGGAGGGCAGACACCTTGAGCAGGAGTTCAGCACAAGCACCACAGGCCTCTACAGCACAGGCTGGCAGGAGCAGTAGCCAGTGGTGCACACAGGAGAGACAGACACCTTGGTTGAGGCCAGCAAGGAGTGGAGGTCACAGAGGCTCAGGCCCTCCTCTCCACAGTGCAGTGCTGGATACATGCCACCTGCCACCTGCACTCACAGCATACCTCTGGGGCAAAGGGAAAAGGAGATTTTTTAAAGCCTAAGCATCGAGTTTGACTTCGAATTAATTAAATTTGAATTCTGAATTGGTTATTTTTCCAAAAGAAATGAGGTTTTAAACTGGATGTTTTTTATCTTCATGGGGCAGAATGAAATGTTTCTACCATTTGTAGAAATTAGGGGCTATTTTTATCGACAAATAAACTTACATTTCTTTGCATCTGACTTCAAACCTATTGCATGTGCAGGGTTTCGGTCAAGAATGCCTGCTCTGAGTTTAAACACACAGACCACACACACACACACATGCACACAGAGATCACTCACACACACACGCATGCACACACAGTTTTTCAGCCCTTCAATTGCCTTCTTTGTTACAGGCTGAATCAGCCTTTCCCTGAAGCAAAGAATGCCATTCTTTTTTTTTTTTTTTTTTTTTTTGAGACTGAGTCTTGTCTGTCGCCAGGCTAGAGTGCAGTAGTGCGATCTCGGCTCACTGCAACCTCCACCTCCCAGGTTCAAGCGATTCTCCTGCCTCAGTCTCCTGAGTAGCTGGGACTACAGGCACATGCCACCACACGCATCTAATTTTTGTATTTTTAGTAGAGACGGAGTTTTCACCATGTTGGCCAGGATGGCCTTGATCTCTTGACCTCATGATCCACCAGCCTCAGCCTCCCAAAGTGCTGGGATTATAGGCGTGAGCCACTGCACCCAGCCAAAGAATGCCATTCTAATGGGTGAACAATCACTGGGCAACAAATATCATTTTGGGAAAGATAACTTGATAACTTGGTTTAAACTTTCCAAGTTATCCAAAATTCCAAATTCATTTATTTTCCTTTATGGGGACCTGTGATCCCCACAAAGATGTTTATTCTGATCTAGATGTCCCCACTTCCAAGAAGGCCTCTGTGTAGAATATATCTCTTTGCAATCCCTTTAGGGTTACCTATGGGGCCTTGGCCTTCAGTAAAATTCTCACATCCCTTCATTGGTGGCTTTCCTTCATTCTCCTGCTGACCCTACCCTCAGGAAGCTTCAGTCGTGATGCAGACAGAGCTTCCCTTGATGGGGGATGAGTTCAAGGCATGCATTAGGCAAGGCCCTCAGGCAGAGTTGTGCAGGAAGAGTGCATCTTACAGCCCTAGGGGGATCATTTTTATCCTACCCTGCGCATGCATCACTCCCTCACAGGGTTGTACATAGTGTGCAGTGTGCGTGGTGGCCCTTGATTTACATCAACAGGGGTAAGCAGCTATCTTTAAGAGCAAAAAAAAAGTGTAGGCTGATTCCTAAACTGAAATCTCCTCTCCTCTCTGCTAGAGACAGAACGCTCCTTGGCTGGCTATGGACACATCCTGTGCTGAGGCCCTCTTAGGCTGGTGTGGTCCTCTCCTCGTTTCCTCTCTGCCCATATCTCCCAAGTCAGCTTCAGCTTCTGCATCACTAACAACGTGTTCTCTTTCAAGCCTAGCTATAAAATCTTGTCTTTCTCCAAAACTCAGTCTTTCCAAATGTCCCTTAAGCCTCCACACTTATGGCCTGAGTTACTTTATGACTTTGCTTGATGCTTTGTGTCTGTATCTCTCTCAAAAGAGGTTTAGTTCTTTGAACTATTCAGGGTCCAAGAACGAAGGCTTCAATATAGTATTCCACATTCCTTTATTTCTTCTTCCACCAGCTATTCTTCATCTGCCTCCAGGTAGCACAACGGGTCTGTGTACCCTGTTTTTTCTCCCAACTTGAGGCTGACTCAGGAACTCATAAGTCTCTTTCAGGTTATGCAAGACCAGTGGGGCATAACTCAAGCTCTCTTCATCTACCAAATATATTATGGCACCACTTCTCCTCTATTGAGGCTACCCGTCATGGCATGGGACACTGTGCACGGGGTTCCCTCCTACAGTTCAGCGTGGAAAGTGGGGCATACACTCCTTCTGCTCTGATGACTGAACCAAGCTCCATCAACCTGTTCCCCTACCAGGGGTTTGACTACAGGAGCCTGGGACCAGGCTGCACATTAGCTCTTGCTCTCCTCTTATTCTTTCTCTCATTCCTCTCTCCCAGCTCGGTAAAAGTTTCTTTGGTTTTCCTGCCTGGAAGGGACATGGGGGAACTGCCCATGAGTCATAGTCTGTATTGTTCCCTTCTCTATGGTTACCTTTTATAAAGCTAAACTGTGATCCTCTGATTTGGTTTAAACTCTCTTCAATTCTATGAAGCCTCAGAGCAGTGAGGAAGCTGTAGAAGAAAAGTTTAAGCCAGCAGAGGTTGGTTTATGAGGTTTAAGTAAAGAAGCCATCTCCATAGCATAAAAGTACAAGGTGAAGTGGCAGGTGCTGATGTAGAGGCTGCAGCAAATTATCCTGAATATCTAGCTAAAATCATTGATGAAAGTAGCCACACTAAACCACAGATTTTCAATGTATACAAAACAGCCTTCTCTTGGAAGAAGATGCCATTTGGACTTTCATAGCTAGAGAGGAGAAGTCAATGCCTGGCTTCAAAACTTCAAAGGACAGGGTGACCCTCTTGCTAGGGGCTAATGCAGTTGTTGACTTTAAGTTGAAGCCCATGCTCATTTACCATTCTGAAAACCCTAGAGCCCTTAAGAATTATGCTAAATCTACTCTGCCTGCACCCTATAAATAAAACAACAAAGACTGGATGACAGCATATCTGTTTACAGCATAGTTTACTGAATATTTTAAGCCCACTGTTGTGATCTACTGCTCAGAAAAAAAAAAAGATTATATTCAAAATATTACTGTTCATTGACAATGTACCTGGTCATCCAAGTGGTCTGATGGAGACATACAAGGAGATTCATGTTGTTTTCATGCCTGCTGAGACAAGATCCATCTTGCAGCCCATGGATCAAGGAGTAATTTTAACTTTCAAGTCTTACTATTTAAGAAATACATTTCACAAGGCTATAGCTGCCATAGATAGTGATTCCTCTGATGGATCTGGGAAATGTACGTAAATTGAAAACCTGCCGAGAAAGATTTGCCATTCTAGATGCCATTAAGAACATTTGTGATTCATAGAGAGGACATTAAAATTTCAACATTAACAGGAGCTTGGAGGAAGTGGATCTCAACCATCATGGATGACTTTGAAAGGTTCAAGTCTGCAGTAAAGAAAATAATTGCAGATGTGATAGAAATAGCAAGAGAACTAGAATTAGAAGTGGAGCCTGAAGATGTAACTTAATTATTCCAATTACATAATAAAACTTAAACAGATGAGTTGCTTCTTACAGAAGGACAAAAAAAGTGGTTTCTTGAGATGAAAGCTACTCCTGGTGAAGATGCTATGAACATTGCTGAACTGACAACAAAGGATTTAGATTATTCCGTAAACTTAGTTGATCAAGCAGGGCAGGATTTGAGAGGATTGACTCCAATTTTGAAAAATGTTCTACTGCAGGGAAAATGCTTTCAAACCGCATCACATGCTACAGAGAAATATTCATAAAAAGAGTCAATTGATGTGGCAAAGTTCACCGTTGTCTTATTTTAAAAAATTGCCCAGACACCCCATGCTTCGGTAACCATGACCCATCAGCGGCCATCAATGTCAAGGCAAGACCCTCCACCCACAAAAAGATTACAACTTGTTGAAGGTTTAGGTGATCATCAGCATTTTTTAGCAATATTTTAAAATTAAGGTATGTACTCTTTTAGGACAAAATGCTATTGCACGTTTAATAGAATATAGTATAGTGTAAACATAACTTTTACATACACTAGGGAATCAAAAAATACGTGTGACTCACTTTATTGTGATAGTCACTTTATTGTAGCAGTCTGGATATATACAAATATCTGGATATTCCAGATACCTGGAATATCTTCAAGGTCATGCCTCTAAATTTATGTTTATTATAAGCTACTCAGTTTGTGGTTTTCTATTATAGCAGTAGAAAATGGACTAAAACAAGCCTTTCCATTAAATTATTTCTTTGTAGACAGTGTCTGCCCTCAATAGCAAATGCCATCATCCAATACATAAACAACTAGAGTATAATTTTATGAGATAAAAAATGTAAGGTCAAAATCTCTAAATACTATCCCAGAACACTTTTAGAGACAAGCTGACGCATTGTTTTGCTTTGAAATTATTGCTGATGATACAGTTTTGTTTTTACCTGTTATATTTCTTCAGGAATACTGTCATGACTTTCAACATATTTGATGAGCCACTTCCCTACTGTTAGGTCTTACAGAGCCAATGTGGAAAGATGGATGTTAGACAAAGTCACGGTTTCAAGACTTTATCAAAATTGCTAGACCTGGAGATTTCCTCATGACATTTAGTTATTTCTTCTGGTTTAAGATCATTTATAGTCTGGATCTTATTAAAGAGAATCACTACTTGAACTGGGAAATCACTTTTATAGGGAAAGACAAGAATGTATTAGTCATTGAACTAAAACTTGTTTTGGTAAATTTATGAGGAAGTGGAATACCTTTAAGACTTTCTTTGCTTAGCAGCTTGTTTCTTCAGATCTCCACTTAGGTCATAATATTTAGTTACTTCTTTAGAAGAAGACTCTAGAGAGAACTCCGTGTTGCCTCAAAGGAGTCTTTAAATAATCCATATTACTCTTTCTACTGAATAATCAGATAATTAAGCCTGACCTATATCTCCTGACCAGGCAGATTTTCTCTATTTAATATCTGTAACTGGTCTTGATTTCTGCCAGGGGCATTAACTAATATTGATGAACAGATAATTTGTTTTAAAAATAGGTTTAAAGAGTCTTTTCACCGTGCATAATTAATGAGGAAGTTATTTTTTGTTTGTGGGGTATTCCACAGTTTATCTCCTCAGAATACATCTCAACAACATTCTTAAATAACGAAGCACTTGCTTTTCAATTTCTGGAAAGGTAATAGCCATTTACTGCAAAGGTATCCCAGCTCATATACAGAGAGTGATGCGTCTACAGAAAGACAGCCTTCCCACTTCCCTTCTGGGGTTCTAATGTCTTCCTGGAATTTCCTCCCTGGAAATCTCTGTTTTCCCTGAAAGAGTTAACTTTCAGGAAGCATCCTGAAAGAAAACAATATGGTTCCTTTTGGAAGGGAACAGAGTTATTTATGACATGTTTAAAGTATGCAACCTCTAAAGTATTAATTGAAAAGTCAATAATCTAACGTACTACTATCACGTCACTTTCAAAGTAATAACTCGTCCATAATGTTTTAAAAACTCATATAACCATCAAAAGTATGTAATAAAACACAGTATTCCTCTGCTTTCTTCATCTTCTTGTTCTGCTCCTTAGAGGTAACTATTTTCAATTTTGTCATGTTCTAGCATTTACCCTCATATTTCTAAATATGCAACTTTGCTATTTATTCACCAATTTTAGAAATTATCCAAGTTATCTATTATCATGGTAGAGGAGGAGTTACACTCCCTTAGCTTCCCCAATCCATCCTTCCAATGCAGTTTTTTCATAAATTTTGGTAAATTCATTTTCAGTGTTTTTCATTGCTATGACTGTATATATATTTACATCTAAATCAAGAAGTGTGAATGAATAGTACACTCCAGGGAAATCAGGTGGCCAGCTGGCTTTTTCTTCATGTAGCCCCAAAGGTCAATGCGTTACTGGTCGAGGGTGTCCAGGTTCTTGGCATCTTCCACAAAGAATTGGACACAATGCACAAACAAAGCAAGAAAAGAATGAAGCAGCAAAACCAGAGATTTACTGAAAACGAAAGTACACTCCACAGAGATGGAGCGTCCCAAGCACAGGAGCTGAAGAGCCTAGTTACATAATTTTCTGGGTTTAAATATTCACTAGAGGTTTTCCATTGGCCACTTGGTGTATACCTCATGCAAATGAAGTAGTGGCCCACATCAGTCTGATTGGTTGCAGAAAGCAATCAATCAAAGGCTGAAGTGAAGTTAAACGGTTACACTCTATGCAAACATCTGATTGGTTGTGGAAAACAACCAATCACAGGCTAAAGTGAAGTTACAAAGTTATACTTCTATGCAAATGAAGACTTGGCTACCAATCAGTCTGATTGTGGAAAGCAACCAATCAGAAGTATTTTAAATTTTCCATCTGCCATGCAGGAAAGAGGGGGTGGTTTGCAAAGGGAGTAGCCTGTGGTCTCTTTGTTACTTAGATGTGGAAAGTCGGGGTTTTCCTTTTGATACAGTTCTAGGAAGTCAGTGGGAATTGGCCTTAGGTTCCCTACCTCCAGACCCTATTTTCTTGCGTCAAATGTCTCTAGAGAGACGCTGTATTTTTTCTGAGGTGGTTCATCTCCCCACATCCTGCTTGTGGTTGTATGATTGGTTATTGTTATTCTGAAATTCAGTAGGGGAACTTGAAAAAGGCTTTACAATTTCAAATGCAGATCACTGACTCTGTTTCAAATGGGTCATCTCATCTTCACTCTTCTCTATTCCTAGTTCAGTTTCAAAGTATCTCCTCCACTACTAGTACTGGGAAGACGTAGGACCTGACTCCTTACAGTGTGGATAGTAACCTGGGAATCTAACTGTTGCTTATACAGGCTTTCAAACAGTCCCTCGACTTTGCTTTTTACACACTGTGGCACCAAACCTTTATAGACTCCAATGGGGATGACACCAGGTTCAAGAGGCCAAAGAAGAGACCCAGAGCCAGCAAACAAGACATGGGGTTGTACTGGGGGCTAAACACAGGGGAGAGCCCAGTGGTGGTGGGCGGAACAGGAGAACCCCACGACCCAGGGGCAGTAGGCTGAGCAGAAGAATCACAACCACTTGCAAAAAGCATGCAGGTTTTACAGCATTTTCACTTAGCCCCTGCCTCCTAATAAGCTCCACCTGGAAACTTGCATTTAAACCAAAACAAATGGCCTCAATCCTCTGTACAGCTCACATTCCACAGGACAGGATGGGGCCTAGATGTTCCTTATAGATAAGGAATGAATCTCTGCGTTGTCCTCTCCCACATTCCTTAGCTTGGAACTCTGAACCGCATTCAGGTGCACCTGCTATACAGGGTCATTCTCAGGGTATGCGTAAATTATTGCTATCAGGTGCATTTAACACACATACACACAAACACAGAGACACACACACACACACACACATTGACACACACAACCCTACCTTCTGAGATACTTGGCACTTCCAATTCATGAGCATTTTCAGGATTCTGTGGGACGAATCAGCTAATTCCTATTAGTATCCTCATTTATGGGTACTCTTAAATTGTTAAGTCTACTGATTACATTTAAAATGTACTGGGTAGAGGGAGAGGTGGGAGAAATAGGAATTTATCTTCAAATAAGCAATAAAGCATCAATTGTGTTGGGTTCATTGCATATCTGTGATTATAAATAGACTTTTAATTTGTCTATAGAGTTCTGTCTATCCTCCATGAGCTTGGCGTGACAAGTCTGGTTTTGTTTTGTTTTGTTTACCTTGACAGATAAGAAAGGAATCTTGAAGCAGCACTTGCCTTGTGTCAGGGGATTTAACAGGACAGGTCTGGGCCCCTGAACTACAGGTGATGTTAAAGAACCATGACTTTAATCTTTAAAATATTCTACAATTGCAGGAACATGTGAGAGCAAGAGTTGAACTCTGTGTCTCAAAAGTAACAAAAGGTCTCACATTTCATCCCTGGCCAGAAGGAGTTAGAAATGCCTGTTCTGGGCACCTTGCATCCAGGCAGTAAGTTTGAACCATCAATCTGTACTGGATCTGTGTTTCTTCCCTTCATGGTGTGGTTGGGATTGGTGTAGCTGTCAGGTGGAACTGTTACACCAAAATGTCCAGGGCTTAATGGAATCCATCATTAATATGGTCTCAAAGATTTTTACATATTTATAGTTTTCTCCATTCCTACATGATGACAGAATGTGAAGGATGTATTCACTTTTTGTGTCACAGCTAAAGATAATTATCAAGCTAATATATTCCTTGCCTGTTTATTTTTTCTTTAAAGAAAGGGTCTCGATCTGCTGCCCAGGATGGAGTGCAGTAGTACAATCATAGCTCACTGCAGCCTCAAACTCCTGGCTCAAGAGATCCTGCCACCTCAGCCTCTCAAGTAGCTGGGACTATAGGCATGCATCACCACACCCAGCTAATTTTTTTAAATTTTTTGTAGAGATGGGGTCTTGCTATGTCGTTGCCTAAGCTGATCTTGAACTCCTGGCCTCAAGCAATCCTTCTACCTTGGTCTATTTATATAAATATTGGTATTATATCCAGAACAAAATAATGGGGTATAAAAATGATTAAGACTTGACCATTTGCTATTATCTGAAAATAATCTTAACACACTAAATAATAAATAACTATATCCCACTCCTTAAATCCTAAAAAGCAGGGGTAGGGGAATCTTAAGTGGTGACCCTTTTCTGGTAAAACACTAAAAACCATCTTAAAATACTAAGAAAAATCTGAAACAATAGTAGAAAAATAAAAAATTCTACATATAATTTAAAGAAAGTTCTGATATGGAGGTTAAAACTGGATGACAGAGCCATTGACCACACTGAGGTGGCAACATCTTCAGTCACAGCTCACAGCAGTCGTGGGCTTTCCACGAGTGGGACTCCCTGGAAAACTTACACACAATCTGATCACTAAAAGCAAAGATCCTCAGGTATACATCTCAAAGAGAAGAGCCTTACATTTTCTCCTGTGTGACCTAAAGCAATGACATGGGATTTTTGCACCTCAGTTGCCTTATCTGAAAAAAATGGGATGCCTGCCTCCTAGGATTGTTTGACAATTAAGAGTAAAACTCTTAGATGAGTGCACAGCACAGTTTAACTGTTACCAATTAGTATTATTACCTCACACCTAAGGAAAGAAGGAAATAGACAAATGGGAAAAAAAAGGTGGGGGTGGTTAGAATTAGCTAAAGGTGATGCCCTAATCAAACAGCCCAGGGTCTCTCCCTTCTGGTCCTAAATTGTATTTCAATTCAGGAAATTCCAGGATTGCATCAGCCGAATGAGGTAACTGGCTTGTCATCTGAACACTTTGCCAGCACGTGATGCTATTATGTGAGCCCGCTGTTCCAACGTGAGTCACACATGTGAGCTGCAGCCACTTCTGCAGATGGAATAAAGTGTGTCAAGGTACAAGAACTGTACTTTCTCCTTTTTTTCTCACCTTGAACCTGAAAATCATGTGGGATTAATTTCCTAAGTATTTGCTCTACAGTTAACTCCAAATTATCCATGCTAGTGGAGGGAAAGAAAGACACAGATGGACATGAACAGTGACTGCTTCAAAAATGCCTTATAACTTGTGACTTTTGTAGTTAGAATTCTATATTGAGAATTGGTACCTAAATGTTCTGGAAACAAAACTTGAAGCAAAGTAAGTCTTGCTCGCCAGGCACGGTGACTCATGCCTGTAATCCCAGCACTTTGGGATAATGAGGCAGGTGGATGGCCTGAGCCCAGGAGTTCGAGACCATACTGGGCAAAATGGTGAAACCCTATCTCTACCAAAGAGATTTTTTTAAAAATTAGCTAGGCGTGGTGGCACATGCCTGTGGTCCTGGCTATTCAGGAGGCTGAGGTGGGAGGATCACTTGAGCTTGGGAGGTCAGGACTGCAGTGAGCCATGATAGTGCCACTGCACTCCAGCCTGGCCAACAGACTGAGACTGTCTCAAAAAAAATTAAATTAAAAAAATTTAAAATTAAAGTAAGTCTTGCTAGAAGACTGACCCCAGACAAACCAGAAAATTCATCCCAGACTTCATTCCATAACCTAGTACAAAACCATGCTGTTTTTCTCTTCTGAGGCAAGAGGAGCCATAGCATCTGATGGGGGACATTATCAGCCTAACTTGCATGGTTGCATTCTCATGCACTTCATGGGGAGAAGGAAGATAGTTAATCATTCCTGACAGCTGAATATAATTGTGACTAGAGCCTCAGTCTCTTTATCATTCTGAAGGTGGTATGCAATAGAAAGAAATAACAAAGAAAATGATGATATCACCTGAGAGTTTAAGTTATTTTTTAAAATTCATGAATAGTATAGTTTATGCAATACGTAGAAATCAGCTCTTCAGTAGACTGACCCTGGGAAAACTGGTTGGAGTTTTTTTGTTTTGTTTTGTTTACAAGGGTGGAGACAGCAAGGAAGGAAGGGAGAGAGAAATATCAGACTTACAATCAATGATACACACACACACACACACACACACACACACACACACACCAGTTTTATTGAGTTGTAATTACTTTTTGAGACAGGGCTGGAGTGCAGTGGCATGATTACAGCTCACTGCAGCCTTGAACTCCTGTTCTTAAGCAATCCTCCTGCCTCAGCCTGCAAAGTGCTGGAATTATAGGCATGAGCCACCATGCCTGGAGAGCTGTAATATTTTTTAGTGAACTCTACTATGTGGTAAAACTCTAAATCATGATTTTCAGTAAAGCCCACTGAAGCCAGTTCACCTACGAGATACTTTCTACAAAGTTTAACTCTTCAAGTATGCACACACTTTTTTAATGTATGAATTTAGAAATGATTGCCTAAACATTTTGTTTCTAAAATACAAGATGATGCACATATTCCATTTCATTATTTCTTTCTGCAGAACATAAATTCATGGTGAACGGAACCATAATGAATTATTTAGCCAAGCCAGTATTTTTGACTTGAGCTAAGATGACTGATATGGTTTGGCTCTATGTCACCACCAAAATCTCATGATGAATTGTAATCCCCAGTGTTGGGGGAAGGTGGGAGGTGATTGGATCATGGAGGTGGATTTCCCCCTTACTGTTCTCATGACAGTCAGTGAGTTCTCACGAGATCTGGATGTTTAAAAGTGTGTAGCACTTCCACCTTAGCACTTTCTCTCTCTCTTCCACCATGTGAAGATGTGCCTGCTTCCGCCATGACTGTAAGTTTCCTGAGGCCTCCCTAGCCATGCTTCCTGTATAGCCTGTGGAATGGTGAGTCAAGTCACTCTCTTTTCTTCGTAAATTACCCAGCCTCAAGTAGTTCTTTTTAGCAGTGTGAGAACAAACTAATACAATGACCATATTATCTCTAAGTACACACTTTGCTGTTGTCAGCCACAGAAATAAAACCAGGTTTAGGATGGAAGTCCCTGTTGGCACTCAGAAGCCATCTGAAGGCCAGTTTTCATTTTTTCTCTGCATTTTCAGCCTGTACAGCCTTTTCATTTTTTCAAAAAAGAGAAATATATGATAATGGTTGAAAACAGACTGCAAATATGTAATTCACTCTTCAGAAATAACTGTGTGTAAACTTTTATATTTTAATGCACATGTATAATTTGTTAATAAATGTAATCTGATAAAATAAAAACTTCAGGCAAATTAAATTTAAAGGAGTTTGAGCAATAAATGATTCATGAATCAGGCAGTCCCCAGAATCACAGCAGATTCATAGAGTTTCCAGTACAGCCACGTGGTGGAAGATTTATAGATTAAAAAACAGGAAGTGATGTACAGAAATTGGAAGTGAGGTACAGAAACAGCTGGATTGGTTACAGCTCGACATTTGCCTTACGTGAACACAGTTTGAACACTCAGCAGTGTATGAGTGGTTGAAGTATGGCTGTTGGGATTGGCCAAGACTCAGCTCTTGTTACAGGCACATGCTCCTAAGTTAGGTTTTCAATCTTGTCTACCTATTAAGTTAGATTACAGTTTGTCCACAAGGACTCAAATATAGAAGTACAGAGTCCTTCTCAGGCCATTTTTAGCTCAATTTAACAAATCATAATCAACAAATTAAGTAACCTAATTTTTTCACTTGCAGTGTATCATGGGCATCTTTCTTGTTAGAGCTGATAGAAACATCTCGCATATTAAGGGTTGAGTGGTTCTCAAACTTGACTGCACATTAGAATTACCTGGGGCACTTTAAAACAGTGCAAATACTGGGCCTCATTCTCAAACAGATAATCAGAACCTCTGAGGGTGGATCCTGGAATTACGAGTTTTTTAAGTGTTTCTGGATTCACAAGTGCAGTCAGGGTTGAGAATCACTTATCAATCTGATTATTTTTTAATCTGCATAGTATTATGCATGTATCATATTAACCCTCTCCTACTGATGGACACTTAAGTGGTTTTGAATTTTTCTACTACATGCAGTGCTGCAATTAACATTATTTTATATACATCTTTGCTTATTTGGCCTTAGGATAAATTCCCAAATGTGGAATATGCATATTTAAAATATTAATACATGTTACCAGATTCTTTTCCAGAATGATATATCCCAAAGTACCAGCCAACCAACTTTCCTACCCTGGGAATTGATATTTTTCATTTTTGTCAGTTTGGTGGATTGAAAACAATCCTCTTTCATTTGAATTTCTTTGCTTATTAGTGAGGTTGAGAAACTTATGAGCCATTATTCTGTCTCCTAAATTAACTCTAAATAGAGTCAAGTACAGACTAAAGTGAAAGTTCTAACTGGATTATTTATTTAGCAGGTAGAAGTTGGGGAGAACAGTAGCTCCAAAGAATCATGAAATTATAGTGTTGAAAGAAAACTTAGAGATATCTAGTTTAATTCTGAGTAATGTCGTGACTTGATTATTTTCCCATCCAAAGGTGAATGTTACTAACACTAGAAAATTCAGATGAAACAATAGTGAGGTGAGGAAAAGATATGGCAAAGGGGGAGAAAACCTAAACTGGGTAGGAAAGAAGATGAGAGCAAAGGAGAGGCTGGTACACAGAAAATAGAGAGAAAAGGTGAGTACTATCCTGTGGGTGACTACTGGGTAGGTCCTGCCAAGAAAGCAGGTGAGCCAGGTCTGTGTAGACAAGGGCAAGGGCCACGGGGACAAAACCATGGATAGGAGAGCGGCTTCTCTAGATCAGGGCAGCTGGACACTGCTGCCAGCAACAAACCAGCTGGAAGCTGTTTCCAGACAGACAGACCCGTGTTGGTGTACTGAGGAGAAGCCATGCGAGCACATCCCCCAACACAGGCTGAGGGCTCAAGTTCTCAGATAGGGGAGGTACAAGACAGCAGCCAACAGTAATTTTTTAAAAATGAAATCCAACCAGTACTGCTAGGTGTAGGGTGATGATTTCTGGTAGGTGTATGTTTGGAGCCAGAGAGAGGAGTCGCCTCATAGATATATTAATCAGAACTGATTCTCAGGACAGTCTGGCATCTCCTCTTTTTAAAGACTATCATATCACCATGGTGAAATTCTGGACTTTGGTGGGTATTTGAAGCTGTCCATTTCAGTTTTATAACCTAGACATGGACTCCTCCCTCCTGAACTTTAATAATATAGATGCTCCTGTGCCCACTTTGAGTTGATGGTATACTGAGCCTAATCATCTTCTTACTCTTACTTGATCACTGATAGAGAAGTGGATGCTTCCACCAAGGAAAAGTCTGTTACTCTAGAGTATGAGGACAGAGGTATAAAACCACTGTTCTTAAATGACATGGTTAATGCCCACAGTGCACTTAGTTCTTCTAGAATTATTTGCCCCACCCAATCATAGTGAAACCAGCAGTGTTGAGAGTGGGGAGCAGCCCCCAGTAGCCAGGTGGTGCTGGGTGAGAGGGATGGTGATGCCATCTTCCATGCTGACCTCTGATAGGTGGGCAGACATGCAGCTCACCTCTAAGCCAGCTATAAACCCCTACTGGTGAGGCAGGAGCAGGAGCTAAGGTAACTGCGGGGACCACCACACAGCCTACATCTTCACAAAATGCCTTCAGCATTTGCTCAATCCTGGGAGTGGCTTTGAATACTATTTTAGGGTAAACACACCTGACAGCAATAACTTGAGCATACCCTGAGACCGACCCTGCATGGCACATACACCTGCCTGTGTGCTCCTAGCTAGGGAATCCAGGAGTGGCCAACCCAGAGATTCATTCATTGTCTAGGAGGAACATCTAGGCCTCCATCCCATCCCAAGGAGCACAGGCCATGCAGTGGATTAAGGCCCTAAGTTTTGGGTTAAATGAAGATTGCCAGGTGGAGATTGTTAAGGGGAGGGTATTAAATGAAAATGCTATGTAAACTGCATGGTGTTTGCAGGCAGTTGTGATTTTCCTGCTCAGCCTGCTGCCACTGGGCTGTGCAGTTATCTGGACTATCCCACCACCACCGGGCTCTTTCCCCTGTATGGAAGCCCCTAATAGAAACCCCATGCTGGTTCTGGGTCTCTTCTTTGGTCTCTGGAACCTGGTGCCTTCCCTACTGAGGTTAATAGGGGTTTGGCACAACAACTATGGAGGCTGAATCATGGGTTGCTGGGTGTTGTCAACGCTCTGCAGCCAAGGACCCCCAGGAACACCCCTGCAGCTGAACAATTGGGTTTAGTGCTCCAAGCAACAGGGGAGACCATACACCCTGGGGTATGCCTCTGTCACCATGGGGTGTTTAAAAGACTTTCTATAGGATTTGGGCTCTTGCTAGGCAATTGTAGAGTTTAGGGGAGTAGGAGTTTGCTCTGGACTGGAGGCTGTCAGGAGACAGAGGTAATTCCATGATTGGGCATCTTAATGAATCTCATCTAGAAGGAGGGAAGACTAGAGTAAATCTAAATTGATCATTGGTAAAGCAGCAGTAGGCACTCATATTAGCCAGGTTAGGGGCTTGTTTGGTCATTTTTGTGGCTAGGAAAACATCCATGTTTTGTCCATGTTCAAACCTGATCACAAAGTGGTCTCGTTTCTCTCTTGATTCATCCTGGTTCTCGGATGGCCTTACTGGTGTTCTGTGAAATGATTTATGTTCAGCAGGAAAATGCCTAGGCCTGACTGTGGGTGCCAGGGCAGCTCCTGAGTGTCAGGGGCTTCTTATCTCTTTCTCATAGTCAAATTTGGGGGAGGAACAGAGCTCTTAAAGATCACAGGGGCAAATGAGAACAAGACTTTGGCTGGAAGGAGTGTAAGAGAGCCCAGCAGTCGGGGAGGATGGCAGAAAGCCACAGACAGTAAGCTGGTCTGAGGTCTCACACAAACCAGAGCTCTGAGGTCTCACACAAACCAGGAGAGCACTGGTGAGGGACAGCTACTGAGAAAATCAGATGGAAACAGGAAAGGATGAGTTCTTAGGCAGAGATACTACTAGAAACCAGGCTGCTTAGTATAGCAGAATGGGGGCAATCAGTTCAATATGTTTGTACCATTGATGTGAAGATGGGACTCGTGTCTCTTTGCTGATCTGTCACATCCAAGAAGGTGCAGACTGAAAGCCACTGAATGCTTCAAAGATACAATTTTTATTACTTGACCAGCCACAAAATGTTCTTCACTGACCAGCACATTAATTCTCAAGTAGGTGTAACCCTCAGACCAGAAAATAAAACTGAATGGTAGTACCTAGGGTAGGGTTGGCAAATTTAGGAAAATTATTGGAGATCTCTAGTTTACTCTGAATTTCAGATAAACTTCAAATATGTAATACTTGAAAATACTTATTATTAAAATATACTATTTATCTGAAATTCAAATTTAACTGTTCTATATTTTATGTGGCAGCCCTAATCTAAGTAGGTATTTTTAAATTTCTATGGATGTATTTATTTATTTATTTATTTTTTTGAGACAAGGTCTCACTCTGTTACCCAGGCAATGGTGGGATCTCGGCCCATTGCAACCTCCGCCTCCCACGTTCAAGTGATTCTCCTGCCTCAGCCTCCCGAGTAGCTGGATTACAGGTGCCCACCACCATGCCCAGCTAATTTTTGTATTTTT
Source organism: Homo sapiens (assembly GCF_000001405.40). Classification (NCBI taxonomy): domain Eukaryota; kingdom Metazoa; phylum Chordata; class Mammalia; order Primates; family Hominidae; genus Homo; species Homo sapiens. The sequence continues at coordinate 56,033,971 of NC_000015.10, read as the reverse complement.
AGTAGAGATGGGGTTTCACCATGTTGGCCAGGCTGGTCTTGAACTCCCGACCTAAGGTGATCTGCCTGCCTCAGCCTCCCAAAGTGCTGGGATTACAGGCGAGAGCCACCGTGCCCAGCCAAGCCCTAACCTAAGTAGGTTTGAAACACAAAATAATTGAGCCTAGAGGAGAGATAGTCTTAGGCCAGTGAAACAAGTTACATGTGCACCAAGATACGTGACCACAAGATAAGGGGTCCTAATGGAGCCTGTTCATGCCAGTCATCTATTAACAGAATGGTGTTCTCTGAGGACATGGGAATCTTCAACCCAGTAAAGCTGGTCAGGATTGTTAGCATCATTACTCAAACTCTCTTGATGCTTTCCAAGCTTTCTATCCATACATTATTCTGATTCTCATTTTTTTCCTTTGCTTATCAAATTTATTTTAAACAATCCAGTATATGTTAGCCATGCTAAGATGCTAAGGCATTTATACAATTAACCTAACAAAGTGCCAACTAGATATAATAAAACAATATTACAGTAAAGACAGAGTTGAGCAGAAGCAGTAACGTATCACATTCGGGTTGAAAACAATTAACATAGTGAGAAAGATGGCATCTTTTCAAATTTAGTCATAGATTTAAGGTAGTGCAATTAAAATACCAATAGAAACTCCTACAGAAAATAGCAAACCATTTACAAAAAAAAAAAAAGTGTTCAGGTGCACTGGTTCATGCCTGTAATTCCATCATTTGGGAGGCCAAGGCAGGAGGATTGCTTGAACCCAGGAATTGGAGACCATCCTGGGCAACATGGCGAAACCCCATCTCTACAAAAAATACAAAAATTAGCCAGGTGTGGTGGTGCATGCTTGTAGTCCCAGCTACCTGGGAGACTGAGGTGGGAGGGTGACCTGTGCCTAAGAAGTTGAGGCTGAATGAAGCGTGATCACACCACTGCACTCCAGCCTGGGCGACAGAGTGAGACCCTGTCTCAAAAAAAAAGAAAAGAAAAAAGTAATTCCAGACTCTGGTTTTAGTGAAAAAGTAGCCTTTTAGTTACAAAACAATTACATGTTTATAAAATTCCCTATAAACAGAAGTTAATGATAGAATGCAAAAATTGATCCAAACATTTCAAAGGTTAAAATGGGCGGCTGGATTTGACTCTCTGTCCTCCTGTGTTCTTTATATCCTCATTTCCTTTTCACCCCTCCCTGTCCCCACTGCCCTTCAAATGGAAAGAATTCCTTGGTGAGACTTTGCACCAAAGATTGCTGTGAGAAGTGGTCACTCTCAGCAAAGGAAAGCTTCATCTCACAGAAGCTTCACTCCTGAGGACCTGCAGAAATGAAACCTTCCTGAGATGCAAAAGCTCTACCACAGTGGCCACTGCTGCTGCAGGGGCACCAGGGACTTCAGAGATCAAACTCCAGCATTCCAGGACAATGCCTGGGCCTGAGGGAGAAGCCTGAGAGGGAAAAAACCAGGGTTCCTGGTGGAGGAAGAGGAGGCCAGAGGGCAAAGAAGCAAAGTTCTAGATGTTCATCCAAGGTAGACTCCGGACTAAAAGATGATTCAACATTGTCAAGTAAAGAAAAAAAAAATCAAGCTTTTGAAGAATTAAAGTTCATTTTATTCAGAAGTCTTACTGAGGACCACAGCGCAGAGAGAGTCAGAGAGGGTCTGCAGGACAGCTGAAGCAGTGCTCCAGTTGACAGCTTACCTACAGGTAGTAAGATTTAGTATGCGCTCCAAAGTTACATTAAGACAAAATCACATCCGAGTCTGAGGGTAAGAGTACATGTGGCTATAGATGACAAAGGCATACCATTAACCCTTCAGATGTTATCTTATGTGTAGGAAAAGGCAAAGAATAGGGTCATTCATCTTTTAAGGAATATGTTGACTCAGGCAAGAGACTTGGGAGCCATGTGCCATATCCCGTTTAGTCTTCAAAGCATTAGCTGGGGGCAGTTGCTCATGTCTGTAATCCCAGCACTTTGGGAGGCCGAGTCGGGTGGATCGGTTGAGCCCAGGAATTTGAGACCAGCCTGGGCAACATGGTGAAACTCCATCTCTACTAAAAACACAAAAATTAGCTGGGTGTTGTGGCGGGCACCTGTAATCCCAATTACTAGGGAGGCTGAGGCAGGAGAATCGCTTGAACCTGGGAGGCGGAGGTTGCAGTGAGCCGAGATCATGCCACTCCACTCCAACCTGGGTGACACAGCAAGACTCGGTCTCAAAAAAAAATGAAAATAAAAATAAAGCATCCCTTTGGAGAGCTACACATAGTCACAGAGTCAGGGGCTCTGTGAAATTACGCTGGCAAGGATAAATGAGCAAACATGACTTCTTATAGCTGGTACTTTGTCTCAGTGAAAAGCAAAGAAACATTGTGCATGACCCTTTGTACTATACACACACACACACACACACACACACACACCTCAAACAATGTAGCATATTAACATACATTGTAACATGATGAAAGCAAATTGCAGAAGCCTGCATGTGGAGTGAGGCCTCGTGTGTCAAATAGGAAGGAAAACAAGGCACATTCATTTTTACTTGTATCTGCACTGAAAGGATACATAAGAAACTAAAGTGATTCCATGTAGAAGACAGGGGAGATGAGGTGAATGGGGCAAGAGTGTTAGAGAGACTTCAAAGCATACTCCTGTAACACTGTATTGTGGAAAACTTTCAAATACATATAAAAATAAAAAGAATACAGGCAGCTTCAGCAACAATACACGTTTTTGTTAAATCTTATTTCACTATTACCCCACATTTTAAAAAAATTAAAATTCTAAAAAAAAGTTTGTTCCATAAATATTTACCATTTGAAATAAATTCACAATTAGCTTAAAAAGAGATTTGGAAAGAAAGAAGATGAAAGCATTTGGAGACAAGCGTAGACTGTTTTGTTTTGGGTTTTTTCATTTTTTGTTTTTGTTTTTTATTTTTGTTTCACTGTAAAGGAGAAGTGCAAAGTGAGGAGACTGAAGTGAGGACACTTTTTTGTTGTGTGGTTGTTTCTTGAGAGACATTAATCGTATTTTGTGTGCTGATGGAAGAAAATACCCAGTAGACAGGGAAAATCTAATAATGCAAGAAATAAAGGTAGGATTTGCTGAAACATGCTACTGCAGGTGAAGGGATGGAATCCGGATCCTGAATGGAGTGGTTCCCTTGACTAGGAGCAAGGATGGTTCACCCACAGCAACAGGAAGAAAAAGCAAAATAAGGAGCACAGGCACAAATACGCAGAGAAGGCCACAGGAGCTTAGAGAATAACTAATCTTTTTGTTTTATATTTTTTGTGTTAGGCTTACAAAAATATTTTTTACTCCAATGAGGCACAGTTGAGCCTCGTTACTTATGAATTCTGTATTTGAGAATCTGGCAGATTTATTTGTAATCCCAAAATCAATACTCACAATGTTTGTGCTGTCATGTGCAGACATTTGTTAAAGGGTCTTAACAGCTCAAAACATAAAAAAGTAAACCAAAAGACATTCCAATACTTACTAATTAAATAATGCAAATTAAAATCTTGCATACTTCTATACACTTTATAATTTGGCAAAAGTAAACAAAATGCTAAAACTGAACTGTTTTGAAGTGTATGGGGAGATAGGCATCGTTAACAGTAAATGATGAGACTTTTCTGGCACTGAGAAAAGCAGACACAGGAGCAACAAGGCAGCTCTGTTGCAGAATTCCAGGGAGCACCATTTATGCTGCATCCTATATGAAGGGTGCCTCCTGGAACTGGGCATCAATGTGGTCGCCCCAAAAGTCATAAAACCATTCAGAACTTTTTTATTCTCACAATCTCACTTTCAAAAACATGTTCAAGGGGAATAATTCAATACAGAACAAAAAGTTAACCACACAGAGCTACTGATTCATAATGGAGAAAATATGGAAACAATACAAGGATGAAAAAATCTGAAAAATATCAAATGAACTATTCTAGATTAATATTAGGAAGCTTGCTGGGTGCAGTGGCATGCACCTATAGTCACGGCTACTTGGAAGCTGAGGTGAATCACCTGAGCCCAGGAGTTCCAGGCTATAGGAGGCTATACCAACCGGAGGTCTACACTAAGTTTGGTATCATATGGTGACCTCCCGGGTATAGGGAAATCACCAGGTTGTCTAAGGAGGGGTGAACCAGTCAAAGTCAGAAATGAAGCAAGTCAAAACTCCTGTGCTGATCAGTAGTGGGATTACGCCTGTGAATAAATAGCCCCTGCAATCCAGCCTGAGCAACATAGCAAGACCCATTCTCAAAAAACAAAGCAAGAAACAAATAAATACATATTAGGGTGCTCTTTACATGATCAATAGATAGCTTATGCTACATGAAAAAGTATAAGTAAAATAATACTAAATTTTAATCATTAACTTAGGTAGTTTTAAGCACTGTGTCATTTTTAATTAGCTTAGGCAGTTTTAAGATTGTGTCAGTTTTCTCAAAATATTTAAGCAATGTTTTAAAAAATTAGGACATTAGATATTTAAACATTATTGTACAAAAATGAAGCATCTGCTGCTGCTCAGCTGTTTGGAATTAAATATTTGCAGGTTTGACACAATTCATATCAACATTAATTAAGAAGGCAAGATATATTGGTTTCATATTGTATTACAAATGCAGAGATAATAGAGAATATTTTGAATGCTGGCAAATGTCAGAAAGAATATTACTGAGAAAAGCAGTGAAGGGTAAGAATAGTAAAGGGGAAAAATAATTTGAGAAGGTCAAATCAGTTTTTCATGATTCTTATTGATGGAACAAAAACACTGTGTAAAAGAAGTTAGCAACACCTGTCTTTTTTTTTTTTTTTCTACAGGATTTTACTCTGTTGCCTTGGCTGGAGTACAGTGGCATGATCATAGCTCACTGCAGCCTCAAATGCTTGGGCTCAAGCAATCCTCTTGCCTCAGCCTCCCAAATAGTTATGACTACAGGCAAGTGCCACCATGTCCAGTTGTTTTTTATTTTTTATTTTGTCAATATGGTGTCTATGTTGTCCAGGCTTCATATCACATATTTTTAGGAGTGGCAAGAGAGCCCTTGACAAGATAAATAAGTATTCTATTAAAGCTTCCTCATTTATGATATGTGTGAAATGTAAATACTCCTGGGTGGTGTAACACTGTAAGTCATACTGGTTATTGTGACTAGGCTAGTAAGATTTTTTCAAGACACTAAGTGATAGACAGTAGGTATTGATAGCAAAGTGTTTACAGGCATTAAAACCAGATTGTACATATTCAGATGAAACTCTACTCAGGTGGAGAAAGTATGCAAGAATGCAGAAAGGAGAGGAAGAGTCAAGGAATGTGTCTACGTTATAATATTTCTAGGACACTCCTTGGATGTGAGTCACATCAGCAATCTACAAGGTAGAACCAACGTTACCAGCAACCAGAACATGTGAAGTGGGAGGGCCTGATATCAGGGTCCTTGTGTTATTCTGAATGAGAGTAGAAAAATGGTTACTTTTGTATTTTAAGTATATAATACATGTTAATGTATTAAAGGTAACTATCAAAGGAATAAAAATAAGATTTATAATTAGCTGGGCATGGTGGCATGTGCCTATAGTCCCAGCTACTCAGAAGGCTGAGGTGGGAGGATTACTTGGGCCTGGGAGGTCGAGGCTGCAGTGGGCTAACATCACATCACTGCACTCCAGTTTGTGCAACAGAGTGAGACTCTGTCTCAAAAACAAAAACAAAAATAAGATGTATAACTTCCTAAACAGTTGAGGGGAAATGAGGAAAAAAAAACAAAACAAAATATGTTCAATCAATAAGCCAGTCACAGTAAGAAACACAGCTCCCCAAATCCTAAATAAAATATTAATAAACTGAACCCAGCAATGAGGAGGGATGGAGGCAGATTTTGAGGCCAACAGAGCATCAAACAATAGTCGCTTCATTCATTCATTATTTACTGAGTAACTGGGTTGTGCCAGGCACTGTTACAAATACCAGGGATATAATGGAGAAAACAGGCAAACATCTCTGCCACCTTAAAGTTACTGATAATATTCAAACTAGGGATCAACACAACAAACAAATAAGCAAAATACACAGTATGTCAGATGGCAATCACTGCTATGGAGAAAAATAAGGCAGGGAAGGAGGTAAAGGAACAGAGGAACATGACTGTAGTTTTACATAGTGTTATCAGAAATATGCAGAAAGTGATGTTTGAGCAAAGACCTGGGAATTGAGGGGTATATGTAGACATATGTGTGTAGGTTTACATATATAGATGTGTTTATATGTAGATACGTATATTCATAAAATCTACATGTAGACATGTATATATGTGGAGATCTATTAGTACATATGTAGACAAAACTATGTCAACATAGGGATATACGTCGACATCTGTGAGAAAGAACTACCCAGGCAGAGGCAGAGGAATGAACAAGTGCAAAGGCCCTGAGGTGGGAGTGTGCCTGGAGTGAGCAGGAGCAGGAAGAGCTATAGGAGATGTGGGCCCTTGAAAGGACTGTAGTGTTTACTTGGAGGAAGATGGGAATTTTTCTGAAGGTTTTAGGTAGAGAAGGGGCATAATCAGACTTACATTTTTAAAGGATCATTACAGTTGCAATTTGAGAATCAACTATAGAGAGGCAAGTGTGGAAGCAGAGAGACTGGGAAGGGATCAGTGACTCAATCCAGGCAACAGAGGATGATGACTTAAATTCAGGTAGCAGAGATGGTTAGAAGTTGTCAGATGCAGAGTATATTTTGAAGGAAGGAAGAGCCAATAGGATCTGCTAAGAGATTTAATAGAATAGATGTGTGTTATGAGAGTGATTACAAATGATTATAAGTTACCCTAGATCAAATAGGGTTTGTATCAGGAATGCAAGGAGAACCTAATAATGTTGTTTACCAAATTAGCAGATTAAAGGAGAAGCACAATATAATCCTCTTATAGATGCAGAAAAAAATACTAATTGACTCAAGTGAAATGATGTACTATGCTTATTAGCCAACTGAACAGTCTGTGATTTGGTTGATAGGAAATGAGCAAATGATGGGGGGGATATTTCTCAAGGATATTTAAAATATATTTTTTAGGCCAGGTGCGGTGGCTCACACCTATAATCCCAGCACTTTGGGAGGCCAAGGCGGGTGGCTCACGAGGTCAGGAGATCGAGACCATTCTGGCTAACCCAGTGAAACCCCATCTCTACTAAAAATACAAAAAAACATTAGCCGGGCGTGGTGGCGGGCACCTGTAGTACCAGCTACTCAGGAGGCTGAGGCAGGAGAATGGCATGAACCTGGGAGGCAGAGCTTGCAGTGAGCCGAGATCACGCCACTGCACTCCAGCCTGGGCAACAGAGCAAGACTCCATCTCAAAAAAAAAAAATTTAAATCCAATTACTAAATTTAAAGATGGCAAGTTAGGCAAAGTTTTAAAAAAAGCTTAGGCAAACTTGGGATAGAAGGAAAATTGCTTGCCTTTGTAAAACATAGTTATAAAAAATGTATAGTAAACACCATATTTAATGGCAAAATAGTAGAAATAATACGTTCAAACTCAAGAAGAAAACAGTGATGCCCACCATCACTATTCTTATTCAATATTGTCATGAAAGACCTACTCAATGTAGTAACACAAGAAAAAAATATAAGGATTGGAAGGAAAGAGCAAAAGGTAACTATTCATGGATGACAGGGTTATCTACACAGAAAATCCAAGATAATACAACTATGATAACTAACGAAAGAGTCCTGCAATGTGGGTTTAAGCGCAATATACAAAATTCATTGCATTTCCACAAAATAGCAGCAAACATTTCCACAGTGTAGCAGCAAACAATCTGAAAATGATATTAAAGAGAAATGATCCCACTCATAGAAGCAACCAAGCTGGTTAGATAGCTATGAATAAATCCAACAAAAGATATGCAAAAACTCTATTACTGATATTGATTGAAGTTTAAAGAAACCCTAAGTAAATGGAAAGGTTTGTCATGTTTCTTTTTTTTTTGAGACAGAGTCTCACTCTATTGCCCAGGCTGGAGTGCAGTGGCGTGATCTCGGTTCACTGCAACCTCCACCTCCTGAGTTCAAGTGATTCTCCTGCCTCAGCCTCTCAAGTAGCTGGGATTACAGGTGCATGCCACCACGCCTGGCTAATTTTTTGTATTTTTAGTAGAGAGGGGGGTTTCACTATGTTGGCCAGGCTGGTCTTGAACTCTTGACCTCAAGTGATACATCTGCCTCAACCTTCCAAAGTGTTGGGATAACAGGTGTGAGCCACCACACCTGGCAGCCATGTTCTTATGTAGGAATACTTAACCTCATCAACATGTTGTTCATCACTAATTAACCTGCATATGCAATACAATTCCAATCAAAATCAAACTCATGGCTGGGTTTTATGTAATCTGAAAAGGTAATCCTAAGATTCAGATAGTAAAGACCTAAGAATAGAGACATTTTGAAGGGGAATTGAAGGGGACTTGCACTACCCAGACATCCAGATGTCAACATGCACTATAAAACTATAGCAATTAAGTAGTTTAGTAAAAATTTTAAAAAAAATCAAAATCATTCTAACTCTCCCTTAGTAGAGGAATGGATAAATTCTCTTTTATTCATACAATATCGGGGGAAACCAGGCCCCAGTATTTCATGTAGTTTCTTTTCTACTTTCCCTAAGTGTCGTCTGGTCTGAGAAATAAAGGGAAAGAGTACAAAAGAGAGAAATGTTAAAGCTGGGTGTCGGGGAAGACACCACATGTCGGCAGGTTCCATGATGCCCCCCAAGCCACAAAACCAGCAAGTTTTTATTAGTGATTTTCAAAAGGGGAGGGAGTGTACGAATAGGGTGTGGGTCAGAGAGATCACATACTTCACAAGGTAATAAAATATCACAAGGCAAATGGAGGCAGGGCGAGATCACAGAACCAGGGCAAAATTAAAATTGCTAATGAAGTTTTGGGTACGCATTGTCATTGATAACATCTTATCAGGAGACAGGGTTTGAGAGCAGACAACTGGTCTGACCAAAATTTATTAGGCGGGAATTTCCTCGTCCTAATAAGCCTGGGAGCGCTAAGTGAGACTGGGGCTTATTTCATTCCTTATCTACAACCATAAAAGACAGACATTCCCAAAGCGGCCATTTTAGAGAATTCCCCTTGGGAATGCATTCTCCTTCTCAGGGATGTTCCTTGCTGAGAAAAAGAATTCAGTGATATTTCTCCTATTTGCTTTTGAAAGAAGAGAAATATGGCTCTGTTCCTCCCGGCTCTCAGGCAGCCAGACCTAATGGTTATCTCCCTTGTTCCCTGAACATCACTGTTATACTGTTCCTTTTTCAAGGTGCCCAGATTTCATATTGTTTAAACAATCTGTGCAGTTAATGCAATCATCACAGGGTCCTGAGGCGACATTCATCCTCAGCTTATGAAGATGACAGGATTAAGAGATTAAAGACAGGCATAGGAAATCACAAGAGTATTGATTGGGGAAGTGATAAATGTCCATGAAATATTCACAATTTATGTTCAGAGACTGCAGTAAAGACAGGCGTAAAAAATTATAAAAGTATTAATTTGGGCAACTAATAAATGTCCATGAAATCTTCACAATTTATGTTCTTCTGCCATGGCTTCAGCTGGTCCCTCCATTCGGGGTCCCTGACTTCCCACAATGATACAACAGAATAATAAACAGATAAAATGAAAAAACTCGATTTCCATGTATCAGATTGTATAGTTCAAAACATGCTTTTAAAAGGCAAGTTGAAAACGAACCTATAAACTATGATGCTATTTATGTTTAATTTAGAAATACAAACAATAATTCATATATTCTTTATGGATACATGCATATACACTAAAAGTTATATATTTGTATTTAAAAAAAGCTGTGGTTGCCTCTAGAAGAGAAGAGGACGAAACAGGGCCAGAGCAGGGCAATATGCTTTGCCATATTTATAATATTTTTTAGAGTGCGCTTTCAAATGACAGTAGCAAAATAACAAGATATACTTACGCAAGCCTCAGTAAATTCAAAAAGATAGGAACCTTACTCTCAGACCACAGTGGAATAGAAATAGAAATTAATACCCAAATCTCTCAAAACCACAAAATTACATGGAAATTAAATAACTTGCTCCTGAATGACTTTTGGATAAACAATAAAATTAAAGCAGAAATCAAAAAATTCTTTGAAATAAATGAAACTAGAGACACAACATAACAAATCTCTGGGATGTAGCAAAAACAGTGGTAAGAGTAGTATTTTTAGCAATAAATGCCTACATCAAAAAGCTTGAAAAAATCTTAAATTGACAACCTAATATCACACCTAGAGGAACTAGAAAAACAAAAACAAATTAATCCCCAAGCTAGCAGAAAAATAACTAAAATCAGAGCAAAACTAAGTGAAATTGAGACCAGTGGCTCATGCCTGTAATCCCAGCACTTTGGGAGGTCAAGGCTGATGGATCACTTGAGGTCAGGAGTTCAAGATCAGCCTGGCCAATGTGGTGAAGTGCCACCCTCCCCATCTCTACTAAAAATGCAAAAATTAGCTGGGCATGGTAGTGCATGCCTGTAATCCGAGCTACTCAGGAGGCTGAGGCAGAGTAATTGTTTGAACCTGGGAGGCGGAGGTTGCAGTGAGCTGAGATTGCGCCACTGCACTTCAATCTGGGCAACAGAGAGAGACTCCGTGTGGGAAAAAAAAAAAGGAGTCAACAAAACGAAAAGTTGGTTTTTCGAAGGATAAACAAAATTGATAAACCATTAGCTAGATTAGCGAAGAAAAAAAGGAGAAGATCCAAATAAGCACAATCAGAAATGACAATGGTTATTACAAACGATCCCACAGAAATACAAAAGATGCTCAGAGACTATTATGACTACCTCTATGCACACAAAGGATAAAATCTAGAGGAAATGGATGAATTCCTGGAAACATACAATCTCCCAAGATCAAATCAGGTAGAAATTGAAACTCAGAACAGACCAATATCAAGTTCTGACATTCAATCAGTATCAAAAAACCTACCAACCAAAAAATCCCTAGACCAGATTGATTCAGTCAAATTCTACAAGATGTACAAAGTGCTTATACCAATTCTACTGAAACTATTTTTTTTTTAATCAAGGAGGAAGGACTCCTCCCTAACTAATTCTACAAAGCCAGCATCACCCTGATACCAAAACCTACCAAAGACACAACAGAAAAAAAAAAAAAACTCCAGGCCAATATACCTGATGAACATAGATGCAAAAATCCTCAACAAAATACTAGCAAACCAAATCCAACAGCACATCAAAAAGTTAGTTCACCACAATCAAGTAGGCTTCATTCCTAGGATGCAAGGTTGGTTCAACATACACGATTCAAGAAATGTGATTGACCACAGAAACAGAATTAAAAACAAAAACCATATGATCATCTCAATAAACACAGAAAAAGCTTTCAATAAAACCCAACATTGCTTCTTGCTAAAAACCCTCAAGAAACTAGGCATCTAAGGAGCATACCTCCAAAAATAAGAGCCATCTATGTAAAACCCACAGCCAACATCATACTGAATGGGCAAAAAATACTGGAAGCATTTCCCTCAAGAGCTGGAACAACACAAAGATGCCCACTCTCACCACTCCTATTCAACATAGTACATTGCTAGCCAGAGCAATCAGGCAAAGGAAAGAAATAAAAGGCATTCGAATCAGAAAATAAGTCAAAATATCAGTCTTCACGGACAATATGATTCTATACCTAGAAAACCCTAAAGACACTACAAAAAGGCTCAGGGAACTGATAGATGACTTCAGTAAAATTTCAGGATACAAAATCAATGTACAAGTATCACTAGCATTTCTATATACCAACATTCAAGCTGAGAGCCAGACCAAGAATACAATCCCATTTACAATAGCCACACACACACAAAATACCTAGGAATACATCTAAACAGGGAGATGAAAGATCATTACAAGGAGATCTACAAAACACTGCTCAAAGAAATCATAGATGACACAAATGCACTCCATGCTCATGGATCAGAAGAATAAATATCACTGGGCATGGTGGCTCATGCCTGTAATTCCAGCACTTTGGGAGGCCGAGGCGGGTAGATCAGTTGAGGTCAGGAGTTTGAGACCAGCATAGCCAATATGGTAAAACCCCATCTCTACTAAAAATACAAAAGTCAGCCAGGTATGGTGGCACATGCCTGTAATCCCAGCTACTCAGTAGGGTGAGGCAAGAGAATCACTTGAACCTGGGAGGCAGAGGTTGCACTCCAGCCTGAGCAACAGAGGGAGATTCCATCTCAAAAAAAAGAAAAAACAAAACAAAACATGGAAAAAGAATCAATATTGTTAAAATGGCCATGCTGCCAAAGGAATCTACATATTCAACACTATTCTTATCAAACTACCAATGTCATCTTTCACAGAACTAGAAAAAAACTATTCTAAAATTCATATGGAACCAAAAAAGAGTCTGAATAGCCAAAGCAATTCCAAGCAAAAACAACAAAGCCAGAGGCATCACATTACCTGACTTCAAGCTATACTACAAGGCTACAACAAAAACAGACACATAGATAAATGGAACAGAATACAGAATCCAGAAGTGAAGCTGCACACCTACAGCCATCTGATCTCGACGAAGGTGACAAAAATAAGCAATGGAAAAAGGACTTACTATTCAATAAATGGTGCTGGGATAACTGCCTAGCAATATGCAGAAGAATGAAATTCAACCCCTACATTTCACCTATCTTATTACAAGATGGATTAAGATTTAAATTTAAGACCTCAAACTATAAGACTACTAGAAGAAAACCTAGGAAACACCATTAGGGACATTGGCCTTGGGAAATAATTTATGACTAAGTCCTCAAAAGCAATTGCAACGAAAACAAAAATTGTCAAGTGGGACCTAATTAAACTAAAGAGCTTCCACACAGCAAGATAAATTATTAACAAATTATATGGACAACCTACAGAATGGAAGAAAACATTTGCAAACTACACATCTGACAAAGGTCTAATATCCAGAATCTATAAGTAACTTAAACAATTGAACAAGCAAAAACAAATAACCCCATTAAAAACGGAGAAAAGACATGAACAGACACTTCTCCAAAAAGAAAAAAAAAAAACACAAGCAGCCAACAAATACATGAAAAAAATGCTCCATATCACTAATCATTAGAGAAAGGCAAATCAAATCACAATAAAATACCATATCATACCAGTCAGAATAGCTATTCTTAAAAAGTCAAAAAATAACAGATGCTGACAAGGCTGCAGAGAAAAGGGAGCATGTATACACTGTTGATGAGAATGTAAATTAGTTCAGCCAGTGTGCAAAGCAGTTTGGAGATTTCTCAAAAAACTGAAAACAAAAGTACCATTTGACCCAGCAATCCCATTACTGGGTATCTATCTAAAAGAAAATAAATCATTCTACCAAAAGACATATGCATCTATATGTTCATCGCAGCACTATTCACAATAACAAAGACATGGGATCAACCTAGGTGCCCATCAGTGGTGGACGGGATAAAGAAAATGTGGTACATACACAACAGAAACATTACGGAGTCATAAAAAAAAATGAAATCATGTCCTTTGCAGCAGCATGGATGTAGCCATTATCCTAAGTGAATTAACGCAGGAACAGAAAGCCAAATACCGCGTTCTCACTTATAAGTGTGAGCCAAATATTGGGTACTCATGGACACACAGATGGCAACAATACAAACAGGACTACTTGGGGTGGGAGTGGACAATGGTTGAAAAACTAAATTATTTTTTAAAGAATGTTCATTTTTCATTTCACGGAATTCTAAAAATGTGCCAGGTATAATTAACAGCTGTTAATTAGATTCAACTGTGCTCCTTTTCCTTTCTTTTGATTACAGCGCCCCTCTTCGCAGTAAGGAGTCTGTTCATGCAGTTCAGGTGGGGCTAACACGCTTGCACCTGCCCTAGATGAGGGAATGGGTACAAGAAAGCCCAATCAGACTATTCTCTTAGATTAAATACATAGAGCTTGGGAGATAAAGGGTTTATCTTATGGGCTTGGGGGTAAACTAAGAATTACATAGACTTGGGACTACTGGTAGCTGTTGTGCTGCTGAGTAGAGAGAACCTCTTCAAGAACAAAGCCATGAAGAGACAACAGAGGGATGGAAAAAAGAGAGACCTGAAACTCTCAGATCTAGTCATTCCTGGAATCAGATTTACCTCCTTGGACTTTCCAGGTATATCCAGCAACATACAATTGATTCTTATTGTATTAGTCAGGGTTCTCCAGGGGGACAGAACTAATAGGATGGATGTAGATGTATACATGAAAGGGAGTTTCTTAAGGAGAATTGACTCACACGATCACAATGCGAAGTCCATGATAGGCTGTCTCCAAGCTGAGAAAGAAGGAAGCCAGTAGTGGCTCAGTCCGAGTCCAAAAGTCTCAAAAGTAGGGAAACTGACAGTGCAGCCGACAGAGCCCCCGGCAAAACGCTGGTGTAAGTCCAAGAGTCCCCGAAGAACCTGGAGTCTGATGTCCAACGGCAGGAAGCATCCAGCATGGGAAAAAGATGAAAGTTAGAAAACTCAGCAAGCCAGCTTATCCCACCTTCCTCTGCTTGCTTCGTTCTAGCCTCTCTGGCAGCCAATTGGATGGTGCCCACCCACATGGAGGGTGGGTCTTCCTCTCCCAGTCCGCTGACTCAAATGTTAATCTCCTCTGGCAACACCCTCACAGACACACCCAGAAACAATACTTTACCAGTTATGTAGGCATCCTTCAATCAAGTTGACCCCTAATATTAACCACCACACTCATTATTCATGGATTCTGTATTTGCAAATTTACTTACCTACTAAAGCGTATTTGTAACCCCCAGATTAATACTCTTGAAACTATAAGGGAGTTTTAAACCTTCCCCCTACTTTCTGAAGGTTTGATAATTTGAGTCTCTGGAATAAACTGACAGCATACAGATTAACAAGAGAAAAGGCATACAGTTTTATTATGTGCATGCACGTGGGAGCCTCACAAATTATAAGATTCAAAGAAGGGGTAGATGGTCAAAGTTTTTATAGCATCCTGAGCTATAGAAGGAAATAGGGGCTTGAGGCTTCTGTGGGGAGGTGGTGACAGGTTATGAGAGGGTGAGAGGAGGAAATTTATAGTGAACAAAGTTGTCTTGTTATACAGAGAAAATATCTCAAGTAGCAACCCTCAGAACAGTTGGGCTGGGGGCAGTGGCTCATGTCTGTAATCCCAGCATTTGGGGCTGAGGCAGCCAGATCGCTTGAGGTCAGAAGTTTGAGATCAGCTTGGGCAACATGGAAAAACCCCACATGCCTACAAAAAAAGAAAAAAAAAATAGCTGGGTGTGGAGGCACATGCCATGGTCCCAGCTACTCAAGAGGCTGAGGCAGGAGGACCCCTTCAGCGTGGGAGCTCAAGGCTGCAGTAAGCCACAATAGTGCCACTGCACTCCAGCCTGGGTGATAGGAATGAGACCCTATCTCAAAAAAAAAAAAAAAAAAATACAGGAAGAAGAAGAATAGGTGGCAACTTTTGACAAAGTCTATCTGGGCAAGGTACCAACCTTTAGTCTCCTCTCCTGTGATATAATTAATCTTCCCTAGCTAATGAGATTGCAGAGAGGGGACAAATGAGTCCCTTTTGGAGGATCCATTTTTAGGCAAGTAAGGGAAATTCAGAGAGAGCTCCCTCTTGCTCTTCAGGAGAGAAGGACAAGAGACAAGAGCACAGGAGAAAGTCAGTGAGACCTTGGTTCAACTTCAGTTCAAAGCACTCAGCATGCCACAGTGCCATACTATGGGGTATTGTTTTCTGAGCCCCAACAGTGCTTTCACAATCATTCACTGACATGTATGTACAGAGTAGTGAAAAATTTGAGTCACCTGATGTGCATGTTTCCAGCTGAGGTTCAACAAGACGTCTGCTGTCTTGCTTCACCTCTCACACTGTAAACAAATGTCCTTTTTGCAATCTATTTAGTGCCACGTTTTTCACATTTTGTGCTTTTCGTTGTTTTCACTGTTTAAAATGGCCCTGGAGCTTAGTGCTAAAGTGCTGTTTTGGTTAGCGTTCCTGAATACTAGGCTGAGATGTGCCTTACAGAGAAAATATATGGGTTAGATAAGCTTTGTTCAGGCATGAGTTAGCATGTTGGTAGTTCAGTGTTAATGAATCAACAATACGCATTAAATGAGATGTCTTTAAGCCAAAACACACATAAAACAAGGTTATGTATTGATCCATTGATGAGAATATTGTGACCGGAGGCTCCCTGGAACCTAACCTTTTAAGTCTTCTGGGAGTAATGGTTCAGTATTCACTAATGCAGTGTTTATGGCAACTTGATAGAACATAACTACTGCACGTAATGAAAACTGACTGTATTCTCCTTTTGCTTAAGTTAGTTTGAGTTGGAAGAAGAGGCACATAATGTAGTAAGGGGCTGAGGGAAGGCTTTATGAAAGAAATGACTTTTAAGTGAGTAGCATTTTACCAGGAAAGAGAGTGGGAGAAGAGAATTCCAGGCTAAGAAAATAGTCTGAACAAAGATCTTAGGGTGACAAGGAGCAAGGCATGTTTGATGATCCAAAAGAAAGCCAGTGCAGTTGGACCACAAAAATCAAGGGAATAATAATGTGAGAATTTAAAGAAGGTAGAAAAAATATATATATAGTGGATATTCTTGGTGCCTACCTGTAATCAATTTCCCACACCTTCCTTCTCATAGATCCCCAATTTTGTTCTGGTATCCATCCTTATCCAACCTTTGGGATTAGGGAAAGCTAACACCATCCTCAGCTCACAAAGTAAGGACTGGTTAAGGTAAACTAACCATGTAATCTCATCCCTGGCCAGCAAATGGTTTAGGAATGGGAATGTACCTCAGTGTTGGCCAATAAAATTTGAGCTACTAATAGCTTTTGGGAAAGTTCTTTATATTTGAGTGATAATAATGGAAAGTAGATCTCACTGTTCCATATTGAATGTAAGCAAAGAAACCTGTTGCTTAATTTGTGTCCTTGAGGGAAGCCAGCCTGAGAACAAAACCTACACGTGGAGAATGGACTCGCAAACACTGCAAGAAAATCAGGCTAGAACTTTGATTATGTTGAAACTGCCTTTGCAAAATTATGACAGTAAGAGAAATCTGACATAGTTGATTCCATCTTGCTTCTGACCTCCAAGCTATCCTCGGTCTTTCCTGGGTGTGGGCCAAGCTAACCATGGGGAGAATTTAGTTTATAGTTTAACCTTAAAGCAGGGATAATAACAGCCCTTCCCAAAACTAAACTGCATCTGTAAAACGAATAAAAAGCCACAAGCTTCGGATTATGAGAGGGTGCTGAACTCTGCTAAAATGTAGGCATAGTTTCTAATCCCTTACTGCTCAGGAGTCATGTGACCAGAGGTCACAAGATTTGTGACCTTCCCAATTGCTCCTATATAACATCACTATTACAGAACCTATAATTAGTTTGAGATGTTTTTCAGATGGACTCCACCTGAACTCATGACTCAATGAATCCTGTGGCCCCACCCAGAGGCAGACTCAGCCCATGAGGACTATTTTCCACACCCCTACGATTTCATCCCCAACCAATCAGCAGCACCTACTCCCTAAAAACTCCCAACCTCCAAATCTTCAGAGACTGATTTGAGCCCAGTTCTCCCTCATGGGCTTGCCTCATGTCAATTAAACTCTTTCTCTACTGCAGTGCTGCCATCTCAGTGGATTGATTTTGTCTGTGCAGTGGAGAGGAAGAACCTGTCCGGCAATGACTATATGGTACCTGAAGTCTGCATATATCAAGACATTTGGTTATATAAGCCACCTTCACTGTTTAAGGAGTGGAGTTGGTTTTCTGTTAATTGAGGTGGAAAGCCTCTTAACTAAAACAATAGGTGTCCAGGTTCAGTCCCCTAAGTGATACATCTAAGATGAATGCAACTGGATGGCGGATTGGGAGCTCTGGTGAGCAAGTTATTGAAGCCACCTGATATGGCTTGGCTGTGTCCCCACCCAAGTCTCAACTTGAATTGTATCTCCCAGAATTCCCATGTGTTGTGGGAGGGACCCAGGGGAAGGTAACTTAATCATGGGGGCTGGTCTTTCCCATGCTATTCTCATGATAGTGAATAAGTCTCATGAGATATGATGGGTTTATCAGGGGTTTCCGCTTTTGCTTTTTCATCATTTTTTCTCTTTTCACTGCCATGTAAGAAGTGCCTTTCACCTCCCACCATGATTCTGAGGCCTCCCCAGCCATTTGGAATTGTAAGTCCAATTAAACATCTTTTTCTTTCCAGTCTAGGGTATGTCTTATAAGCAGCATGAAAGTGGACTAATACAGTAAATTGGGACCAGTAGTGTGTGGCATTGCTGAAAAGACACCTAAAAATGTGGAAGCGACTTTGGAACTGGGTAACACAAAGAGGTTGGAACAGTTTGGAGGGCTCAGAAGAAGACAGGAAAATGTGGGAAAGTTTGGAACCTCCTAGAGACTTGTTGAATGGCTTTGAAAAAAAGGCTGATAGTGATATGAACAATAAGGTCCAGGCTGACGTGGTCTCAGATGGAGATGAGGAACTTGTTGGAACTGGAGCAAAGGTGACTCTTGTTATGTTTTAGCAGAGACTGGTGGCATTTTGCCCCTGCCCTAGAGATTTGTGGAACTTTGAAATTGAGAGAGATGATTTAGGGTACCTGGTGGAAGAAATTTCTAAGCAGCAAAGCATTCAAAACGTGACTTGGGTGCTGTTAAAAGCATTCTGTTTTAAAACAGAAACAGAGCATAGAAGTTCAGGAAATTTGCAGCCTGACAATGCAGAAAAGAAAAACCCATTTTTTTTTTGAGGAGAAATTCAAGCCAGCTGCAGAAATTTGCATAAGTAGCACAGAGCTTCATGTTAATCCCCAAGATCATGAGGAAAATGTCTCTCAGTTGATGTCAGAGACTTCACAGCAGCCCCTCCCATCACAGGCCCGGAGGCCCAGGAGGGAAAAATGGTTTAGTGGGCCAGACCCAGGGTCTCTGTGCTGTGTTGCAGCCTAGGGACTTGGTGCTCTGTGTCCCAGCTGCTCCAGACATTGCTGAAAGGGGCCAACACAGAGCTTGGTCTGTGGCTTCAGAGGGTGAAAGCCTCAAGCCTTAGCAGCTTCCACATGGTTTTGAGCGTGCGGGTTCACAGACGTCAAGAATTGAGGTTTGAGAACCTCTGCCTAGATTTCAGAAGATGTATGGAAATGCCTGGACGCCCAGGCAGAAGTTTGCTGCAGGGGTGGGGCTCTCATGGAGAACCTCTACTAGGGCAGTGCAGAAGGAAAATGTGGGGTTGGAGCCCCCACACAGAGTCCCTACTGGGGCACTGCCTAGTGGAGCTGTGAGAAGAGGGCCACCATCCTCCAGACCCCAGAATGGTAGATCCACTGACAGATTGCACTGTGCACCTGGAAAAGCTGCAGACACTCAATGCCAGCCTGTGAAAGCAGCCAGGAGGGAGGCTGTACCCTGAAAAGCTACAGGGGCAGAGCTGCCCAAGACCATGGGAGCCCACCTCTTGCATCAGCATGACCTCAATGTGAGACCTGGAGTCAAAGGAGATCATTTTGGAGCTTTAAAATTTGACTGCCCCACTGGATTTCAGACTTGCATGGGCCCTGTAATCCCTTTGTTTTGGCCAATTTCTTCCATTTGGAATGGCTGTATTTACCCAATACCTGTACCCCCATTGTATTCAGGAAGTAACTAGCTTGCTTTTGATTTTCCAGGCTCATAGGCGGAAAGGACTTACTTGCCTTGTCTCAGATGAGACTTTGGACTGTGGACTTTTGGGTTAATGCTGAAATAAGTTAAGTTTGGGGGACTGTTGGGAAGGCATGATTGGTTTTGAAATGTGAGGACATGAGATTTGGAGGGGCCAGGGGTGGAATGATATGGTTTGGCTGTGTCCCCACCCAAATCTCAACTTGAATTTTATTTCCCAGAATTCCCACATATTGTGGGAGGGACCCAGTGGGAGGAGGTAATTGAATCATGGGGGCTGGTCTTTCCAGTGCTATTCTCATGATAGTGAATAAGTCTCATGAGATCTAATGGGTTTATCAGGGTTTCCGCTTTTGCTTTTTCCTCATTTTTTGTCTTACTCCCACCATGTAAGAAGTGCCTTTCACCTCGTGCCATGATTCTGAGGCCTCCCCAGCCATGTGGAAGTGTAAGTCCAATTAAACCTCTTTTTCTTCCCAGTCTCAGGCATGTCTTTATCAGCAGCATGAAAACAGACTAATATACCACCCTCAGGGGCTTTACAAGAAATCTGGACAGAAATAATTATAATCAAGCGGTAATCAGTCTGCATGTTGACCCACTTCCTTGTTACTGAAAGTCATATCACACTAGATACTGGCCATCTGCACCCCCATTATACCTATAAATAGGATTCCTGGCCCTAGAATCATACAGCTTTTGTTTAAGATAGATATGATTTCTGACATTAGAGTCCTAACACTTTAAGAATTGCTTAAGCAGATCCTGAATTCCAGCAGAACAGCTGATGCCAAGCAGTTCAAGACCCTCATAGGGTAACTCAATCAGCATCAACATGAGAATATCATTTCTTCATCTTGTACCATGACTTCATCTTGTACTCTTCAACCAAGCAACAATCGTCACTCCTTGGCTCACTCCAAAACCCTTATAAACTCTAGCCCCAAACTCCTCAGGGAGTTTGAAGTTTCCTTCCATCTCCTCATATGGCAGCCCTACAATTAAAACTCTTTCTTTGCTGCAACCTGGTGTCTTGGCAAATTGGCTTACCATGCACATCAGGCAACAGACCTATTACAGTCATGTAACAACCAGACAATCTAGTTTGGTGTTACATGTTGTGTTTATTTCCCTTTGGTTATTCGTTATTGCCTAGCCTTTAGTAAAGTCTTTTTTTTTTTTTTTTGGAGACAGGGTCTTACCCTGTTGCCCAGGCTGGGGTATAGTGTTGCCATCACAGCTCACTGCAGCCTTGACCTCTGAGCTCAACCACTCCTCCCACCTCACCTGAGTAGCTGGGACTACAGATGCACACCACCACAGTCAGGTAATCTTAAAAAAATTATTTGTAGAGATGAGGTCTTACTATGTTGCCCAGGCTGGTCTCAAATTCCTGGGCTCAAGTGATCCTCCTGTCTTGGCCTCCCAAAATGCTGGGATTACAGGTTTGAACCACTGCACCTAACCCAGTAAAGACTTGTGTACACCATGAGCAATTGAAGTTTTCCTTGCCCATGAGATTATACTGAGAGTGACTTTAATGATTATTCCAGGCTCTAGAGAAATTCAAAGCAATCCCTCAGATTTCTTTGAACTCTACATGTGCTCATGTTTATATGTTCATTACTACTAGCTCTGGTTCAGTTTATGGGTCATCTCACTCTCTAGTGTATATTGAACTCTATGCTGTCTGTTGAACATCATACCAACCTTTACATGAAACATACCCTTCTATTCAAGATCCACACATACATGAAAGAGATATTTATGTTTAATAAATGTGATCAAATATTTTGGGGACAGATAAGGGACTTATATTGTAAAAATGCCAAGAAATTTAATGTTAAACACCCTTATTCTTTTTTTTTTTTTTTTTTTTGAGATGGAGTCTCACTCTGTCACCCAGGCTGGAGTGCAGTGGCGCAGTCTCACCTCACTGCAAGCTCCGCCTCCCGGGTTCACACCATTCTCCTTCCTGCCTCAGCCTCACGAGTAGCTGGGACTACAGGCGCCCGCCACCATGCCCAGCAAATTTTCTGTATTTTTAGTAGAGACGGGGTTTCACCGTGTTAGCCAGGATGGTCTCGATCTCCTAACCTCATGATCCGCCCGCCTCGGCCTCCCAAAGTGCTGAGATTACAGGCTTGAGCCACCGCGCCCGGCCTATTTCAAACAAATAAACAAAACCCACTACCTATCCAGTGTATGATAAGAAAACAAAAAACAACTTGGCATAGCCTATTGGGAATACTTAGAGAATCACAGAATTTTAGAATAAGAGGGCATTCCCTCACCATATGTTTTAGGTGATGCCAAAGGATATAAAAGTTTTTATTGCAGAATAGATACAAAAGTATTGACTGCAAATGTAATTTTTTTCTCTGTGTTAAACATTGAGCTTTTTTGATCAATTTTGTGTATAGAAATGTCTTCCCTATTATGTGAAAAAGTCACATGAAACAATGTAAACTCTATACAACCCAATTGACATCCATAGGGGAATAGCTTTAATAAATTGTGCTATATTGATATTGTATTTTTTCTTAAAGCTGCTGAAATGTATTAATTAGATGAGTATGCAACACAGCATAACAAGACAAAGTGTGGAAGGGAAAAAGCAAGTTGTAGAACAATGTATATACTGTTTACTGTAGTGAATTGTGCACATCAAACTTAAAACAACGGCTACTTCTGGCACAGGGGAGGGTACTAGGATTTGGGGAATTCAAATAAAAAATGACTTTAGCCTTATTTATAATATATTAATTTTTAAAAGAATAGTGCTAGCCGGGCACAGTGGTTCACGCCTGTAATCCAAGCACTTTGGGAGGCTGAGGCGGGCGGATCACGAGGTCAAGAGATCAAAACCATCCTGGCCAACATGGTGAAACCCCGTCTCTACTAAAAATACAAAAAATTAGCCAGGCATGGTGGCAGGCGCCTGTAATCCCAGCTACTTGGGAGGCTGAGGCAGGAGAATCGCTTGAACCTGGGAGGCAGAGATTGCATATTGAGACTGGGTAAATTTTTTTTTTTTGATACAGAGTTTTGCTGTTGTTGCCCAGGCTGGAGTGCAATGGCGTGATCTCGGCTCACTGCAACCTCTGCCTCCCGGGTTCAAGCGATTCTCCCGCCTCAGCCTCCCGAGTAGCTGGGATTACAGGCACCCACTACCGCGCACGGCTAATTTTTTATTTTTAGTAGAGATGGGGTTTCACCATGTTGACCAGGCTGTTCTCAAACTCCTGACCTCAGGTGATCCCTGACCTCGGCGTCCCAAAGTGCTGGGATTACAGGCATGAGCCACCACACCTGGCCTGGGTAATTTATAAAGGAAAGAGGTTTAATTGATTCAATGTTTCACAGGACTGGGGAGGCCTCAGGAAACACAATCATGGCAGAAGAGGAAGCAAACGTGTCCTTCTTCACATGGCAACAGCAAGGAGAAATGCCAAGCAAAAGGGGGAAAATCCCCTTATAAAACCATCAGATCTCATGAGAACTCACTCACCATCACGAGAACAGCATGAGGGTAACTGCCCCCATGATTAAATTACCTCCCACCGGGTCCCTCCCACAATATGTGGGGATTACGGGAACTACAATTCAAGATGAGATTTGGGTGGGGATGCAGCCTAACCATATCAATTAATGAAAAATACTGTTACTACATTAATATAAGATTTTAATAAAACACATAGAATACTAGATTATATTTGTTGGAATAAAAATATGTTATATTCTACCAAACATATTTATCTGTTATGTAACATATTTATATGTTTTGTGTTACATATTTATCAGGAGTAATTTAACCAAAATTACTCCTGATTCTTATTTGATAATAATATTGCAGGGAAACAATTTTAGAATTATTAAGAACCAGAGAGCTTTTTAGGATAACTTAACATTTCTTTTTTCATTTTTTTTTTGAGCCAGGGTCTCATTCTGTCACTCAGGCTGGAGTGCAGTGGTGTGATCATGGCTGCTGGGCTCAGGTGATCCTCCCACCTCAGCCTCTTAGGTAGCTGGGACTACAGGTACACACCACCACGCCTGGCTAATTTTTGTAGTTTTTGTAGAGACAGAGTTTTGCCATGTTGCCCAGGCTGGTCTCAAACTCCAGGACTCAAGTGATCTGCCCACCTCTGCCTCACAAAGTGCTGGGATTACAGGCATGAGCCACCGTGCCCAGGCTTTTCTGGAAATTTAAATTTTAGGTGTGAATTCTAATAAAGGACTAAATAATGTAAAGACAGACAACCCAATAAGAAGACAGGCAAAATACTTAAATAGGCACTTCACAAAGGAGGATATTTAATTGTTCAATGAACATATGAGGAGAAGGTGCTCTATCATTAGTCATCAGGGAAATGCACACAATGAGATAGCACTACTCACGTATCAGAAAGGATACAAAATTTTAAAATGACAATACCACATGTTAGCAAGGATCTGGAACAACTGAAAGTAATCATCTGCTGTTGGGAATGTACATTGGCATAGCCACTTTGGAAAGCCATTTGGCAACAGTCTACTAAATCTGAATATGCGTTTACCTTATCCCCCAGCAATTCCACTCTTGGTGAATGAAAACATGGGTGACCCAAAAGACATGTGCAAGAACGTTCATTTGTAGCTTTGTTTATAATATCTCCAAATTGGCAACAACCCAAATGTATATCAAGGGTATAGTATTCATAGAGTGAAATACTGTATAACAATCAGAACAAGTTACTGTTGTATGCAACAGTAGGATACATTGCTGTATGACAGATGCACCTGACAGCAATAATTTAAGTATACCCTTAAGAATGAACCTATGGTCTAAGAGGAATGTGTGTTCAGAGTTCTGAGCTAAGGAACCTGGGAGTGGTCAACCCAGAGTTTCCCTCCTTATCTATGAAGGACATCTGAACCCCTAGTCCATCCCTCGGAATGCAGGCTGTACATGGGATTGAGGCCCTTTGTTTTGGGTTAAATGAAAACTGCTAGGTAGAGGTTGCTAGATGGAGGGTGCTAAGCAAAAATGCTATAAAAACTGCATGCTTTTTACAAACGGGAGTGGTTCTCCTGTCCAGCCGCTGCCACTGGACCATCCCTGTGTATAATTTCTTCCAATAAACCCTATGTCTCAGTTGCTGTCTCCACATCACTTCTTCAGCCTCTCAGGATGCCATCCCTATTGGGGTCAATGGGAGTCTGGCATGACAATTGCACAGGCATAATGTTGAGCAAAGGAAGGCAGACATTAAAGCATACTGTATGGTTTCATTTCAATAAAGTTCAAAAATAAGCAAAATAAATTTGTGATAGAAGTCAGAATAGTGAATACTTGTGGGAGGCAATGACTAGTAGATGACATGAAGACTCTGGGGCATGGACAATGTTCTGAGTCTTAATCTGGGTGCCAGTTAGTATGTGCGTTCACTTGGCAAAAGTTCCTTCAGCTGTATACTTAAGACCTGTTCAGTTTTTGTGTGTTGTACTTCAATTTGAAATATTTTTAATGGCGGGCGCAGTGGCTCACACCTGTAATCCCACCACTTTGGGAGGCTGAGACAGAGGATCCCCTGAGCTCAGAGGAGTTTGAGGCCAGCCTGGGCAACATGGCGAAACCCCATCTCTACTAAAAATACAAAAATTAGACAGGTGTGGTGGCATCTGCCTGTAATCCCAGCTACTTGGGAGGCTGAGGTAGGAGAATTGCCTGAGCCTGGGAGGCAGAGATTGCAGTGAGCCAAGATCGTGCCACTGCACTCCAGCCTGGGCTACAGAGTGAGATCCTGTCTCAAATAAATAAAGTAAAATAAAATGTTTATAAAATAAAATCTCTAGCAGAGTCACATGGAGACAAGGCAGTTAGTGCCAAGTTATCCCAAGGGTGGCCCCTAAGATTGTCTGTGAGTTCCCCCTTCTGAGGCCCTGAGAGCTTTTCCAGTTTCTCTCCTTCCTGAGAACTGGTTCTTTTTTTTTTATTCTCTTGATCCTTACAATAAAAATCTCCCCCAAAATAATAATAATTAGTTTCTTACTGACATCCACTTGAGATTCAGGAAGAAATTGACATTATTCTTGAGGTAAACAGCACTGCTTTTTTTTTTTGAGACAGAATCTCATTCTGTTGCCCAGGCTGGAGTGCAGTGGCGCGATCTTGGCTCACTGCAACCTCCGCCTCCCAGGTTCAAGTGATTCTCCTGCCTCAGCCTCCTGAGTAGCTGGGATTACAGGCGCCTGTCACTACACCCAGCTAATTTTTTGTATTTTTAGTAGAGACAGGGTTTCACCATGTTGGTCAAGCTGGTCTTGAACTCTTGACCTCATGATTCGCTCTCCTCAGCCTCCCAAAGTGCTGGGATTACAGGCATGAGCCACCAGTACTGCCTTTTATAAAAAAGACAAATACCTTATATGTAAAGTGGCAGAAAAAAATGTGTTTCCCTTATACATGATAGAACCCTAGTTGAGTACAATGGAATGTTTGACTGTAAGCAAGAAATTAATATAACTGGCATCTGTACTACAAGGGAATGCCTTCAGACTTAATAGCAATAAAATCCAGGTCTAAGATCAGAATTAAAAGAATCATATCCACAGTGGCAAGAGCATCCAGACTGGGGGTCTCTTGCCAATTACTCCTCTAGGGCACACTGATCAAACATGATCCTTAATATCCTTAGTGCAACCAAAAACGCTAGAATGTTTAAAGAAGAATGTTGATGTCTTTGCTGCCCTCAGCCCCGCCTCCCCCGCCGCCGCCGCCTCCCCCGCCGCCGCCGCCTCCCCCGCCGCCGCCGCCTCCCCCGCCGCCGCCGCCTCCCCCGCCGCCGCCGCCTCCCCCGCCGCCGCAGCACCAGCACCAGCCGCGGCAGCACCAGCACCAGCCGCCGCAGCACCAGCACCAGCCGCCCCATCGCCACCGCCGCCGCCGCCGCCCGGATCCTGGCGCGCTGAATGCAGACTAACAGGGATGCCAAAGGAAAAATATGATCCTCCAGATCCTCGCAGAATTTATACCATCATGTCAGCAGAGGAGGTAGCCAATGGGAAAAAATCTCACTGGGCAGAATTAGAAATCTCGGGGAATTGCTTGTTACGGGTTTTGCCTTATGAACTTGGTGGGCTCTTCCAGCTACAAACTCTAGGTTTGAAAGGCAATCCTTTATCACAGGATATTCTCAACTTATACCAGGACCCAGATGGAACCCGAAATCTACTGAACTTCATGCTTGACAATCTCGCAGTTCATCCAGAGCAGCTTCCTCCGAGGCCATGGATTACATTAAAAGAACGAGACCAAATTCTGCCATCAGCATCATTCACGGTTATCTGTTACAATGTGTTATGTGATAAATACGCTACCCGGCAGCTATATGGTTATTGCCCATCCTGGGCATTAAACTTGGAATACAGGAAAAAGGGAATTATGGAAGAAATTGTTAACTGTGACGCAGATATCATTAGTCTTCAGGAAGTGGAAACAGAGCAATACTTCACTCTCTTTCTGCCAGCATTGAAGGAGCGTGAATATGATGGATTTTTTTCTCCAAAGTCACGTGCCAAAATCATGTCTGAGCAGGAGAGAAAGCATGTAGATGGTTGTGCAATATTTTTCAAAAGAGAAAAATTTACATTGGTGCAGAAGCATGCAGTGGAATTTAACCAAGTGGCAATGGCTAATTCAGATGGATCCGAAGCTATGCTGAACAGAGTGATGACAAAAGATAACATTGGTGTCACTGTGGTATTAGAGGTCCACAAAGAACTATTTGGAGCAGGTATGAAGCCTATTCATGCTGCAGACAAACAGCTGCTTATAGTGGCAAATGCCCACATGCATTGGGACCCAGAGTATTCTGATGTGAAGCTCATCCAGACCATGATGTTTGTCTCAGAGGTTAAAACCATTCTGGAGAAAGCCTCTAGTAGGTCTGGCAGCCCAACTGCAGATCCTAATTCCATCCCGCTGGTGCTATGTGCAGATCTTAACTCATTGCCAGATTCAGGTGTTGTGGAATACTTAAGCAATGGAGGAATAGCTGACAACCATAAAGACTTCAAGGAACTAAGGTACAATAAGTGTCTTATGAACTTCAGCTGCAATGGAAAGAATGGAAGCTCAGAAGGGAGAATCACACATGGCTTCCAACTTAAGAGCGCCTACGAAAATAACTTGATGCCTTACACCAATTACACCTTTGATTTCAAAGGCGTGATTGACTACATTTTCTATTCCAAGACTCATATGAATGTGCTTGGTGTCCTGGGGCCTTTAGATCCTCAATGGCTGGTTGAGAACAACATCACTGGGTGTCCACACCCTCACATCCCTTCAGACCACTTCTCACTGTTAACACAACTTGAACTCCACCCTCCACTCCTGCCTCTTGTCAATGGTGTTCACTTGCCTAATCGGAGGTGGTGGAGTACTGCCCCGCCAAGACGGGGATCTGTTGCTATGGACCTGTACAGTTGTAAATCAAAGTATGTAGGAGTGAAGTATGGCCATCCTTAAGCTGCTTCTTCACGTTTCTTTCTTTATGTGTTTGCTGTAAGACTTTGTACATTTTTGTGCATATTGGTATCATTTGGCAGTAGGGCTGGAACCAAAGTATTACTCTCTTTCCAAAATTTTAATTTAACATGTTTTTAAATTGGACCTTCTTTATATTGTATTAACAGCCAGCATTCAAAATTGATAAATTACCAATTTGAGGCCCAACAACAGTGTATTTGTTTTTCCAAAACAAATACTTTCTTTTGAATGGTTTCAGTGAGCCAACCATTTTATAAAAGGCAATTTTTAAAAACTATAAATACAGTATTTTAAACTGAATGATGATATGCCTTCCAGGGAAAACCTTGAATTTTTCCTTTATAACTGACTTTTGGATTCCCAAGTCATTTGCACATTAACAGAGTACTTAAATTTACTTGTTCAGTACATAAACTATGATATAGCCTCTATACATGGAAAGAAAATTTGAAAAGTTAAAGATGGTTGCACAGTATGCTTTCATAATCAAGCATGTAACACCACATGACAATTTGTTGGCCAAATGCTGGTTTGGAGTTTTTTTGAGGAATCACTTTGGTTTTTTTGTCCTCTCTATATAACCTTATTGGAAGTATTAATTCTAAGCCTGTCTCTCAAGTTTATTTATAGAGAAAGAGTAAGTAATCTGTATTGCCACATACCTTGAAAATAGAATGCGGTACGTTTAGGATGCCCACAGAATGAATTTTTCCTTATTCCAATTCAACCTTCTGTCTGGTTGTGCCAGGAAAACAGATGTTATATGACCTATATCATTTTTGCCATTATAGTCAAATGTTAAAAGAAGAAAAAAATCTGCTGAATAAAAAGGCCTTGATCAGAGTTTCAGATGGGGAAAATCATACAGATATTTTATGTGTTTCCAACACAGATTATGTGGCTGTTGGTTTTTTGAGATGACAGTGCAAAGGATTTGGGAGAGAGAACAAATTTGGGGCAGTAGTTGAAAACGTTGGGTCATTTTCCTGACTCTAGCTGCCAAATGGCCATCATATGCTTTTAATCTTTGTTTCAGTTGTCTGTCAGGGTTTAATTAAGAAGCTACTGGTTTATTCCCAATTGTTGATGCCTTTAGGTATGTTGGAATCTTTTTTTTGCCTAGGAGGAGCCAGTTGAAAATCTGTGACTCAAGAGGCAGTGAACAGAATACTGTTTTCTGGGGAAAAATTTGTTGGCTACTTGATGTTAATTATGGCACAGTAACAGGAAAAGGTTGTGTCTGTGTTTTTAAGTTTTTCTTTATTCTGCTTTTTTGCTGCTATAAGAGTTTTCTGAAATTTATATTTTAAACTTTTCATGCACTTTACTGTTTCTAGTCTCAAAATGTGATATTTTTAATAAACAAGAAATTTTCCATTATGTGAATGAAATTTTAAAAGACAATAGCCTATATTTGTGTCTCACTAATATATAAAGTACAGGTTAAATTTAAATTATTTAATTAGTTTTAAATATACACAATTTGTCTCCTCTTTCAAACCTGACATCTTAAACTGTTTTATTAGTCTTAAATGATGCATTTACTTTAGTCATTTTATGCTAATTTCTTCCATAGTAAATTAATCAGGCTATATAAGGTAATATTTCCCCAGAGGGTAATTTTAGTTGGAGGAGGGTGGTGGGATGATGTCATATCATACATGGGATTGCATCAGAAGGGTTCTGTAAAGCCTGAACTCCCTTTTAAAAGTGCCTAGTGATAGAGGCGTTGTTTGTCATCTATTATAATTGGAATGTCATTGTAGTTCAGTGAATTTTGATGTAAATAAAATATCTTTTAAAAATGTTAAAGTACCAGAATAAACAAACAAAAAGAAACAACCCTTAAGATGACAGATTTTCCTCAACATGCAGGTTTCCCTTCTTATATACCTCAAGTATCCAACATCTAGCCATGCAAATTGATTACCTGAAGCATAGTACTAGAAAGTAGAATAGCATGAAAAACTTAATTTTGTGGACATTACCTTTTTTTGTAATCAGCTACTGTATGTTTTATTTTAGATCTTTTGTTTTGGGTGGGTTTTCTGCTCTGGAGGTATATGCATTAACAAAACATTTTCCTCCTTCATATATGCATGTTAATTAGCAATGTAAGCAATATTTCCTACCATACTTCACTCCCAATATTTTTGGAGATGTTTGTATAAAATGGAATTTAAAGTTCACTTATGATTGTATATGAACCACAGAGAAGCCCATTTATTAATAACAAACTTTTTTAATAGTTAAATGTGGAAGGAAAAAATAAAAATGGGAAACATTGTAAAAAAATAAAAAAATTAAAAAAAATGAAGAGGCCGGGCGCGGTGGCTCACGCCTGTAATCCCAGCACTTTGGGAGGCCGAGGCGGGCGGATCACGAGGTCAGGAGATCGAGACCATCCCGGCTAAAACGGTGAAACCCCGTCTCTACTAAAAATACAAAAAATTAGCCGGGCGTAGTGGCGGGCGCCTGTAGTCCCAGCTACTTGG
Organism: Homo sapiens; assembly: GCF_000001405.40. Taxonomy (NCBI): domain Eukaryota; kingdom Metazoa; phylum Chordata; class Mammalia; order Primates; family Hominidae; genus Homo; species Homo sapiens. Next base: position 56,003,100 of record NC_000015.10, on the reverse strand, counting down.
GAGGCTGAGGCAGGAGAATGGCGTGAACCCGGGAGGCGGAGCTTGCAGTGAGCCGAGATCCCGCCACTGCACTCCAGCCTGGGCGACAGAGCAAGACTCCGTCTCAAAAAAAAAAAAAAAAAAATGAAGAATGTTTAAAATTGCTAACTTATAAGGACAGTTCTCTTCTAAAGAGGGTGCATTCTGTTATAAGAAAGTCCCTTTTGTTCTGCTGAATACCTTGATAGGTTTAGGTATGCAAAATGAGCCTAGAGCTAAATTTGGGATTGAAGAGTTGAATTGTTCTGCAGTTTAAGGAAAGAAGATATTGGAGTTCCTGGTATATTCAGTGAGGGAATGGAGGGTGGAGAAAAGAAAGGAAAAGGATGACAGGAAGCTAGGGATTATGTGGGGAGAAATGGGCAGAAAAAAAATAAACAACAAAGAAACCCTGGTTGTACACCCCTTTAAGAATAAGGGTGTTGGCTGGGCGCGGTAGCTCACGCCTGTAATCCCAGCACTTTGGGAGGCTGAGGAGGTGGATCACAAGGTCAAGAGATCGAGACCATTCTGGCCAACATGGTGAAACCCCATTTCTACTAAAAATACAAAAAATTAGCTGGATGTGGTGGCACACGCCTGTAGTCCCAGCTGTTGCCCAGGCTGGAAGGCAACGGCGTGATCTTGACTCACTGCAACCTCCACCTCCTGGGTTCAAGCGATTCTCCTGCCTCACCCTCCCGAGTAGCTGGGATTACAGGCATGTGCCGCCATGCCCAGCTAATTTTGTATTTTTAGTAGAGATGGGGTTTCACCACGTTGGACAGGGTGGTCTCGAACTCCTGATCTCAAGTGATTCACCCACCTTGGCTTCCCAAAGTGCTGGGATTACAGGCGTGAGCACTGTGCCCAGTGACAGATAGTGTTTTAAACTCAAAAATATCTGCCTCAAACTTTGTGCTGCTATAACAGAATATCTGTTGGGTAATTTTAAATGGACAGAGATTTGAACTCCTGGGCTCAAGTTATCCACCTCAGCCTCCCAAGTAGCTAAGACTATAGGCACGCACCACCATGCCTGGCTAATTAATTTTATTAATTTTTTTTTTTTTTTACAGACAGGGTTTTGCTATATTGTCCAAGCTGGTCTCAAACTCCTGGCCTCAAGCAGTCCTCCTGCTTCAACCTCCCAAAGTGCTGGGATTACAGGCATGAGTCACTACGCCCAGCTGATAATTACCTCTTAAAGATCCCACCTCTCAACACTGTTGCACTGGGGTTTAAATTTCCAACACATAAACTTTGGGAGACATATTCAAACCATAGCAGAAGTTACTTTAGTTTTGGCCTCAGAAATGAGTCAGAAGAAAAAGGAAGAATTCACATGCTACAAATTTATAGTAAAAGTTGCTTACAAAGTATTTATCTGCTCTTCAGTTTCTTCAACCAAAAGCTAAACAAGTTTGTACAGGTAGACAAGACCTTTAGCTTAATTTATAAACGGCTTCCTGCAAAGCCCTCAAGCCATTTTATCACTCATCATCTCTTAAAAACAAAACTGGAATGTTAATCTATTTTTGGTAGAAAAAGTTGGAGACCATTTTATCAAATGGCTTAGACATATGAAGCTGTATGTAACTTAAAACTACTTATTTGCCGCAGAAATATTACATATAAAGAAAGAAGACAAAACTACACACACACATTACATTACCTATAGAATAATATTGAGCACTTCTAATTGCTTGCCAACTTCTCTTCTTGATCTTATAAGGAGATAATCTTATTTTCATTCACACATTTGAGTCATTTTAAATAATAGTGTAGAAACACCAGACCTTTAGTAGGAATCCTTATTTATAATGCTTTTACTCTACATGTTAAAATAGAATGGAAGAAATATCTTAAATGTTTAACTAAAAATCACTTTTATAGGCAGATTCTCTTATTCAGAATTAAGAATAGCTAGTGTATACTCAGGAGGTTGAGGCAGGAAAATCATTTGAATCTTGGAGGTAGAGGTTGCAGTGAGCTGAGATCGCACCACTGCACTCCAGCCTGGGTGACAGAGTAAGACTGACTCTCAAAAAAAAAAAAAATAGCTAGGGTAAAAGAACCCACAAATAATGTCTTTTCTTCTCCTAGGAACCATATAAAGCATTTTGCATTTCAAATTATTATCTTTCTTTTTTTAATAATTCAGGCAAATATAATCAGAGAAATTCTAAATGCTACTCATTTTAGCTGAAAGCTCAAGTTATTGTAGAAAGGCAACACTTTTGTAATATTGATATTTTAACCTCTTTTTCATTTTACCACTCAAAAATTGCTAATAATTGAAATGGAATGTTCTTTGTAAGTTTATTTTATATTTGGGAGCTAAAATAAACAACAGCATTTGCTTAAAGGTTTTGAACTATGGCATATTAATGGTACAGATATGGTTTATCTATTGCAGAATTGAGTCATATGCAATAAGAAACAGCATAAAATCCATAAATAAGATTTTATGAGGGAAAAAATCAGTGTTACATATACATTTTTCCCCGTTTCTGGCAAATATAATCTTTCATTCATATAACTGTTGACTGGCTTCTATGTGTCCAATGGGAAGATAAATACAGTTCCTATATTCAAAGAACTCCCAGACTAATTCAGGGAGAGCTGCAAGACAATTTAGGTACTGCTGCATAGGAATCCTAGTTCCTACTATGGGGTAGAAGGGATGCTTCTTCCAGGAGACACAGCAAGGGTCCCACTGTACTGGAAGCTATGACCACCACTTGGTCATTTTTGAGCTTCTCATGTTAGTGGACCAATAGACAAACATAGTAATTACCGTATTGGCAGGGAGGTATAGGAGCTATGGTTGAGTTACACAAGAAAGACAAGAAAGCGTATGTTTGGAACTCAGGGGATCCACCGCATATTTTAGTACTTGCATGTCCAATGACAATTCTAAATGGGCAATTACTAGAACCATGACCCAATAAGTTAAACACAACTGACAAATCATACCTCTTGGGGAGGAAAATCTGAGTCCCCACCAGGCAATAACCTAAATTTGCTGAAGTACTGGCCAAGAATGGGAAAATTGAGAGTGGGTGGTATAGGAGAGAGATAATGCATATCATTTATGACCCTGAGACCAGTTACACAGTAGATGCTGCAGCTTATCCTAGAAACCCTTGTCTATCAAGTCTTTTGGAGAGGTAAATACTGGACACACCTCAAAGACCCTACGGCAGAATGGACTAAGTGTGGGGCAGATCTGCACATGTATTAGATTCCTCTTGCACTCTGACTCATACCCTCTCAACTAACCTTTACTCCAGTCCTTGCTGCAGCAACCAAAGATGTAGAGATGTAACCAGACAGCAACTCATTTTAGTTGTTTAATGTATATTTCACTTTCTGCCCCTGTGCCTCACTGCCACTGCTGTTGGACATACCTGTAGGAGCCAATTCAGCCATTCTATACACAAGGAAATCTGCAAATATTAACATCCTATGAAATAACCCCTGTCCAATAGGGAATGGAAACTAACGAATAAATACTCCCTTCTTGGTAGAACAATTCTGAGGTACATTCTATATGACTCCTGAAGGGTCCTTAGTGATATCGAGCCCAAATCAGGTTAATCATGTAAAGGAAACTAAAAAATTTACAAAATCACTGCATGGGTCTTATGCCATTCCTTGTTTTACTCTTTTCAGTCCCTCACTCATGTTTCCTAGGCTCAGTCGCGTTCCGATAAATGTTTAATAACTGCCTCTCCAGGAAAATAAAATGATCTTGGTTTGTAGTGTTTGCCTATTTCTGTGATATAAATACACCATAATTTCAAGCTACCAACATGACATCACCAAATCTGCAGTTGGATAGAGGTGTACACAATTGTACCTTGGATGCCAGTATGAGTTGAGTCCAGCACACTACTGCTTGGGAGTGTGTCTCAAAAAAAATTACTGCATGCAAACATTTGTCTCAGAAGATATAGGGTGAAACAAAAAAAGACAAAAAGCTACCAGTCTGAGCCAATTACCAGACAATGATGGGTGTACCGACATTAGCCATGGATACCAATAAGAAGAGAAAAAAAATCTTAGGTAGAAGAGGAAAGAATTTCAATTGTATAACAAACTGGTGATAGGAAGAAGTTGTAGGAATGGGCAGGGGGTATGAATTTTAGAATACTCAGAAGTCTCTAGCCTTTGCAACTAGATAGACAATAATGCTATTTCCAGAGACACAGAATACAGGATTATAATGAGTTCATTTTGGGATCTATTTAGTTTGAGACTTTTTTCATGATACCAAGAAAGAGACAGTTAGTGGGAAATACAGGTCTGAAGCTTAGGTAAGAGATAAGGGTGTGGAAGCTATAGCAAGGTATTGTGAAATTTTATTGTTGATAACTACTTATATTCCTGGAATATCCTGCCGCCCTTCCTCTGGCTCCAGTCAGACAGCAGTGAGGTTTTCTGATTACTGCCCTCAGGCTAGAACTGTTACTACAGAAATGAAAAGAGAAAGATAAGTCAATGCTCAGCTTATAAGTTTTAAAATAGAGCTTTGAAACTCCTGGTAGAAAAAAATATGTTGACACTGGGTATGATGGCACATGCCTGTAATCCCAGCACTTTAGGAGGCCAAGGCAGGCAGATCACTTGAGGCCAGGTGTTCAAAACCAGCCTAGCCAACATGGTGAAACGCTATCTCTACTAAAAATAGAAAAATTAGCCAGGCATGGTGGCACATACCAGTAATCCCAGCTACTCAGGAGACTGAGGCAAGAGAATCACCTGAACCCAGGAGGCAGAGGTTACAGTGAGCCAAGATAGCACCACTGCACTCCAAACCTGGGATTATAGGCGTAAGCCACCGTGCCCAGCCATAACAAATCTCTTTATATATCTGCATCCTATTGGTTCTGTTTCTCTAGGGAACCATAATACAGGGTCTTTAATCTGTCAGTCTGGAACAGTTCCTCCAACTTTCTTGACTTCTATGTCCTTGACACTTTTGAAGATTACAGGGCAGATATTTTGTAGTACGTTCCTTAAATTGGATTTGTTTTCTCATGATTAGATCCAAGTTATGGAGGAAAAGCAATGGGTTGCAAGATTTTGGTTTATCAAATGTTCACTTTGATCATTTGATTAAGGTGGTATATTTCAGCCTTTTAATCTATGTAACTAAGTACTTTCTGGAAATATATGTTGAACCCTGTAAAAATCTCATTTTTCATTGAACTTTGAATGTACTCATTTATTATAATTTATATCTGTAATGAACACATGGTACCAGAATTATTCATTGGATTATAATCTGTTGCTATCATAATTTATTTTAGTGCTCAAGTTAGGCCATCTTTGGCCAGTGGGAGCTTTTTTCAGGTTGGTTCCTGTGTCCTTTTATTCTGTCTCCATCATTACTTTCATTATTTTCTGGGATAACAAGATGTTTCAGGCTCAACTTTTATTTGCCTTGTCCTAGTCCTGGAATCAGCCATTTTTCCAAGGAGCCCTGGTTTCTTTTAGTAAAAAGTTAAAATATGGATGCAAGATATGCTCATTGCTTTTGGGGTGTCATTGTTCCCAGGCCCTCTTAGAATACAAATGTAGAAAATATTTGTGTGTGTGTGTGTGTGTGTGTGTGTGTGTGTGTGTATGCAGCAGAGGTTTACATCTACATTTATTTATATACTATATATATATGTTAAAAACTTTTGAGTTCATATCAACACCACCAATTTCATTATAACAACACAAGACTCATTCAAGTTTTCTCTTTCCATTCTTGTAACTTCTTCAACAGTGACTAATGTGGTTCTCATTATCATTCATATATTCACTTATTGGATCACTTGTCTCTACAAGTAACTAATTTCCCATTTCTGCCATCACCAGTCCACCAAGCAAACCCTTCCTTGAACACACCTGGGTCCCACTGCCTTGCACCTGGCCGTCTTTCTCACTACCTCCCACCCCTTGTGGGGTGAGGAGGGCATTTTAAAAGATGACCATGATACCTGAACTCTCTTCTTTACTCCTTCCTCTGCCTTGTAACCTGGAACATAGACGTAATGATTGAAGCTTGAGCCACTCTCTGGACTATGAGGATAAGGGTCACACCTACAAACATCAGAGCAGTGAGCTGTGAAGTGCCTGAATTTCTGACCCTTTGGCAGAGCAAACTAGCCATATTAACCCTGCCCTGCCCACTGTCTAGACTTTTACATGACAGCCATATAACATGAATCTTTAAATCTTATTAGTTTAGGTAACAGCCAAATGTAATTCTACTTGATAAAGATGTCCACAGCTAGAGGCCAGCGGGAACACAGATACATCTACTAATTCCAGGAGGGAGTGATGAGAACCTTTATCACCAAGATGAGGGAGCACAACAGCCTGTTAGAAGTCAGAATCCAGCTTAGCAAAAAGAGGGTCAGGCAAGACCAATGAATTGATTGGGACTATGTATTCTACTACTGGAGGCAGAAACTTAGTTCATTTCAGAAAATCAAATAAACATTTCTTGCACTACTGAGCTCTGGATCTGAGATGGGCTCTATGAAGAAAGTAGCTGAAACTATGGTAATGGCAATGGCAATGGATGAGGTCCAGGGAGTTTCCAGTGGAAGAAAAAATGAACCTTAAAAATCTCAAACATTAACTATTAGAAAGGAAGCAGCCAGGGGATATTAAGAGTAAGAGAGAATTAAAGGAGAACTTCTGAACAAGACTTTTTTATATCCCTTAGGGAATTAATTACCAACATTAAAGTGCATTTCGTATCATTACCTTTCATATTGTTACATTCCACATCCAATTTTGATCCCAGGGGGTGATATTTTAAAAACTAGAAACAATTTCTGCATCACAGTGAAATCTATAGGCAGAGTTAAAGAGGTTTACGTATACAGACTACTAGAAAGTCTAGACCAGGTTTACTGGTTTTCATTCATTTCTTGCTTCTTAATCAGTTTGGAGGCTCATGTAAAGGCAGATTTGAAGGGAGAAAAGACTCAAGAACAAGAGATAGAAGGGGTGATGCTATTGGAGGTTGCTAGAATTGCCTGGATTTTGGCTTGGGATGATCCCTAGCACAGGTATGAGGCACAGAATCAATTGTTATGCACCATGTCACATTCTTCACACGTGCCTCACATGGTTATACACACACTCAAACCAAATCAACATGAACCTAATTGAAGGCAGCCTAGGTAGACAAAACGCCTTCATGAGAGTTCTGCGCAGTTGAGTGATATGTAGAGGAGTTCTTCATTCTAAACAGCTTTCTCAGTGGTGGTTGGTTATTGGACCACCAGCTGATATCACCATCCCGATTTGAGCTTCCTTTAATTTCAGGTGCCCCTCCTAGCTGTTGACCGGGATACAATAATTACTCTAGTTCATCTTGTATTGGTAGCTGTTTAATTCTTCATGATTTCATATTCGGAAAGACAGAATAAGAAATCATGAGTCAAATCAGTGGTCTTTAGAAGTATCATCACTAATACCTATTGGATACATCAAATGGCCAATTTGCTTTACTTTATAATCCCTTGGGGATTTACTGATTTTTTTTTTTTTAATTACCAGTTTTAGGCTGTGTATACTTCTCATATATTCATTAAATTTTAGTAGCAGTAACGGAAGCTGTTTTTACACGTTTGTAATTGTGCCCTGAAATGACACTGAATTAACTTAAATTCAAATGACTTAACTAACTTAAAATTAAACATAAAAATGTGTATCATGAGAGATGAGGGAAATATTCGCAAAATAGAAGGGCACACAATATTTTCAGATTATTTTATTCTTAACCCACAAATCCCACAGATATGTGACAACTTAAAAAACAAATTAATGCTCTCATGGCTTTTTCGATTTAGGTAAGCCAACAATTCCTGACCATTCTGTAATTTTGTAGTCATGTTTGATTAAGTGCCATCTCTTTCCCCCTAATACGGATAAAATCTGAATTGTGTATTAACAGAATTTTGATACATATTATATGAATGAAATGGATCCTACCAATCATAAAGTACGACAATTGAGGTGGAGTCTTGTTCTGTCGCCCAGGCTGGAGTGCAACGGCGCAATCTTGGCTCACTGTAACCTCCTCCTCCCAAGCTCAAGCGATTCCCTTGCCTCAGCCACCCAAGCAGCTGGGACTCCAGGCGCCCGCCACCACGCCCAGCTAATTTTTGTGTTTTTAGTAGAGACAGGGTTTTACTATGTTGGCCAGGTTGGGCTCGAACTCCTGACCTAAGGTGATTCACCGCCTTAGGTTTCCCAAAGTGCTGGGATTACAGGCGTGAGCCACCGCGCCCGGCCAAGTACGAGAAAAATCTTACGTAACAAACCAGTAATATGGGCTATAGCCTTGTTCCCACGTAGCATCTTAAACTGTTAAAAATAAATCAGAGTTATTCTGAAATCATTGAGGAAAATAAAAATTAGATTTTGAGATTGCAGAATTCTGCAAATTTCTGCAAATGTATAAAAACAACATGATATAAATTGTGGCCTGGGTGTTCATAATTCTCCCCAGACTCTTTTATGGATGCCTTATTTGGTGGAGGTCTTCCTGTAATTATGGAATTATAAAGCCCATCAGACAGGAATATTAAAAAGCATGATTATTCCATAACCTTATTCCACAGGAGGAGTTATTCCACAGGAGGAGTTATTCTACAGGAGGTCCTAGTTCACTTTATTTTTCCCTCTTCGTCACTGCCTTCTGGTGGTGCTGCGGATCAACGCCCAGCTAAAGCAGGTTTAGAGGGTCAGCCTGGAGATTGGATTGTTACTGGTGGGATTTAAAGATGGACAGACCATAGGACAACAAATAGCTTAGGAACTGGCACTGTTTACAAATCCTAGGGAGAGAATTTCAGATCCCGAGTCCAAGACTGCTGCGATCCCTCCAGGCCTCCCCATTTGCTGCCACGCTCAGGCTTTCCCTGGCGGTCCCCAGGTCCAGCTTCTTATGGGAATGACACCCTTAACCGACAAGAAAGCGCTATGATTTTCCGTTTGGGATTTAAGCGGGGATTAAGCTCACGGATTCCCAGGCGTCTAGTCAGAGGCCGAACTCTGGGTCGGATCTCAGCGAGACTTGTTGCTGAGGAACACTGCAGCTTGGCTTCCCGGCGCTTCCCGGCGCTCCCTGGCTCCCCGGCGGGCCCGTCAACCACCCACCTCCCGGGAAGGGACCGAGGGCGCGCCCCGCCACGCGCGCTCCCCACGCCATGGTCCCCGCCGCGCGCGCTCATCCCACCCGAGCCCCGCCGCACGCCCTCCCCACTCCCCGAGCCCCGCCACGCGCGCCCCCGCCCAGCCCCAGGAGCGCGCGCCGCCGGCCTTTTCCCGCCGCGCTGCCGGGTGCCGCTAGTGCCCGCTCGCCGCGGGAGGCGCTGCTGTCGCTGAGGGAGCGCCTCCTCCTCTTCCTCCAACTCTTCCCCGCCTCCTCCCGCTTCTCCTCCTCCTCCTCCACAGTTGCCTGCCCTGGGCGGGGGCGAGCGCGTCCGGTTTGCTGGAAGCGTTCGGAAATGGCAACTTGCGCGGTGGAGGTGTTCGGGCTCCTGGAGGACGAGGTGCGGGGACCGCGGGGCTGCGGGGCGGGCTTCCCTTCGGGTTATTCAGCAGCCGGACCCGGGGAGGTAGCGGCGGCGGCCACGACCGGAGGCTCTGCTGTCAGCCCCTCCTCCCTCGGCGCGAGCCTGGGGAGCGCGCGAGGCGCCGCGGGGACTGTGGGGGCGGCTCGGCGCGCGGGCGCTGGGGGCTCGCTGGAGGGAGCAAGCTTGTCGGGTCCACACCCGCCCCTTCCCGGAGCGGCCGCCGCCTTACTTGTCAGTTTCCTTCAGGAAGTGTTGAGGAGGGGGCTAGGCGGTCGGCGGGGGACCCACATCACCGCGCCAGCCCCTTCCTGCCACCCCCGCCGGGTGTGCGGAGCTCCCAGGCGTTGGGAGACGGTCGCAGCATCCCCGCTGTTGATTTGCTTGCTCTGGCGGAGGCCGGGCCGACTTAACTTTACGGACTTCGGTCTGGAGAGTTCCAAGTGAATTGTCATTCGCTGGTTTGTTTTTTTCTTCTTTATCTGAAATCCTTTTTAATCCCCTAACTAGAGACAGGGATGGGAGAGCAGGAACATAAATTTTCCTCCTCCTCTTTAGCAACAAGTGTCTAGTGTGAGAAGTTCATGCTTTATTTCACCGGTCGTCGTTGATGTTAAAAAGTGAAGCCAAAAAAGTATAAATACTTTATAAAGAAGTTACCACATCTGTTCCCTTTGAAAACTAGATTAAGCTCTGGGATTTGAAGAAGGCAAAGCTGTTTCTTTTCAGCTAAATAACTAATGCTGATTATGCCTATGCTTATTAAAAATATTGTACGACCATTTGGAAAGGTTGTTCCGTCGTAAATGATATGTGGCTTCTGTGTGTTCTTGGAGATTGTCTCAAAAATGCAAATGGGTGGGAGATGAAAAGGCTGCATGTAGTCTAACAGTGACTGGTTCCGAGTGAAAAAAATCAAGTTTTTTGCTTTCTTGTTGGCTGACTAAGCTGCCACATGTACCTTTTATCAAGATGAGACCCAGTTAACTGAAAATCCATCAACCTAATTTATACTGCTTGCTTAAGTATTGTAATATTTAAGTTGTATAGTTCCTTCTCTTAGTACCTTGGTGTCGTCAAACATTTTACACTTCTCTTGAGAGTTCTTTGTTTATAAAGGGTGGGCAATTTGTTAATGCAGTTATTTCAGGATATTTTGAGAATGCTTACGTGATGCGATTAGAATTTAATTTCCTAGCTATTGCTGCCAGAAGAGAAATAAAGTGATGATGGACAAATGGTGGCGGCTCATAGTCCCTCAGAAACAATAGTCAATGTGTTACAGCTAAAGATATCATTCTAGCTAATGGCACCTTTATTCTGTAGACGAGATCAGAAGATAATACAGCACTTCACCTGTGGTCGCTTTCTTATCAGTCAGATTTCCCTGCTTGCTACGTAGACTGCCCAGTGCAGTTGACTTCAAGGTGGTGTCCAACCCAATCAGGCTGACCTTGGACTTTCTTTCCCTGCTATATTCACAGGTAGGCCCTGCTAATTGCAGATTTCTCATCTCACCGCCTTCCAGCAGAGCCAGTTGATCTTAAAGAAAATAGTGCCAAAGGTATCATTCACCATCTGTTTTCTCCCTCTTGGTACATGATCAGTGTTTTTAATTATCTACTTTAGTAATTTCTCTGTTTTCAATCATCACCCCTCTGCCCAGCTGAAATAAAACTAATTGTGGCAGTTAATGGGTGGTCGGTAAGGAACTGGGGCCAAAGGCCAGAAACTCCACCCTTTGAAATGTGGATTTCCTGAACTTGCTGAAGGATTTGTACTTCTAGGAAGTTTCATGGACTGTGGCCTATCCCATTCACATTCTGGGAGTTCTGGCTGTCAGTTCCATGACTCTAATTTGCTTCTGTCCCCGCTCTATTTTGTCCACATTGAGGAAGGGAGTGAGATAGGAAGATAAGAGACATGATGATGAAGAGTCTTCCACTTCTTCCATTGTAATTGGATTATTCATTCAACAGACATTCATTTACTGTTTGCTCTGTACCATGCATTGTGCTAGGCACCAGGGATAGAGAGGGAAAAAAGACAGTCTCAGCCTCGGACTGAGGGAAAGATAAAAGTCACTTTTTTTCTTGTGGAGGTTGCCCTCTCCACTATCATTTGCCATTTATTTTCTGGTCTATCACAAAAGTAAAAGAAGGATTGAAACCACACTCCCCCATCCTCCCCACCCCCAAACACCCCTTTTGTTAAAGGAAGAAAGCATTGCAGCTATGTCACTTCTAAAACTCACAGACTAGTCTGGAAATAGGCAGCCCTCTGCTGTTGATTAAAAGTAAAGTGCTTTTTCATTACAACAAAAGGAGAGGATTCTTATTTTAAATTTGAAACTAAAACAGGGAGAAAAATAATTTGAAATGGGATAGAAGATAGTGAAAGAATTGTAATTTAATCAGTATATAGTGAATAGTCGCTGAGTCAGTGTCTGAGCATATTAGCACTGAAGTATGCTAAAATGTAGATCATAATACCTTTCTCTCACTTTTCAGTGAGTTTTGGCTCTTCTTCCACATATAAGTGACTTATAGTAAGAGATCACCCTGGCTGCATGTGCAGGATTTTACCTTTAAAGTGTTAACAAACAAAGGAGGAAGTGTAGTATAATTTATACCAGATTTGCTCTGGTCACTTGAGATTCACAGTAGAGAATAACATGCACTGATCTTTATTGGAGAGCAGTGTGGTGGATGCGGGGACTGGAATTGAGCATCACTTCCCACCTCCTTCCCATGCACCTCCCTGTGATATGGAGGTGGGAAAACTAAACACTGTTTCCCACACTCCATTGAAATTAATGGACTGGATCCAAAGTAGGCTCCCCAGTTAAGTGCACTTACTTGAGATTTGCAGAGTGGAAATGAGGTGGAGCATATTGTTTTGTTTCTTTGGCTTTTTCTGCTGATAAGCACAGTCATGTAAACATCTAAATTTTCTGCGAAAGTATTCCAGTATCTGGTAACTTGCTTTGTACATATTGATAGGAAGTCACCGAAGTAGTGGTGGTAGTGGCTTCCAGACGTCAAGATTGATTATATTCTTGAAGTCATCAGTTCTGGTGATGACTCCTGATCATCTACCTTTCTGACTGGGAGAGGTAGTAGCTTCCTGGATGGGTCAGTTCTGCCATGTTTCTGATCTTCTAGAACTGCAGTCCCCAACTGTTTTGGCACCAGGGACCGGTTTCATGGAAGATAGTTTTTCCATGGACCGGGGATGCGGTCCAGTGGTTTCAGGATGATTCAAGCACATTACATGTATGGTGCACTCTACTTCTATTATGATTACATTGTGATATGTAATGAAGTAATTATACAGCTCACCGTAATGTAGAATTAGTGGGAGCCCTGAGCTTGTTTTCCTGCAACTAGATGGTCCCAAGTGTGGGTGACGGTAATGGGAGACAGGGAGACAGTGACAAATCATCAGGCATTAGATTCTTATAAGGGGTACACAACCTAGATCGCTTGCATGGACAGTTCACAATAGGGTTCATGCTCTTATGAGAATCTAATGCCGCTGCTGATCTGACAGGCAGCAGAGCTCCGGAGGTAATGTGATCGGTGAGGAGTGGCTGTAAATACAGATGAAGCTTTGCTCACTGGCCTGCCACTCACCTCCTGCTGTGTGGCTGGTTCCTAAGGTTGGGGACCCCTGCTCTAGAAGTCCAGCCTAGCACCTACTCTTCCAGCTCTTCCAAAAATTTTGTAAGCATCTAATCCCCTGTATTAGCTTCTTTCTTCTTAAAGCATCTAGAATGATTTCTGTTTCCTATAAGAAAGGCTGACTGAAGCAAGGAAAAGAAGGAAGGAAATAAAGAGGAAAGAGTTCAGAGTCTCCGCTATCGGTATGGAGAGTGCAGTTTGCACATACAGAATAATAGATGCCCCTGGTGGCAGCAGCCACAACAGTGCATAAGTAGCAGGGTAAGAAGGGCATATTCTGATACTTCTGGACCCACTAAGGCTGAGCAGAAACTGACCCTTACTCAGTCTGGGAACAAACTTCCCAAACCTTTATGTACTACACACAAAGGAGGAGAAGCATAGGTTAAGCAGCAGCTGTATTAGTAATTTCTCCCAATCTTTCATGTATTGTTTTTGCCATTAGTGCTTTTTTGCAACTCTTTAATTCCAGGATCATTGTAAAGTATTTTTCATGGAGCAGGGACTAAAGAAGTGAATAAATATAGTGTATTTTTAAAATAATTTATTTTTAAATTATGTATTTACTTTTGAGACGGAGTCTTGCTCTGTCACACAGGCTGGAGTGCAATGGCGTGATCTCAGCTCACTGCACCCTCTGCCTACCAGGTTCCAGCGATTTTCCTGCATCACCCTCCAGGGTAGCTGGGATTATAGGCACGCACCACCACGCCCAGCTAATTTTTGTATTTTTGGTAGAGATGGGGTTTTACCATGTTGGCCAGGCTGGTCTCGAACTCCTGACCTCAGATGATCCGCCTGCCTCGGCCTTCCAAAGTGCTGGGATTATAGGCGTGAGGCACCGCGCCCGTCCTATTTTAAAATTATTTTAAACCATCAGAAAAGTTGAAAGTACAACACAAAGAGCTCCAGTATTCTTCTCATACAGATTCTGCAACTGTTAACCTTTTCACTGCAATTGTTCCATCACCTTTTTTTGCCATTTTCATTAATCTTTTTCTGAACCACTTGAGAGCAAGCTGCAGACACAATGCCCCATCATCTTTAAATACTCTAGTGTGTATTTTTCTAAAACAAGAATACTTTCCTGCATAACAACCATACCCCCTTCCAAGCTAGGAAATGGACACTGATACAACAATGCCATTCAATCCACAGATACCATCCAAATTTTGATAAATGTTACTAATAATTTCTCTTTTTCCTTTTCTGGTCTAAGAACCTATCTGGGAACATATATTGCTTTTACGTGGCATGTCTTTGCAGTCTCTTCTAATCTGTAACATTTCCTCAGTTTTTCTTTTTTTTTTTTTTTTTTTAATTTTTTTTTTTATTATACTCTAAGTTTTAGTGTACATGTGCACATTGCGCAGGTTAGTTACATATGTATACATGTGCCATGCTGGTGTGCTGCACCCACTAACGTGTCATCTAGCATTAGGTATATCTCCCAATGCTATCCCTCCCCCCTCCCCCGACCCCACCACAGTCCCCAGAGTGTGATATTCCCCTTCCTGTGTCCAAGTGATCTCATTGTTCAATTCCCACCTATGAGTGAGAATATGCGGTGTTTGGTTTTTTGTTCTTGCGATAGTTTACTGAGAATGATGGTTTCCAATTTCATCCATGTCCCTACAAAGGACATGAACTCATCATTTTTTATGGCTGCATAGTATTCCATGGTGTATATGTGCCACATTTTCTTAATCCAGTCTATCATTGTTGGACATTTGGGTTGGTTCCAAGTCTTTGCTATTGTGAATAGTGCCGCAATAAACATACGTGTGCAATGACTTTCTTCACAGAATTGGAAAAAACTACTTTAAAGTTCATATGGAACCAAAAAAGAGCCCGCATCGCCAAGTCAATCCTAAGCCAAAAGAACAAAGCTGGAGGCATCACACTACCTGACTTCAAACTATACTACAAGGCTACAGTAACCAAAACAGCATGGTACTGGTACCAAAACAGAGATATAGATCAATGGAACAGAACAGAGCCCTCAGAAATAATGCCACATATCTACAACTATCTGATCTTTGACAAACCTGAGAAAAACAAGCAATGGGGAAAGGATTCCCTATTTAATAAATGGTGCTGGGAAAACTGGCTAGCCATATGTAGAAAGCTGAAACTGGATCCCTTCCTTACACCTTATACAAAAATCAATTCAAGATGGATTAAAGATTTAAACGTTAGACCTAAAACCATAAAAACCCTAGAAGAAAACCTAGGCATTACCATTCAGGACATAGGCGTGGGCAAGGACTTCATGTCCAAAACACCAAAAGCAATGGCAACAAAAGCCAAAATTGACAAATGGGATCTAATTAAACTAAAGAGCTTCTGCACAGCAAAAGAAACTACCATCAGAGTGAACAGGCAACCTACAACATGGGAGAAAATTTTCGCAACCTACTCATCTGACAAAGGGCTAATATCCAGAATCTACAATGAACTCAAACAAATTTACAAGAAAAAAACAAACAACCCCATCAAAAAGTGGGCGAAGGACATGAACAGACACTTCTCAAAAGAAGACATTTATGCAGCCAAAAAACACATGAAGAAATGCTCATCATCACTGGCCATCAGAGAAATGCAAATCAAAACCACTATGAGATATCATCTCACACCAGTTAGAATGGCAATCATTAAAAAGTCAGGAAACAACAGGTGCTGGAGAGGATGTGGAGAAATAGGAACACTTTTACACTGTTGGTGGGACTGTAAACTAGTTCAACCATTGTGGAAGTCAGTGTGGCGATTCCTCAGGGATCTAGAACTAGAAATACCATTTGACCCAGCCATCCCATTACTGGGTATATACCCAAAGGACTATAAATCATGCTGCTATAAAGACACATGCACAGTTTTTCTTATCCTAGACAGTTTTAAGAAGGACAGGCCTTGGCCGGGCGCGGTGGCTCACGCCTGTAATCCCAGCACTTTGGGAGGCCGAGACGGGTGGATCACGAGGTCGGGAGATTGAGACTATCCTGGCTAACATGGTGAAACCCCATCTCCACTAAAAATACAAAAAAAAAAAATTAGCCGGGTGTGGTGGTGGGTGCCTGTAGTCCCAGCTACTCGGGAGGCTGAGGCCGGAGAATGGCGTGAACCTGGGAGGCAGAGCTTGCAATGAGTCAAGATCATGCCACTGCACTCCAGCCTCGGCGACGGAGCGAGACTCCGTCTCACAAAAAAAAAAAAAAAAAAAAAAAAAGCAAGGACAGGCCTTACATCCTACGATGTTTCTCATTTTGGGTCTGTTTGGGTCTGTTTAGTGTTTCTTGATGACCATGTTCAGGTCACGCTCTCTTGGCAGGAATCATAGAAATGATGCTGTGTTCTTCGCATGCATCACACCAGGGGACACATGATGCTGACTTGTCCCAACACTGTCAGTGACCTTAATCACTTGGTCACCTTGGTGTCTGCCAGGTTTCTTCTCTGTAATGTCACCTTTTTTCTCTTTATAATTGATAGTATTTTCAGGGGACATATCGTAAGATTATGCCAATATCCTATTTCTCGTCAAGTCTTCATCCTCAGTTTTAGCATCCATTGATGAATTCTATCTGAACCAAACACCACTATTTTGTTTTATTTCCATCTCTGTTAGTTGGCATTCTATGTAAGAAGAGCTTTCCTTTTCCTGTCATTTATTTATATCAGCATAGACTTGTAAAATCCCACTTTATTCAGCAGGTTGTAATCAGTTACTGTCATTAAATATTTTATTGCTCATACTGTCCCAGTTTGTCCAGTGGGAGCCCTTTCAAGGAGGTTCCTAGGTCTTCGTAACAAGTCCCCATCATTCTTTGAACACTTTCTGGCAGAAGTTGTTCCAGGCTTCTCTTGTATTTTGCTTGGCTCAGCTATCTACAATCAGCCATTTTCCCTAGAAGCACTGGTCCTATTTAGTATAAAATGGTTTTTACATGCTACAATTTGGGTACTTGGTGTGCTCATTGTTACTGGGATATACTCTTGGACCATCTCTGAACAGTTAAGCGTGTGTGTGTGTGTGTGTGTGTGTGTGTATGTGTACTCTACACACATATATAAGTATACACAAAGATCTATAGCTATTTCTATATCAATCTGTAAATACATAAATTTAAAAATCATGAATTCATACTGATTTTTTCCAATTCAAACCTAATACCTGAGTTCCTTTATAGCCATAAGTACCTTTTCTAACAGTGAAAAAATTTGACTTTTATTATCCTTAATATATTTGTTCATTGACTTATGTGTTCAGTGTAACTAACTTCCTGACCACGCAGACATCTCCTCTGCCACTTCAGCTCTTCACATCCTTGGATGCCAGTGGGAATATTGCTATTCTCTATGCAGCATCCCTGTGCAACGCCGTCCTCCCCTCCTCAGTACCCTTGCCAGTGGGCACCCTTCTGATGCATCTCTGTATGGTATCTCCCTCCTCCCCTCAGTGCCCCGTGCTGGCGAGCATGCCAACCATGCACCTCTGTGAAATTCACCCTCACTCCACAGACATTTTCTGTAGTGGCCTGTGATTGACTGCTCTGCGCCAGGAACAGAAAAGGAGAAGGAACTATAATTTCTTTTATAGGTAATTAGGAATTCATATATCACATAGGAGTAGAATCTTTGAGCTGGAAGAGACCTTGTAAATAAATCATTTAGGGTGAGCAGGGGTATAGAAAATGGGATTCTTTTGTGTTGGAATTCTGGCCCTGTCACTTACTTGGTGAATCTTGCATAATTAAACATCAGTCAGAGCAGGATATTTAAGTCTGCTGATTCTCCCATCCCCTTGCTGTCTCAGAAATATTCTATAGCATTTGGAGACATGCAGGAACCAGTTGAACACAATTGCTTCTCAATCTATCATGGTTATCTACTCCAGAGCTGAATCTTTAAGTCAGATAGCTGATTTGAATTGCTGAACCCATTGTTCTGCTGAATTCTGTGGCAATTGATGTTACTTCTTCTTTAGGACTTCTATTTCTTCTGGCCTCCTTGCCAATAGTATCAAAGTTTAAGAGGATAAATGAATGGGGAGGGGATAGGAGAAGTCTGGAGATAAATGCAGGGAGAAAGGCACAGCACAAACAAAAAGCATTTTGATAAGGCTTTTCTGAAAGTTGAGTAAATATGTCTGTAGCCCATTATTATAACTCATGGCTGGACTCAAATGTCTGGCTTCAACTGATGCGAGACATGTTGGGGCAATGAAGAGAGTAATATGAACAAACAATCATGGCCGTCAATAAAGATGCTTTAGTGAAAGTATTCTCCTTTGGGAAAAAGAGTCAACCTAAATAAATAGCAACTGCCTTTAACTGAATACCCACTCTGTGCCAGGCACCAGGTTAGATTTTTTCATACTTTAGCTGTAATCATCACAACATTATTGCAGAAGTAGGAAGTATTACCCCCATTTTAGAGATAAGGAATATGAGATTCTGATTTGTTCAAGAACCTTCTCCCAGTAGGGAGAAGTGTTATATTCATAACAAACACTTGGTCCTTCCACTTTCCTGCTACTAATACGCAAATAAAATAATTTAACAGAAGAGACTTTTTCTCAGGAATATGATGAATGTGAATGGAATGTGTGCAAAATTAACTTGTAATTGTTATGCTCTCATTTCCACATCTTCTGTCTTTTCTTGATAAAGCTTTTAGGTGGACCTCTGAAGTACTTGATTTCTGTATTTGCTTAACAAATATTTGATGAACACTATGTATCAGGCACGTGGGTCAGGGCATGAGGTATAATGATATAGAATATACTTTACCGATTTTATAGCCAAGAGGGAGAGAGAAACATTAAATAAATTATCACACATCAATATTTTATAAGTGTTATTAAGGAAAACAGTGTAAGATGAAAGTATTTATAACAGGCTGGGCGCAGTGGCTCACACCTGTAATCCCAGCACTTTCGGAGGCTGAGATGGGTGGATCACTTGAGGTCAGGAGTTCGAGACCAGCCTGGCCAACATGGTGAAACCCTGTCTCTACCAAAAATACAAAAATTAGCCAGGCATGGTAGCATATACCTGTAGTCTCAGGTACTTGAGAGGCTGAGGCAGGAAAATTGTTTGAATCGGGAGGTGGGGGTTGCAGTGAACCGAGACTGCGCCACTGCACTCCAGTCTGGGCAACAGAAGAACACTCTGTCTCAAAAAAAAAAAAAAAAGTATATCTAAAAATTAATTAATTTTATATGGTGTGGAGAAGGGAGAAAATATCAAGGAAATTGAAACTAAGGATGAATAGGAGTTAGCAGGTGAAGAGTGGGGCAATAGAACCCCATTGAGTAAATAGAACCACATGTGCAAAAGATGGGATGGAGACGAACAGGAAGGTTGGAGTGCTAAAACAAGAGGCACAACGTCAGCAGATGAGGCTGGAGAGGATAGCCTGATCAGGCAAGCCTGGCATGCCGTGTTAAGGATTTGGAATTGTATACCAAGTAGCATGGAAATCAAATGCACGCACGCGCGCGCACGCACACACACACACACCATTGTCGTCATCATCAACATTATTTTTCATAGTTAATATTTGTTCCTCATATGCTTAACATTTGTTTGCTAGTTATTTCTTTATTTCTTCTTGCTTCTTCACCTTTCCATCTAGGATCACTTTTTCTGCCTAAAATATATCACCTAGAATTTTTTTTTTTAAGAGATGGAGTTTCACTCTTGTTGCCCAGGCTGAAGTGCAATGGCGCAATCTCGGTTCACTGCAACCTCTGCCTTCTGGGTTCAAGTGATTCTCCTCCCTCAGCCTCCCGAGTAGCTGGGATTACAGGCGCCAGTCACCATGCCTTGCTAATTTTTGTATTTTTAGTAGAGACGGGGTTTCACCATGTTGGCCAGGCTGGTCTCGAACTCCTGACCTCAGGTGATCCACCTACCTTGGCCTCCCAAAGTGCTGGGATTACAGGTGTGAGCCACCACCCCCAGCCCTAGAATTTATTTTACTGACTGTTTGTTGGAATTGAACTTTCTCAGTTTTTGTTTTTGTCTGAAAATGTATTGATTTTGCCTTCTTTTATGGAATGGGGGTGGGGAAGAGTGAAATTTACAAAGAGTGAAATGCACAGATTATAAATGTATAATTTGATGATTTTCAACATGTAAAGCCAATGACCCAATTATGATACAGAATATTCCCATCATTCCAGAATGCTCCCTTGGGCCCTCTTCCAGTCAATTCTGCCCGTCTACTCTCTATAGGCAGCCTTTTGTCACCATGGATTACTTTTGTCTGTTCTAGAACTTCATGTAAATGGAATGTACATTATGTACTCTTTTGTGTCTTGATTCTTTTTTTGAGAGTCATCCATGGGGTTGTTTGTATCAATAGCTCATTCTTTTTCTTGGTGAATAGTATTTCGTTGTATGAATATATCCATTCTCCTTCGATGGACACATTGATTGTTTCCAACTTTGGGCTATTATGAATAAACCTACGGTGAACATTCATCTATAAATCTTTTCATAAAAGTATATTTTTATTTCTCTTGTGTAAATACCTAGGAATGGAATTTCTGGGTCATAGGGTTATATGTGTTTAACTTTATAAGAAACTGCCTAACAGTCTCCCAACACGATTGTACCATTTTAATCTCCCATTGGTAATATGTGAAAGTTCTAGTTGCTGCACATTGTTTCAGCAACATTTGAAGTTTCAGCCAAAGCCCTCCTCCTACTCCTGTCTCCCAGCCTTCTCTAGTAACCTAGGTTATCAGCTCCATCTGTATCCTTCCAGTGATACTTTGTGTATAAAAAACAGATATGGTGTTATCACACTTAAAAGTAGTGATAAGATGTAAAGTAATGATGAGTTGTTCTTTCTTAGAAATTATATAGTATTGATTGAATAAAGTCTAGTATTTTAAATGAGGAATACTTCCATAACCACGTTAACTGCAGCAGTTTTCTTTCCTACCCCCATGTTCTGTACCTGTGGTTGTCAACTTTAGTGTCCATCTGAATCATCTGAAGAGTTGTTAAAATACAGACTACCCCACAGTGTGTGATTCAGTAGGTGCAGGCCTCAACATTTGCATATGTAACAAATTTCCATGTGATGTTCATACTGCTAGTCCATGGAATCCACTTTGAGAACTACTGCTTGCTCCTAAATCCAAGGATTCTGGATATTTCTTCTTTATTATGGTTATTACTGTCAAAAACTCTTGAAGAATTCTGACTCATGCATGTGGGTATCATAGACTCCAGCTTTACAAGGACACTTCTAATTGATTTTATTTCTCAGTTATGGGTGATCTTCCACTTATATTTTTATAGATCGTTTCAAATAAATTTACATACCAGAGGAAGAAAACTGCTGTCAATCCATAGGTTCCAGTGTTTAGTTTGGAAAATACGGTCACCGTAAGTGATGTAGCATGTTGCTCAAAAGAAAAAAAAAGGAGGCCGGGCGTGGTGGCTCACACCTGTAATCCCAGCACTTTGGGAGGCTGAGGCGGGTGGATCACCTGAGGTCAGGAGTTCCAGACCAGCCTGGCCAACATGGTGGTGAGGTGATATATGAGAATCCCACATATGTCTCTACTAAAAATACAAGAATTAGCTGTGTGTGGTGGTGGGCACCTGTAGTCTCAGCTACTCAGGAGGCTGAGGCAGGAGAATTGCTTGAACCTGGGAGGTAGACATTGCGAGCAGTGAGCCGAGATCATACCACTGCACTCCAGCCTGGGCGACAGAGGTGAGACTCCGTCTCAAAAAAAAAAAAAAGGAAAAAATATGCATCCCTCCCTAGCAATTTTTTTTTGTTGAATATTTTGTTTTTACCTTATTACCCTATATAAATACAGTATTATTCACATCTGAATCACTATATTATGTTTATAATTATTTATTTCACATTTTTTGTTTGGTTTAGTTTTCTGTATGTCTGTCACAAATTTAATTGCAAGCTGTTGGACAGAGCTTTAAAACCATTCAGTGCGGTAAAAATGTAACACACACACACACACACACACCCCTACACACACACTAAAAATGAATGCTAGCCATTTCCTTTTCCTTGTTCTTGTTGAAGACAGCCTCTTGCTATGTTGCATTCCATCTGGACTGTTTGTTCTGTACACCTGTTGTGTAGCCATCATCTGTGGGCTTCCATTTGCCATCATTGTGAGAATTCACTCGATCTCTTTTCTGTGTTGAATCTACTGTTTCTTTAATTTCTTGTTTTCTTCTTTCCAAATTTATTCCTTTGTTTGGTGGCTTACATCCTCTGTACGAGGGGCGGGTACTGTTGACTGGAGCCTCTCACAGTAGAATGATCTGAACCTACCATTTCACTGTGGGATTCTCACATATCAGGATTTATAGCATTTTTTTTTCCCTTGGATCACCCAGTTCGCTCAATCTTCTGTTTAGTGGGTACAGCAGCCGCTGTTCTCAGACCCAAGTTGGGGGATGAGGCTTCTATTTTCAGCTACTTTAGAAAGGTTTCTTGTTAATCCAGAATTTGTCAGCCCCTACTGTGCGCCAAGTATTCTGTTTGTTTCTACAGAGGGGTATAAAGTTAATGAAAAGATGGCCAGGTGCAGTGGCTCACGCCTGAAATCCCAGCACTGTGGGAGGCCAAAGGCAGGCAGATCACCTGAGGTCAGGCGTTCAAGATCAGCCTGGCCAACGTGGCAAAGCTAAAAATACAAAAATTAGCTGGGCATAGTGGCACGCGCCTGTAATCCCAGCTACTTGGGAGGCTGAGGTAGGAGAATCACTTGAGCCTAGGAGGCTGAGGTAGGAGAATCACTTGAGCCTAGGAGGCAGAGGTTGCAGTGAGCCGAGATTGCGCCACTGCACTCCAATCTGGGCGACAAAGCGAGACTCCATCTCAAAAAAAAAAAGTAATAATTATAATTATAAAAGTTAATGAAAAGAAAGTTTCCAAAATCTCAGTTTTAAAAGTGGAGAAAGGCATAAAGTTTATTGCCTCAGATACAAGATAGTATGTGATAAATGCTACATAAATGAGCCTCTGACAATGAGAAGATTAATTTCATCTAAGGCTTTTAGAAAAGATGGCATTTGGGCTTTGAAGAAAGGACAGAACTTTCTTTAAAGAAAAAATAGAATGTAAAATTTACAAAATGTTTAAGAAGTAAAAACTTTCGCCGGGCGCGGTGGCTCACGCCTGTAATCCCAGCACTTTGGGAGGCCGAGGCGGGTGGATCATGAGGTCAGGAGATCGAGACCATCCTGGCTAACAAGGTGAAACCCCGTCTCTACTAAAAATACAAAAAATTAGCCGGGCGCGGTGGCGGGCGCCTGTAGTCCCAGCTACTCGGGAGGCTGAGGCAGGAGAATGGCGTGAACCCGGGAAGCGGAGCTTGCAGTGAGCCGAGATTGCGCCACTGCAGTCCGCAGTCCGGCCTGGGCGACAGAGCGAGACTCCGTCTCAAAAAAAAAAAAAAAAAAAAAAAAAGAGGTAAAAACTTTCATGATCTTATTACTTTAATAACTTTATTTTTGCATATTTCCTTCTAATCTTTCTGTGTGTGCTTTTACAGTTGTCATAGATTTCAGCATTCTTATTTTTTCAATTAATATAATTATTCTGTTATAATAATAATTACTTTTTGAATGGCTTCAAAGGATTCTGCCTAGATGATATAGGATTTTAATAGTGAACTAGTAAGGGAATCCAGCTTGTATAAAAACTCAGAGATAAGTAAAAATGGGGTATATATATATATTTTTAAAAATAGACTTACTAGGGTGGGGGACAACAGAGGAATGGGAGAAGGATGAAGAATAACAAAAGATAAAATCTCTCAAGACTTGTGAGAAATGGAAAGACGTGCAGCCCTGTGTTTTCTGTTCTTGTTTTTTTTTTTTTTTTGCGTTGTCAAGAAATTGAAGAGCAGTTAGTAGATGTCTTCATGAATTGTGGAGAAAATCTCAGCCTTAAGAAGCTACCTTTTAATTATTGACGCTGCCCGCATAGATAACACATTACATCACATTACCAATTTGTTTCTCCTTGTCATTCAAAAAAGCCACATCTCTTTGCCTGTAATTTGCAACTTTCTATTTTATTTTCAAAAAACAATAAAGCTCTCTTTACTCATGAGTTTGGAAGAGGGAAGTTTCAAGCTTTAGTGAAGAGCCCTGGTCTGGTATAATTTTGTCCCTGTTTTGATTACGGAAAAGGTGTTTAACTTTTGTTACTTTTTTATTTATTTAAGCACTATCCAGATTTCTGTTAATAGTGCTCAGGATCAGAATTCTAAAATTATTGAAGAGATTTTTCTATAGTTGCAGCATTTATGCTGCTTTCCCTCCTTTTCAAACATGTGAGAGATTACAATCTCAACACATGAAAGTGATGGAAAAGACTAATTTGACAATTCTCTAGAATAAAATCATAAAATGAAGTTAAAACCAATGCAAATATTAAAATAAATGGCACTTAATTTTGAAAGAAGTTTTTAATCAGTATAGCTTATCAATTAATCTTAGCATTTAAAATAACTAGTTCTGATTTTTGTGTTGGGAAATGCAAGGAGAAAGGTTAAAAGTTAAATGTATCTGGGATAGCTGTGTTATTTATAATTCCCCTGGAATTGTTTTTGATTAATGCTTGTTACATTTTCCCCAGGAGGCTGGGGAGTGTTTCAGTCGAGGCTAACATGGATGGTTTTTAATATCAGGAGCTCCACAAATATGGATTAACTTTTTAGAGATAGATGGTAATCTCTTTTCTCAGTTAAGGTCATATAAATTATAACTGCTACCTGAACTTAGAAAAAATAAGATAAGTAACATTATTTGCTGTTGTCACTTTCAATTATACTTTACCACTTGAGAGAAATTGTACTTGTTAATTAAGTCATCACAGAAGAGATTTTTAATTGGCAGAATTCAGTTTTGGAGATTCCTACCTGTGTAACGTAGTATGGCTACTTTCCAGTAAACTGGTATAGTGAGAATTTGACCATCAGGGCCCATGGAATATTTCAGTTGGCCTGTTTATTCAGTGACCTTCCAGAAAAAAAGGATAATCTTTTTAAATTAAAAAAAAAAACAAGATTAAATAAAATCTCCCATTTTTGTGAATCCCTCCCCTCAGAAAACTGAAATTTCCTCTCTGGTTTTCAATTCCATCTTTATTTCTGATACCTGAGGATTTCCCTTCTTTCTTGAAAGATCAGCTATATATTTAATTTTATTTGGTGATGGAAGAAAGTTATTTTTATCTAGCATCTCCAGTCAGAGTTTTTTGTGTTGTGTTAATTTACCATATGGATTTTTAGAATTAGTAGAATATTTACAGTCATGCATTGCTTAACAACGGATACATTCTGAGAAATGTGTCATTAGGCAATTTCATCATTGTGCAAATGTCATAGAGTGTAGTTACACAAACCTAGAAAGTATAGCCTACTACACACCTAGGCTGTGTGATATAGCCTATTCTTCCTAGTCTACAAACCTTTACAGCATGATACTGTACTGAATACTGTATGCATTAGTAATACAATGTAAATATTGTGTACCAAAACATAGAAAAGGAAAAGTAAAAATGTGGTATTTTATGGGACCACCATCATATATGCTGTCCATCATTGGCCAAAATATCATTCTGCAGCCATGACTATCTTATTTAGCGAGGCCTCCTGGAACAGGGATGTTTGTAAGTCTTTAGAAGAAAGAAGGTTAAAATAAATAATCTATGATATGCATATTTTCTCCCACTCAGACTTCTTCTGAGAAAGGCATACAAGCTACTGCTTGCCAGTGGAATCATTTTAGAATAGAATCAGTTAATTTGCTATCTCTTGTGCTATAATATTTCATATTTGTTGATCTTTTAAAATTTTAAAAATGTTGGCTAGGCACGGTGGCTCACACCTGTAATCCCAGCACTTCGGGAGGCCAAGGCGGGTGGATCAGGAGGTCAGGAGATCGAGACCATCCTTGCTAACACGGTGAAACCCCGTCTGTACTAAAAATACAAAAAAAAAAATTAGCCAGGTGTGGTGGCGGGCGCCTGTAGTCCCAGCTCTTAGGGAGGCGAGGCAGGAGAACGGCGTGAGCCCAGGAGGCAGAGCTTGCAGTGAAGTGAGATTGCACCACTGCACTCCAGCCTGGGCCACAGAGCGAGCCTCCGTCTCAAAAAAAAAAAAAAAAAAAATTTTTGCCCAGATTGGATAAGGGTACCCCTTTTGCCACGTTCTTGCCAGCATTTGTTATTGCCCATCTTTTGGATAAGAGCCATTTTAACTGGGGTGAGATGATATCTCATTGTAGTTTTGATTTGCACTTCCCTGATGATCAGTGATTTGAGCACCTTTTCAAATACTTGTTTTCCATTTGTATGTCTTCTTTTGAGAAATATCTATTCAGATCTTTTGCCCATTTTAATATCAGATTATTGGAGTTTTTCCTATTGAGTTGTTTGAGCTTCATATATTTTCTAGTGATTAGTCTCTTGTTGGATAGTTTGCAAATATTTTCTCCCATTCTGTGGTCTGTCTCCTAACTTTGTTGATTGTTTCCTTTGCTATACAGGAGCTTTTTAAGTTGATGTGATCCAATTTGTCCAGTTATGCTTTGGTTGCCTGTGCTTTTGGGTATTACTCAAGAAAGTTTTGCCTAGACCAGTGTTCTGGAGAGTTTCCTCAATGTTTTGATTTGATTTTTGTATATGACAAGAGATAGGGGTCTAGTTTGATTCTTCTATATATGGATATCCAGTTTTCCCAGCACCATTTATTGAATAGACTGTCCTTTCCCCATTGTGTGTTCATGGCACCTTTGTCAAAAAGGAGTTCACTATAGATGTATAGATTTACTTCTGGGTTCTCTATTCTGTTCCATTGGTTTGTACGTCTGTTTTTATGCCAATACCATGTTGTGTTGGATACTATAACTCTGTAGTATAATTTGAAGTCCAGTAATTAATTTGACTCCATTTTGTTCTTTTTGCTCAGGATGACTTTGGCTATTCTGGGTCTTTTGTGATTCCATGTATTTTAGGATTGTTTTTTCTGTTTCTGTGAAGTATGTCATTGGTATTGTGATAGGAGTTGCATTGAATCTGTAGATTGCTTTGGGTAGTATGGACATTTTAACAATATTGATTGTTCCAATCCATGAACATGGAATATTTTTCCCTTTTGTTTTTTTTTTGGTGTCGTCTTCTATCTCTTTCATCTATAGTTTTCATTGTAGAGATCTCTCACTTCTTTGGTTAAGTTTATTCCTAGTTGTTTAATTTTATTTGTAGGGATTGTAACTGGGAGTTACATTCTTGATTTCTTTTTCAGATTGTTCACTGTTGGCATATAAAAATGCTACTGATTTAATACCTTGTTTCTTAAATTAAAATAAATGCTACTGATTTTTTGTGTATTGATTTTGTATCCTGCAACTTTACTGAATGTGCTTATCAGTTCTAATAGCTTTTGGGTGGAGTCTTTAGCTTTTCCAAATATAAGTTCATATCATTCTCAAATAAGAAAAATTTGATGTCTTCCTTTCTAATTTAGCTTCCCTTTCTTTTTCTTATCTGATTTCTCTAGCTAGGACTTCCAGTACTATATTCAATAATAGTGGTAAAAGTGGGCGGCCGGGCACAGTGGCACACGCCTGTAATCCCAGCACTTTGAGAGGCCGAGGTGGGTGGATTGCCTGAGGTCAGGAGTTTGAGACCAGCCTGGCTAACGTGGTGAAACCCTGTCTCTACTAAAAATACAAAAATTACCCGGGTGTGGTATCGCACACCTGTAGTCCCAGCTAGTCGGGAGGCTGAGGCAGGAGAATCGTTTGAACCTGGGAGGCAGAGGTTGCAGTGAGCTGAGATCGTGCCACTGCACTCCAGCCTGGGTGACAGCAAGACTCCATCTCAAAAAAAAAAAAAAAAAAAAAGAAAGGAAAAGAAATGGACATCCTTATCTTGTTCCAGATCATAGAGGAAAGGCTTTCAGTTTCTCCCCATTTACCATGGCACTAGCTGTGGGTCTGTCATATATGGCTTTTATTGTGTTGAGCTATGTTCCATCTATAGTCAGGTTTTTGAGGGTTTTTTTTTTTATCATGAAGAGATGTTGAAATTTATCAAATACTTTTTCAGCATCAGTTGAAATGATCATATGGGTTTTGTCCTCCATTCTGTTGATATGACATTTGACTTTCATTTGTGTATGTTGAACCATCCTTTCATCCCTGATATGAATCCCACTTGGTCACGATGAATGATTTTTTTTCAATGTGTTGTCAAATTTGGTTTGCTAGTATTTTATTACGGATTTTTGCATCAATGTTTATCAGAGATATTGGCCTGTAGTTTTCTTTTTTCAATGGATCTTTGTCTGGTTTTGATATCAGAGTAATATTGGCCTTATAGAATCAGTATGGAAAGTATTCCTCCTCCTCTATTTTTTGAAATAGTTTGAGTAGGATTGGTATTAATTCTTCTTTAAATATTTGGTAGAATTTGGCAGTGAAGCCATCAGGTCCTAGGCTTCTCTTTGCTGGGAGACTTTACTACAGCTTCAACCTCATTATTTGTTACTGGTCTTTTTATGTTTTGGATTTCTTCATGGTTCAATCTTGGAAGGTTGTATGTGTATAGGAATTTATCCATTTCCTTTAGGTTTTATAATTTATTGGCATATAGTTGTTCGCAGTAGTCTCTAATGATCCTTTGAGTTTCTGTGGTGTCAGTTGTAATGTCTCCTTTTTCATCTGTGATTTTATTTATTTGGGCCTTCTCTCCTTAGTCTAGTTAAAGTTTTTTCTATTTTGTTTATCTTTTCAAAACACCAACATTTCATTTTGTTGATTCTTTGTATTATATTCTGTTTCAATTTGATTTATTTCTGCTCTGATCTTTATTATTTCTTTTCTTCTACTAATTTTGGAGTTGGTTTGCTCTTGATTTTCTAGTTCTTTAAGATGCATAGCTAGGTTGTTTTTTTTTTTGAAGTTTTTCTACTTTTTCATGTAGGTACTTATAGCTATAAGCTTCTCTTTTAGTACTGCTTTTGCTCTATTCCATAGGTTTGCTATGTTGTGTTTCCATTATTATTTGTTTCAAGAAATTATTTAATATCCTTCTTAGTTTTTTCATTGATCTGCCAATCATTCAGGAGCATACTGTTTAATTTCCATTTGTTTGTATTAATTTCCAAGTTCCTCTTGTTATTGATTTCTAGTGTTATTCTGTTGTAGTCAGAGAAGATACTTTTAAGATTTTAATTTTTTAAATTTTTTTCTTTTTCAAGACAGGGCTACTCTGTTGACCAGGCTGGACTGCAGTGGCACAGTCATGGCTCCTTGCAGCCTCAACTCTTGGGCTCAAGTGATCCTCCCACCTCAGCCTCCTGATGAGCTGGGAGTACCACTCTGCCTGTTTTTTTGTTGTTGTTTTTTTGTTTGTTTTTAAGAGATAGGGCCTGACTGTGTTGCCCAGGCTGGTTTCAAACTCCTGGGCCCAAGAAGTCCTCCCATCTTGGCGTCCCAAAGTGTTGGAATTACAGGCATGAACCATTGTGCCTAGCTGAATTTTTAAAGACTTCTTTTGTGGCTAACATGTGGTTTATCCTTGAGAATGATCCATATGCCAGGAGAAGAATATGTATTATGCAGCCATTGGATGAAATGTTCTGTAAATATCTATTAGGTCCATTTGGTTTACAGTGCAGATTAAGTCCAACATTTCTTTGTTGGTTTTCTGTCTGAATGATCTATCCAGTGCCGAAAGTGGGATATTGAAATTTCCAACTATTACTATATTGAAGTCTAGCTGACTCTTTGACTTTAACAATATTTGCTTTATATAACTGGGTATTTCAGTGTTGGATGCATATGTATTTACAATTGTTGTATCTTCTTGTTGAAATGATGCCTTTATCATTGTGTAATAACCTTTTTTGTCTCTTTTTTTAGTTTTTGTATTGAAATCTATTTGATCTGATATAGCTATTCCTGCTCTTTTTGGTTTTCATTGGCATGGAATATTTTCTGTGTGCCTTTATTTTCAGTCTATGTGTGTCTTTATAGGTGAAGTGTGTTTCTTGTATGCAACAGATTGTTGGGTACTGTTTTGTTAATCCATCAACCACTCTATGTCTTTTGATTGGAGAGTTTAGTTCACTTACATTCATTGTTATTATTGATAAGTAAGGACTTCTGCCATTTTTAATTTGTTTTCTGGTTGTTTTGTGCTCCTTTTTGTGAAAGTGTTTTCTTTAGTGGTATGCTTTAATTTCTTGGTTTATCTATTGTATGTCTGTTGTAGATTTTTTAACTTGATGTTACATGAGGGTTGCAATTAACATCTTACAATGCATTATTTTAAACTGATAACAGTTTAACTCTGATTGCAAAAACAAACAGGAAAAGAGAAAACTAATAAAAACTCTACACTTTATCCTTCTTGCTTTTTAACTTTTTATTGTTTCTATTTTTGTCTTATTATATTGTCTATGACTTTAGAAATTGTTGTAGTTATTATTTTTGATAGGTTCATCTTTTAGTCTTTCTGCTCAAGATATGAGTTTACACACCACAATTACAGTGATATAATATTCTGTATTTGTCTGTGTACTTACTTTTACATGTGAATTTTGTACCTTCAGATGATTTCTTATCGCTTATTAATATCCTTTTCTTTTAGACTGTGGGACACCCTTTAGCATTTCTTGAAGGCTAGGTCTGATGTTGATTAAATCCCTCAGCTTTTGTTTGTCCAGGAAAGTCTTTATTTCTCCTTTATGTTTGAAGGGTATTTTCACCGGATATACTATTCTACAATAAAAATTTTTTCCTTCAGCACTTCAAATAAATCATGCCACTGTCTCCTGCCTATTAGGTGTCCACTCAGAAACCTGCTGCCAGATGTATTGGAGCTGCTTTGTTTTTTGTTTTGTTTTGTTTTGTTTTTAATTTTCTCTTGCTGCGTCTAAGATCCATTCTTTATCTCTGGCCTTTGGGAGTTTGGTTACTAAATGTCTTAAGGTAGTCTTCTTTGGGTTAAATCTGCTTGATATTCTATAACCTTTCTGTGCCTGAATATTGATATCTTTTTCTAGGCCTAGAAAGTTCTTTGTTATTATTTCTCTGAATAAACTTTTTACCCCAATCTCTCTTGCTACCTCCTCTTTAAAGCTAATAAGTCTTTTTTTTTTTTTTGAGACAGAGTCTCACCGTGTTGCCCAGGCTGGAGTGCAGTGGCGCAATCTCTGCTGACTGCAGCCTCTGCCTCCCAGATTCAAGCATTTCTCCTGCCTCAGCCTCCTGAGTAGCTGGGATTACAGGTGCACGCTGCCATGCTTGGCTAATTTTTGTATTTTTAGTGGAGACGGGGTTTAACCATGTTGGACAGACTAGTCTCGAACTCCTGACCTCAAGAGATCCACTCGCCTCAGCCTCCCAAAGTGCTGGGATTACAGGCATGAGCCACCATGCCCGGCCCAATAACTGTTAACTTTGCCCTTTTGAGGCTATTTTCTAGATCCTGTAGGCATGCTTTGTTACTTTTATTCTTTTTTTATTTTTACACCTCTGACGGTATATTTTCAAATAACCTATCTTCAAGCTCGCTAATTCTTTCTTCTGCGTGATCAATTCTGCCATTGAGAGATTCTGATGCATTCTTTAATTTGCCAATTAATTTTTTCAACTTCAGAATTCTGCTTGATTCTTTATAAGAATCAAAGAGGTTTTTAATCTCTTTGTTAAATTTATTTGATAGGATCCTGAGATCCTTCTTTGAGTTTTCTTGTATTTCATTGAGCTTCCTCAAAACAGCTATTTTGATTTATCTGAGAGTTCACGTATCTCTGTCCCTCTGGAATTGGTCACTGGTGCCCTATTTAGTTTGTTTGGTGAGATCATGTTGTCCTGGATGATGTTGATGCTTGTGGATGTTCACTAATGTCTGAACATTAAAGAGTTAGGTATTTATTCTAATCTTCACAGTCTGGGCTGGTTTGTACCCATCCTTCTTGAGAAGGCTTTCCAAGTATTCAGAGGGAATCTTAAGTCTTTGGTCACTGAAGCCATATGTGAGCATATTAGGGGGTACCCCAAGGCCAGTAATGATATGACTCTTGTAGTCTCATAGAGGCACCAACTTGCTGGTCTTGGGTAAGATCTGGGAGAATTCCCTGGATTACCAGGCAGAGACTCTTGTTCTCTTCTCTTATTTTCCCCCAACCAATTGGAGTCTCTCCCTCTCTCTGTCTCTCTCTCTGTTCTGAGCTGCCTGGAGTTGGCAGAAGGGTGACACAATCCTGTGGCCACCATCACTGGGACTGTGTTGGGTCACACCTGAAGCCAACACAGTACTGGATTTTGCCTAAGGCTTGTGGTGACTATTTCCTGGCTACCACTTGTGTTTATTTAAGACCCAATGGCTCTTCAGTCAGCAGGAGATGAATTTGCCAGGACTGGGTCTTTCTTTTCAGTGCAGTAGGTTCCCTTCTGGCCCACGGTGGTTCTAGAAATGCTGTCCAGGAGTTGGGGCCTGGGATTAGGGACTTTAGGAATCTGCTTGGTGCTTTATTTCACTGGGGCTGTCATGGTACCCAGGTTACAAGACAAAGTCCTTTTTATTCTTCCCTTTGATTTTCTCAAGCAGACAGAGTCTCTGCCCATGGCCACCACTGCCCCAGACCTGTGGCTACTATAGTCTGGCTACTGCTGATATTTATTAAGGGCCCAACGTCTCTTTAATCAGTAGATGGTGAGTCCTGCCAGGCCTGGGTCTCTCCCTTTAGGGCAGTGGGTTTCCTTCTGGCCCAGAGTGGGTCTAGAAATGCCCTCTCGGAGCTAAGGCCAGGAATCAGTGACTTTAGGAGTCTGATTGGTGCTTTATTTTACTGTGACTGAGCTGGTACCCAAGTTGCAGACAATTTTTTTTTTTTTACTTTTCCCTCTCCTTTCCTTAAGCAGGAGTCTCCCTGTGGCCGCCACAGCTGGGAATGTGTTGGATCACACCCGAAGTCAGCATAATACTGAGTCTTGCCCAAGGCCTGTGGCAACTGCTGCCTGGCTACCCCGATGTTTATTCAAGGCCCAAGAGCTCTTTAGTCAGCAGGTAGTGAAATCTGGCAGGACTGGGTCCTTTCCTTCAGGGTGGCAGGTTCCCCTCTGGCCCAGGATGGGTCTAGAAGTGTCTGGGAGTTATGACCTAGAATGGGGGCTTCAGGACTCTGGTTGCTGCTTTATTTTATTGTGGGTGTGCTGGTATCCAAGTTGGAGAACATAGTCTCCTCTACTCTTACCTCTCCTCCTGGAGCTATGAACTGTGCTGTCTGAAGTTGGAGGAGGGGTGACACAAGCACACCCTTGGCCGCCCCGTCTGGTGTCTCACTGGTTCATGTGCATCCCAAATCTACTGGCTCCAAGACCAGCACAGTACCAGGACTTGCTCAGGGACTGCAGTCCTTATGGTCTAGACTGCCTTTTAAGTTTATTTAGGATCTTGGAGTGCTTTAGCCTACAGGGGCAAGGCTTGCCCAAACTTAGCCTTAAACTGCTGGGATGGATGATTCCCCTCTGGCTGAGGCTGGTCTAAATACTCCCTCCATGGGTGCAAGCTGACTTCTGCCCTCTGTTGCCTTCCACTGCGACAGGGCAGCACTGAGTTCCAATGCAAAGTCCCACAATCACTTTGCCCTTCGTCCCGCAAAGGCATAGATTCTCTCTCAGCCACCACACTGCACTGCCAGGGCATGTGGGAGGGGTGGTGTGGGCAATTCAAGACTGTCTTTCCTACCCTCTTCAGTGCCTCTTTCCTTGATACGATGTTGAAACTAGGTACTGTGATCAGTCACCTGATTTTTGGTTCTTATGTAGGTGCTTTCTTGTTAGAATAATTGTTTAATTTGATGTTCCTTGGTGGGGACTCTCACTGGAGGGTTCTAATGAGCCATCTTGCTCCGCCTCCTCCTCCATATTTGTTGATCTTAAAAAATGCTCCTGTAAATACTGTTGTACTTAAGTCCTTGTGTACATAGATGTACATTTATCTAGGGAAACATCTAAAAATACAGTTCCTGGGTTTTTATTTTAGAACTTTAGTAAGCATGTCAAACATCTCTTTAGAATGATCCATCAATTTACACTCCCACCAACAGTGCATTTAGAACTCTTTCTGCTGACCGGTGAGATTATCTTTTCATGTATTTCTTAGCCATTCTATATGGTATCTTGTACTAGGTTAATTATATCTTACATATTGATTTTTAGGAGTTATTCACATATTCTGGATAATTATCATTTGTCTCAATGATGTATATTTTAGATACTTCTGTAGATATTTTAGATATGTCTACAGGAAGAAGTATCTAAAATATCCCCTTGTTTTTTTCATTTTGCACATGATATTTTTTCTCATACTAAAGGTATATAATTTTATTATTGTGGAATTTAATAATTTTTGCTATTAAGATTGTATTTTTTAAATCTTTCCACATGCTAAAGAACTATTCTAAAATTTTAAATGAACTTTTAAAAATTTCTTTTCACTTTTAGACTTTATCTGGAATTTGGTTTTATGTTTTAGTATAAGATAGTGATTGAATGTTATTGTTTACTTCTTTACTCATTTTTACTCCTCTCTATGAATTTTGGAATTATTTGTAAAGATCCATGAAAAAATTTGAAGGGAGAATGGGAATAGTATTAAATTTATAGATTACTTTGGAGAAAAAAGATAATAATATTAAATATTTTCACACGTAAACATAGTGGATTTCTCCATTTATTGAAGGCTTCTTTACATTCTTCAATATTTTATAAATTTTTTAAAATAAGGTCTTGCTCTGTCACCCAGGCTGGAGTGCAGTGGTGTTCATAGCTCACTGTTACCTCAAATTCAGGCAATCCTCCTGCCTCACCCTCTCTAGTAGCTGGGATTACAGACACAAGTTATCATGCCTGGCTTATTTTTTGGAGGGATGGGGTCTTGTTATATTGCCTATGCTGGTCTTGAACTCCTGGGCTCAAGCAATTCTCTCACGTTGGCCACCCAAAGTGCTGTGATAATAGGTGTGTGCCGGCATAACTGGCAATATTTTATAATGTTATCTATGAAGTTTTTTTATATTTCTTATTAATTTTATTTCTGTTCTAATAGTTTTGTAACTTGTGAATTTTTTAAAAAATATACATGTTTTATAATATTTTCTTACCTTTTTATTTTGAACAATTTCAAACCTACAGAACCATTAAAAGAGTAATATAAGTAGTACAGTGTACACCTGTATACCCAAGAACTAGATCCACAAATTGGTAACGTTTCGCTTATTCCCCTTTATTTGTATACACACACATACACACACACACACACACACACACACACACACACAGCATAGTTATGTTCAGTTTTTTATTTGCTAAGTTATTTGAAAATAAGTTGCAAGCTTTATGATACTTTATTCCTAAGCACTTCAATATGTGTCTCTTAAATCTAAGACACTCTTTATAAAACCTCTATGCCATCATATCAAAGATATTTAATATTTGATACATTATAATAGCCACACATTATTATATACTCTGTTGTCTGTTGAATGGGATTTAAAAAAATAACCTTTTCTAAGTAGTTATTACAAATTATTATGGGCTGGGTGCAGTGTCTCACACCTGTAAATCTCAACATTTTAGGAGGCTGAGGCAGGCAGATCACCTGAGGTCAGGAGTTCGAGACCAGCCCAGCCAATGGTGAAACCCTGTCTCTACTAAAAATAGAAAAATTATCTGGGCATGGTGGCGCATGCCTGTAATCTCAGCTACTCAGGAGGTTGAGGCATGAGAATCGCTTGAACCGGGAGGCAGAGGTTACAGTGAGCCAGGATCACACCACTGCACTCCAGCCTGGGCAACAGAGTGAGACTCTGTCTCAAAAAAAAACCAAAAGCCAAATGGTTATGAACTTTCGATTTTGTGTACATATATAGCAATAATTGGAAATTCCTATTAGTTGCAATACTTTGGCTTTAGATTTTCTTGAGCGCAGCGATAAATTCTTATTCAGTGTAATAAGTTGACTCAAGTTTTTGCTTATCTTTGTAAATAATCAGGTCATCTACAAATAATTTTCTTTTTTTCCCGTGTAACTTTTAATAAAATTAATTATTGAAAAAGATTCTTCAATTAATTTTAATATCCTAATTACTTTATTTGATATATATTTTTTAAAAAATTGTGTCTTAGTTAACTTATAAGTACATGAAAATGAAATCTAAATTTTTGTATTTTAGGAAAATTCACGAATTGTGAGAGTAAGAGTTATAGCCGGAATAGGCCTTGCCAAGAAGGATATATTGGGAGCTAGGTAAGTATATCTATTTGGATTATAATTTTAAAACTTTGCATTTGTTAATTAGTTTTTTCCAAACTTTGGTTAAATTAGAAATCAAATAGTATTAGTAAATTGTTGTGGAAAGTATAATAATAATATTACCAGTTGGTGGTTTACTAAATCTCTTGGTATCTGAATTACTAAATTTGTGAAATTAGGCAGAAGTACAAATGATAGCAATAGTCACAAGATACATTATTGAGCTCTGCTTCTGGAAATTTGCAAAATTCTAACAGACTAATCCTTTAGCAGATAACAACCATAAACTCTGGACTTAATACAAAAAGCAGCAACCTGAAGGCAGTGGAGAGTGAACAGAGCAGGCAGATTCTGGTGGGGAGTTCATGTTTGGAAGAAGGGAATTGTACTGAGTGAGTTCCTGATACTATGAATTGGTCTGAGGGCAGGTAGAATCAGAACCTGGAAAAATTGTAGTCTTCATGGCCTGGGAACATAGCAGAATCCAAACTTTGGTTCAATTAAAAATCAAATAGGGCCAGGCATGGTGGCTCATGCCTGTAATCTTAGTAATTTGGGAGGCCGAGGCAGGCGGATCAGTTGAGGGTCAGGAGTTTGAGACCAGCCTGACCAACATGGTGAAACCCTGTCTCTACTAAAAATACAAAAATTATCCAGAAATCGCTTGAACCCAGGAGGCGGAGGTTGCAGCGAGCCAAGATTGTGCCACTGCACTCTAGCCTGGGCAACAGAGTGAGCCTCTGTCTCAAAAACAAAAATACATACAAACATGCATGCATACATACATACATACATACATACATACATACATACCAAATAGTATTAGTAAGTTGTTGTGGAAAGTAGAATAATATTTCCAATTGTTGATTTACTGAATCTCTGAATCTGAAGAAAACATGGCAGTGGTAAGGATTCTGGAAGAGAGAGAGCTGAAGAGCTCAGCAACTCATCTGAAGACAAAAGATCTGAACAGAGATCACAGTCACTGCCTAAGAAACGGGGTTTGGGAGACTGAGGCAGACAGGTTGCTTGAGCTCAGGAGTTTGAGACCAGCCTGGGCAATATGGTGAAACCTGTCTCTACAAAAAGTACAAAAAATCAGCTGGGCATGGTGGCGCATGCCTGTACTCCTGGCTACATGGGTGACTGAGTCAGGAGGATTGCTTGAGTCTGGGTGGTTGAGGCTGCTGCAGTGAGACAAGATTGTGCCAATGCACTCCAGCCTGGGTGACAAAGTGAGACCGTGTCTCAAAAAACAAACAACCAAAAACAGGATTTGTGGCTCTTGTCCAAACAGGATGATTAGTTGCATGATAGTCTTATTATGTTTAGTGTTGCTATAACAGAATTCCTAAGACTGTGTATTTTGTAAAGAAAAGAGGTTGATTTGGTGAGTGGAAAGTTCAAGACTGGGCCTTTGCATCTAGTGAGGGCCTCAGGCTGCTTCAAGTCATGACAGAAACGGGAAGGGGACCTAGCGTACACAAAGAAATCACATAGCAAGAGTGGAAGCAAGGGGGAGGTGTGCCAGCCTCTTTTTGACAAATCGAGAGGAACAAATAGAATGAGAACTCACTCACTTCCGAGGGAGGGCATTAATCTATTCAGGAGGGATTTGCTCCCATGACCCTAATACCTCCAACCGAGACCCATCTTTCAATATTCCCACATTGGAAATCAAATTTCAACATGCGGTTTGAAGGATACAAATATCCAAACCATAGAATGATAAGCAGACACACACACACACACACACACACACACACACACACACCAGCAGCAAAATTCACACACACACACACACACACACACACACCAGCAGCAAAATTCAGTCTCCAAAACTTAACATTTATAATATATGTCCAGGATATAATGCAAAATTACTTATCTAAAAAGAACCAGGAAAATGGAAGGCATTTTTAGTAGAGAAAAGAAAATATGGCCACAATAAATTTTAAAAATATGAAATGAAATGGAAACCATAAAAAAATGAAAATTCCAGGAGTGAAAAATACAGCATTTGAAATTAAAATTGTTGGGTAGATTTGTCAGCCAAATGGAGAAGAGGAAAGATTAACTGAACTTAAAGATAGATCAGTAGAAATTGTTACGCAGTTGGAAGATGAGAGAGATGAGAGAGACAAAGATTGGAGAAAAACAACAACAACAACAACAACAGAGCCTTGAGGATTTGTTAGCTAATATATAAAAGTCTAACATGGATATCATTATATAATATCTTACAGTCTAACACAGAAAGGGGAGGGAAAAGAAGAAGGCACAATATTTTTTGAAGAAATATTGGCCAAGTTTTTTTCCAAATTTGATTAAATTTATATAGTATTTAAAAACACCAAGCAGGATAATAAACATTAAGAACACAATGAAGTGCATAATAGTCAAACTGTTGAAAGCCAAGTATAAAGAGAAAAATCTTGACAAAAAGAGAAAAATATGACACTTTATATATGGGGGAACTACAATTCAATTAATTACTGACTTCCTACCCAAAACTACGGAGACCAGGAGAAAATGGAACAATAAAATAACAACCATCAATCCATAGTTTTATATTCAGTGAAAATATCCTTTAAGGAAGATGACAAAATAACATTTTCCAAAAAAAGACACCTAGATAATTCATCATTGGCAGACCTGTGCTGTAAGATATCTTAAAGTCCTTTCAGCTGAAGAAAATTGAAACCAGATAGACACTCAGGTCCTTAGAAAGGAATAAAGAGTATCAAAAATAGTAAATATCTGGGAATATACAAAACATGTTTTGCTTTTCTCATCATACCTTTTTAAAATAAAACATATGCCTGTTGAAATCACAAGTTAAAACATTGTTTTTTAGGATTTATATTGTTGGTGAATGGAATACATAAAACAACTATAACATAAAGGATGGAGCAGGTATAAGTTATAGACCTATTTGGTAGAATGGTACAATACTAAGTATAAGTTGAATAAAAGATTAATGATGTATATTGTAATATCCAGAGAAACCAATAAAAAATAATGCAAAGAATTATAGATAAAAAACAGTAGAAATTTTAAAATGAAGTTGTTGAAAAACTAAATAAAAAAGCCAGGAACTTGAGCCCAGAGGTTCAAGACCAGCCTGGGCAACAAAGTGGGACCCTGTCACTAGAAAAAGTCAAAAAATTAGCCAGGTATGGTTGTATGCATCTGTGGTCCCAGCTACAAAGGAGGCTGAGGTTGGAGGATCGCTGGAGCCCAGGAGGTCAAGGCTCCAATGAGCCATGATTTTGCCACTGCACTCCAGCCTAGGCGACAGAGTGAGACCCTGTCTCAAAAAAAAAAAAAATAAAAAAGAGTGCCAGAAAAGGAGAAGCAAATGATTTAAAAAAGTAACGGAGGCCGGTTGTGGTAGCTCACGCCTGTAATCCTAGCACTTAGGGAGGCTGAGGCTGGTGGATCACCTGAGGACAGGAGTTTGAGACCAGCCTGGCCAACATGGTGAAATCCCATCTCTACTAATATACAAAATTAGCTGGGTATGGTGGCGCGTGTCTGTAATCCCAGCTACTCAGGAGGCTGAAGCAGGAGAATCAGTTGAACCCAGGAGGCAGAGGTTGCAGTGAGCTGAGATCACACCATTGCACTCCAGCCTGGGCAAAAGAGCTAAACATCAAAAAAATAAAATAAAAAAAATAAAAGTCGGAAAAGGAGGAACAAATGAACAAAAAAAGTAAAAGAGGCTGGGTGCGGTGGCTCACCCTTGTAATCCCGACACTTTGGGAGGCTAAGGCGGGTGGATCACCTGAGGTCAGGAGTTCGAGAGTAGCCTGGGCAACATGGTGAAACCCCATCTCTACTAAAAATACAAAAATTAGCTGTGTGTGGTGGCAGGCATCTGTAATCCCAGCTACTCAGGAGGCTGAGGCAGGAGAATTGCTTGAACCTGGGAGATGGAGGTTGCAGTGAGCCAAGATTATGCCACTGCACTTCAGCCTGCATGACAAGAGTGAAACTCCATCTCAAAAACAAACAAAAAAACAACGTAAAGGGCAGTGACAATGGAAAACAAACAATAAACCTGTAGACTAAATCCAATCATATCAATAATTACAAGGAACATTAATGGATTAAAATAAATATGAGACAGATGTTGTTAGGATAAATTAAAAAACAAGACCCAACTATATACTGTCCTACGTGATGCACTTAAAATATAAAGACATAGCTAATTTGAAAGAAAGCGGACGCAAAAAGATATGCCATGCAAACAGTAAGCATAAAAAGACTGAAGTGGATATATTCGTATCTGGTAAAATAGATTTCAACACAAAAATTTTCAAACATTTCATGATGATAAAGAATAAAGTCAATCAGGAATATATAACAATCATAAATGTGTGTGTGCCTGCTAAAAGAACTTAGAAAAATATGAATCAAAATTTGACGGAATTAAAGGGGAACTTTTTAAAACTCCCACCGTCATAGTTGGAGGCATTAACACTTCTCTTTCAGCAGTTGATAAAACAACTAAATAAAAAAATCAAAAACATAAATTTAAACAATATTATGAATAACTTTGACCTAAAGAACACTATTTCTAACAACTTTCTTTTCAAATGTACATTCTTTTCAAGTGTACATGGTACATTCACTAGCATAGACCACACATGGGCTGTATTAGTTTATTGCTTCATAATAATATTACCACAAACTGGCCAGGCGCGGTGGCTCACATCTGTAATCCCAGCACTTTGGGAGGCTGAGGCGGGCGGATCACAAGGTCAGGAGATTGAGACCATCCTGGCTAACACTTTGAAACCTGTCTCTACTAAAAATACAAAAAATTATCCGGGTGTGGTGGTGGGCTCCTGTAGTCCCAGCTGCTCGGGAGGCTGAGGCAGGAGAATGATATGAACCCGGGAGGCGGAGGTTGCAGTGAGCCAAGATGGGGCCACTGCACTCCAGCCTGGGTGACAGAGTGAGACTGCGTCTCAAATAATAATAATAATAATAATACCACAAACTTAGTTGCTTAAAAGAACGTACATTTATTGTCTCACAGTTTCTGTGGTTCAGAAGTTCCTGCATTGTTTAACTGGGTCCTCTGCTACAGGGTCTTGGAAAGCTGCTGTTGTATTTTTTTTTCTACTTTTTTTCTAATTTTTTCTAATTTTGCAGTCTTGAAGTCTCTCACATGAGAGTGGCTGTAAACTCTAGCCCTGCCCTGATGAGACTCTAGGAATTTGGACATAGATGTTTACAGTGTGCCTTTCATGGGTATTCTTAGGCAAGTGCCCTCATGCCTAAGTGTCTGACCTATGACCAGATGTCCCTCTCACAGCAAACTTGCATATCCTGGCAGATGCTCTTATAGCTCTTGTCTGTGTCCAGTTTGTTCCTACCAAAATAGCAGATAGCCACTCTCTAGGAGAATCCTGACAAACAAGTTAGGGTCGAGTGTATCAGTCAGGTGAGACACGGGAGGCAACTCAACAAAACACAAGAAATAACAGCAGTTTATTACTTACAGATGCCAGAGAGAAGAGGGCAGCATGCCTCCCAGGGCCAACAGGAAGTGGGGAGCCATCTAGGACATGCACAGTCAACTAGTGGGTGGGGAACAGGGCAAAGAGTACAAGTGACCTGTGGGCTGAGGCTTTTACTGGGGTCCAGGGCATTTTCCAAGCAGGTTTCCCTCAGGGAGTTGTAATTGGTGGGTTTAGAGCAAGTAGGCATAAATTTCATGGAGTCATGCTGTGTCTGAGAAATCAGTATTAGGGTTCTCTAGGGGGACAGAACTAATAGGATAGATATATATATGAAGGGGAATTTAGTAGGAGAATTGACTCACATGATCACAAAGTGATGTCCCACTATTGGCCATCTGCAAGCTGCGGAGCAAGGAAGCCAGTCAGAGTCCCAAAACCTCAAAAATAGGAAAGCCAACAATGCAGCCTTCAGTCTGTGGCTGAAGGTACAAGAGCCCCTAGCATATCACTGGTGTAAGTCCAAGAGTCCAAAAGCTGAAGAACTTGGAGTCTGATGTTCGAGGGCAGGAAGCATCCAGCACGAGAGAAAGATGAAGGCCAGAAGACTCAGCAAGTCAAGTCCTTCCACGTTCTGCCTGCTTTATTCTAGCTGCCCTGGCAGCTGATTAGATGGTGCCCACCCAGATTGAGGGTGTGTCTGCCTCTCCCAGTCCACTGATTCAAATGTTAATCTCCTTTGGCAACACCCTCACAGACACACCTAGGAACAATACTTTGCATCCTTCAGTCTAATGAAGTTGACACTCAATATTACCCATCACAGAGAGGTGGTTACTGTGGCTTATTTCTGCAGTCCTTTGGGGGTATGGGGTCAGTGGAGCAAGTCAAGTAGGTTGAATCTGGTTGTTTCTTAGGGAGATGGTTACCAGGAGGCAGTTGTGTAAGGTAGTTATCTGGATTGACCACATTGAGGAGCTGAGAGGAGGTAGAGAACTGGAAACTGTGCTAAGGGTGACTAAGACCTGCTTCTGGTATAAAAATGTCCAACTTAACATTCATTATGGATGCTGAGGCAACATAAAATTATAGGAATTCACTTCAGCTGTCATTAAGGTATTGGTAGGGCTGTGGTCTTAGCTGAGGCTTGCTTAGGGAAGGATTCACTTCCAAGCTAATGTGGTTGCTGGTGGCATTCAGTTCCTTGCATGCTGCCAGTCTGAGCGTTTCCATTTCTTACTAGCTGTCAGCTGGAGGCCGTCTCAGCTTCTTGCCATTCAGCAGCTCACAAGCTGCCAGTTTGCTTCTTCAAAGCTAGCAAGAGTCTCCTAGCAAGATGGATTACAATCTTATGTAATGTAATCACATACTTTTTGTCACATTTGCCATAATCTGTTGGTTAGAATATATAGATCTGTCCCATGCTTAAGAGGAGAGGAACACAAAGAACATGAATATTAGGAGGTGGGGATAATAGGAGCTGCCCTAGTGTCTGGATGCCACAATATTCCGGGCCTTGAAACAATAAACCACATTCTTTTGAAATGCACATGGTACGTTAATCAAGATAGACCATGTGTGGGTCCATAGGACAAGTTTCAGAGGTTTTCAAAAGATTGAAATCATATAGAGGATGTTCTTTGAGAACAGTGGAATTCAATTGGAAACCAATAATATTAAGATCTAGAAAAACTGCAGATATTTGGAATTTAATTAGTATACTTCTAAATAATCTATATGTCAAAGAAGAAAACATTTTGAACTGAATGAAAATGAAAATACAGCAATAT
This sequence comes from Homo sapiens, assembly GCF_000001405.40. Lineage (NCBI taxonomy): Eukaryota > Metazoa > Chordata > Mammalia > Primates > Hominidae > Homo > Homo sapiens. The sequence goes on along the minus strand of NC_000015.10, from coordinate 55,959,205 downwards.
CACAATTGTGGAATGCAGCTAAAGTTATATTCAGAGGGAAGTTTATGTCTTTAAAATGCTTAACTTAGAAAAGGAGCAAGATATAAATGAATGTTTTGAGTTCTGACCTTAATAAATTAGAAAAAGAAGAGCGAATGAATTCTAAAATAAGTAGAGGGAAGAAATAATAAAGACAAGGGCCAAAATCAGTGAAAGAGAAAGTGGACAATGGTAGAAAAAAAATTATTGTAATCAAAAGCTTGTTATTTGAAGACATCAATTAAAGTTTTAAACCTCTAGCTAGAATGATCAAGAGTTAGAGAGAAGGCACTAATTACTGGTAATGAGAATGAAAACTGGGGCATTGCTATAGACCCTGTGGAAATGAAAAAGATAAAAAGAAAACATTTTGTACAATTTTGTATCAGTAAAGAAGTACACACAATTTAGTGAAGTAGATAATATTCTTGAAAGACACAGATTTCAGAACTAGCCACAGAACAAATACAAAACTTTAATAGATGTTTATTATTGAAAGAAATTGAATTTGTTGTTAAAAGAAATTGAATTTGTTGTTAATTAAATTGAATTTGTCCTTCCCACAAAGAAAACTCCAGGCCCACATGATATCACTGGATGCAGCTATCAGACATTTAGGGAAAAAAAAATAAAAATTCTACACAAACACGTTCAGAAAATGGAGGGCATTTCCCAACTCATTTTATTAGGCTAATATTATCTTGATCCCCAAACCAGACACAGACATCACAAGAAAACTTAAAACCAATATCTGTCAACATAGATGCAAAAATGAAATTAAACATTATGTAGCAATATATCACCACTTAGGATTTTTCCTACAAATGCAAGGTTTGTTCAACATTAAAAAAATTAATTAATGCAATTCACTGTATTAATACAGTAAAGTAGAAAAAACACATGGTCATTTCACTTGGCATGGAATGTGCCTTTGACAAAATGTAACACCCAGTCATGATAAAACCTCTCAGCAAACTAACATAAAATACAAAGGTGGCTTAACATCTGAAAATTAACTGATGTAATACACTGTATTAATAGAATAAAAGAAGACAGTCATCTTTTTTTTATTATACGTTAAGTTCTAGGGTACATGTGCACAATGTGCAGGTTTGTTACACATGTATACATATGCCATGTTGGTGTGCTGCACCCATCAACTCATCGTTTACATTAGGTATATCTCCTAATGCTATCCCTCACCCCTTCCCCCACTCCACGACAGGCCCTGGTGTGTGATGTTCCCCACCCTGTGTCCAGGTGTTATTGTTCAGTTCCCACCTATGAGTGAGAACATGCGGTGTTTGGTTTTCTGTCCGTGTGATAGTTTGCTTAGAATGATGGTTTCCAGCTTCACCCATGTCCCTGCAAAGGACATGAACTCATCCTTTTTTATGGCTGCATAGTATTCCATGGTATATATGTGCCACATTTTCTTAATCCAGTCTATCATTGATGGACATTTGGGTTGGTTCCAAGTCTTTGCTATTGTGAATAGTGCCGTAATAAACATACATGTGCATGTGTCTTTATAGCAGCATGATTTATAATCCTTTGGGTATATACCCAGTAATGGGATCGCTGGGTCAAATGGTATTTCTAGTTCTAGATCCTTGAGGAATCGCCACACTGAGAAGACAGTCATCTTAATAAAAGCAGAAAACACAACTGACAAAATTCAACACCCATTCATAATAGACACTCTCTGCAAACTAGGAATAGATGGAAATGTCCTAAACCTCATCAGGGGTATCTATGAAAAAACCCAGTAGCTAACCACCTACTTAATGGTGGCAGTTTGAAGCCCCTCTACTTAACTCAGGAATAAGGCAAAGTTGTCTGCTTTCATGTTCTATCCAACATTGTACTATATATTTTAGCCATGTAGTATGGCAAAGAAAAAAAAATCACACAGTCAAAAAGGAAGAAGTAAAACTGTCTTTATTTGCAGACAACATGGTTTGTACGTAGAAAGCCCCAAGGAATCTACAGAAAAAACTACTGGAAGAACTAATAAATGAATTTAACACCACCACAAAATGCAAAGTCAGTGTTTGTATAACCCAAAATCAGTTATATTTCTGTATCCTATCATTGGGCCATTGGAAAATACAATTTAAAAACGTGTTTACAATTGTATAAAAGTTAAATATTTAGAAATAAATACAACAAAAGATTTGTAATAAATGGACACTGAAAACTATAAAACAGTGCTGAGAGAAGTCGAAGACAACATAAATCAATGGATACATATGCTGTTTTCATTAGAAGACTCAATAGTGTTAGGGTGGCATTTTTCTCCAAATTGATTAGATTTGGCACAATCCCAATAAAAATCTCAGCAAGTTTTTTCAGAGAAATTGATAAGCTGATTTCAATATTTGTATGGAAAGTCAAGGCACATAGAATAGCCAAAACAATTTCAAAAAAGAACAAAATTGGAAGACTTACATTACCCCATTTCAAGACTTGCTACACAGTTATAATAAGACAGAGTGGCAGTGGCATGAGAATAGATATATTGTTCAGTGGAATGGAGAGTGTAAAAATACATGCGCATGTGTGTGTGAGAGAGCGAGAGAGAGAATATATACACATATATATGATCAGCTCCTGTTTAACAAAAAATGCTGAGGTAATTCAAGGGAAAGGGTAGTCTTTCAGTACACAGTACTAGAACAACTGGTCTGTATAGAATGAAATGAATCTTGGTCCTTACCACACATCATACAGAAAATTAGTATGAGCTAAAATGATAAAACTTCTATAGGAACACATAGGAAAAAAATCTTTGCTCTATTGGGTTACACAAAGTTTACGTGAACAGTACCAAAAAGGATGAGCCATAAAAGAAAAATGTTGAAAGGAACTTCAACACAATTAAAACTTTTCTTCTTTAAGAAACAAGGTTACGGAAAATGCAAGCCATAGATTGGGAAAAAGTATCTTTAGACATATATCTGGAAACAACCTAAATGTCCATTGTCAAATGAATGGGTAATCTCATGTACCCCATAAATACATACACCTACTATGTACCCACAAAAATTAAAAACATAAAAAAAAGAAATGTGGGCTGGGCATGGTGGCTCACACCTGTAATCTCAGCACTTTGGGAGGCCAAGGTGGGAGGATCACTTGAGCCCTGGAGTTCGAGACCAGCCTGGTGATAAGACCCTGTCTCTACAAAAAAATTTTTGAAAAATTAGCCAGGTGTGGTGATGCACACCTGTGGTCCCAGCTACTCAGGAGGCTGAGGTGGGAAGATCACTTGAGCCCAGGAAGTTGAGGCTACAGTGAGCCGTGTTTGTGCCACCTTACTCCAGCCTAGGTGACAAAGCGAGACCCTGCCTCAAAAAAAAAAAAAAAAAAATGTAGTATAGATCCTTTTGTAGTTTTTAAGTGTCATGATGGGGTGTCCATGCACATGTGTAAGATGTGCCACTCTTGAAGCTTGTTACAACATGGGCAGATTACCAATCTCACATGAAAAGAAAAAAAAAAGAAATGTATATACATACAGTGTTTATTCAGCCTTTAAAAAGAAGGAAATTCATGTGACAATATGGATTAATCATTAGGATATTACACTAACTGAAATAAGACAGTCACAGAAAGACAGATACTGCATGTTTACATTTATATATCTAAAATAGTCAAATTCATAGAATCAAAGAGTGGAATGCTGGTTGCTGTGTTGGGGTGAGGGGTGAGGGGTAAGTAGAAATGGAAGTTAATAATTAACAGGCATTAAACTTGAGTCAAGCAGGAAGAATAAGCTCTAGAGATCTGCTGTACAATGTTGTGCCTAAAGTTAACATTAATGTATGTGCAATTAAAAATTTAAGAGGGTAGAGCTGCCAGGTATGGTGGCTGATGCCTATAACCTATAATCACACCACTTTGGGAGGCTGAGGCAGGTGGATCACTTGAGCCTGCAAATTTGAGACCATCTTGGGCAACATGGTGAAACCCTGTTTCTACAAAAAAACACAACAATTAGTCAGGCATGGTGGTGTGCGCCTGTAGTCCCCGCTACTTGGGAGGCTGAGGTGGGAGGATTGCTTGAGCCCGGGAGGCAGAGGTTTCGAGTGAGCCGAGATTGCAGCACTGCACTCCAGCCTGGGCAACGTTGCAAGACTCTGTCTCAAAAAATGCTGGAATGCAGTGCAGTGCAGTGCAGTGCAATGCAATACAATGCAGTGCAGTGCAAAATAGGGTAGAGGTCATGTTAAATATTCTTACCACAAGAGAAACAATTAAACAAAGATATCTGAAGAAGGCCATTAACCCCCTATATATATGAAACCTCTTACAACTCAGTAATAATATAATTAAAAAGCCAATTAAAAATGGCAAAACTCGGCTAGGCACGGTGGCTCACGCCTGTATTCCCAGCACTTTGGGAGGCCAAGGCAGGTGGATCACCTGAAACTGGGAGTTGAAGACCAGCCTGACCAACACAGAGAAATGCCATCTCTACTAAAAATACAAAATTAGCCAGGTGTGGTGATGCATGCCTGTAATCCCAGCTACTTGGGAGGCTGAGGCAAAAGAATCACTTGAACCTGGGAGGCGGAGGTTGCGGTGAGCCGAGATCGCGCCATTGCATTCCAGCCTAGGCAATAAGAGTGAAACTCCATCTCAAAAAAAAAAAGGCAAAACTCTTGAACACAGTGTCTGTGTATTGTTCAAGTGTATTTGTTTAGCTGGATGGTGAGATTAGGGATAGATACATAATTACATTTACATTTTGTATTTATATTTAATAGTATATAGTTAGTTGTAAAAAACCATGGATAAGACTGGAAAGGGAAAATGTAGAGAGAACAGAGGGCTGGGGCAATACTTAGGGAATATCAGTATTTAACTGGCAGATAGTAGAAGAGGTGCCTAAGTAAGCCACCGAAGGAACAGTTCGAGTGGTATGAGGAGCACTAGAAGAGATGTGTCGTAGAAGCAAAATGAGATGAGTGTTTCAAAGAGAAAATGGTCAGTAGTATCTAAAAACATAAAGAGGGCCAAAAAAAGAAGTATCTGGAAAATGTTGATTACTTTAACAAGACTGATGACTTTACAACAGCCTTTTCATAGGAGTGGATCTAAAGGGAAGAGACAGAAACCAGACTGTAGGGTTTTGAAGTGTAACATGAATTAAGGAAATGAAGAAAAGGAGGTGGTATGCTATAGTCGTTAAGAGTATAGGCTGGGAGGCCGAGGCAGGAGGGTCACGAGGTCAAGAGATTGAGACCATCCTGGCCAACTTGGTGAAATCCAATCTCTACTTAAAATACAAAACATTAGCCAAGCGTGGTGGCAGGCGCCTGTAGTCCCAGCTACTCAGGAGGCTGAGGCAGGAGAATTGCTTGAACCCAGGAGGAGGAGGTTGCAGTGAGCCGAGATCGTGCCATTGCACTCCAGCCTGGCGACAGAGCAAGAGAGTTTAAGCCGGGCATGTTGGCTCATGCCTGTAATCCCAGCACTTTGTGAGGCCAAGGCGGGCAGATCACCTGAGGTCAAGAGTTTGAGACCAGCCTGGCCAAGATGGCAAAACCGCGTCTCTACTAAAAATACAAAAATTAGCTGGGTGCGGTGGCGTGTGCCTATAATCCCAGCTACTTGAGAGGCTGTGGCAGGAGAATAGCTTGAACCCAGGAGGCAGAAGCTGCAGTGAGCCAAGATCGCGCCACTGCACTCCAGCCTGGATTACAGAGTGAGACTTCATCTCAAAAAAAAAAACAAAAAAGAAGATAAAAAAAGAAGAGTATGGCCTCTGGAGCCAGGTGCTGGAGTTTCAATCCTGGCTGTCCGCTTTCTAGCTGTGTGATCTGTATGAAATAAAGAAAGGAATAGTACCTACCTCACAGGTGGTTATAGAGATTCAAAGAATTAATATACGGGCTCAGCGCTATGGCTCACGTGGGTAATCCCAGCACTTTGGGAGCCAAGGCGGGCGGATCACCTGAGGTCAGGAGTTCAAGACCATCCTGGCCAACATGGTGAAGCCCTGTCTGTACTAAAAATACAAAAATTAGCCGGGCGTGGTGGTGTGCGCCTGCAGTCCCAGCTACTCGGGAGGCTTAGGCAGGAGAATGGCATGAACCCAGGAGGCAGAGGTTGCAGTGAGCCAAGACTGCACCACTGCACTCCAGCCTGGGCAACAGAGCAAGACTCTGTCTCAAAAAAAAAGAAAAAAAAAAAGAATTAATACACGAAACGTGATTACAGTGGTGTCTGGCACTGAGTAATTGCTATATAAGTGTTCTTGTTTTTATTATTAAAAACTGCCTCTGAAAAGGTTTGACTGGGAATGGAAGAAAAGGATGTATTTTGCTTTGCTGGAGAAGGGAGGGAAAGTCAAGGGGAGGAGGAGTTTAAAAACATTTATATGCCTAGAGAAACCTAGATCAAAGAAAAAGCCAAAGGTCTAAAAGAGAGCAGTGAGAACAGATGACGCAAGGCTCCAAAGTTCAGAGAACTGAACAAGGGGGATGAGACTCAAAACAAGAGGACTCCTGACTCACTAGGTTAGGGGTAAGGATGGATTCTGATAAATACCAGTATGTTGCGAGTGTTCTGGTGCCTTCGAGTTTGGCCAATTAAGAGGTAACGTGGTATGAGGAAATGGAGTTGGGGGAAGGATAGTTTGGATTAGTTTGGAGGGTACTTCGTGGAGAATGGTGAGTACTTTGGATACCCGAGGAAAACAGGAGAAATTTAACAATGGACAAGTAAAGTGTCCAAAGTCTTGTGGTTTACAACCCTATATATCACAAGAATTTCCTTCTCCATGTCTCCTTGTAGAAGTGGTTACATAACACCTAGTTATTTTATTTTATTTTATTTTATTTTTTGAGACGGAGTCTTGCTCTGTCGCCCAGGCTTGAGTGCAGTGGCGTGATCTTGGCTCACTGCAAGCTCCACCTTCCAGGTTCATGCCATTCTCCTGCCTCAGCCTCCCGAGTAGTTGTGACTAAAAGTGCCTGCCACCACGCCTGGCTAATTTTTTTTTTTTGTATTTTTAGTAGAGACGGGGTTTCACCATGTTAGCCAGGACGGTCTTGATCTCCTGACCTCATGATCCGCCCGCCTCGGCCTCCCAAAGTACTGGGATTACAGGCATGAGCCACCGTGCGCGGCCACACCTAGTTTTTGTTTTTTTTTTTTTAAGTGAAAGCAGTTTGCCTTTACTTTATAAGAAGAGTTTACACCCATGAGATAACTTGAGACAACCTGAAGTCTTACAAAACCAGCGTCAGAATCATTGAATTAACCATCTTATCTCAAAAGAAGAAAGAATGTAATAAAAATCAAACAAAATTTTAAAAATCTAGGAAGCTTATAATCATTAGGCCTGTGATTAAAAGGTTTTCTTTCTAGTTCTTTGTGTCTTTCACTAACATGGTACTTCAGGTTTTTAACGAGATGCAAAAATTACTTTAATTGCTTACCTGCCTAAGAATCCTGACTTTTAAATTCAGGAAATAATTGTAGATATAACTAACAAGGAAAACTGTGAATTTTATAGTCTGGGTAATCTGAGCTTGGGGTAAGCAATAATTAAAATTTTTCTTTCTTTTTTTTTTTTTTTTTAACAGTGATCCTTACGTGAGAGTGACGTTATATGACCCAATGAATGGAGTTCTTACAAGTGTGCAAACAAAAACCATTAAAAAGGTTAGACTTAGCAATATTCAAAAGTTTTTAATGTACTTTGTTTTATTTTTATAAGACAAAACCTTATTTAGTTATACTATGTTTATTATTTTTTAGAGTTTGAATCCAAAGTGGAATGAAGAAATATTATTCAGAGTAAGTATATATTTTATTTTACTAAAGTGGAAAAAGTAAGTTTTTTTCTTAGGAGGTTAGAATGATAAATTCTCATTTTTAATATTTGAAGATGTATCTCAGAATTTGCCTAAAGTTGTGAAAATACAAAAGGAATTGAAATTTTGTCTTATAAAAAACATAAATGTAAGATAATGGAGAGGTAAAAGACTAGAATTATCTTATTCTAGTAAAACTGATTTAGAGACTGTACAGTAGTCTTACTCCAGTTGAGCAGATTCAGTGTTTTCTCATAAAGATGATGCAAATTATATTTATGTCTCCCCAGTCATTTATTATTAAACAGATTAGGGCCTATCAAGTGAATGCATTTCTTTTTATCCACACGTCATTGACATTGCTGCCTTTCCACCCCATCTGCCTCATTTACCATAAAAGCAAATTCCAATCAGCAGTTATTTCCAATTCCTCAGCAAGGCCCTCAGACTGACAGTGTCTCCTTGTACCTATTTAATATCAGAGTACTTACTGTTGCCAGAATCGAAACCCTACCAGAGCAGTGGTAGAGATGCATTTTAGGAATTTCCCCTCTCTGGATTATTCCCACTTGTATCATCCCTAAAATGTTCTTCCTTGACCCCATATTCCCCTTTAGCTGTTGAGTCGTTTCTCTGTTCACCTGAATAAGGAACATTCATGGGAGAGTTGTCTGCCCTCGTCATTTCTGCTTCTCCGGGACGCTCGTTAACCCACTGTACTCTAAATCCCCATCACTCAAATGAAACTGCTGTTATTCGGGTCACCAGTGACTTCCCTGCTGCCAAGTTCATCTTATCTCATCTTACTCATGCTCTTTGCAGCATTTGACATGGCAGATCATTCCTGAAACACCAGCCTCTCTGGAGGCTTCTGTGGTACCATACTTGATTTCAGTAAGGAAAACAGAAGCCGTTCTTCTGTACTTCATGTTTAAAGATTTTTTGTTTGTCTTCTTTTGTTCAATTTTAATAAAGTGAATTTGAAGGGAAGAAATTGCTGACATTAAGGGCAAGGAAGCTGTTGCTGAAGATCCAGCCAAAGGCATCAATTAAGTTGCTTCTGTTTTTTTGGTTTGGAGTAAGATTTTCCCCACTCTATGTAGTATGACATAAAAACAACCTTTTAAATCGGTTTGGAAATTTTGGATTCTTGAGGAAATGGTATTGAATCAATTGGATCGTCAAATGAAGAAAAATGAAGCTAAATTTCTGTTTTTACTATTTAACCAGAATAAATTCCAGACTTGATAATGTCTGGTTTTGATTGCTTTTTTGGCACAAGTGTTGGTTAGGAGAGTGTTTTTAAATTCCCAAGTTGTTGAGTTATTTATTTATTTATACTTTTGTTTTATTTTACTTATTTTGTTACATTTTTCTTAGAAACATATGTATTTTCTTTTTTTTTTTAATTATACTTTAAGTTCTAGGGTACCTGTGCACAACGTGCAGGTTTGTTACATATGTATACACGTGCCATATTGGTGTGCTGCACCCATTAACTTGTCATTTACATTAGGTATATCTCCTAATACTATCCCTCCCCACTTCCCCCACCCCATGACAGGCCCCAGTGTGTGACGTACCCCTTCCTGTGTCCAAGTGTTCTCATTGTTCAATTCCCACCTATGAGTGAGAACATGAGGTGTTTGGTTTTTTGTCCCTGCGACAGTTTGCTGAGAATGATGGTTTCCAGCTTCATCCATGTCCCTACAAAAGACATGAACTCATCCTTTTGTATGGCTGCATAGTATTCCATGGTGTATATGTGCCACATTTTCTTAATCCAGTCTATTATTGATGGACATTTGGGTTGGTTCCAAGTCTTTGCTATTGTGAATAGTGCTGCAATAAACATATGTATGCATGTGTCTTTACAGCAGCATGATTTATAATCCTTTGGGTATATACCCAGTAATGGGATTGCTGGGTCAAATGGTATTTCTTGTTCTAGATCCTTGAGGAATCGCCACACTGTCTTCCACAATGGTTGAACTAGTTTACAGTCCCACCAACAGTGTAAAAGTATTCCTATTTCTCCACATCCTCTCCAGCTCCTGTTGTTTCCTGACTTTTTAATGTTCGCCATTCTAACTGGTGTGAGATGGTATCTCATTGTGGTTTTGATTTGCATTTCTCTGATGGCCAGTGATGATGAGCATTTTTACATGTGTTTTTTGGCTGCATAAATGGCTTCTTTTGAGAAGTGTCTGTTCATATCCTTCGCCCGCTTCTTGATGGGGTTGTTTTTTTCTTGTAAATTTGTTTGTGTTCTTTGTAGATTCTGGATATTAGCCCTTTGTCAGATGAGTAGATTGCAAAAATTTTCTCCCATTCTATAGGTTGCCTGTTCATGCTGATGGTAGTTTCTTTTGTTGTGCAGAAGCTCTTTAGTTTAATTAGATCCCATTTGTCAATTCTGGCTTTTGTTGCCATTGCTTTTAGTGTTTTAGACATGAAGTCCTTGCCCATGCCTATGTCCTGAATGGTACTGCCTGGGTTTTCTTCTACGGTTCTTATGGTTTTAGGTCTAACGTTTAAGCCTTTAATCCATCTTGAATTAATTTTTGTATAAGGTGTAAGGAAGGGATCTAGTTTCAGCTTTCTACATATGGCTCGCCAGTTTTCCCAGCACCATTTATTAAATAGGGAATCCTTTCCCCATTTCTTGTTTTTGTCAGGTTTGTCAAAGATCAGATGGTTGTAGATGTGTGGTGTTATTTCTGAGGGCTCTTTTCTGTTCCATTGGTCTGTATCTCTGTTTTGATACCAGTACCATGCTGTTTTGGTTACTGTAGCCTTGTAGTATAGTTTGAAGTCAGGTAGCATGATGCCTCCAGCTTTGTTCTTTTTGCTTAGGATTGTCTTGGCTATGTGGGCTCTTTCTTGGCTCCATATGAACTTTAAAGTAGTTTTTTCCAATTCTGTGAAGAAAGTCATTGGTAGCTTGATGGAGATGGCATTAAATCTATAAATTATCTTGGGCAGTATGGCCATTTTCACAATATTGATTCTTCCTATCCATGAGTATGGAATGTTCTTCCATTTGTTTGTGTCCTCTTTTATTTCATTGAGCAGTAGTTTGAGTAGTTCTCCTTGAAGAGGTCCTTCACATCCCTTGTAAGTTGGATTCCTAGGTATTTTATTCTCTTTGAAGCAATTGTGAATGGGAGTTCACTCATGATTTGGCTCTCTGTTTGTCTGTAATTGATGTATAAGAATGCTTGTGATTTTGCACATTAATTTTGTATCCTGAGACTTTGCTGAAGTTGCTTATCAGCTTAAGGAGATTTTGGGCTGAGACGGTGGGGTTTTCTAAGTATACAATCATGTCATCTGCAAACAGGGACAATTTGACTTCCTCTTTTCCTAATTGAATACCCTTTATTTCTTTTTCCTGCCTGATTGCCCTGGCCAGAACTTCTAACACTATGTTGAATAGGAGTGGTGAGAGAGGGCATCCCTGTCTTGTGCCAGTTTTCAAAGGGAATGCTTCCAGTTTTTGCCCATTCAGTATGATATTGGCTATGTGTTTGTCATAAATAGCTCTTATTATTTTGAGATACGTCCCATCAATACCTAATTTATTGAGAGTTTTTAGCATGAAGGGCTGTTGAATTTTGTCAAAGGCCTTTTCTGCATCTATTGAGATAATCATATGGTTTTTGTCTTTGGTTCTGTTTATATGCTGGATTACGTTTATTGATTGCGTATGTTGAACCAGCCTTGCATCCCAGGGATGAAGCCCACTTGATCATGGTGGATAAGCTCCTTGTACCTTTGGTAGAATTCAGCTGTGAATACGTCTGGTCCTGGACTTTTTTTGGTTGGTAGGCTATTAATTATTGTCTCAATTTCAGAGCCTGTTATTGGTCTATTCAGAGATTCAACTTCTTCCTGGTTTAGTCTTGGGAGGGTGTATGTGTCGAGGAATTTATCCATTTCTTCTAGCTTTTCTAGTTTATTTGCATAGAGGTGTTTATAGTATTCTCTGATGGTAGTTTGTAGTTTGTATTTCTGTGGGATTGGTGGTGATATCCCCTTTATCATTTTTTATTGCGTCTATTTGATTCTTCTCTCTTTTCTTCTTTATTAGTCTTGGTAGCGGTCTATCAGTTTTGTTGATCTTTTCAAAAAACTACCTCCTGGATTCATTGATTTTTTGAAGGGTTTTTTATGTCTCTCTCTCCTTGAGTTCTGCTCTTACCTTAGTTATTTCTTGTCTTCTGCTAGCTTTTGAATGTGTTTGCTCTTGCTTCTCTAGTTCTTTCAATTGTGATGTTAGGGTGTCAATTTTAGATCTTTCCTGCTTTCTCTTGTGGGCATTTAGTGCTATAAATTTCCCTCTACACACTGCTTTAAATGTGTCCCAGAGATTCTGGTATGTTGTGTCTTTGTTCTCATTGGTTTCAAAGAACATCTTTGTTTCTGCCTTCATTTCGTTATGTACCCAGTAGTCATTCAGGAGCAGGTTGTTCAGTTTCTATGTAGTTGAGCAGTTTTGAGTGAGTTTCTTAATCCTGAGTTCTAGTTTGATTGCACTGTGGTCTGAGAGACAGTTTGTTATAATTTCTGTTCTTTTACATTTGCTGAGGAGTGCTTTACTTCCAACTATGTGGTCAATTTTGGAATAAGTGTGGTGTGGTGCTGAGAAGGATGTATATTCTGTTGATTTGGGGTGGAGAGTTCTGTAGATGTCTGTTTGGTCCACTTGGTGCAGAGCTGAGTTCAATTCCTGGATATCCTTGTTAACTTTCTGTCTCATTGATCTGTCTAATGTTGACAGTGGGGTGTTAAAGTCTCCCGTTATTATTGTGTGGGAGTCTAAGTCTCTTTGTAGGTCTCTAAGGACTTGCTTTATGAATCTGGGTGCTTCTGTATTGGGTGCATATATATTTAGGATAGTTAGCTCTTCTTGTTGAATTGATCCCTTTACCATTATGTAATGGCTTTCTTTGTCTCTTTTGGTCTTTGTTGGTTGAAAGTCTGTTTTATCAGAGACTAGGATTGTAACCCCTGCTTTTTTTGTTTTCCATTTGCTTGATAGATCTTCCTCCATCCCTTTATTCTCATGAGCCTATGTGTGTCTCTGCACATGAGGTGGGTCTCCTGAATACAGCACACTGATGGGTCTTGACTCTTTATCTAATTCGCCAGTCTGTGTCTTTTAATGGGGGCATTTAGCCCATTTACATTTAAGGTTAATATTGTTATGTGTGAATTTGATCCTGTAATTATGATGTTCACTGGTTATTTTGCTCGTTAATTGATGGAGTTTCTTCATAGCATCGATGATCTTTATAATTTGGCATGGTTTTGCAGTGGCTGGTACTGGTTGTTCCCTTCCATGTTTAGTGCTTCCTTCATGAGCTCTTGTAAGGCAGGCCTGGTGGTGACAAAATCTCTCAGCTTGTCTATAAAGGGTTTTATTTCTCCTTTTCTTATGAAGCTTAGTTTGGCTGGATATGAAATTCTGCATTCAAAATTATTTTCTTTAAGAATGTTGAATATTGGCCCCCACTGTCTTCTGGCTTGTAAGGTTTCTGCTGAGAGATTTGCTGTTAGTCTAATGGGTTTCTCTTAGTGGGTAACCTCACCTTTCTCTGTGGCCGCCCTTAACATTTTTTCCTTCATTTCAACGTTGGTGAATCTGACAATTATGTGTCTTGGGGTTGCTCTTCTCGAGGAATATCTTTGTGGTGTTATCTGTATTTCCTGAATTTGAATGTTGTCATGCCTTGCTAGGTTGGGGAAGTTCTCCTTGATATTATCCTGTAGAGTGTTTTCCACCTTGGTTCCATTCTCCCTGTCACTTTCAGCTACACCAAACATAGAGTTGGTCTTTTCACATAGTCCCATATTTCTTGGAGGCTTTCTTTGCTTCTTTTTATTCTTTTTTCTCTAAACTTGTATTCTCACTTTATTTCATTAATTTCATCTTCAATCAGTGATAGCCTTTCTTCCACTTGATTGAATCAGCTACTGAAGCTTGTGCATGTATCACAAAGTTCTTGTGCCATGGTTTTCAGCTCCATCAGGTCATTTAAGGTCTTCTCTACACTATTTATTCTAGTTAGCCATTGGGCTAACCTTTTTTCAAGGTTTTTAGGTTCCTTGCAATGGGTTAGAACATGCTTCTTTAGCTTGGAGAAGTTTGTTTTTACCGACCTTCTGAAGCCTACTTCTGTCAACTCATCAAAGTCATTCTCCTTCCAGCTTTGTTCTGTTGCTGGCGAGGGGCTGCGATCCTTTGGAGGAGAAGATGCGCTCTGGTTTTTAGAATTTTCAGCTTTTCTGCTCTGGTTTCTCCCCATCTTGGTGGTTTTATCTACCTTTCATCTTTGACGTTCGTGACATACAGATGGGGTTTTGGTGTGTATGTCCTTTTTGTTGATGTTGATGCTATTCCTTTGTGTTTGTTAGTTTTCCGTCTAACACTCAGTTCCCTCAGCTGCACATCTGTTGGATTTTGCTGGAGGTCCACTCCAGACCCTGTTTGCTTGGGTATCACCAGTGGAGGCTGCAGAACAGCAAATATTGCAAAACAGCAAATATTGCTGCCTCATCCTTCCTCTGGAAGCTTTGTCCCAGAGGGGCACCTGCCTGTATGAGGTGTCTGTTGGCCCCTACTGGGAAGTGTCTCCCAGTTAGGCTACACGGGGGTCAGGGACCCACTTGAGGTGGCAGTCTCTTGTTATCAGAGCTCAAATCCCATGCTGGGAGAACCACTGCTCTCTTCAGAGCTGTCAGATAGGGACATTTAAGTCTGTAGAAGTTTCTGCTGCATTTTGTTCAGCTATGCCCTGCTCACAGAGGTTGAGTCTATATAGGCAGTAGGCCTTGATGAGCTGAGGTGGGCTCTGCCTAGTTTCAGCTTCCCGGCTGCTTTGTTTACCTACTCAAGCCTCAGCAATGGTGGACACCCCTTACCCCACCAGTCTGCAGACTGGCAGGTCGATCTCAGACTGCTGCGCTAGCAGTGAGCAAGGCTCTGTGGGCATGGTACCCGCCAATCCAGGCATGGGAGAGAATCTCCTGGTCTGCCAGTTGATAAGACCATGGGAAAAGCACAGTATTTGGCCAGAAGTGTCCTGTTTTTCCAGGTACAGTTTATCACAGCTTCTTTTGGCTAGGAAAGGGAAATCCCCTGACCCCTTGCACTTCCGAGGTGAGGCAATGCCCCATCCTGCTTCGGCTTGCCCTCTGTGGGCTGCACCCACTGTCCAGCCAGTCCAAATGAGATGAACCAGGCACCTCAGGTGGAAATGTAGAAATCACCCGTCTTCTGCGTCAATCATACCGGGAGCTGCAGACAGGAGCTGTTCCTATTTGGCCATCTTCCAATCATTACATCTTAAAGCTCCAAAATAATCTCCTTTGACTCTGTGTCTCACATCCAGGCCACACTGATGCAAGGGGTGGGTTCCGAAAGGCCTTGGGTGTCTCCACCCCTGTGTCTCTGCAAGGTACAATCCCTTCAGCTGCTTTCACAGGCTAGTGTTGAGTGCCTAAGGGTTTTGCAGGCAAACAGTGCAAGCGGTTAGTCAATCTCCCATTCTGGGGTCTGGACGATAGTGGCCTACTTCTCACAGCTCCACTAGGCAGTGTCCCAGTGGGAACCCTGTGTGGGGACTCCAGTCCCACATTTCCCATCCACACTGCCCTAATAGAAGTTCTCCATGAGGGCTCTGCCCCTGCAATATCCAGACTTCTGTGTGGATATCGACACATTTCCATACATCCTCTGAAATCTAGGAAGAGCTCCTAAGCCTCAGCTCTTGCCCTGTGCCCACCTGCAGGCTTAAAACCATGTGAAAGCCACCAAGACTTACGGTTTGAACCTTCTAGAGCAGCGGCCTGAGACATATCTGGGCCCTTTTACCCACAGCTGGAGCTGGAGTGGCTGGGACTCAGAGAGCAGTGTCCCAAGGTTGTGTAGGGCAGCAGGGCCCTGGGCCTGGTCTATGAAATCATTCTTCCCTTCTAGTCCTCTGGGGCTGTGATAGGAGGAGCTGCCACAAAGATCTCTAAAATGCATTCAAGGCATCTTCCCCATTGTCTTGGCTATGAACATTCAGCTCCAGCAGCTGGCTTGAATTCCTCCCCACAAAATGGGGCTTTCTTTTCTACCACATGATCAGGCTGCACATATTCCCAACTTTTATGCTCTGCTTTCCTTTTAAATATAAGTTCCAGTTTCAGATCATTTCTGTGAATGCATATAAGCATATGGTTAGAAGCAGCCAGGCCACTTCTTGAACACTTTGCTGCTTAGAAATTTCTTCTGCCAGATACCGTAAATCATCTCTTTCAAGTTCAAAGTTCCACAGATTTCTAGAGCAGGGGCACAATGCTGCCAGTCTCTTTGTAGAAGCATAGCAAGAGGGACCTTTATTTCAGTTCCCAAAAGATTCCTTGTCTTCGAGACCACCTCAGCCTGGACTTTCCTGTTCATATCACTATCAGCATTTTGGTCACAACCATTCAACAAGTCTCTAGGAAATTCTATCTTTCCATCATCCTCCTTTCTTCTTCTGATCTCTCCAAACTGTTTCAACCTCTGTCCATTACCCACTTCTAAACTTGCTTCCACATTTTCAGGTATCTGTATAGCAATGCCTGACTTCCCATTACCAATTTTCTGTATTAGTTTGTTCTTGCATTGCTATAAAGAACTCCCTGAGACTGAGCAGTTTATAAAGAAAACGGCTGTAATTGACTCACAGTTCCACAGGCTGTACAGGAAGCCTGGATGAGGGGGCCTCAGGAAACTTAACAATTGTGACAGAAGGTGAAGGGGAAGCAGGCTCATCTAACATGGCCAGAGAAGGAGGAGGAGAATGAAGGGGGAAGTACTACACACTTTTAAGCAACCAAATCTCATAAGAAGTCGCTTACTATCACCAGAGCAGCAAGGGGGAAGTCTGCCTCCGTGATCCGGTCACCTCCCATCTGGCCCCTCCTCCAACATTAGGGATTACAATTTGACATGAGATTTTGGCAGAGACATAATTCCAAACCATATGAGATACCATACAAACACCAGAAAAAATATGTTAATGGTTGTATTAACATTAGCCAAATTAGACTTCAGGACAGTATTGCCAGAGATAAAGAGGGCATTTCATGATTATAAAGAGTGAATTCAACAAGAAGACATACAATCTGAAATGTGTATGGACCTAGTAATCTTTAAAATTACGAAGTCAAAATTGACAGAACTAAATAAATAAACAAATCCACAATAGTTGATTTTACCACTTCTAGTAACTGATACAACAACTAGACAAAAAAAAAATAGTAAATATATAGATGATTTGAACAACACTACCAATCATGTTAACCTGTTTGACATGTATAGTACACTACAGCTAATACCCAAGTGTATATTCTTTTTATATGCCCATGGAACATTTACCAAGATAGACCACATATTGGGCCACAAACCGAGTTTCAGTACAGTTAAAAGGATTGAAATTCAACAGGATTGGCTGGGCGCAATGGCTCACGCCTATAATCCTCGCACTTTGGGAAGCCGATGCAGGCATATCACTTGAGGTCAGGAATTTGAGACAAGCCTGACCAATATGATGAAACCCCGCCTCTACTAAAGAAAAAAAGTATACAAAAAGTAGCTGGGTGTGATGGTGCGCACCTGTAATACCAGCTACTTGGGAGACTGGGCACGAGAATCGCTTGAACCTGGGAGGCGGAGGTTGCAGTGAGCTGAAATTGTGCTGCTGGACTCCAGCCTGGGTGACAGAGTGAGACTCTGTCTCAAAAAAAAAAAAAAAGAAATTTAACAGGGTATGTTCTCTGATCACAGCAGATTTAAGTTACAATTCAGTAACACACGTATGTATATCACAAATGTTTAGAAATTAAACAAGTTTCTTTTGAATAAGCCATGGATCAAAAAAGAAAATAAAAGGGAAATTAACAAGCATTTTTACTGATTGATTGTTAAAGCATAACATACCAAATGTGGGATGAAGCTATTTCAGTGCTTAGAGATTAATTTATACCTTTAAATACTTGTATATAAATGAAGAAATATTCAAAATCAATGATCTAAGCTTCCACCTTAAGTTCTTTAAAGAAAAAGAAGGAAGGAAATAAGAGTGGAAATCAATGGACAAGAAAATGGACAAAAAGTAGAGAAAATAAATAAAACCAAGGATGGATCTTCAAAAAAATTAATGAAATTGATATACAACAGCTGGCCTTATATGAGAGAGACAGAGAGAGTACTCAGATGACCAATATTAGGAATCAGAGGAGGGAACCTACAGATACTTTTTAAAAGGTAATATTGTAACTAATTTTATGCCTGTAATTTTAACAACTCAGTTTAAATGGATAAATTCTTATAAGCCAAAATATACTAAAACCAATATAAGTAGAAACAGAAAATATGGATATCTGTTAGAGGAATTAATGTTATAATTTATTTTTTATTTTAAAAAATTTAAGGTGCTTATAATTTAAAAATATTGCCATTCTTTTTGATGATCTTATTCTTTTATTAGAAAGAATGTTTGGCCTGGCATGGTGGCTCATGCCTATAATACCAGCACTTCGAGAGGCCAGGGTGGGCCCCCTAAAAGTTTAAGGTCATCCTGAGCAAAATAGTGGGACCCCATCTCTACCAAAAAAAAACGACCCTCTTCACAAGGCATGGTGGCACACACCTATAGACCCAGCTACTTTGGAGGCTGACATGGGAGACAATTCTTTGAGCCAAGGAATTCGAGGATACCGTGGGCAACATAGTGAGACAGTCCCAAAAGAAAGAGACAGAGAGAGGCAGAGAGGCAGAGAGAGAGAGAGAGAGAGAGAGAGAAGGGGGAGGAGGGAAGGAGGAAGGAGGGAGAGAGGGAGGAAGGACTACTTTGGAATTAGAGATGTTAATGAGAAAAATAAGCCATTTAAACAAAATTTTAACTGATTTATTGGGGGTATAGTTCATATAGAAAAAGCCTGCACATATTTAATTCATACAGTTTGATAGGTTTAAACATATGCATACAGCTGTGAAACCATCACCACAATCAAAGTCATAAACATATCCATCACCTCCAAAAGTTTCCTCCTATCACCCCCTTTTTTGTGGTAAGAACACTTGATATGTACCCTCTTCACAAAGGTTTTGGTGTATAATATAGTATTAAACCACCATTCTATTCTCTGCTTCTATGAATTTGACTATTTTAGATACTTTT
Source organism: Homo sapiens (assembly GCF_000001405.40). Taxonomy (NCBI): domain Eukaryota; kingdom Metazoa; phylum Chordata; class Mammalia; order Primates; family Hominidae; genus Homo; species Homo sapiens. The sequence continues at coordinate 55,940,139 of NC_000015.10, read as the reverse complement.
TGTGAGTAAGATAGTCAGTATTTGTTCTTCTGGGACTAGCTTATTTCACCTAGGGTAGTGTCCTCAAGGTTCATCCATTTTGTTGGAAATGGCAGGGTTTCCTTTTTGAAGGCTGAATAATATTCTATTGTATGTATATGTCACATTTTCTTAATGTATCCTTCAATGGGTATTTAGATTATTTCCATATCTTGGCTACTGTGAATAATGCTGTAATGAACGTGGGAGGGCAGATAACTTTAATTGCAGTGATTTTATTTCCTCTGGCTGCATACCTAGAAGTGGGATTGCTGGATGATCCAGTAGTTCTACTTTTTAATTTTTTGGGGAACCTTTATACTGTTTTCTATAGAGGCTATACTATTTTCTGTAGAGGCTGGAGCATTTTACATTGCTACCAACATGTGCAGGGATTCCAGTTTCTCCACATCTTCACCAAAACTTGTTAACTAAAAAAATCTAAAAATTTTTGTAATAGTCATCCTAACAGGTGTGGTTTTGATTTGCATTTCCCTGATGATTAGTGATTTTTGAGCACCTTTTTACATAAAGAGTGGGCCATTTGTTTGTTTTCTTTGGAGAAATGTCTGTTGAAGTCCTTGGTTCATTTTTTAAATTAGGTTCTTTGTTGCTTGTATTAGTCCGTTTTCACACTATGATAAAGATACTACCTGAGACTGGGTAATTTATAAACAAAGGAGGTTTAACTGACTCACAGTTCCACATGGCTGGGGAGGCCTCAGTCATGGCAGAAGATGAACAGGAAGCGGGCACCTTCTCCACAAGATGGTAGGAGACAGAAGAGAAAGTGAAGGGGGAGGAACCCTTTGTAAAACTGTCAGATCTCCAGAGAATGAACTCACTGTCATGAGAACAGCATGGGGGAAACTGCCCCCGTGATCCAATCACCTCCCACCAGTTCCCTCCCTTGACACGTGGGGATTACGGATCGAGATGAGATTTGGGTGGGCAACAGAGCCAAACCATATTATTGTTGGTGGTGGGTTTTTTTGTTTGTTGTTGTTGTTGTTTTCGAGACACGGTCTCACTCTATTATCCAGGTTGGAGCGCAGTGGCACAATCATGGCTTATTGCAGCCTCAACCTTCTAGGCTGAAATGATGGCCTACCTCAGCCTCCCTAGTAGCTGCAAACACAGGTGCACACCATCACGCACCACCATTTTTATTTTATTTTATTTTTTGTAGTGACACACTGTTTTGCCCAGGCTGGTCTCAGACTCCTGGATTCAAGTGATCCTCCTGCCTTGCCCTCCCAAAGTGCTGAGATCACAGGCATGAGCCACTGTGCCTGGGAGTTTATTTTATTTTGTTATTGTTGTTGTTGTTGATGCTTGTTTTTTTTTTACTATTGGGTTATGGGAGTTCCTTTTGTATGTAATTTTGAAGTTTGGAGATCAACTCTTTATCTTATACATGGTCTGCAAATATTTTTCCCATTTTGTACGGTGCCTTTTCACTTTGTTGATTGTTTCTTTTGTCATATAGCTTTTTAGTTAAATGTAGCTGCACTTGTCAATTTTTGCTTTCATTGCCTTTGTTTTTGGTGTCACCCAAAAAATCATTGTCATTGTCAAGACCAAAGTCAAGAAGCTTCTTCTCTGTTTTCTTCTATGGGTTTTACAGTGTCGGGTCTTGTTTGTGTCTTTAATTCATTTTGAGTTTATTTTTGTGTTTGTTTTAAGATAAGGGTCAATTTCTTTCTTTTGCGTATGGATATCCAGTTTTCCCAAGCCATTTGTTGTTTTTTTGTTTTGTTTTTTGTTTTGTTTTGTTTTCAGACAGTCTCACTGGAATGCAGTGGCACGATCTCGGCTCACCGCAACCACCACCTCCCAGGTTCAAATGATTCTCCTGCCTCAGCTTCCTGAGTAGCTGGGACTACAGGCACACGCCACCATGCCCAGCTAATTTTTGTATTTTTAGTAGAGACAGGGTTTCACTACGTTGGCCAGGATGGTCTCCATCTCTTGACTTCATTATCTGCCCACCTCAGCCTCCCAAAGTGCTAGGATTACAGGTGTGAGCCACTGCGCCTGGCCACCATTTGTTGAAGAGACTGTCCTTTCCCCTTTGTGTATGCTTGGCACCTGAGTCAAAGATCAGTGGACTGTATTTCTTGGGTTTATTTTTGAGCTATCTATTTCATCCGTCTCTGTCTGTCTTAATTCCTGTGTCATACTGTTTTAATTACTGTAGCTTTGTGATATATTTGGAAATCAGGAACTATTATGCCTCTAGCTTTGTTCTTCTTTCTCAAGATGCAGGGTCTTTTGTAGTTCTGTATGAATTTTAGGATTATGTGTTCTATTTCTTTAAAAAGTACCATTGGAATTTTGGTGAGTGTAACATTGAATTTGTGGATTACTTTGGATAGTATGGACATTTTAACAATATTAAGTTCTTCCAATCCATGAACACAGGATGTCTTTCCATTTATTTTTGTCTTGAAAGAAGGCTATTTGTAATTGACAAATCAGGATTAGGACTCTACTGCCATTTCCTTATTTTTTATTTTATTTTCTATAACTTCCCTATTACCAAATGTTTTAGCTAGTTACATTTACCAAATATTTACTTCATTTTTGGGATCACAGGCTACACATTTGTTTCAATTAGAAATTCTGCTATTTTATTATAAGGATAACTAGATAAATTTGTGTGGATCAATGCTAATTCATTATGCTTAGAAAAAAACTGAAAACATACGGTGAAATATCTTCTGTGCAAAGGACATTATTATGTGTGGTCCTCTATTTTCCTCTTTGTCATTTATATCATCATTTTTATATAGCCCAGAATGTTTTGAACTGAATGTATTCGCCATAAAAATGTCTGTTGAGATAACATATTACAGCAAAAACTTGGTTCTTGGGCATTCGGCCAAATGGAAATTGTGGTCAGAAGTTGAAGGCAGTTTTATATCTTTGAGAAAACATGAAGTTCAAAAAAAGTTTTTGTGAAAAACTGTTATTGACAACACAAACGGGAAACTCCAAGTTGAAGTTAGTGCTCAATAGCAAATTATGGCCAGGCACGGTGGCTCATGCCTGTTTTCCCAGTGCTTTGGGAGGCCGAGGAGGGTGGATTGCCTGAGGTCAGGAGTTCAAGACCAGCCCGGCCAATATGGTGAAACCTCATCTCTGCTAAAAATACAAAAATCAGCTGGGCATCATGGCGCATGCCTGTAATCCCAACTACTCAAGAGGGTGAGGCAGGAGAATCACTTGAACCTGGGAGGCAGAGGTTGCAGTGAGCCGAGTTCACACCATTGTGCTCCAGCCTGGGTGACAAGAGTGAAACTCTGTCTCAAAAAAAAAAAAAAGAAAAGAAATAGCAAATTATAATTAAAATCTACACTTTACATGCTTAGAGGGAAAAAAGTGCAACACATTAGGTGCAATGCACATGTTATTTACTCTGTGCATAAGAATTGTGCTTGGGCATCTGAAAAAGCCTCACCCCATTTCCTACATTCTGCAGGTGCTCTGTGTATATTTTTAGCATTCATACTCAATATATTAGATTTATGTAATGTATATATATGCAAGTGTATGTTTATATTATGTTATAGAAGTAATATAACTTATGCAAGATAGTTTTTTTAATAAAGAGAAATGAAAATCAGCCATAATTTCATCTCGATAAACCACCACTGATAATATGCTTTTCTGGGATTTCCTATGTGTTTTTTTTTCTTTTGTATTTTTATGGATAGGGGGAAAAAACTTACCTACATACGCACACAAATTTGGCGTGATTTTTTTCTATACCTATTTCTCAGGCACTTTGCTATGATTGTTAATGAGATGGCCACAGTACCTACCCTCAATGAAACTTACTGTCTAGTATGGACCAGTGTGAACAGGTAACTCATAATTATTACCAGTGTGCTGAGCTTTATGGAAGGGAAAACAATGATACCGGAGAGTAAATACAGGGTTGGGGGATCACTTAGTCTAGGAGGTTTAGGAGGGACCCCTCTGACAAAGTGTATCATTTAGGATGCTTTTAGCTTCAAGTTATAGACTTGAAGTAGCAATGAAAACTGCCTTCACAATAAGCACACTGATTAGCTTTAATCATAAGAAGCATAGAAGAAGGTTGGTCATTGCAGCAGGTGAAAGAAGTCATGCTTGACCCAGCTTCTCTGGGATTCTCTTGGCTTTCTCTCTGTGGTCACAGATACTTACAGCAGTTCCAAAGACATGATGATGTCCAGAGGCTGAAAAGGGAGAGCTTTTTGCTGAGTATCTTTTTTTTTTTTTTTTTTTTGAAACAGAGTCTCACTCTGTCGCCAGGCTGGAGTGTAGTGGCACGATCTCAACTCACTGCAACCTCTGCCTCCCGGATTCAAATGAGTCTCCTGCCGCAGCCTCCCGAGTAGCTGGGACTACAGGCGCATGCCACCACGCTTGGCTAATTTTTTGTAGTTTTAGTAGAGACAGGGTTTCACTGTGTTAGCCAGGATGGTCTCGATCTCCTGACCTCATGATCCGTCTGCCTCAGCCTCCCAAAGTGCTAGGATTACAGGCATGAGCCACCACGCCCAGCCTTTGCTGAGTATCCCTTTAAAAAAGTAAAAAACCTTTTTCCAGAAGACTTTGGATCTTTTTCTCTTGGGCCAGAATTGTGTAATGTGCATATTTCCTACCCCATTGTTGGTGAGGAAAATGGTGTTACCCTAAGGCTTAGAGGAATCAAAATTCAGCCCCTGGGAGAGAGGAGTTGCTGTCTATCCCTGACAGACATAGTCACCCAATATTTGAATAAAATTATAATTCTTTTAGCTAGGAAGAAGGCAGGACACCCCATCAGTGGAGCAGTAAGTAAATTATGATACATTCATACAACGAAATCCTAATCTACTGTTTAAAAAGAGGCAGGTTTATATGTTGTTATAGATAATTCATTTCAGATTATACTAAATGAAGCAAGAAAAATGCAGAACAAGGCCAGACATGGTGGCTCATGCCTGTAATCCCACTACTTTGGGAGGCCGAGGAGGGTGGATCACCTGAGGCCAGGAGTTCAAAACCAGTCTGGCCAACATGGTGAAACCCCATCTCTACTAAAAATGCAAAATTAGCCAGGCATGGTGGTGGGTGCCTCTAATTACAGCTACTTGGGAGGCTGAGGCAGGAGAATCACTTGAGTCTGGGAGGCAGAGGTTGCAGTGAGCCGATATTGTGCCACTGCACTCCAGCCTGGGCAATAGAGTGAGACTCCATTTCAAAAAAAAAAAAAAAAAAAAAAAAAAGCAGAACATTGTATATAGGAATATATTATTTGTGTAAAACCAGAAAAATTTTTAATAAAATAAAATTTTAATAATAATAAAATTTCTTATATGCTGGTATTTTTAGAAAATAATTCTGGAAGGACCTAAGAAACTGTTTACTGTATTTGCTCTGGGGGTGGGACAAAGGTAAGACAGAGATTTATAATTTACTATATATCCTTTTTTACTGTTTGGGTTTTTTCTCCGTGGCCGTATATCTACAGTTTATTTTTATATTTATTGATTAAACTATTTGCATAAAGAAATAAAGTGGAAAGACATAAAACATTTAAATTAAAATGCCGGAATACTTTCTATTCATATATTGTTTTATGCTTATGAAAATACTTGTCTAATTCACTTAACTTTTTACACTTTTACAGTGTTATTAAAATATATGCACAGAAAACTTGCGCACCAATGTTCGTAGCAGCATTATTCATAATAGTCAAAAATTAGAAACAGCACAAATGTCCATCAACTGATAACAAAATGAGATATACACATATAATGAAATATCATTCATCAATAAAAAGGAATGAAGTATTGATACAAGTTACAACTTGGATGAACCTTGAAATCATTATACTAAGTGAAAGAAGCTGTATTAGCCCATTCTCACACTGCTCATAAGATATGCCTGAGACTGGGTAATTTTTTTAAATTATCATTATTATTATTATTTTGAGACAGAGTTTCACTCTTGTTGCCCAGGCTGGAGTGCAGTGGCGCAATTTCGGCTCACTGCAACCTCCACCTCCTGGGTTCAAGCTGTTCTCCTGTCTCAGCCTCCCAAGTAGCTGGGATTACAGGCGTGTGCCACCACACCCAGCTAATTTTGTATTTTTAGTAGAGACGAGGTTTCACCCTGTTGGCCAGAATGGTCTCGAACTCCTGACCTCAGGTGACCTGCCTGCCTCGGCCTACCAAAGTGCTGGGATTACAGGTGTGAACCACTGCCTCCAGCCAAGACTGTGTAATTTATAAAGGAAAAAGTTTTAATTGACTCACAGTTTAGCATGGCTGAGAAGGCCTCAGAAAACTTACAATCATGATAGAAGGGGAAGCAAACACATCCCTCTTCACATGGCAGCAGCAAGTAGAAGTGTCAAGAAAGAGGTGGAAAACCCCTTATAAAGCCATCAGATTTTTTTTTTTATACTTTAAGTTCTAGGGTACACGTACACAACGTGCAGGTTTGTTACATATGTATACATGTGCCATGTTGGTGTGCTGCACCCATTAACTCGTCATTTGCATTAGGTACATCTCCTAATGCTATCCCTCCCCCTTCCCCCTCCCCCCACCCCACGACAGGCCCCAGTGTGTGATGTTCCCCTTCCCGTGTCCAAGTGTTCTCATTATTCAATTCCCACCTGTGAGTGAGAACATGCGGTGTTTGGTTTTCTGTCCCTGTGATAGTTTGCTCAGAATGATGGTTTCTAGCTTCATCCATGTCCCTACAAGGCCATTAACTCATCCTTTTTTATGGATGAGTAGTATTCCACAGTGTATATCTGCCACATTTTCTTAATCCAGTCTATCATTGATGGACATTTGGGTTGGTTCCAAGTCTTTGCTATTGTGAATAGTGCTGCAATAAACATACGTGTGCATGTGTCTTTATAGCAGCATGATTTATAATCCTTTGGGTATATACCCAGTAATGGGATGGCTGGGTCAAATGGTATTTCTAGTTCTAGATCCTTGAGGAATCGCCACACTGTCTTCCACAATGGTTGAACTAGTTTACAGTCCCACCAACAGTGTAAAAGTGTTCCTATTTCTCCATATCCTCTCCAGCACCTGTTGTTTCTTGACTTTTTAATGATCGCCATTCTAACTGGTGTGAGATGGTATCTCATTGTCGTTTTGATTTGCATTTATGCAAACTCTCTGATGGCCAGTGATGATGAGCATTTTTTCATGTGTCTTTTGGCTGCATATGTCTTCTTTTGAGAAGTGTCTGTGCATATCCTTTGCCCACTTTTTGATGGAGTTGTTTGATTTTTTTTTCTTGTAAATTTGTTTAAGTTCTTTGTAGATTTTGGATATTAGCCCTTTGTCAGATGGGTAGATTGTAAAAATTTTCTCCCATTCTGTAGGTTGCCTGTTCACTCTGATGGTAGTTTCTTTTGCTGTACAGAAGCTCTTTAGTTTAATTAGCTCCAATTTGTCAATTTTGGCTTTTGTTGCCATTGCTTTTGGTGTTTTAGTCATGAAGTCCTTGCCCATGCCTATGGCCTGAATGGTATTGCCTAGCTTTTCTTCTAGGGTTTTTATGGTTTTAGCTCTAACATTTAAGTCTTTAATCCATCTTGAATTAATTTTCGTATAAGGTGTAAGGAAGGGATCCAGTTTCAGCTTTCTACCTATGGCTAGCCAGTTTTCCCAGCATCATTTATTAAATAGGGAATCCTTTCCCCGTTTCTTGTTTTTGTCAGGTTTGTCAAAGATCACATGGTTGTAGATGTGTGGTATTATTTCCGAGGGCTCTATTCTGTTCCATTGGTCTATATCTCTGTTTTGGTACCAGTACCATGCTGTTTTGGTTACTGTATCCTTGTAGTATAGTTTGAAGTCAGGTAGCATGATGCCTCCAGCTTTGTTCTTTTGGCTTAGGATTGTCTTGGCAATGCAGGTAAAGCCATCAGATCTTATTACAACTCACTCACTATCACGAAAACAGCATGCAGGTAACCGCCCCCATGATTCAATTACCTCCCACCAGGTCCCTCCCACTACACAAAGGGATTATGCGAACTACAATTCAAGATGAGATTTGGGTGGGGACACAGTCAAACCATATCAGAAGCCAATTACAAAAGACCATATATTGTATGATTCCACTTACATGAAATGTCCAGAATAGGCAAATCTATGGAGACAGAAAGTAGATTAGTGGTTTCCTGGGAAGGTTGAGGGAAAATGGGGAGTGTCTGTTAAAAGACATAAGGTTTCATTTTGTAATGGTAAAAATGTTCTAAAATTGTGGTGATGGTTGCACATTCTCTGAATATATTAAAAACCATTGAATTGTATACTTCAAAGGGATGAGTGTATGCTATGTGAATTATAGCTAGTAAAGCTATTTTAAAGATGTATCTGTATTGTTTGTTCCCACAACCACTGGCAGAATTTTCAAGAATATTGCTTCAGTTTCTTTATGAACACAATAGAATCATATACTTACCAACACCTTTGTTCTTTTTGGAAAACTGGATATTTTTTGGCAACTTTTTTCCTCTGTTGTTTTATGCATTTATAGACTAACATAGTTATCCTTTTTTTCAATAAGTCTGTCACTGATATTTTTATTTTTTTTCTGCTTTTGCCTTTCCTTAAAATATCATCTTATAAACTCTATTTTTTGTGAGCATAGTTTTACTTCTATCTTCAATAAATTTAAAAAATCTTGTGAAAGAATTTGCACATAGTTTTAAAATGAGATAGTATAAAAGGGCTTATAATGAAAAACAACAAATTCTGGTGTTCTGTCCTCCCTCCTATTCCTGCTACCCACTTTTTAACTGTTTCTGTTTGTTACTCTGATCATATTTCCCATATTATTAAAAAGCTCATGCATGCATGTTCCAAGTTGATTTCCAACTGTGATAGATGAATAAATAGCCAACTTATGTTTGGCTGTTCATAGGATTCTTGGGTGAACATAAATTTGAAGACATTGCTTTATCATCTTTTACAATTGTATTTTGTATTCCTGTTGAAAGATATACTTGTTCCTTTTTTCTCCCTCTTTCCTTCTCTTTCTCTGAAAAATTTAATAATTATCTTTACGCCCGTGTTTTAAAATTTCACAGTTATATGCCTTGTATGTACAGTTTTTAAAATCCATTGTGTTTGGCCTTTGGTAAGTGAATTAGTCCATTCTGATGCTGCTAGTAAAGACGTACCCAAGACTGGATAATTTATAAAGGAAAGAGGTTTAATGGACTCACAGTTCCACATGGCTGGGGAGGCCTCACAATCATGGCGGAAGGCAAAGGAGAAGCAAAGGCATATCATACATGGTAGCAGGCAAGAGAGTGTGTGCAGGGAAACTCCCATTTTTAAAACCATCAGATCTCCTGAGACTTATTCATTACCAGGAGAACAGTATGGGGGAAACTACCCCCATGATTCAATTATCTCCACCTAGCCCTGCCGTTGACACATTTGGATTATTACAATTCAGGTGAAATTTGGGTAGGGACACAGTCAAACCATATCAGTAAGCATTTCAGTCTAATGAATACTGTTTCTCTTCAACTCTGGAAATTGTGTGAATAATTTCTTCAATAATTTTCTTCCCTCTGTTTGTATTATCATTTGGGGATTCCAACTAGTTGAATGGAAGGTCACCTAGAGTGATTTTCTGTTCTTCTCAATCAGAATTCCTCATGTGAACCACAGACTCAGAAAATGGTTTGACTAACTTTTTTCTCACATCTTCCAAGGCTAGTCTTAACCAGTACCATTCTAGATACATGAGAGAAATTAATAGATAACATACAGTGATTGTCTAGGACGAGGGTCAGTGAACTTTTTCTTAAAGGGACAGATAGTAAATATTTTCGGTGTTGTAGGTTGGGAGGCAAAATCAAGGCTATGGTGTAGGTATTTATATACCTATCTGAAATGTAACCATTTAAAAATATAAAAAATATTCTTATCTTGTGAGCCATTAAATTAAAAAGTAGATGGCTAGCTGGATTTAGCACACAAGCCATAATTTGCCCAGCCTCTTTTTTTAGGGCATTAGGGGTTAATTCTTTCACTGACTCTGTTCAGAAAATCCTCTTTTTTATTTTCACTCATTTCCCTTCAACTTAGTTTTTTATTTTACCTTTGGGGAGATTTCCACAAATTTTTCTTAAAGCACTTCTATTTTAATTCAACAGTCGTTTTTCATTCCAGCACTTCTTTTTTGTTTTCCAGTTCCCTTTTTTAGTATCTTGTTTTTGTTTTATGGATGCAAGACATTCCTAAATGTTTCTAAGGATACTCCTTATAGTTTTTAAAACTCTTTTCTTTTGTTTCCTAAATTATCTCTTTTTCCTTTGAGGACAGTTTTTCTAATTTGTACGTTCGTGATCTCTGGTAATCTATCATACTTAACAGTGATAAAACAGAAAAATCATCTGTTGTTTCTCTAGGTAAAATGCATAAACATTTAACAATTATATGTTACAATTTTAGTTACCATTTATATTTTATATATTAAAACTGATGCTTACAGGAACAGAAAACCAACCACCACATGTTCTCACTTATAAGTGGAAGTTAAACGTGAGTACACATGGATACAAAGACAGGAACAATAGACACCGCGGCCTGCTTGAGGGTAGAGGAGAGGAGGAGGGTGAGGATAGAAAAGCTGCCTGTTGGGTACTATGCTTATTACCTGGGATGAAATAATATGTACCAAAAAAACCCATACCACACAGTTTATCTATAGAACCAACTTGTACATGTACTCCCAAAACTAAAATAAATTTTTTTAAAAAAGGAAAAAAATCTGATGCTTATATTTTCATTAAATCTCCTCCTGAAATCAGACATAAAGAGAAAATCTCTAATAAGAGGGTGTGTGTGCGTGCGTGCTCGTGCATGTGTGTACATGTACCATCTGGAGGCTAAGGTGGTATTTGAGACATTCTGTCATTAGGGCAGTTGCCCCTGTTGCTTTGACACTCTGTTCTTTCGGTGGTTTTCAGCTTCCTCTGCCCTCCATCATCACTTCCATCCCTGCTTCATCTGTCTGCTAGGTAACTGTTGAAATTACTCAGCTGCTGATGGCCCTCTCATCTTCTTTGCTGTAATGGTTTTATATCTTTTACAAACTATTACCTATGATTTAAATAGACTCTCCCAAGAGAGAAGATAGCTGTTTATGTTCATGTTTTAATTAGTATTTTTAATTTTTAATTAGTATTCTCACTACACATTTTAAACTATATTTTTGCATTTATTATATGCTTCTGAAATACAAAAAGCAACATGAATAAGTCATTTGTGATGTTTATAACTCAGTAGGGAGATATCACACATATGCCAAATTAACTTTAATAAAAGGAAAAAATGTAGTAAATCTGATCAACTACTTTGAAAATAGAGGAGTGGTAGTGAATGGGGAGGTCAGGCTCTAGGGAGAGGTTGGCATTTGAGCTGGGCTTGAATGATGAGCACAGTGTAGACATGTAGAGTGGAGAAGGTGTTGCAAGTGGATAGACCTTAACATGCTCAGAAGTACAAATCAGAAAATGCAAGAAGCAATTAGTAGTGAGTTTCCAGTGTGATTACAGTATAGGGTAGATGCATATTTGGTTGGGCAGGGGGACATTTGTAGGACACAAGGCCAGAAAGGGAAATTGGACTCAGATCATGAAGGATCATTCCATACTCAGGCTTTTGGATTTTGTTATTTAGACCATTGGGGACAACTTTTAAGTAGGGTGTAAAGATGGCTTAAATGTCTTCTAGGTAAGTCCGATTACAGTACGAAAGATAGATTAAAAAGATAAGATAGGCCAGGCGTGATGGCTCACGCCTGTAATCCCAGCACTTTGGGAGGCCGAGGTGGGTGGATCACCTGAGGTCAGGGGTTCGAGACCAGCCTGGCCAACACGGTGAAACCCTGTCTCTACTAAAAAAATACAAAAATTAGCCAGGCCTGGTGGCACGCCCCTGTAGTCCCAGCTACTTGGGAGGTCGAGGCAGGAGAATCGCTTGAACCCAGGAGACGGAGGTTGCACTGAGTTGGGATTGCACCACTGTACTCCAGCCAGGGTGACAGAGTGAGAAGGGAAAAAAAAAGATAGTTGAGGTAGTGAATCCTGTTATAAGCTATTAATTACAGTCTGAACCAGGACAGCAGATTAGTTTCTTAGCAATATTCATTAAACATCTGCAGTGTCTGCTAGATATTTTGATAGACATTGATACTTTGGAGGTTTTTCCTCAAAATGGTTTCTATAGCCCTGTCTCCCTCCCTACTCCAACTGGGGCCATCCTAAGCAAAGCTCTGCTGACTCCCTGCCTGAGTTACTAGGGCTCCAGCTCCTGTAGACACCAGGGTCTGTCTCCAGTCCAATTCATTTTGTGCACCACTGACAAAATAATCTTCAGATGTGACCTAAATTATGTCATTTCTCCTTTTAAAACTGCTTTGATCCCCCTACCAATCAAGTCTTAACTCTTCTTCTGGATGTCAGTGTCCCCATCCTGGCTCTACCCTAACTAACCAAACTTTTCTTGCCAGTGTCTAATGCAAAAATATTCTTGTGAGGCCATGACGGGAGGAACACTTGAGCCCAGGAGTTCAAGATCAGCCTAGGCAACACAGTGAGACCTTGTCTCTGCAAAAATTTTTAAAAAATTAGCCGAGCATGGTAGTGCATGCCTGTAGACCCTCAGGAGGCTGAGGTGGGAGGATTGCTTGAGCCTGGTTGCACTGAGCTGTGATCGCACCACTGCATTCCAGCCTGGGTGACAGAGTGAGACTCTATCTCAAAAAAAAAAGAATCTTGTCGTCTTTGTCTGTCTCATTTCCTTAGAGCACGCTCATTCTGCCCCCATGCCTTCTTTTCTCATGTGACCTTGCTGTGCATGTTCTCTATACCTTCTCATTTAAATTCTTCCCAACTTTCAAGTCTTAGCTCAGTTACATCTCCTCAAAAGTTCTTCTACATCTTCTTTGAAAAAAAATCATCTTACACTGTTTTTCTTTTTCTTTCTTTCTTTTTTTTTTTTTTTTTTTTTTGAGACGTAGTCTCACTCTGTTGCCCAGGCTGGACAGTGCGGCGGCACGATCTTGGTTCACTGCAACCTCTGTCCCCCAGGTTCAAGCGATTCTCCTGCCTCAGCCTCCCAACTAGCTGGGGTTACAGGTGCCTGCCGCCACACCCAGCTAACTTTTGTATTTTTAGTAGAGACAGGGTTTCACCCTGTTGGCCAGGCTGGTTTCAGACTCCTGAACTCAAGTGATCTGCCTTCCTTGACCTCCTTAAGTGCTGGGATTACAGGCGTGAGCCACCATGCCCACCCTTTTTTTGGGGGGTGTGGTGGAGGGGAGGGGACAGGTTTGCACTCTGTTATCTAGGCTGGAGTGCAGTGGCACGATCTCGGCTCACTGCAACCTCCGCCTCCCAGGTTCAAACGATTCTCGTGCCTCAGCCTCCTGAGTAGCTGGGACTATAGGCATGTGCCATGATGCCCAGCTAATTTTTGTTATTTTTGTAGAGATGGTCTCCCTATGATGCCCAGGCTGGTCTCCAACTCCTGGGCTCAAGTGATCCTCCCACCTCAGCCTAGGAGTGCTGGGATGACAGGTGTGAACCAGCACATCCGGCCGTCTTAACACTATTTTTCCCTCCCCATGTTGTCTAGCCTTATGTTTGGCATGTCTATCCTCAGTTACTCCATGGTCACAATACGGCTGCAGGAGTGCCAGCTATCCTAACAACATTTCAGACAGGAAAGATAAATGCAAGGGGCAAAAGGGACATCTCTCCCAGCTGAGTCAGCCACCTCTGAAAAGCTCTCCTGAGGAGTGACTGGCACTAGGTTGGCTTCATTGGTTGCCCGTAGGTACAAGGGATACATTTCTAGATAGACATATTCAGGGTCTCCATGTTAAACAATTCCATAGGACACCATTCACAAAAAAACAATATATAGAATAGAACAGAGTATTCAATATCTTTATCTGGGTTTGATACATATACGTATGTATCATATACATGTACAGTATGTATATGTATTTTTACATACGTATATGTATTTTACATACTGTATATGTATATGATACATACGTATATGTATTTTACATACTGTATATGTATATGATACATATGTATATGTATTTTTACATATACATACTGTATGATACAGTATGTATATGTAAAAAGTTATCAAGCTATATAGTTAAGATTAGTATACTTTTTTCTTCCTCATCCCAACATTAGTATACTTTATACTTCATTGAATATGTGTTGTACTTCAGTTTTCAAAAATTAGTGGTTTCCTCAAGAGGTGTGCAGTGTGATGAGCCTGGGAACGTGGCTGTAGGTAAAACTAGGATTATGTTCTCAGAGGGAAAAGTAGACACTGAGTTAGGTATCTAGATATCTTTGTCACAAGCATAGGACTTTTTTCTATCAATAGTTTTGACATGTACACCAATGTTTTAAGATATCACAGTGTTCAATATAATATATATAGTAGGCGATTTTTATTTTGATATCGAAACATTCCCACAAGAATGAAAGCATTGGCTTTGAAAAACAAAATATTGCTTGTAATTTTTATTCATGTGCTACAAAGCTTAAACCTTAAGTGAAAACGCAGTGTATACTTTTGACTGCTATGTACTTTATATAGTAAAAGCAACATGTAATTTTATTAAGTCAATAATAAAAGGATTCACAACACTAGTTTCTGAAAAATGTCCACTTTGGGTGGCTCTAAACTGATTAATAAAAAGCAAGTAAATAAAACTGATCATAAGGTGTCAAAATCTAATCTGTATTTATAAGCGTTTGCAAACATTTAAGTAATCTTTTGAAATTTTCTTTTACTTCCTTTCGTTCTGTTAGAAAAATCTGAAAAATAAACAACCAGATTCACTTTGTTGTTGTTGTGAAACTACTAGAAAATGAGTGACACATGACTAGTCTGCTCTTATTTCATGTAATTTTAAAATGCATTCCAAATAATCGGAATTAGAAAATGGCAACTTCTTTTTGTTTGTTTGTTTTGTTTTGTTTTTCTTGAGATGGAGTCTCTCTATGTCGCCCAGGCTGGAGTGCAATGGCACAGTCTTGGCTCACTGCAGTCACCACCTCCCAGGTTGAAGCGATTTTCCTGCCTCAGCATCCCAAGTAGCTGGGACTACAGGCACATGCCACCATACCTGGCTCATTTTTGTATTTTTAGTAGAGACGAGGTTTCACCATGTTGGCCAGGCTCGTCTCGAACTCCTGACATCAGGCGATCCACCCACCTCGGCCTCCCAAAGTGCTGGGATTACAGGCATGAGCCACCATGCCCGACCAAATGGCAGCATCTTTAAGCATTTATTTCTGAGTATCTGTGGGTTGATGTTTACTTGTTTTTAAATAAAGATTGTGTTTTTCTTAGGTTCATCCTCAGCAGCACCGGCTTCTTTTTGAAGTGTTTGACGAAAACCGATTGGTAAGTTATATTGTGCTTATATGAAATATGAAGTAAGGGTACATTTCAGTGGAGCAGCCAGGGGAAGTGGGTAAGCAGTCTGGGATTTGAGTGATGGCTTGGGGGTGGTTATGGAGACTCTGGGCAAAATGGTGAGGGAGATAGAATTTGTTTTCTTCCTCCTGGTCCTACTCGCTCCCTTTCCATTCTCCTCCCAAGCACCTCTTCTGATTGCCAACATATTATAAGGTCTTACTCAAGACCTCTTGTGACAGGAGAGGACAGAAAACCAACCTCTTTGTCCTGCCTTCCCTCTCACTCGCCCATGACCCCTGGTTCCTACTCCATGGCTCTGGGAATCTTCCCAGGGTATCCTTCAGTTGCGCCTCCTCACTACAGTGGCCTTTCTTAGGGTTACCTGTATCCAATGGACATCCTATCCACTCTCTCATCCCCACTCTTCTACAGAGGAAATCTGTCCTTTTTACACTGATAAGGAATGAGCAAATAAAGTCTTCTCAAAGATGGCCAGCTCTTACAGAAGCAAAAAGCAAAGTTAAACCTGATGTTCTTTTTATAAAATGATTGTTCTGATTTCTGAATTCCTAAAGACTCTCTTAAAGTCCTATCCTTTTCCTAATTTTGTCTCTGAGGATCCAATCTCAAACCCTCATCTTAGCATCTTACATCTATATTTTAAACCTGTAAGATTTGAACAGGTAAGTATAGAAACAGTGTTATGTGTGCAAAGCTTATCAGTTACAAGCACCAGAAAAATTAAACAGTTTTGTTCATTTTTTAGCTAACAGAGAAACTAGCTTTTTTTTTAAAAAAAAGTCTGTTTTTAGTGTTAAACTACATTCATGTTTTTTTTGCCCTCAAGAAATGGTAATTATACTGGCAACTAAAGATATTGCCAATGAAATCTTTAATAAACATCATACTAAGCAAAAGTACATTATTGCTGCCAAAGAAGACTATCACTGACTTGCTATATATATATATATTTTTTTTTTTTTTTGAGATGGAGTCTCGCTTTGTCGCCAGGTGGGAGCACAGTGGCTCAGTCTCAACTCACTGCAACCTCCGCCTCCAGGGTTCATGCAGTTCCCCTGCCTTAGCCTCCCTAGTAGCTGGGACCACAGGCGCTCACCACCACACCTGGCTAATTTTTGTGAATTTTAGTAGAGATGGGGTTTCACCATGTTGGCCAGGATGGTCCTGATCTCCTGATCTCGTGATCCGCCTGCCTCTGACTCCCAAAGTGCTGGGATTACAGGCATGAGCTGCCATGCCCAGCCTGGCCATCTAATTTTTAAGGCTAAGTGACAGATGTTGCTGATTTGATTATCAGATATGGTTAGTTACAGAGCTATTTGTTTTCTGTCTGTGTTTTTGCTTGTTTAAAAGAATATAAAATGTTTTCCTTTTTTTCCCCTCTGAATCTATAGACCTGTTTTCCTTTATTTATTATTATTATTTTTTGACAGAATCTCACTCTGTTGCCTAGGCTGGAGTGCAGTGGCGCAGTCTCAGCTCACTGCAACCTCTGCCTCCCAGGTTCAAGCTATTCTCCTGCCTCAGCCTTCCAAGTAGCTGGGATTACAGGCACCCGCCTCCTTGCCCAGCTTATTTTTGTATTTTTAGTAGAGACGGGGTTTCACCATGTTGGCCAGGCTGGTCCCTTCTAGATGGAAACAAATTAAACTTTGTATTGGTGGAGTTTTTGTGTGTGTTTTGTTTTTAACTCATGAAATATACATACAAAAAAGCCCACATAATATAAATATTTTAAATAATAAGACAAATATGTATACACGTTACTCAGCTTAAGAACTAGAACATTACCAAAATCTTTGAAACCCTCCCTAGATCCCTCCTTAGTAGCATCTTCTTTTCTTCCTCCACAAGTACTAGCCACTGTCCTCAATTTTGTTTTTATCATTCTTTGCTTTTTAAAATACTTTTATCACATGTATATATATCCCCAAAAAACACATTGTTGGCCGGGCATGGTTGCTTATGCCTGTAATCCCAGCACTTTGGGAGGCCGAGTTAGGTGGATCACCTGAGGTCAGGAGTTCAAGACCAGGCTGGCCAACGTGGTGAAACTCTGTCTGTAATAAAAATACAAAAATTAGTTAGGCGTGATGGTGGGCACCTGTAGTCCCAGCTACTTGGGAGGCTGAGTTGGGAGACTTGCCCGAACCCAGGAGGTGGAGGTTGCAGTGAGCCAAGATAACACCATTGCACTTCAGCCTAGGTGACAAGAGCGAAACTCTGTCTCCAAAAAAGCAAAAACCCACATTGTTTATTTTGCATATTTTTTAATTTGTAAAAATAGTATATCTCTATAGACATTCCTCTGATATGCTTTTTTGCTTAACATTATATTTGTGAGATCTGTGATTACACATTTCAATGATGCATAATTTTCTATATTCTGAAAAATCATAATGCTATAATTTATGTATTTAACCTCCTTAATAGATATTAGTGTTATTTCCAGTATTTTGCTCTTACAAATTGATAAACATTTTTATGTCTCCCTATGTACGTGTCTGAGTCTATCTCTAAGAGATATGTTTTAGAGTTGAATTGCTAGATCATGGTATTACTGTTATTTTTCCTGTTGCCACTGATACCGATGTGAATTTTGCCTGATCATTGAGTGTATTATTGGTGAACTATTTTATTTGCGTTATTTGCATGTTGTCCACAAGGAGGGACAGCTCACATTTGTGCTTTCCACCATGCTTAATTGTCTGGTCCATTTTGCCAGTAACTTTAGTATTTGCGTGACTCTTTCTTAATGGCCAGAATGGCTGTTTGTCAAACACTAATCAGTGAATTAACATTCCTTAAGCATTTACTGTGTATATAATACTATAAAGTGTGTCATGATAGGTTGGAAGAAAAAAGTATTGCCTTTGATATTAACAGTTGGATATTTATAGATGGATAAATATGACAAAATTTTTAAAACTTTTAACCATATGAAAAAACAAATAACACATTAATCAAAATATTGTAACACCTGTAATCCCAGCACTTTGGGAGGCTGAGGCGGGTGGATCAGGAGGTGTTCCTGAGGTTAGGTGAACACCTGATGTCAGGAGTTCGACACCAGCCTGGCCAGCATGGTGAAACTGCGTCTCTACTAAAAATACAAAATTTAGCCAGGCCTGATGGTGCGCACCTGTAGTCCCGGCTACTCTGGAGACTGAGGCATGAGAATTGCTTGAGCCCAGGAGGTGGAGGTTGCAGTGAGCTGAGATCACACCATTGCATTCCAGCCTAGGCAACAGAGTGAGACTCCGTCTCGGCGAAAAAAAAAAAAAGTTATTATAGATCCCCACACTAAGGACTAAGAAATTCTATTATAATCCTGCCTTTCTTTTGGGGTATTAGCTTGTAACCCTAAACAAATTATTCAATCCTTCTAAAAATACCTTCTCACATTTAAAAAATGAGGACAACAATATTTGCCCTGCCTATCTCATAAGCATATTGTGAGGATAAAATGAGACAATGACGATGAAAATACTTGGAAAATTCTTTATCATGATACAAATATAAAATGTCATTTAACATTCGTAGACTTAACGCGTTTGTAGCTCTCTGATATGGTATATCTTGTGTTAGCTAAGATATACCATTTAGTATATCTACTGTGTTAGATGCTCTTCTATGAGTGGGAAATACAGCTTTTCTTGAGAAACTCGGTTTACCAGCAAAACAAAGAGCCAAAGATAATTAGAACATGGTGGTGTGTGTCATTCTAGTCCTCTTGATTTGTTGCTAGTCTTAGCAGGTAAGGGAGGTATAGAGATGACCTGAGATGTTATAGAACCTATAGCCATTGGTGGAGTAACAGACCTGATTGTATAGCAACAAATGACCTGTGTCATTATAAATGTCATTCCGTCTTTATTCTGCTGAGGCACTCACAACTAAATTTAAAATGTACCATTTTCCTAGCAAATTCTCTTGGAAAATGGAGGGTGAAGAACACAAGTATAATATTAAGCAGAAACAACTTTAGTCATCTGGAAAACGTTTGTAATGTAAGTGATATTTGCTTTCAATAAAGAGTAGGCTTATATCACTTTTTTCCAGCCAATTTTAAGACTTGAGTGTTATAAAATATTGTCGTTTCATTATGGTGATGGTGGTGGTAGTGGTGGCAATAATGACAGAACATTTCAGAATGATGTGTCTTAAAAAAACTCTACCCACCAATGCAAAAGTTAGCACTGTGTCACCAGTCTAAGATATACACCTGTACACATTCAGCCACCGGTTTTAGGAGCCACCTATATTCTGGGTGGAGACCCTGTGCTTCTCACGTTTAGCAGTTGTATTAGTGAAGGTTCTCCAGAGAAACAGAAACAATAGATTGTGTATATATTTTATGTATTATTTATTTTTCATATATTTTATATATGAAATTATGTATAATATATGAATATATATATTTCCACACAATATATATATAGTGAAGACTTCAATCTGAAATCTGCAGGGCAGGCCAGGAAGCTGAGAACTTAGGCAGGGATTCTACATTGTAGTCTTGAGGCAGAATTGCTGCTTCTTACACAACCTGTGTTTGCTTTCAAAGCCCTCAGCTGATTGGATGAGACCCACACACATTGTGGAGGGTAATGTGCTCTACTCAGAGTCTACTGATTTAAATGCTAATCATGTCTAAATGTCTTCATAGCAATGTCTATACTGATGTTTGACCAAACAAGTGGGTACCATAACCTATCGAAGTTGATACATACAATTAACCACCGCAGCTGACTTTGGCCTTCAAAGTTCAGTCAATGATTAAGATTACCCAGAGCCTATCCATACCATGTAGATAATCACATTATTTTCCATGTAGATGATCAGTAACCAACAGCTCTGAATGTGAGGTTCTTAGCTTCAATCCTAAGACGTTATCTGTTTCATTCCGGAATATGAAATTCTATGTAGGACTTGCATGGATTCTTTCCAGATGAGGGCTGCCATGTCCCTCCAGTTCTTCTACACTTAAGGTTAGGATTAACACTCCTGTTTTGGTATTTGCTGGACTGAGAGACTACATTTTATAGCAAGTTCCCCGATTTCCCATGTAACTGCTATAATAGCAGTATAGATCCTATGCAATTTCAGACCTCAGCCAGCAATGCAAATTGTTCAGCCTCCCTAGAATTTAAACTCAGACTAGAGTGCTAGGAAGTGCATGTGATTCTCTTACCTTACATTTCCTTGGCTGAAACCCTCTCTGTAAATTTTTCAAACGTCATTCTTTCTTGTCCACCTGCAGTGCTTTTTGATATTTCTTTAAAAGTGGCGGCTGGATCAACTTCAACAACAACAAGAAAAATCCTGAAAGAAAGCATTAGGCATTCAGAGTGACTGTGATGACACCATCCATCTCTCCATCCAGACTTCTATCTGGTGTCTTCTGGTACTTACTTTGAGCCCAGGATGAGCTCAGGAGCATCAGAAGAAATGTGTAGTTATGGCCCATGCTCTCTGGAAAGTTAAAATCTAGTTAGGGGACATGGAACTGATGCTTATAGTGAAGCTTACCAAAGAGAAGACATTTATCTGACCAAATACTTGGAGTTCATTATTTTATATGTTAATAATGAGAGGAGCTTTTCTTATTTCCTGGAAGTTTTAGGCCACAGACATGAACAATTAGATCTCATTGATTAGCCTATTAGAAGGGATTCATTCTTTGAGTTATTAGACCCCACACTTAATCCCAGAAAGAACGCTGAAGTCATTTGAAGGCAGAGTAAAACAGGACTCCTCCTTATTTAAAAGAAAAAGATGTTAAGAGAATATTGACTGAAGTCTGTAAAATCATAAAGGAGGTGGTTTATACAAAAGCAAAAATAACATAATAATTGTATTACTAAGTTTTCAACTATTGTACGCATTCAAAAACAGGGCTGTTTCATTCTAGTCAAATGAAATGCAATGAATTCCCATAATTCTGTTTTGTGTCTTAATTGATTAAAAATCTGTTTAGAAAATTCTGATCAAAAACAGATCTATCTTAAGCAGTTTTTTTTTTTTAACAAAGTATGAGTATATGTTTTACATATTTGCTTTTACTTAGGAAAAAAAACTTACTTAGCAAAATACAACTTGGGTGTAGTAGCATGTGGTATAAACAACGGAACTATTTTACCTTTTACTTTCCTATGAATGAGCCAGTATATATTTATTACTGGAGTTCCAGCTATAAAATTTAGGTGAGGGGTTTAAATATACCCTAGAGTATTATTTAAAAATAAATTTGTTTCTTTCAAATAGAATACCAACCTTGGTCTATGGCATTTGAGAGAGAAATTAAAATATTAAATTTTGATTGCCTAGTAAACTGAAAATAAAGGTTAAATAAATACAAAGCAGAAAAAATATATATACAAAATCACAACCTCTAAAAGGACAAACAGTCCACTGTTCTCTACTGTGGGAGCTTTATCAGCACTGGTGAGTAATTCCACCTCTAGGGTAGGGCTAGCTCTCAAAAATGTAAACAAGTATGTACTTCGTTTATATAAAGAAATGTGCAGCTTGGTTTGTATTTCTTTATAGATATCAAACAGCTAAATGGATTGTTTCAAAGTACCAGCAGGGGCCAGCAAAGAGCTCTTAGAGTTTTTCAGAACAGAATTGGCATTGAGACATGTTTATTTGATGTGCTAAATCCTTTTTAGACTTCTTTACTTACCACAACACTCTCTTAAGTGAATGAATTGCAGAGACAGTGGAATAAAATATCCTGTGTGTTCAAACTATCTTGGGGTATAGTTTTTTTTTTCTAATCTGCATATATTTTTATTGGAATGTTTGCTTAGGCTATTTCTTGGCAGTTTTAATAGTCAAAATATAAATGGCATCATTTAAAGACTGTTCTACTTGGCTGGAAAAGGCCTTAAAATTACAGGAGAAAATGCTTAGTGACAGCTTCTCTTAAACTTTTTTTCTTGAACCTATGCTTCAGTTTTGCAATGGTATTACTAGGTTAATTTTGTAGTTCTGTCCTTAAGCTTTCACTTTTTATGTAACTAGCACTTTGGAAGCTAAAATATGTATCTATTTGATGTAGTGCTAAAGTTTTAATTCATTGTAAAGTTTTGGTATTTCCAAATTTACCTAACTGTTTGAATTCACACATTAAAAAAAAAAAATTAACAGTCCCTATATTAACTAACTTGACTAGATTCCTAGTATGGCTACTATTTGGAAATTCAATCTTTGATTTGATGCTTAATTACATGGGGTTTTGTTCCTACCAACTTCCTGTAATTCTATACCTATGGGTAAAAATATTAGTGGGCAAAGTCGGCTGGAGAAAGTATAGGCACTGTGATTCACATAGTTAAATGTTCATTTAGTAGAGCTGGGGTGAAAAAATACTGTTTCAACTTGAAATGTTAGAAGATTGTTGTTCTTGTGTTACTCATTCATGCAAATTGGAGAAGGTATAATTGAAACAAGGTTGGCTGTGTTTGAGTCAGTGTGCTGCAGCTGAGCTCAGCTTAAAGGTCGCTGGAAATCAAGTGCTTTGTAAGTGAAGGCATTTTGACTACAAGCGATTCAAGACATTTTGGAAACGTCAGTCTCTGGAATGGGTCGTCTTTTTCTTTCTATGATATCTGGTATCTAATGTTTTACTTAGGATAAAGACTACTACTTAATAGCTCTTTTAGGCACCACAAATGATTTTTTCTTTTGATGCAGTGCAGCTGCTTCTAGCCTGTCTACGGACAGAGATCTTTGTTATGACTTTCAGCCCTTAACATGTTTGGAAATGAGAACAAATGGCACAAAGCTTACGATTGCACTTTGCAGCCAGAAGAAGCAATACTTACCCTTTGTCAGAAACCTCCGGAGATGACTTGGATAGCCATGTTCACATGTGCTTCAAAAGACCAACACGGATTTCAACGTCTAACGTTGTTCAAATGAAGCTGACTCCCAGACAGACTGCACTAGCTCCGTTAATAAAGGAAAACGTTCAGTCTCAAGAAAGATCATCTGTTCCCTCATCTGAAAATGTTAATAAAAAGAGCAGCTGTCTACAGATTTCACTACAGCCAACAAGGTACAGTGGATATCTTCAGTCTAGCAATGTCTTAGCTGATAGTGATGATGCTTCGTTTACTTGTATCTTGAAGGATGGTATTTACAGTAGTGCTGTGGTCGATAATGAATTGAATGCTGTGAATGATGGTCACCTTGTAAGCAGTCCAGCCATTTGTAGTGGTAGCCTTAGTAACTTTTCAACCAGTGATAATGGGTCTTACAGCAGCAACGGTAGTGATTTTGGGTCATGTGCAAGTATCACAAGTGGAGGTTCATATACTAACAGTGTCATCAGTGACAGTAGTAGTTATACTTTTCCACCAAGTGATGATACTTTTTTGGGTGGAAACTTACCTTCTGACAGCACCTCCAATAGAAGTGTGCCAAACAGGAATACTACTCCTTGTGAAATTTTTTCAAGAAGTACAAGTACAGATCCTTTTGTCCAGGATGACTTGGAACATGGATTAGAGATTATGAAATTGCCAGTGAGCAGGAACACAAAAATTCCACTAAAACGTTACTCCTCCTTAGTCATTTTTCCTAGGAGTCCTTCAACTACCCGACCGACTTCTCCAACAAGTCTGTGTACTCTTCTGAGCAAAGGATCCTATCAAACTTCACACCAGTTTATTATTTCTCCTAGTGAAATTGCACATAATGAGGATGGCACTAGTGCTAAAGGATTTCTTTCAACAGCTGTCAATGGACTTCGGTTATCTAAAACAATTTGTACCCCCGGAGAAGTAAGAGACATACGGCCGCTTCACAGGAAGGGCTCGTTACAGAAGAAAATTGTTCTTTCGAATAATACTCCCAGACAGACTGTCTGTGAAAAGTCATCTGAAGGATATTCTTGTGTTTCAGTGCATTTCACCCAACGAAAAGCAGCTACATTAGACTGTGAAACAACAAATGGTGATTGTAAACCAGAAATGTCAGAAATTAAGCTTAATTCTGATTCAGAGTATATTAAGCTCATGCATAGGACATCTGCATGTTTGCCATCCTCCCAAAATGTAGATTGTCAAATAAATATCAATGGAGAATTGGAAAGACCACATTCACAGATGAACAAAAACCATGGTATTTTACGAAGAAGTATTTCATTGGGAGGAGCTTATCCAAATATTTCCTGTCTATCCAGCCTTAAGCACAATTGTTCTAAAGGGGGACCATCTCAGTTACTCATAAAGTTTGCATCTGGAAATGAAGGTAAAGTGGATAATTTATCAAGAGACAGCAACAGAGATTGCACAAATGAACTGTCTAATTCTTGCAAGGTAAGTTTCCTTTGGTCTTGGTAAATGTTAATTTATATGAGAATAACTTAATGAAATATTTGGAGAACATTTATTGTAACCAAGCAGTTTTACATATTTTCCTGGTCCTTAGCTAGCAGTATTTTGTAGTCATAAATTTTATATTTGTAAATCTGAAGAACTCTATGTATAGTTTTTTACTCTATTTGTTATTTTACCAGTGTACAAAATGTATATTTTTAAAAATCTTCCTAAGTGATTTAAGCTATAAAACTTTTCTACAACATAAAAAACTTTCTACAACAAAACAAACTTTGAATAACAGTCTATTTCATAACATTTTATCTTGGCATATTTTTCCTTTAAATGATATAGTATTCTTTTGTGTAGCTCAATACTTTATTCCTATTTTCAAATGATCATTTTGTTTTCTCCTCTTCTTAATCATTATGAAATAGAGTAAAATTTAGAATGCTTATTTAAAATATTAAACAAAAACCCATATCAAAGTGTAAAGATCTTTTTATAAATTATCATAGAGAAACTATATCTCAAATACATGTGTTTATAAGATCATTCATAAAAACTATTATGCTGCATGTTTAAAGCAGAGGAAAAATAAATGGCATTTGTATTTGTATATACCCTTAACCACAGGAATTTTGTTTCCACCCTATTTTTCTTTAGCCACGAGTTAATACTGCCCTCTAAAATGTAACTCACTCTTTCAACAATATTGAATTCTAAGTTTTAATATTTTTGAATTTGGTTTAAATTGCTAGGCATTTACCACAATTTTCTATTTACCTTTTCATTTTTTTGACAATTCAGCTTTATTATATTAGTAATTTAACTCTTATGAATCTTAGCCAAAAGTTCTTTATGTAATTTGGCCGTTCCAAAGTATTTAAAATGGTTTGAACTGAAATAGATTTTTTAAATTTCTGTATTTGGAATGTTTTACCAGATTCCAGGAAATTTAAAAAATTTTCTAACTAAAGCAATTTTACATGACAGTACATCATAGTTTTGGGGGGAAAAAACCTTAATCTGTGTTTTTGTAACATCCATTATGTTTATTAAAGATTGTTTTAAAAAAAAAAACTTCTGGATAAGTAACTTTAGGTGAATAAAATAGTAATTGCTAGTTTATTTTCTCTCTTCTGAAATCTGGTAAATATAATAATTGTTACCAATGCCCAGATGTTAATATAAGCCACTACTTTACTAAGGATAAAAAAAGATCAGATTTCAAATTCTGATCTATAATTTAGAATTTTAAATTCCATTTAGGAAACTTTTCTAAAACCAGATTTTAGGAGATTATAATCTAATCAACTGTTTTTCTTCCTGAAAGAAAGAAATGAAGTGGCACTGAGAAGAAACGTTAATAGTATGCTAGTTGAATTAATGTTACTTATAAATTTATTTTACACTTAATGAAATAATCTGAAAGGAATAATTCATGTAGAAATATTTGTAGAAATACCTTAAAATAGTTTATTTTGTGGTAATAATTATAGTTTGTTGTGGATGCTTTTGAGAAGAGTATTTTAAATGTGTTTTTTAATGAAATGTGGATCAAATGCCTTTTGCATTGTTAAAAATATCCACTGTTACTGGTTTTATTTATGCTTAGGTAAGCTAACTTAAATATTTTTTGTGACAATCAAATGTATAACTTTGTGCAGATTCTATCTTTTGGTAGATTATTGGATTATAAAATAATTCAGAAGTGTGCAGTTTGCTGGAGATTTAAATTGTCCCCCCGTTTAATGTTTATTAGACTTCTCTTTATAAAAGCATTGTAAACCATATAGTGACAGTTAAATTTAATTTATGCTATATCTAAATAGATCTAATTGATAAATCAAAGGCTTGTTTTATGGAGAAGATTCTAGTGTTGTTTTTTCTAAATATAGCAGTGGCAACAATAATGGGTTTTAGAAATAATCTTGTGTTTATCAATAATTATATATTAATCTAATTATAGTGGTATATTGTAACTCACTTATAAATAAACAGCTCCCAAAATATTTCCCATGACTCCAGTTAGTCTGGGTTAGTATTCTGATATGCTGAGTCCGGATTCACATTTAACAAGTTGATATTAGAGTAGCATTTAGTAATGTCAGCTATCTGTACTGAGCAGCCGTGAAATTAAATCACTGCTTTGGTCAGAGAACCTGGTTTCTAAAGCACTGAGAGTCTACAACTTCTTTTCTTATATGTTTAGCTACCAGTCTCTAGCAGTATAAAATTGAGTTTCTAGCTTACTGTAATCAACAGCTTATTAATGACTGATTTTTTAAATCTAATGAGAACTTTTACCTGTATCTGGGACACTGTCTGTGTTCTGTGTTTACAACTTAGAGTGAAGATGAGACTTTGTAGTCTATCTCCATAATAATGTTGATTTCAGGCATAGCAAACAACATAACAGTGACTGGCATATGTTTATTACATATGCCTTTTGAAATACAGTATTACTTTTGTAAAGGCTATATAATGACTTTTGATCTGAAAATAAATACTTGATATTTTAACAGTATGTGTAATATTTTGTCAGTTCAATCAAGAAGCAGGTTAAGGAGCTAAGGTACTATGTATACAGTTACAACAATGATTGCTATTCAGATTTCTAAATCTGTATAGTAGTTACTTTTCTCTACTGTTATTTTGTTTCCCCCATCTGTTGTTTTCTAAATCTCCTATGTTATGTTGTTAGGATGCTCAGAGATTTCAGTACCCTATTATTTAATGTGCATTAGCATTTTTCCCAAGCTTGAATGTCTTCCATTCTTTACTTATATTCATATTTTTATTAGAATTATTTTTTACATTTTTTCTTTTTGTTATAAAAGTTTTTGTTCATTATATGTAACTTAATCCTAAATAGGTAAATTGCTTAAGCCTAGTATAGTAGAACTGTAATAAACTTATGTCTTAATTATTTCAAAGCCTTTAACACTAATCTCAAGATTATACATTTCAATATTTTCTTATTTTATTGTTCTTCCTAAAATAGATGTTTTAAATATATACTTACTTTAATGTTCCATTATTTTCCAGTCCTTATTTTACTAAATTTAGCAGAATATTTAGAGAGATTTGGTTAAATTTATTTTGAGCAGCACTTATATAAACCAATGTAATTTATAAATATTCTAAAATGTGATGCCACAATGTTAATGACTAGTTTTAGAAAGTTGGTGAAAAATGTATATTTGTACATGTATATTTCTTAGAACTGAGGAATTGTTAATTTCAGACAGATTCAGAGTGCTGAATTGTTTGCTTGAAAACATTTTGTATTCTCTGTAGATGTGTCTTGTTTAATTCATCCAGTACACATTTGAGTGCCAGGCACTGTCCCAAGCACTGAGAATAAAAGATGAGTAAAATACAGTCTCTATTTAGGGGAGCTCCCATTCTAGTAATAGGGACATGCTTGTAAACATAAAAATTTTCAGTCTAGGCCGGGCGCGGTGGCTCACGCCTGTAATCCCAGCACTTTGGGAGGCCGAGACGGGCGGATCACGAGGTCAGGAGATCGAGACCATCCTGGCTAACACGGTGAAACCCCGTCTCTACTAAAAATACAAAAATTAGCCGGGCATGGTGGCGCGCGCCTGTAGTCCCAGCTACACGGGAGGCTGAGGCAGGAGAATGGCGTGGACCCGGGAGGCAGAGCTTGCAGTGAGTCGAGATCGCGCCACTGCACTCCAGCCTGGGCCACAGAGCGAAACCCCGTCTCAAAAAAAAAAAAATTTTTTTTCAGTCTAATATGTGATGTGCTAAATAGAGGTGTGTATGAAAAAGTAGAAAGATGTGACATTATTTATCTGGAGAGAGGACCTGGTTGGTAGAGGAAGGTTTCCCAGAGGAGGTGACATTTGAACCGAGTCTTGATAGGTAAACTGGAGTTCATCAGGCAGAGAAATCAAAGAGATTCTAGGGCAGGGATTCCCCATCTCAGCATTATTATATTGGGCTGGACACTTTTGTAGTGGGGGCTATCCTGTGCACTGTAGGATATTTAACAGCATCCCTGGCCTCCACCCACTAAATGCTAGTAACACCCCTTTCTCCCAGTGTGACAATCAAAAAGTGTCCCCAGACATTGCCAGATGTCCCCTAGGGGCAAAATTGTCCCCTGTTGAGAGTCACTGCTGTAGGTGGCAGCAGCAGCATATGCAAGGCTAGAAATGTGAAAGAATCTCCACTGTAAATAGTCCAGTGGGGCTCAAGCATAGGGTAGCCTGGGGATGTGGGAGGCGGTGATCTGCCAGAAGTGGGTCAGAGTCCGATTAGGCCTGGTGCTTCATGCTGAAGACAAAGAAGGGGGTCTTCGGCTGATAGTTAAGTAGTTGGGCAATGGAGGTCTTTATTTGAGAGTGTGAAGTGCTCTCTTTAAGGTTTTTAGAAGACAATTTTTCATGGTTTCATGGATTATAAATGAATTAAAGTTTTCCTAACTTGGATGACTGGGTTAACAGTGATGTTATGAACTAAGATGGAGAATTCAGGAGAGGGGCCAGATTGGGAGGGTGAAGAAGAAATCATGTATGAAGTTTATGTGTATCAGAGGCTGCCCTGATAGTGCTGTTTTCAAGTAGGGCAGTTGGACATACAGGACCAAGGCTCAGGAGAGAAGTGAGAGTTGGAAATGTAGATTGGGAGTCAGGAGTATAGTCAAAGCCTCAGATAAGGATGAACACGTTAGGGAAGGTATACAGTGAGATGGGAAGGGAAGATAAATTATAATTTTGGGGACCACCAACTTTGGTGAGGCGGTAGAAGAGGGGATAAAGAAGAGACTAAGGAGGAACCACACAGAGGCCAAGAGAGCATGGAGGCATGGAGAGCATGGAGGCGTGGAGGCATAGAGGCATGGGTGAAAGGTGAGGGAAGGAGGAAAGCAGACAGTACCACAGAGAACATAAGTATCCACTGGATGTGTCAGTTAGGAGGTCCATTAGCAAGAGTAGGCTCAGGAGAATGCGGGGTTAAAAGCCAGATTGAAGAAAGAATCAAACAGGTAAGGAAGCAGAAACAGCCAGCATAGGTTGCTTGCTCGATGTCATAAAATAAGCATGAGATAGCATAGGCAAGGTATATATGTAGTTATTGTTATACAGAAGGCATATGTGAAGTGGATATAAGATGTATAAGACAAACTCCCTCTCTACAGGGAGAGTACAGTCTCTTTTTCCTGGAGAAAAAAATAAAGGTTACAGTCTTACGTTCTTTCACCTTGGAACTATAGAATAAGCAAGTATGATGAGTGAAAAGGAAATTCAGCAATATCAAATGAAGGAAACAGAAAATTATAAGTGAAAACTTGAAATCGCTTATGAATATTCACACCTCATTTTGGACAGCATTAGTCTAACTTTCTCAGTCCCCTCTCTACCACCAAAAATAAGACGAGACAAAATAGAGCTTCCATGTAGAAAACAAGTCAAGGTTTTAAGGCCTATTCCCAGAAACTACTTGGATAATAGGCAATTCTGTCTATGTTGCCGGCTTCTTACAGGCTATGGAGCCTACCATGTGCTAGCTGTTGTGAGGCCTCACCCGTTTGTGTCCACTCTCCCTTTACATCACAGGTGACAGGGAAACAAGACAGACCAGGAGAAGCCAGGACAAGAGGCTTTGTAGGCTGAAGGGGCTTGGCAGAGTCTCTGGGTGAGGCCAGGCGATGTGTTGAGGTCAGGAAGGTGGTTAGCAGAAGGAGCAAATGAATGCTGAGAAAGGGAACCAGTTGTCTTGTCAGCATACCCTGGAAATAATCCAAAGTATTGCTCACACGTCTGGTTCAGTATCCTCTGTTCCTTGTGTAAAATTGGGAGACCATGGTCAGATGAAGACAGATACTTAGAGATACAGTAATTTCAAAACAAGAGATGAGCAGATCTGTCCCAGTTCAATGAGATGTTTTGGGAAGGACTCAACATGGGAGCAACTGTTGAAAAGCAATTTTACCCACACTAAGATTGAAGCGAACTGTTGGGATAGAACAAGAGCAGCAGACCTGAGGGCTTAGACGAGCAACCAGCTAGTGTGTATGTGCACCTTGTAGCTCGATTCATGGGTGAGTCACAACAAAGAACACCTTGAACAAGTAAGTAAATTCATGGCATTTCTAGTTAGGCCCGAGGATGTCTGTTGGTGAAGAAAGAGCGTAGGCCTTCTCTTGACTTAGAGGTATTATAAAACCATAACACTAGGAAACATTTTGATTACCTTAGTAGAAAAATACATTACCCAAGCAAGATATTGATGATATAGTAGACAATGTCTTTAAATTCAGTTATAACTAAACTTAGTTAAGTATAGTTATACCTGAAGTTAAGTACAGATATACCTAAAATAATATTATCCAGGATTGCTTCCTTTTATTTACTTTTTATCTCAATTGTTTTTTTATGATGAGGTCTCATTATGTTACACAAGCTGGATTTGAACTCCTGGGCTAAAGCAATCCTCTTGCCTCAGCTTCCTGTGTAGCTGGGACTACAGGTGCACTGCTGTGTCCGACTCACAGGCTACCCTCTAATGCTTTATTAAGGAATTAGAGAATGGCTTATTAAGATGTCAGCTGGGCCAGTGATTTTTAAATTCTCATGTGCATGTAAATAACATGGCGATCTTATTAAAATGCAGATTCTGGTTCTGGTTCAGTAGGTCTCAGAATGGGGGCCTGAGATTTCTGTATTTATAACAGATCGTACCAATGCTGGTAATTCCCCAGACACACTTTGAGAAGTAAGTCTTAAGGCCATTCTTTGATGAGAACAGTAATACAGTTCAAAGTCGAAGTATCCATTGAGTCCCTGCAATGCCATTATTGTGGCCATTATCACGAGTAATTCATTAAAAACATATCAATAATACTTCAGATACTAAGTGTACATGCAGCAGAAAAAAAAGTTAAAGATGGAGATATGGCAATAGGTAGGCAAATGTAAATTCACTAGAATTGATTAGAGAAGTATTCTGGAGAATGGATTAAGCAAATCTTTTCTGGGCTCAGATTTGCTAGAATACAGTTCCCTACTATAGAGAACAATGACTAGCTCAAAATAGACACTTAATAGATATTTATTAAATTAATGAATAAAGCCAGGGACCCTTTGGAATGAGGTAGAGATGACTGCAGAATCCTGATAGGTGAGGATGACTACACACAGCCTTGCAGAAACAGATAACCAAACTAGGATATTTGAGTGATGACTGTGATGATGAGTGGGAGCTACGTGATGCTTCATCCTTTGCGTGGAAGAGTGGCACTCTTAAATGAATACCTTGTCCCTGGGGTGAATGCCAATGGAATATTATGATCGTGACTCAAGGATTAGTTTCCACAGTGGAGTCTGATTCATAGCCTACATATTCCACTAACTGGTACCGTATAACTGGGTGTCTGGATAGAGGCTCAGATCAAGTTTCCTGAAAAGAAGATTGAATGGACAAAGATCTTTAAGGGTATTCAGACAAAAGCCATTTGACTAGCTTTCTTTCAGTTTATCGTTGTTTTATAAAATGACTTCCCTCTAGACTTTATTGTAAGAGCTGGGATTCTCAGACTAGTTCCTGGAGTTTTAAGTAACTGTTTCAGCTAAGAATGACCTTTACTTTTGTAACAAGGCTGAAAGACTGAACCCTCTTAAACAGTCACAGAGCTTACTGGAAACTCAAGTCGTCTTCAAAGCAAATGAGTTTAACAAGTATTTATCAGAAATAGAATATGTGCCTGCCATAAGTGGCAAATATTCTTCCTGGATGTGAAGAGGTTATAATTGAAATGAGACAATGGCATAATCCATAGAAAACAACCAGAGAACAATATAGTATAATATATAATAATGTTTATATACCTACTTCATGCAGGTAAACACCTAAACATTGAGATATGTGATTGCCCATATGATTTAATTACTTTTATCAAGGTAAAACATGTGCCCATTTTAAAAGTCAGATATTATTTCTTTGAAGATTTTCTGTCTTTTTCTCCATGTTTTCTCTTCCTAGAATTCCTGTTAGCCAAAGTTTGCACTTCCTGGATTGACCTTAAAATTTTCTTTTCTCTCCTGTTTTCTGTTTCTTTGCCTCCTTAATCTACTTCTTGGAAGATTTCTTCCAAGTTTCCCCCTTTCTTTAATTTTAAAATTTTGTTTATTTTTTATTTTTATTTTTTTTTATTTTTGAGACAGTCTGGCTCTGTCGCCCAGGCTGGAGTGCAGTGCCGTGATCTTGGCTCACTGCAACCTCTGCCTCCCAGGTTGAAGCAATTCTGGTGCCTTGGCCTCCCGAGCAGCTGGGATTACAGGTACGTGCCACCTGTCTGGCTAATTTTTTTATTTTTAGTAGAGATGGGGTTTCACCATGTTGGCCAGGCTGGTCTTGAACCTCTGACCTCAAGTGATCCACCTGCCTCAGCCTCCCAAAGCATTGGGATTATGGGCGTGAGCCACTGCGCCCAGCCTAAAATTTTATTTTTTATTTATTTATTTTTTAATTATACTTCAAGTTCTAGAGTACATGTGCACAATGTGCAGATTTGTTACATATGTATACATGTGCCATGTTGGTGTGCTGCACCCATTAACTCGTCATTTACATTAAGTATATCACCTAATGCTATCCCTCCCCCAGCCCCCCACCCCACAACAGGCCCCGGTGTGTGATGTTCCCCTTCTTGTGTCCAAGTGTTCTCATTGTTCAGTTCCCACCTATGAGTGAGAACATGGGGTGTTTGGTTTTTTGTCCCTGCGATAGTTTGCTGAGAATGATGGTTTCCAGCTTCATCCATGTCCCTACAGAGGACATGAACTCATCATTTTTTATGGCTGCATAGTATTCCATGGTGTATATGTGCCACACTTTCTTAATCCAGTCTATCATTGATGGACATTTGGGTTGGTTCCAAGTCTTTGCTATTGTGAATAGTGCTGCAATAAACATACGTGTCCATGTGTCTTTATAGCAGCATGATTTATAATCCTTTGGGTATATACCCAGTAATGGGATGGCTGGGTCAAATGGTATTTCTAGTTCTAGATCCGTGAGGAATCGCCACACTGTCTTCCACAATGGTTGAACTAGTTTAGAGTCCCACCAACAGTGTAAAAGTGTTCCTATTTCTCCACATCCTCTCCAGCACCTGTTGTTTCCTGACTTTTTAATGATCGCCATTCTAACTGGTGTGAGATGGTATCTCATTGTGGTTTTGATTTGCATTTCTCTGATGGCCAGTGATGATGAGCATTTTTTCATGTGTCTGTTGGCTGCATAAATGTCTTCTTTTGAGAAGTGTCTGTTCATATCCTTCGCCCACTTGTTGATGGCATGGGCAAGGACTTCATGTCTAAAACACCAAAAGCAATGGCAACAAAAGCCAAAATTGACAAATGGGATCTAATTAAACTAAAGAGCTTCTGCACAGCAAAAGAAGCTACCATCAGAGTGAACAGGCAACCTACAGAATGGGAGAAAATTTTTGCAATCTACTTATCTGACAAAGAGCTAATATCCAGAATCTACAAAGAACTCAAACAAATTTACAAGAAAAAAACAACCCCATCAACAAGTGGGCGAAGGATATAAAATTTTATTTTTAAAGTTCTTTCTTGTTTCTGATGATTTCCTAGTCCTAACGTCCTACTTGTTTTTATGAATACAATCTCTTATTTCTCTGAGAATATTTTACTTCGGGTTTGGTCTATTTTCTTTCTTAAGTTTTGTTTCAGGTCCTATGTTGTCTCTGGTTCCCTTTGGTCCCTTTGCTGTTGTTATTGTTATTTCTCTTTAATACTGGACATTTCCCTCCAGATATCTGTTGTTGATATTTGAGAGTAAGTCGCTATGAAGTTGCCTGGAGGTTCTGTAATTATGTTGGGCTTTTCAACTGGTGGGTTTCACTGTTGGGAAACCCCCCAATTGTTAGTGTCTTCTCTCTGAGGTCAATTTGTTTCTCCAGAGAAGAAACTTCTAATGATTGCCAGTTATGTTTTACAGCCATGGTTAGTGACAAATCAGGAGTGAAGGTGATTCCTTTATATAAGTTCTGCAACTGAGTGAATTCCAGGTAAAATATGTCTTAAAAGTGATATTTACTTACAGAATTCTTAACATGCTGATGATAATTTAATTCATTTGCAGTAAATGAAATGCCTGATTTTCTTTTCTTTTCTTTTTTTTTTTTTTGAGACGGAATTTCGCTCTTGTTGCCCAGGCTGGAGTACAATGGCACGATCTCGGCTCACTGCAGCCTCTGCCTCCTGGGTTCAAGCAATTCTCCTTCCTCAGCCTCCTGAGTAGCTGGGATTACAGGCATGTGCCACCGTACCCGGCTAATTTTGTATTTTTAGTAGAGACGGGGTTTCTCCATGTTGGTCAGGCTAGTCTCAAACTCCCAACCTCAGGTGATCCACCCACCTCGGCCTCCCAAAGTGCTGGGATTACATGCCTGGCCAAAATGCCTCATTTTCATACCTCTGGTCTGACATACCTTGTGTATATTCTAGAAGCATATACACTCCTAGAAAGACTGAAGTAAACACTCTCAAGTAGAAAATGTGGTTTCCTTAACGTATTTCTCAACTTTTTGCATTCTTGGTAATACATTGAAGTGCAAATATGCATACCTGTCACTCAGAAGAAGAGAATCAACCTGTTTAAAATGTGTATGGAAATACGCCGGGTGTGGTGGCTCACACCTGTAATCCCAGCACTTTGGGAGCCTGAAGTGGGCAGATCACTTGAGGTCAGGACTTTGAGACAGGCTTGGCCAGCATGGTAAAACCTCGTCTCTACTGAAAACAGAAAAATTAGCCAGGCGTGTTGGTGCACGCCTGTAATCCCAGCTACTCAGGAGGCTATGACAGGAGAATGTCTTTAACCTGGGAGGCGGAGGTTGCAGTGAGCCGAGATCGAGCCACTGCACTCCAGTCTGGGTGACAGAGTGAGACTCTGTCTCAAAAAAATGAAATAAAATAAAAGGTGTATGGAAATAGAACAAGGAGGAAGAGACCCTAACAGCCTTCTAGTAGAGTTTAATATTGGATGTTCACTGTCACTAGGACTTGAAGCCTCAACTATGATTTTTAACTTGGAGAAAACCTTGATATATTCTTTTCTTTTGAGATGCAGTCTTGCTCTTGTCCCTGGAGTGCAGTTGTGCAATCTCGGCTCTCTGTGACCTCCGCCTCCAGAGTTCAAACGATTCTCCTGCCCCAGCCTCCGAAGTAGCTGGGATTACTGGTGCCCGCCACCACATCTGACTAATTTTTTTGTGTTTTTAGTAGAGATGGGGTTTCACCGTGTTGGCCAGGCTGGTCTCAAACTCCTGACCTCAGGTGATCCTCCCACCTCGCCCTCACAAAGTGCTGGGATTCACAGGCATGAGCCACCGTGCCCAGCCAATGTGTGTATATATATATATATATATATATGTGTGTTTTTTTTTTTTTTTTGAGATGGAGTCTCACTCTGTCACCCAGGCTGGAGTGCAGTGGCACGATCTCGGCTCATTGCAACCTCCGCCTCCCGGGTTCACGCCATTCTCCTGCCTCAGCCTCCCGAGTAGCTGGGACTACAGGCACCTGCCACCACGCCCAGCTAATTTTTTGTATTTTTAGTAGAGCTGAGGTTTCACCGTGTTTAGCTAGGATGGTCTCGATCTCCTGACCTCGTGATCCACCCACCTCGGCCTCCCAAAGTGCTGGGATTACAGGCGTGAGCCACCTTGCCCGGCCCCAGTATATTCTTTTTTAAACCCTTAGCCTTATATTTGTAAAAGTTTAAAACAGCATACTTCATGTGCCACATTTTAGGAAACTGTCTGAGATAGTGATTATATCTCCATATTAGAAATAAGTAGAAAGGCCCAGAAATTTTTAAATGACTTGCTGAAAATCACAAATCTAGCAAATGTCATACTTCAACCAAAACGCAACTCCATTATGTATTTTAAAGCACCTTTCTACTACCACTAGCCAAAAGGACTCTCATCGGGCACTGGGAGAATCCTACAGGATAAAGCTGCTTGGAAAAGATTACTTTGGTAAAAATAGCATCAGAAAGAAAAAAAAGAGTTGTCTAAAGGAAAAATTCCATTTGGGCTGACTACAATCTAATGAATAATGTTTACACTCTGAAGAATGTATAGTCCAGATCAAGTGTTTTCTTATGGCCATTGTTGAGTGAAAAAAAAGTTTAGGGATTATTATTAAACATTACCAGAGAACCAGTTTCTCTCGCAAATATTTCTTTTTATTTATTTATTTATTTTTTATTTGAGATGGAGTCTCGCTCTGTCACCCAGGCTGGAATGCAATAGCACGATCTCGGTTCACTGCAACCTCCACTTCCTGGGTTCAAGTGATTCTGCTGCCTCAGCCTCCTGACTAGCGGCGATTACAGGCACCTGCCACCATGCTGACCTAATTTCTCTCAAATATTTCCTTCCTTGTCTTCCAACTTGTGATTTATAATTACTTTGTTTTTTTCTGATTACTTTTATTGATTAACACATACTTTGTTTTCTGCCTCCTATAACATTGTTTATGAATTTCATCCTTAAGTTCTTTTTATTTAATAAATGTTATAAACTACCTATATTATTATAAGCTAGTTTTTTCCCAAATATTTTAAAACTTTTCGTTAGGGAAAATTTCAAACATACACAAAAGTAGAAAGAATATTGCAGTGAACCCCTATGTATGCCTCATCCCGTTCTAAAATATATCAACATTTTGTTGATTATATCATCCATCTCCTCCTCGCTTCTCCTTTTTTCTAGAATCTTTTTTAAAAAATACATATTGTACCCATAAACACGTTGAAATGCATCTGTGATGGTTAGGAGCCTTTTACATATATAAAGCCACCATGCAGTCGTGACAAAATTAATGGTAAAAGCAACATTAATTCTAAACTGTTTTGGCTAGATAAATCTCTAAGTCACTATGTCATTTTAGTATTGACAAAATTCAAGATGGATACATCTCTTTTGACTTGCATCTGTCTAATTCATCTATTTTCTGATATTCACATCTCTTTGGGATGGAGCATGTCAGTTATTTACCATAGGATTTTCTCTTTCTTTAATCAGATAACTTTTGATAATGCATGGGTTACCAATATAATTGAGGCCTTCCTTTGGAACCTAAAACCAAGAGATTAGAGTTCAGATTTGGAATTTATCATCTAACCACATCTTATCTAAGCCTTAATTGCCGCACTGTATTTAGGGTTCAAACATCTGGGATAGCTACCTTACTCATTCCTAGGCAGAGGTGAAAATGTACTCTATGTTGAAGTAACTCTATTAGTTCCTATTATAGCTTTTCCAAATCCTGGTTTTTATATTTATATAATATAAAATTTATGAAACATTGCAACAGTGTTTCAAGTACTGGAAATTTTATATGTTTGGCAAATACTTGATGCTCAATAAAGAGTAGCTCTCATTATCTACCTTATATTGTTGTGAGAGTGTCTGAAGGCACTGTAAACTGTAAAGTGCCATGATATGTAACATGTAATAATTGTTTTTTATATGTACAAATGGAATCATATATGTAATTATGAATCCACATGAACAGTTAAGTAATGGGAAATGCATGAAAAGAACACATTAAAAAGTCAAGTAAAAATACACAGACCACGAATCTGGGGAAGCACTTCTTCATAAGAAACCAAAGCAAAGATCAAAGTCTGTTTTCAAAGGAATACAGGATTTCTAAAGCCTATTAACAATTAAGCCACAATTCTTTTTACTTATACTCACGAATTTTGATTGGATGTATTCTTAGGGACAGTGTCAACACTGGATGTACTGAAGGAGAACAAAAATAAGAATTATACAGCAAATTAACAGGAGTAAATAATTAGCCAGAAAGTCCTATATGTGGGCCACAAGCCCCACATTGAATATCCAATAATTGGTAGTTCTAAAACGAACTCTTGTTTCTTTGATCCCCCATTGAAAATTTTGACTTATGGAGACGATTTCATAAATGTAAAACATAAAATTGTAGACTTTTTTCTCTTCAGTTTTTAAACTAAAGAATTCACAGAGCTCTCAATAGTTAAGATATCACAAAGGATAAATGCTTGAGGGGATAGGTACTCCATCATCCATGATGTGATTATTATGCATTTCATAGCGTATCAAAACATCTCATGTACCCCATAAATGCATACACCTACCATGTACCCACAAAAATTAAAAATTAAAAAAAGTTAGATACCAGTTTTCGCTAATAGCATTCTTTTTATTTAAATGAGTTTATTATATGTGAAAACATTAAAATAAACATCTTATTTTGTAAAAACCACTATTATAACTTGGTTTTTATCTTACTCTTGATCTTTAGGAATCAGTTCATCTTCTAGCTGTCATCAATGTTTTTGCCTCATATTTTAAACAAAATATTATTAATACATTTGCAATGGGAAATATATCCTAGTGTGCCAATTTATCTTCATATTAAAATGTTTAGTTGGCAGTTGTTGACAGGGTAAAAGCAAAGTAATTCAGCTATTATAATTTTACATTTATATAGTTACTCTTTGAGACATACATAAAAGCTCAATTTTGTATGATTCATATAAGCAACTCAATTTTGTCGGTCTGATAGGGCTTTTATAAAGCTCTCTTATAGCTATCTCTCCCTTTACTGAAAGTAATTATGTATTTGGCTCTTAGGATATTTTTTAACCTTCTGAAGTTAATTTGGGTATGACCCTGGCATGTTATTTATAAATATTAGCAACAGGTGGTAAAATTGCCGAAATATATTATACTGATACCATAATTTTGGAGCAAGCTAGTCAAATCTGTTTACTCCATTTAATCTGAGTTTCCTAAGCTTCACCAGCCTGCAGGGACCAGTAGATACAAAATAACAATTATAACCCAAATTTCACTGACTTAGCTCTTCTCTTCTCATAAAAGATCCCAAGCAGCTATAAAGTGCTCTTCAGTATTTCTGGGATTCCCAGGCATGGCTCCCATGCGCTCTAAAACAAATCCAGTCCTGTGGAGCAGTATTTCCAGGCATATGCAGCGCACCTGTTGTCACCTTGGAGTCCTGCTGTGTCCCACTGGGCTCTGGTTCCTCCTCCTTTCCTTACGATGAGTTCTTGTCCAGAAGCATCCTTAAAAAGCTTATCTCAACCTTTTCTTAGGTATGATGAGCCAAACTAGTTTAAAAAAAAAAAAAGTGGAGTCATGATTCTGAACACAGTGTGGTGTGGGGCATCATTCAGCTTTGAGGACATGTCTGAATCTCAGAGACAGCAAGAACTAAAACTAAGATCTTAAAACCAGAAAGTACTGTTTTACTAAAAAAAATTTCCTACAGCACCACTGTCCAGTTTAGTAGCCAGTAGCCACATGTGGCTATTGAGATTTAAATTAGCTTAAATTAAATTGGATTTAAAATTCAGAACCTCATTTGCACTAGACACATTTCCTGTGCTCCATAGCTACATGTGATCACTGGCTCCTGCATTGGACAGCAGTAGTACAGAACATTTCCATCAGTACAGAAAGTTCTGTTGGACAGGGTTCCCCTAGAACATTAGGTCTCAAGCTGCAAGACATTGATACCCCTGTACTTTCACAATGATCCAGTGTATTGAGGAAAACGCCTAAAGCTGCTGTACTAGGTGGTTATGGCTGAAGGAGTGGAGCCCCATCCCAATGGCTTTATTTTTCTCTACTGGTACCTGCCCTAATGTTTAAGCAAGAAAATACTGGTTTTAAAGGGGTTTGTTGAGTTATTTTCTTAAGCAACAGTAACCCACATCCCCGTTTTTCCTGTTTTCATTGATATGTTATAGTCTTCAGTAAAAATCATATGAGTTTTCAACCCTGGAAAAAATCTTAAAAACTGTTTATAGATCAGCTAAACTTACATTTGATCAGATAACCAGGTAATCAAATTGTAAGAATAATCAGTTTCTACTTCTGAAATACATTTTTAAAAACTAATAAAAGGCTATTCATTTCAAAAAGTAAAACTTTTTATAGAAAACATTTTATTCTGCCACTACATAATGTAGTCTTGTGCCAAGGTTTGAAAAAGAGAGAGAGAGAATTAAAAAGAAGAAGAAAAACTACTTTGGGAATTATTTGATAATTATTTTGTTTGTTGTTTAGAAATATTCTCTGGCCATATGTACAATCTTTACACATACTTCTTGCAGTGTGTTTATTGTACTGAGAAGAAATCTTTGTTTTCACTGATCACTGTGCATCATTTGTGCTTACTACCATTTGTTAATGAATAGGAAAAAGACTACTAAAAATCTAACAAACAGATTTTGCTTTTTAAAGGTCTTTTCTTGGCCAGGTACAGTGGCTCACGCCTGTAAGCCCAGCACTTAGGAGACTGAGATTGGAGGATCACTTTAGCCCAGGAGTTCAAGACCAGCCTGGGCAACAGAGTGAGACCCCTGTCTCTATTTAAAAAAAAATTGTTTTTAATTAGCCAGGTGTGGTGGCGCTTGCCTATAGTCCCAGCTACTCAGGGACTGAAGCAGGAGAATCACTTGAGCCCAGGAGTCCAAGTTGCATTGAGCTACGATTGTGCCACTGTATTTAGCCTGGGCAACAAAGTAAGACCTTGTCTCAAAAAAAAAAAAAAAAAAAAAAAGTTCTTTTTGTGAAATACAAAAGAGCAGAAGATATTATCCCAACTTCTGATAGGGCAGTCTAGGCAAGGAAGACAAAGAACATATATAAGATGTTTTGAAATTATTAAAGAAGGATCAGAGTGTTGAAATTATTGTAAGCATCAAGGCTGCTTGCCCGTGAATTAAGGAAGTTTGCAGGAGGATAATCTCAGTAAAGTCTGTAGACTGAAAACTTTCATAAATCCTGAGTTGTTAACAGTGTTTTCAGGCCCACTAATGCTAGTGTTGTTTAATACATAGAAAAAATTGAATATGAAGTTCAGTAGTTTGTAACTTTTAGATTCATTTACCTTTGAAAATGATTAAAACCGGAATCTGGAGCAATAAATCTAACAACCAAATGATGAGCTAAATAGTGACTTCCAACTATGTGCAGTGTGTTGGTAGGCCTTACACTATATGGAAAAACTTAGGAATTATTTTTAACCTTCCTTTTGGAACATTGTGTAAACATTCTTAGATTATACTTAAACTATTAAGTGGGGTAGTTTTATCTGAATCTAAGTCCACTTGAGTTGTGGATTTCACCTCTCATGGATGTGTGTTTTAATTGTGGGGTAATGTCAATGGAAGATCAGGGTTATAATATCATGGCATTTGAATAATAGAAATTCACGTAAAATATTCTAATCTGTCAAACTTTACCAACTGTGTGCAGATTCCACAGCCAAGGATGGGAGTGTGGCTCATGGCCACTAGAGGGCAGGAAAGGTCAGGAACCGGATGTGGAAGCCTGGGGAAAAGTATAGGGGAAAGCTTGGATCACCCCTTCGTAAGGAAGACAACTTGCCACAACTTGAAGCAAACACAATTCAGTCCCTGAGGCAGGAAAGACAGTAAACGATGCAGGAACATAAGCCACAGTCAAGGCCAGGAGGACACATGGGCAGGGAATTAATAAACCAGTCTGGAGCCCAAACCTTACCAGGCTGTCAAACTGCTGGCAGAAAGCTAAATGTAAGGCCAGGTTGAAGAAGGCAGTCAGATTGCAGGGAGTTGAGCAGGTCATTCGACCCTCACTATTATTGCTCCAAGTTGAACATACTGACCCTTTTGAAATGGGCAAAGTGGGACTTTAAGAATCTAGTGATTGAAAAGTCAAAGGAAATCTGATACCATCTTCTTTTGATATTGCAGCATTTCCTGTCACAACTCCTGATTTAGTTTTGTAATGCTAGAACTATTCCTATTTCCTTCTTGGAAAATTCCCTCCACGTCCTAGAGTACTTCCTCAGGTCTAAATAGCTAATGTTTACAAAGGAAGGATTAAGTAAGACGAAGATGACACAGCAGAGTTTTCCATTAAGACATGCCATATCGGCCGGGCGCAGTGGCTCACGCCTGTAATCCCAGCACTTTGGGAGGCCGAGGCGGGCGGATCACGAGGTCAGGAGATCGAGACCATCCTGGGTAACACAGTGAAACCCCATCTCTACAAAAATACAAAAAAATTAGCCAGGCATGGTGGCGGGCACCTATAGTCCCAGCTACTCGGGAGGCTGAGGCAGGAGAATGGCGTGAACCTGGGAGGTGGAGCTTGCAGTGAGCCAAGATTGTGCCACTGCACTCCGGTCTGGGCAACAGAGTGAGACTCCATCTCAAAAAAAGCCATGTCAATAATCATATTTAATATTTTATAAATTGTATATTCATAAATATATACAAATATATTTATAAATTATCATGTTTAATAATTTAGAATTTATCTTTAGGTCTTAAATAGATAAATTATGTTAAAACTATAAAGGTAAGGCACATTGGGCTATAACAAAGAATAAAAGTTTTCCTTAACATTTCTATATACATGAATAGAATTTTATCCTTTTCCTTTGCAGTTTTTACACAGATTTTAATTATATATGCATATTTGTCCACCATGCATGACTGGAGGCTCCATGATACCAGAAATACCCTCCTGAACTTAACCTGGAGCCTGACTCTAGAAGCTAGTCACTAGTATTTGTTGACCTCAAGGAATTTACCGTCTGGTTGGAGTGCAAGAGAACTATAATACAGATATTAAAAACAGATACAAAGGGAAGTAGAATTACAGAGGAGGAAATTAGCAATTTAGTATCATCAGGTAAATTTTTATTAAAATGGCATTGTGGCCAGGTAT
The DNA here is from genome assembly GCF_000001405.40 of Homo sapiens. Lineage (NCBI taxonomy): Eukaryota > Metazoa > Chordata > Mammalia > Primates > Hominidae > Homo > Homo sapiens. Next base: position 55,896,472 of record NC_000015.10, on the reverse strand, counting down.
GGTGCCTCACCCTGTAATCCCAGCATTTTGGGAGGCCAAGGCAGGTGCATCCCTTGAGGCCAGGAGTTCGAGACCAGCCTAACCAACGTGGCAAAACCCCATCTCTACAAAAAAATACAAAAATTAGCCAGGCATACCGGTGCATGTCTCTAATCCCAGGTACTTGGGGAGGCTGAGGCAGGAGAATTGCATGAACCCAGGAGGTGGAGGTTGCAGTGAGCCAAAATCGTGCCATTGCACTCCAGCCTGGGCAACAGAGTGAGACTCTGTCTCAAAATAAATAAAGACAAAAGTGAATAAAATGGCATTGAGCTGGGTGTGCTGAGTGAGCTTGAGAGGGCAAAATATAGGATCATTGCAGCTATTGGGGGGCTTTTGTTAATAGAAGGCTGCAAGGTAGATTGGAAAAAACAAACTAGAATTCCATGCCAAGGAATTTAGTTTTTCCTCTGGACCAGTATTTTTGAAATGTGGTCCTCACCAGTCTGTAAGATGCCTCGTATAAAACCTACCCCATTGACAGATAGGTTTGTATAATGCCACATGCTGTATCTTGGAATACCACAGTGCACATTAGTAAATCTAAGTTCCTAAAGTTCTGTAGGAAATAAACTTTTGAGCTTGGTTTAACCAAATGTATCCCAATTATATGACCAGCGTTAGATGGCCTGCTCATTTATCTTCAGCTATTAACAATCATTGCTCACTCCTCCTGGTTTCTCCAGACACTGAATAGATACATGTTTCTCAAGGTGTATTGCTGGCCAGATGCATTAGTATCACCCAAGAACTGCAAATTCTCACACATTATACCAGATCAGCAGAATCAGAAATTCTAGGGGTAGAGCCCAGCAATCTGTCTTTAAATAGCCTATCAGGTGATTTTAACACACACTGAATTTCAGCCTGAATCTTGAAACTCTAGATTAGGTTGGGCACAGAGCCTCCAGCTTTCCTCAGCTACCACAGCTTCCTTTTATCCATTTTAAAGTAGTTTCCTGTTTATCTGTTTTAAAATTCACCTTCTCACACTTACTTGTTTTTAAATTGAACATCCAAGATTTTACACAGCTCAGCTCCTTGGTTTCTTAGAATTGAAGGCACTCTATATTTGCAACAGTAGCAGTCGTCTGCTGATTTCATTTCTCATTTAAACTGCAGAGATAATTCTCCAGAGAATGTTAGCGTCCACCTCTTCGAAAGTTATCTTTTCCTTTCCCTAGTAGCTTGGCAGACATTTCTAAAAAGAAAAAAATTAATATCATAATTAGTGCTCAGAAGTGTGAATCTCTATTTTCAGTCGAGAGTGAATACTTTTCTTTTGGAAAGGAAGAGCTTTATCCATTTTAGCAGTTACCTAGCTGTGAGTATTTCCTGGCTAAATTATAACTTTATACCTTAGTTCTCTTGTTATTTTCCTTTGTTCAGAAATATAAATTTGAAACAATGGGATGAGCCCCTCCCTTTTTTAGAGGTGGAAAGAAAGTTGAAACAAATGCAAAACCTTTTTCTCATATTTAGTAGTCATCTAGTTTAGGAGCATACAATATAAATTGCTCCTAAAAATGTTGGATATATTACATTTTAACTTTAGAAATAATTATAAAATCCTATTTATATTTGATACGGACACAACCTCTGATTCCTGTTATGTCTTGCCTGCTTCAGATTCCTTCTTTCCTGTAGCATATTAAAAAATGGTTTGTATTTTTAAATCCTCACAATAAATCATGAATGAAACTTTAGAGCATGTAAAGATAAACTTGACAAGGTAAATCATCTGTTTTCACAAGTCTGTGATAATTAGAAAGTAAGAACTCCAAAGAAATTGAAATTCAAAGGACAATAACTCAAAGTGAAACTGATTTAGAAAGTAGTTTCTCCTGACTTCCACCTCACCCCAATCTGTGAGGTAAAAGCCCCTTTAAAGATGTGAGGGTTTCTAAGGGCCGTAGAATTTCAAGTAGTGTGAAGCTACTATCAAAGAACCAAGTACCGGTGTCTCTTGGTATTTGCAGGGGGAATGGTTCCAGGACCCCACAGACACCAAAATGAGCAGATACTCAAGTTCCTTAAATAAAGTGGTATAAAATTTGCATGTAACCTACACACATCCTCCCATAAATTTTGTCATCTCTAGATTACTTATAATACCTAATACAGTGTAAACACTATGTAAATACTTGTGCTGCATTGTTTTTTAATTTGTATTTTTTTATTGTTGTGTTATTTTTTCTTTTCAAATATTTTTGATCCCGGATTGATTGAATCCACCGATAGAGAGAGCTGACTATACAGTTTATGTCTTATAGTCAGATCTACCAGAAAGGCTAGAGGCCGAGCAAATCACAAACTTAAGACATGGAATGCTTGCTTTATGCAAAGATATCCAGTTTCCAAAGCACTATGATTTTATAGCACAGATTAAATTGTTTATCTAACTCCATTTCCTCATTGACATATAGAAAGATTGACTCAGTAAATTTTGAACTTCTAGGAAAATGTTTTAAATAAGCCCATTATAGTATAAAGCACAGTCAATAAGGAAGTAGGAAAGAAGCAGCTATACAAATGCAATTTTGTTTATTAATAAGATTGGTTTACCTTAGAAAACAGTTAAGTTAAATTTACAGTGATTTTTGTGAGCCTTTTTTCTATCTATATCTAGTATGTAGTATGAATCCATATAGTGTGGATTTTGAGAGGAAGGATGTTCATTTAAAATAATAGTTTTTATTATATTCAGCAAGCAGAAAAATATGGTTTCTTATTTTTAAAATACTATAAAAGGTCTATTCATATAAGTTCTGCTTATTTTTCTGAGACACTCATGTGCGAATATCATGTGTCCAAATACCCACTTTTCATGTGTTCAAATAAAAAAAAATTAAATGTCTTATAAATAGAATGGAAATTTAAACTCCACTTTAAGCAAAGAGGTTCTTAGATAATTTCAATTCAAGTTTTTAATTGTAAAACTTACAATTAAAGTTTTAATTAAAAACTTTAAGTTTTTAATTGTATTCTGGTCTTTTGTGATCTCTGAAGTATTTCTTGATCTGTTAGCTTAATTTAAATAGTATGATTAATAACGGCTTGAACATTTTTATGGCTGTAAATTCTTTCAATTTCTTTTTTTACTGCCTGCCCCAATTCTTGTCTTTAGAATTATATGATCTATACAGAGGAATCATGACATTTGCGCATAGAGGATTTTAATACAGCTCTGTGAAGACAGTTGTTATTAACAATGATTAAGATACTAATACAAATGTAAGCCTCTTGATCTTGAATCTTTGATCTTGATCTTACCTTTGAAGAAAGGTATTTAAACTTATCTGTGCTTCTTGGCTCACTCAGAAAAGTATTTCCTTCTGTAGCATCCAATTAATCACTAAGATCTGTTTCTATCTCAGGTTAGTTTACTGTAATCTTTATTGTTACACAAAATAAAATTATTTTAGATATATATGCAAAATGATAAATACCAGCTTGGTTGAGGCATTGTTTGTGGTAGCAAAAGATTTGAAACCATTTAGATTGTCAGTCTGAATTTAGATTGACAATCTAATTGTCTGTCAATAGGGAACTAGTTAAGGAAATTTTGCTGTACCATATAATAGCATACCATACAACCACCAAAAAGGTAAAGCATCTCTATATATATTGATATGTGAACAAAGTATGAAAGATAATGTTGAAGGGGGGAAAGCAAGCTGCATAACACTATGTCAGAGAAAACTCTAAAGGGATGGATAGGCACAAAAATAAAACAGCTATCACCTTTTGCAAGGACAGAGGGTAAAAATGGATAGCTGGAGGGTAGAAACTGTTTCATTTTCTTTTTGATTTTGTACTCGGTGTATGTGTTACTTATATTTTTAAATTACTTTTTAAAAAATGTTCTTGAAAGAAAAGTGCTGATAGCTAAATCTGAAAACTGAAAAAACAAATTATACTATATCTAATATTCAGGTATAAAATTTATTTTTACTCTTTAAAAAGCATGATTGAAACAAAAAGTTTGATATTACAGCAGAAAACCTTGGCTATCTTGTTGGCCTCTGGCTGTGAAGAAATTATTCTTTCTATAATCCTTTGCCTTTTACAGTAGATTTGCCCTGGAAAATTATTTATAATTCATATTTATTATTTATTTATTTATTTATTTATTTATTTATTTATTTATTTATTTATTTATTTATTGAGTTGGAGTTTTGCTCTTTTGCCTAGGCTGGAGTGAAGTGGTGCGATCTCAGCTCACTGCAGCCTCTGCCCCTCCAGGTTCAAGTGATTCTCATGCCTCTGCCTCACGAGTAGCTGGGATTCTAGGTGGCCACCACCACGCCTGGCTAATTTTTGTATTTTTAGTAGAGACGGGGTTTGGCCGTTTTGACCAGGCTGGTCTCAAACTCCTGACCTCAGGTGATCCACCTGCCTTGGCCTCCCAGAGTGTTAGGATTACAGGCATGAGCCACCGTGCCCAGCCTATAATTCATATTTAATAGAAACTCTTTTTAAAGCAAAGTATTCTTCAAAGTTGTGACACTTTAACTTAACTGTTTTTTAAATTCTGATTTTTTATTACTTTGGATTCTCTTAAAGCATAACATTTAGCTACTATTCATTCTTATTAAAGTTAACAACATTTGACCTCCTAAAATTAGAGCATCTTTAGTTCTAATTAAAGTTTTTACAAAAACAGCAATTTGGATTTTCTTTTTATGTTCTAAAAATTGTTTTAAGAAACTGAAATTCATGTCATTATAATACTAGAAAAGGTATTATTTACTGACTAAACTGTGCCCATTGCAGATAGTCCTGTTTAAAATCACCTGGTGTTCTAAATTCTTTTTCAGACTTTCAGGCATTCTTAAATTACTTATATTATACCAAATGCAAATTTGTTTTATGAAGTAGGCTGCATGCAGTTCAAATATAGGAAATAACTCTTGCAAAGAAATGCTTGATACTCAGAATTTGGAACAATTGGTTGGCTAGGGAAATATTAATGAACATCACAGACTGACTTGCCTTCATAGGAATGAATTTAAAACGATTACTTTTCCTTTGTAAATGGAAAAAGAACCTCTAATTGTCCTGTATTTATAGCAACCATATGTCCCAGACTTTCCAGGATAGTTCCCAATTTCAGATTCTCCATCTTCTTCTGAGACTATGCATATTGACTTTTAGTTTGGAAAATTTTTTCATTTTTCAAATATTGGAAATACAGCTATTTGGGATCATTTCATTTTATGTAGAAGTGAAGAAACTCATTTCAGATCATTGGCTTTAAATAAGACACTGTTGCAAGAAATATTTAAAATGTAGGTACTTGAGACAAGAAAATTCTCACCATGTGGGATTTTTGTTCTTTTGTTCCCAAAGACAACCAATGAACAACAAATATAGAGCAATAAAAACAGGTGATTTTTTTAGGGAGATGGGATGGGATGAGTTTTCTTTCTGTCCCTCAGTGACCAGGCACTGCCTCTCCAATGGAGATGAAAGCTGTAGGGAAGATTGTAAGAGATTTTAGGAAATAAGCACAATAAGCACATGAAAAGATGCTCAATCTCATTGGCTGCCAGGGAAATGCAAAAAGCCACGATGGTATACTACGTCACACCCACTAAGAAGGGTATTGTCATAAAGACAGGTCATTGTTGGTAAGAAAGGGGAGGAATTGAAATCTTACAGTGCTGATAGAAATGTAAAATGATGCAGCAACTTTGGAAAACGGTCTGGCAGATTTTTAGCAAATTCTGTTCCTGAGTATATATCCAAGAGAAATGAAAACATATGTTCGTACAAAAGCTTTTACTCAAATGTTCATAGTGGCATTATTTATAATAGCCAAACAGTTGAAACAACCCAAATGTCAATCAACTGAAAAATGGATAAATAAAATGTGGTATATCCATATAATGTAACAACAATAAAAAAGGAATGTTACAGTATGGATGAATCTTGGAAACATACTAAGTAAAATAAGTCAGTCATAAAGGACCACGTATTATATAATTCCACTTATATGAAATATCCAGAATAGGCAAATCCATAAAGACAGAAAGTGGTTGGTGGTTGCCTAGGACTGAAGGAGGGGTGGGGAAATGGGCAGTGAATGCTGATTGGTAAGGGTGTTCTTTTTGGGTGATGAAAATGTTCTAAAATTGATTGTCTAATGGTTGAACAACTCTGTGAAAATACTAAAAAACATTGAATTGTACACTCTAAGTGGGTTAATTGTATGTGAATTACATCTTAATAAAGCTTTTTTTATTTTTAATTTTTGTGGGTACATAGTAGGTATATATATTTATGAGGTACATGAGATATTTTGAAACAGGCATACAGTGCATAATAATTGCATCAGAGTAAATGGGGTATCCATCCCCTCAAGCTTTATCCTTTCTGTTACAAACAGTAGAATTATGCTCTTTTAGTTATTTTTAAATGTACAATTAGTCTTGGTGTGGTGGTTCATGCCTGTAATCCTAGCGCTTTGGGAGGCCGATGTGGGCAGATTGCCTGAGCTCAGGAGTTTGAGACCAGCCTGGGCAACACAGTGAAACCCCATCTCTACTAAAAAATACAAGAAATTAGCTGGGCGTGGTGGCACATGCCTGTAATTCTAGCTACTCAAGAGGCTGAGGCACAAGAATTGCTTGAACCTGGAAGGTGGAGGTTGCGGTGAGCTGAGATCACACCACTGCACTCCAGCCTGGGTGACAGAGCAAGACTCTGTCTCCAAAAAAAACAAAACAAAACAAAACAAAACACTAAATTAAATTATTTTTGACTAAAGTTACCCTATTCTGCTATCAAATACTAGATCTTATTTATTCTTTTTTGTGTAGCCATTACTTATCTCTACTTCTCCCTACCCCACTACCCTTGTTAGCCTCTGGTAACCATCATTCTACTCTCTATCTCAGTTCAATTGTTTTAATTTTTAGCTCCCACAAATAAGTGAGAACATGTGAAGTTTGTCTTTCTGTGCCTTGCTTATTTCACTTAACATAATGACCTTCAGTTTTATCCAGTTGTTGCAAATGAGCGGATCTCATTCCTTTTATGGCTGGATAGTACTCCATTGTGTATATGTACCGTATTTTCTTTATATGTCTGTTGATGGATACTTTGGTTGTTTTCAAATCTTGGCTATTGTGAACAGTGCTGAAATATCTCTTCAGCACTGAAGTGCACATATCCTTTCAATACGCTGATTTCCTTTCTTTTGGGCATATACCTAGTAGTGAGATTGCTGGATTATATGGTCGTTCTATTTTCTTCCAATCTATGGGCTGTCTCCCCACTTTGTTGATTGTTTATTGTGGGCTGTGCAAAAGCTTTTTACCTTGATGTGATCCCATTTGTCCATTTTGATTTGGTTGTCTGTGCTTATGGAGTATTACTGAAGAAATCTTTGCCTTCTCCAATGTCTGCAGAGTTTCTTCAGTTTTCTTTTATTACTTTGATAGTTCAAGGTCTTAGATGTAAGTGTTTAATCCATTTTTATTTGATTTTTGTATAAGGTGAGAAATAGGAGTCTAGTTTGTTTCTTTTGCATGTGGATATCCAGTTTTCTCAGCACCAGTTATTAAAGAAACTGTCCTTTCCCCAGTGTATGTTCTCGGCACCTTTACCCAATATGAATTCACTGTAGATGTATGGATTTGTTTCTGGGTTCTCTATTCTGTTCCATTGGTCTGTCTGTTTTTATACCAGTACCATGCCATTTTGGTTACAATAGCTTTGTAATGTAATTTGATGTCAGGTAATGTGATTTCTCCAGTTTTGTTCTTTTTGCTTAGGATGCCTCTGGCTATTCTGGGTATTTTGTGGTTCCACATAAATTTCAGGATTCTGTTTTCTATTTCTGTGAAAAATGTCATTGGCATTTTTATAGGGATTGCATCAAATCTGTAGATTGCTTTGGGTAGTATGGGCATTTTAACAATATTGATTCTTCTGATCCATGAACATACCTTTCCATTTTTTGTGTCCTCTTTGATTTCTTTCATCAGTGTTTGATAGAGATATTTCACGTCTTTGGTTAATTCCTAGGTAATTTATTTGTAGTTATTGTAAATAGGATTGCCTTCTTGATTTATTTTACAAATTGTTTACTCTTGGCATTGAGAAATGCTACTGATATTTGTATGTTAATTATGTATCATGCAACTTTACTGAATGTATCAGTTCTAATGGTTTTTTGGTGCAGTCTTTAGGTTTTTTCAAATATAAGATCATATCATCTACAAACAAGGATAATGTGACTTCTTCCTTTCCAATTTGGATGCCCCTTATTTCTTTTTCTTGCCTGATTGCTGTAGCTAGGACTTCCCTTACTACATTGAATAACAGTGGTGAAAGTGGCATTCCTGTCATGTTCCAGATGTTAGAGGAAAGGCTTTTAGTTTTTCCCTATTCAGTATGATATTCACTATGGGTCTGTCATGTATGACTTTTGTTATGTTGAGCTATATTTCTTCGATACCATTTTTTGTAGTGTTTTATCATGAAATGATGTTGAAATTTATCAAATACTTTTTCAGCATCAATTGAAATGATCATTCTGTTTATAATCAATACTTCATTCTGTTGATGTGTTGTATCACATTCATTAATTTGCATATCTTGAACCATCCTTGCATCCCTGTAATGAATCCCCCTTGGTCATGATGAATGATCTTTTTAATAGGTTGTTGAATTCGGTTTGCTAGTATTTTGTTGAGGATTTTTGTATCAATGCTTGTCAGAAATTTGGCCCTGTAGTTTTCTTTTTTGGTTGTGTCTGTTTGGTTTTGGTCTCTGAGTAATACTGGCTTCATATGATAAGTTTGGAAGTATTCCCTCCTCCTCTGTTTTTCAGAATTGTTTGAGTAGGATTGGTATTAGTTCTTTAAATATTTGGTAAAATTCATCAGTGAAGCCATTGGATGCTGGGCTTTTCCTTGGTGATAGACATTTTATTACAGCTTCAATCTCATTACTTGTTATTGGTCTGTTCCTGTTTTGGATTTCTTCATGGCTCAATCTTAATAGGTTGTATGTGTCTAGGAATTTATCCACTTCTAGATTTTCCAATTTATTGCATATACTTGGTCATAATCTCTAATGATCCTTTGATTTCTGTGGTATCAGTTGTAATGTCTCCATTTTCATCTCTGATTTTATTTATTTGGGTTTTCTCTCTTTTTTTCTTAGTCTGGCTAAAGGTTTGTTAATTTTGTTTATCTTTTTTTAAAAACCAACTTCTTTTTGTTGGTCTTTTGTGTCATTTTCTTCATTTCAATTTCATTTATTTTTGCTCTGATCATTATTATCTCTTTTATTCTACTAATTTTGGGTTTGGTTTGCTCTTGCTTTTCTAGTTCTTTAAGATGCACTTTTTACGCTGTTTATTTGAAGTTTTTTTTTTCTTTTTTGATGTAGGCACTGTTAGCTATAAACTTTCCCCTGAGTACTGCTTTTGCTGTATCCCAGAGGTTTTGGTATGTTATTCTTCCATTATTTGTTTCAAGAAAATTTTCAATATCCTTCTTAATTTCTTCATTAACCCACTGTTCATTCATTCAGGAGCATACTATTTAATTTCGATGTTTTTGTATCATTTCCAAAATTCCTTTTGTTATTTATTTCTAGTTTTATTCCTTTGTGGTCAGAGAAGATATTTGATATTATTTCAATTTTTTTTTTTTTTTTTGAGACGGAGTCTTGCTCTGTTGTCCAGGCTGGAGTGCAGTGGTGTGACCTTGGCACACTGCAACCTCTGTCTCCTGGGTTCAAGCAGTTCTCCTGCCTCAGCCTCCCGAGTAGCTGGGACTACAGACCAGCACGCTCTGCTAATTTTTTGTATTTTTAGTAGAGATGGGGTTTCACCATGTTGGCAGGATGGTCTCGATCTCTGACCTCGTGATCCACCCACCTCGGCCTCCCAAAGTGCTGGGATTAGAGGCGTGAGCAACCACGCCTGGCCCATTTCAATTTTTTAAAACGTTTTAAGGCTTATTTTGTGGCCTAATAAATGGTCTGTCCTTGAGAAGGATCCATGCACTGAGAATAATGTGTAATCTGAAGCAGTTGAATGAAGTGTTCTCTAAACATTTATTAGGTCCATTTGGTCTGTAGTGCAGATTAAGTCTGATGTTTCTTTGTTGATTTTCTGTCCGGATATCTGTCCAATGCTGAAAGTGTGATGTTGAATTCTCAAGCTATAATTGTATTGGGGTCTGTCTCTCTCTTTATCGCTAATAATATTTTCTTTTTATATCTGAGTGCTCCAGTGTTGGGTGCATATAGACTTATAATTGTTATATCCTATTATTGAATTGACCCATTTGTTATTATATAATGACCTTCTTTGTCTTTTTTTATAGTTTTTGTCTTGAAGTCTATTTTATCTGATACAGCTACTCATGCCCTTTTTTGATTTCCGTTTTAATGAAGTACCTTTTTCCATCCCTTTGTTTTTAGTCTTTATGTCTTTATAGGTGAAATGTGTTTCTTGTAGACAACAGATTGTTGGGTCTTGATTTTTTTTTTTTAAATCTATTCAGCCACTGTATGTCTTTTGATTGGAGCGTTTAGTCTGTTTATATTCAGTGTTATTATTGTTCAGTAAAGACTTACCCCTGCCATTTTGTTATTTGTTTTCTGGTTGTTTTATAGTTTTTTCTTCCTTCTTTTCTTCCTTCCTGTCTTCCTTTTAGTGAAGGTGATTTTATCTGGTGGTATGTTTTAATTTCTGTCTTTTAATTTTTTGTGTATCTTTTGTATGTCTTTTTATTTAAGGTTACCAAGAGGCTTGCAAATATTTTATAAGTTATTGTTTTAAACTGATGACAACTTAACACTGATTGCATAAACAAAGTAACAAGCCAAGAGAAAACTAATAAAAACTCTAACTTTGTCCTCTTGCTTTTTTTTTATTTCTATTTATATCTTCTTGTACTATGTCTTAAAAAGTTGTTATAGGTACTATTTTTGATCAGTTCATCTTTTAGTCTTTCTACTTAACATATGAGTAGTTAGCACACCACAATTACAGTATTATCATATTCTGTGCTTTTCTGTGTTCTTACTGTTACCAGTGAAATTTGTACCTTCAGATAATTTCCTGTTGCTCATTAATATCCTTTTCTTTCAGACTGAAGAACTCCCTTTAGCATTTCTTGTAGGACAGGTCTGGTATTGATGAAATCCCTCAGGTTTTGTTTGTCTGTGAAAGTCTTTATTTCTCCTTCATGTTTGAAGGACATTTTCGCCAGATATACTATTGTAGGGTAAAACTTTTTTTACTTCAGCACTTCTAAAATGTCATGCCACTATCTCCAAGGTAATAAGGTTTCCACTGAAAAGTCTGCTTCCTGATGTACTGGAATTCCATTGTGTGTTATTTGTTTCTTTTGCTGCTTTTAGGATCCGTTCTTTACCCCTGACCTGTGGGAGTTTTGTTAATAAATATCTTGAGGAGTCTTATTTAGGTCATATGTGCTTGGTGTTCTATAACCTTCTTGTACTTGAATATTGATCTCTTTCTCTAGGTTTGGACAGTTCTCTGTTATTATCCCTTTGAGTAAACTTTCTACTTCAATCTCTGTCTCTACTTCTTTAAAGACAATACCTCTTCGATTTGCCCATTTGAGGCTATTTTCTAGATCTTGTAGGTGTGCTTCATTGTTTTTTATTCTTTTTATTTTGTCTCCTCTTACTGTGTTTTTTAAAATAGCCTTTCTTAAAATTCACTATTCTTTCTTCTGCTTGATAAATTCTGATATTAACAGACTCTGATGCATTACTCAATATATCAGTTGCTTTTTTCAGCTCCAGAATTTCTGCTTGATTCTTTTTAATTATTTTAATCTCTTTTGTTAAATTTATCTGACAGGATTCTGAATTCTTTTTCTGTGTATCTTGAATTTCATTGAGTTTCCTCAAAACAACTCTTTTGAATTCTCTGTCTGAAAGGTCACATATATCTCTGTTTCTGGGATAGGTCCCTGGTGCTTTATTTAGCACATTCTGTGAGGTCATATTTTCCTGGATGGTCTAGATGCTTGTGGATGTTTGCCAATGTCTGGACATTGAAAAGTTAGGTATTTATTATAGTCTTCACAGTCTATGCTTATTTTTACCCATCCTTCTTGGGGAGGCTTTCCAGGTATTCAAAGGGACCTGGTTGTTGTGATCTGAGTTTTGGTTGCTGCAGCCATATGTGTGTTAGGGGACATTCCAAGCCCAGTAATGCTGTGGCTCTTGAACTTACAGAAGTACCACCTTGGGACCAGGCATGGTGGCTCATGCCTGTAATCCCAGCACTTTGGGAGGCCAAGGTGGGTGGATCACTTGAGGTCAGGAGTTCAAGACCAGCCTGGCCAACATGGTGAAACCCAATCTCTGCTAAAAATACAAACATTAGCCAGACATGGTGGCAGGTGCCTGTAATCCCAGCTACTTGGGAGGCTGAGGCAGGAGAATTGCTTGAACCTGGGAGGTAGAGATTGCAGTGAGCCAAGATCATGCCACTGTACTCCAGCCTGGGCAACAGGGTGAGACTCTGTCTCAAAAAAAAAAAAAAAGAAGTGCCACTTTGGTGGTCTTGGATGACATCTGGAAGAATTCTTTGGATTACCAGGCAGAGACTCTTGTTCTTCTCCCTTACTTTCTCCCAGACAAATAGAGTGTCTCTCTCTCTCACACACAAATAGAGTCTCTCTCTCTCTCTTTCTCTTTCTGTGTGTGTGTGTGTGTGTGTGTGTGTGTGTTTGTGTGTGTGTGTGTGTTGAGATGCCTGGAACTAGGGGAGGGATGACACAAGCATCCCTGTGGCCACCACCACTGGGAATGCACTGGGTCAAACCTAAAGCCAGCACAGCACTGAGTCTCGCCCAAGGCCTGCTGTAACCACTCGCTAGCTGCCACCTCTGTTTGCTCCAAGGCCCTAGGGCTCTACAATCAGCAGATAAAGTCAGCCAGGCTTGTGACCTTCTCTTCAGGGCAGCAAGTTACCTTGGGCCCAGAGTGCATTCAGAGATGCCGTCTAGAAGTCAGGGCCTGGAGTCAGAAAGCTTAGGAATCTACCTTGTACACTATTCTGCTGCAGCTGAGTGGACACACAAACCATAAGACAAAGTTCTTCCCACTCTTCCCTTCTCTTTCCACAGGCAGAGTCTCTCCGTGGCCACTCCTGCCACAGGGCTATGGGGAGTACTGCCAGACTACCACCAGTGTTCACTCAAGGCCCCAGGGCTCTTCAGTCACCTGGTGGTGAATGCTGCCAGGCCTGGAATTCACTCTACTGAGAAGTGGGCTCCCCTGTATCCCAGGGAAGGTCCAGAAATGCCATCCAAGAACTGAGCCTTGGCATCAAGGACCCCAAGAGGCTTGGTGCTCTACCCTACTGTGGCCAAGCTGGTACCTAAACTGTAATACAAAGTCCTCTTTACTCTTCCTTCTACTCTTCCCACGCAGGAGTCTCTATAGCCAACACAGCTGAGAATGTGCTGGATTTCACCTGAAACCTGTATGTCTCAGAGTCTCACCTAAGGCCCATGATGTATACTATCTGGTTACTGCTGCTGATTATTCAGGACCTAAGGCTCTTCAGTCAGCAAGTGTCCTAGCCTACTATGGCTGAGCTGGTATCCAGGTTGTAAGACAAAGTCCTCTTTACTCTTCTTAAGCAAAAGGAAGGAGTTTCTTTCAGAGCTGCATGCTGCACTGCCTGGGGTTGGTGTAGGGGTGGCACACGCACTCCCTTGACCACTCCAACTGGTGTCTCACTAGATCACCTGCCCCCCAAGTCCACTGGTTCCAATCCAAGCCCAGTACGAACTAGGACTTAACTAGGAATTGCAGTCCTTGTGGCCTAAACTGCCTTTCAAGTTTATTTAGAACCCCAGAGTGCTTTAGCCCACAGTGGTGAGGCTTGCCAGAACTCAAGCTCCAACCACTAGGATGGACAATTCTCCACCGGCTCTGGCTGATCTAAATGCCACCTTCATGGACCATGGCTGAGTTCTGCCTGGTGTTGCTTTCCACTGTGACAATGCAGCACTGAGTTCCAATGCAAAGTCCCACTGTCACTGAGCTCTCCCAACCCTAAGTGCACGGATTCTCCATGCCATACAGCCACTGCCAGGGGATGGAGGGGGTGGGTGTCAGCAACTGAAGACTGTCTTTCCTACCCTCTTCAGTGCCTCTTTCAGTGATGTGAAGTTAAAACTAGATACTGTGATTGCTCACCTGATTTTTGGTTCTTATGAAGGTGCTTTTTGTGTGATTTTTAAATTTTGTGTTTCTGCAGGTAGGATGATCAGTGGAGGCTTCTATTTGGTTTTCTTGCTCCACTTCCTGCCTAAAAGCTGTTACTTTTAAAAACCAAAATTAGGAAGAGACTTCTGCACGTTTGTTGGAACATTTGGTCTTATACCTTCTGTAGCAGTGGTTCTTAATGAGGAATGATCTTGCCACCCAGGGGATATTTGACAAAGCCAGAAAATGTTTTTGGTTGTTATAACTGGAGGGCGGGTACTACTGACACAAGTGGGTAGAGGCCAGGAATGTTGGTAAATATCCTTCAATGCACAAGACAGCCCCCACAACAAAAAAAAAATTATCTGGCTCGAATTGTCAGTAGTGCCCAAGCTGAGAAACCCTGTTCTGTGCCTGTATTACTCTAGTGACAGTTGATCACAGCTATGTTTTTTAAGCACTGCAGGGTCACAAATCATCAAACATACAGATGTTCAGTGTATTCTGTTTACTCAGGACAAGGCTATTTAATAAGACTAAACCAAAAAAAAAGTTGTTTTTGTTTTTGTTTTTTTTAATCTGATTAAGCCTAAACCTAAGTTAACTAGATAATTCAGTTACCCAAAATATTTTATTCCTCAGTCATCCTGATTGAGATTTTACTATTTTTTGTTATATTTTACTTATTCATGTAGAGCTTCTTAAAGATCAGACTTAATGAAGCATAACATCTACTTGTGATAAAAACAGGAATAAAGAAACATACTGGCTGGGCACTGTGGCTCATGCCTGTAATCCCAGCACTTTGGAAGGCCGAGGTGGGTAGATTACTGGAGGTCAGGAGTTCAAGACCAGCCTGGCCAACATGGTGAAACCCTGTCTCTACTAAAAATACAAAATTAGGCGGGAGTGGTGGCGTGTGCCTGTAATCCCAGCTACTCAGGAGGCTGAGGCAGGAGAATTGCCGGAACCCGGGAGGTAGAGGTTGCAGTGAGCCGAGATCACGCCATTGCACTCCAGCCTGGGCAAAAAGAGTAAAACTGCATCTCAAAAAAAAAAAAAAAGAAAAGAAAAGAAACTTACTGCAATATAGCCTTGAAAACATCATTAAAAGCTAACTTACCCATTTCAAAAATTATCATCAACTCATGTTCTAGAATAGGAATATGGCGTTAAACTAAGCTAATTTGTTAGGCCTTAGACTCCAACCGTACTCCTTTTCTTGGATATACCTGTTTGAAATGTCCACACACTGGTCCAGGGAAAGGGGAGCAGGGGTTTCATTATATACGCCAGTATTTTAAATATATATTAGCTAACATGTTTTGAATACTTACTGTGTGCTGGGTATTATGCAGGGCACTTTGTATTCTCTTATTTAATTTTCACCAAACCCTACTAGTCGATATGATTATCCCTACTCTTCTAGGAAACATCTCTCTCGTAGCTGTCTTCCTGCTCCAGTATGCACTGGTTGCTCTCTAGGTGTTACATAACTGTTACTCTGAGACTTCCTTTCCCTGTCTTTCTGAGATTCCTCTATGCTCTCCTATCTTGAATCCCCTGCATCTTCCATATCACGGCACACTCCCTCATTTTGGTGAAGTATATCCTCCATTACCTCCCTGAAAATACCAGTATCTGAAAATGTCTTTATTCTACCATCATAATTGAAAAAGGTAGTTTTTCTGAATGTAGAATTCTACATAAGAAATATCTTTCTCTCATTATTTTGCAGGAAGTACTCTCTTATATTTCAGGTTTGTGTATTAGCTACTTTGTTACTCTCCAAGCTTTTAGAATTTCTTTATCTCTGGTGCTCTGAAATGTCACGGTGATGTGCCTTGCAGCAAGTCTTTTTCCCCTTTCATGCACTTTGCCTAATATTCAGTGGGCCTTTTTATTCTTTTTTTTTGGAGACGGGGTCTCACTCCGTCACCCAGACTAGCGTGCAATGGTGCGATCTCGGCTCACTGCAACCTCCACTTCCTGGGTTCAAGCAATTCTCCTGCCTCAGCCTCCTGAGTAGCTGGGATTAAAGGCATGTACCACTATGCCCTGCTGATTTTTGTATTTTTAGTAGAGATGGGGTTTCACCATGTAGGTCAGGCTGGTCTCGAACTCCTGACCTCATGATCCGCCATCCTTGGCCTCCCAAAGTGCTGGGATTGATTACAGGCATGAGACACCATGCCCAGCCAGCCCTTTTATTTTTAATATTCTCTTCCTTGAGTTCAAGCAAAGTTACTTAAAATGCTTTTTTGATAATGTCCTCCCTTTCCTCTTTTCTTTCTGGAATGCCTATTATTTCGATGTTGACTTTTGAATTTTCTCCTGTAATTTCCTTATTTGAAGAATCCTATAGTGTATTGTCTTTTAGTTCTACTTTCTGAGAATTTTTTTAACTCTATCTTCTAACTCTATCTTGAAGTTTTTGAGTTATATTTTTTATTTCTAAGAGATATTTCTTGTCCTCTAATTGCTTCTTTTTTGCAGCCTCCTATCTTGTTTGACAGGTGGTTCATCTCCTCTTATCTCTGGGAATATTACGGTTTTTCTGAGGTATTTTTCTTGCAATTTGACTTGATTCTTATTCATCAGACTCCCGTCTTTCATTTAGGTCTGTGTGTTTCATGTTATAAACTTTCCCCAAATATTTAGTAGTCCATAACTGCCCATAATGTATAATATTCCAATATTTATTGGAAGGGTTTTGTTCATGGGCATCTACTGACTAGTGGACTTCACTTTGGGGTGAGCAGAGAGAATTAGTCATTTTATTGGAAGACTTCCTGGATTTAATATCTATAAGTCTGTCTCATTGGGTTGCTTAGTTGTTCCAGAGAGGAATTTTCTTTCCTGGGAAGTATATATTTGTCTGCCAGTATTCTAGAAGCCAAGTGAAACAAAGGAGTTGGAGAGGTCCTTATTGTTTGGTATTAGGACTTTCACTCATTCTCTCACTTATCTCTCTGCTGTCATCTACTCTTCCAGTCTCCCTTTTTTCTTTCTTTTACTGTTCATGTAAATTAAATCGGACAGCATGTACTCTTTTGTATCTTCTTTTTATAATTAAACTTTTCTGGCCAGGCACTGTGGCTCATGCCTATAATCCCAGCACTTTGGGAGTCCAAGTCAGGTGGATCACCTGGGGTCAGTAGTTTGAGACTAGCCTGGCCAACATGGTAAAACCTGTCTTTACTAATAACACAAAAAAATTAGCTGGTTGTGGTGGCACATGCCTGTAATCTCAGCTACTTGCGAGGCTGAGGCAGAAGAATCGCTTGAACGAGGGAGGCGGAGGTTGCAGTGAGTCGAGATCGCGCCATTGCACCCCAGCCTGGGCGACAAGAGCGAAACTCCGTCTCAAAAAAACAAAACAAACAAACAAAAAAACCACTTTTCTTTGAGATTTATATATGTTATTTTGTATATCCGTTCATTTCATTTCATCGCTGAGTAATTCTACTAGTTGTATATCCCACAGTTTTATTTTTCAAAGGACATTTATTTCCAGTTTAGGCTATTATGAATGAAATTCTGTGAACATTCTTGAAGAAGTATTTTAGAGGATATTTGTTTTTATTCTCTTAAGAAAATACAAGGAGCAGAATTTCTTGGTCATATACTGGTATATGTTTAACTTTATAAGAGAGTTTTGATTGCACCACACCCTGACCAATATTTGTTTTTGTCAGACTTTTTTTATTTTAGCTATTCCAGGGGGTTTGAAGTAGTACTGCATTGTGATTTTAATTTGCATTTCCCTGATGATTAATAGTGATAAGCATATTTTCATATAATATTTACCATTTATTTATCTTCTTGTTTGAAATATCTGTTCAAGTCTTATGCCCATTTTAATGGGACAGTTTTTCTGTTTATTATTGATTCATATTATTGACTTATAGTAATATTTTATGAATTGATCTCTTTATTATTATGAAATGTTTCTTTTTATTTGTGGTAATACTCATCATCATGAAATCTAATTTGTCTGATATTATTATAGCCACTTATACTTACTGTATACCTGATTATTTTTTCCATACCTTTATCTTCAATTTATCTGTATATTTGAATTCAAAGTTCATCTCTTGAGCCTGAAAGTAATAAGCACCTTGAACCCGGATCTTTATATCTAAATATGATTCTCCAGTAAAATTTATCAGGGTTCTCTGGACAAGTGGCTGATTGATTGTAGAGCAGGGATAAGAAGAGTATATGCTGAACCTGAATCATTTTTGTGGTGCCAAAAAGTAAGGAAGTACACAAAAAAATTGAGAAGATATCAGAAATGCACAAAAACTAACCTGAAGTGACTCTCAATGACCATATCTGGGACAATTTGAGTAAAAAAATAAGTAACAATAATGGATTATATCTTATAAGATAATATAAAACAAATATCAATGAGTCTATGATGATATAAATTAGAATGTATAAATGGGAGGAAGGGGAAAATTCTTTGCTTAAGCAGAATAATAATTAATTAATATAAAAAGAATAATGGAAATGGTAGAAATAGAAAGTCAACATTTGGCAAGCACCACAGTAATAATTGTTGCAGGCAAGAATCATCAATGGATGCTAAAGTTTGTGAGAAAAAGTTTGATGAGAAATGGGCTATTTACATAACCTCAAAGGCTTTTCCCACAAGATACTGTTAATTACAAAGGGGAAAATATTGAGAAACATGGAAGACAGCACCTTAACCAAATGATTGAAGTTAATACCATTAGTAATGCAACAAATCAGTATCGTGTGCCTCCTGATATGATGCACTGAGAAGGGCACAAGCATCACCTTTATGGTATTCTTGCAAAAAATGCATAATCTAAATTCAACCATGAAGAAATATTAGAAGGATGTTCTATGACTAGTCAGTACTGCTCAAAAATGTCAAGATTATGAAAGACAAAGAAAGACTAAGGTACTTTCCAGATTTAAAGAAATTAAATAGACAGGACTACTAAATGCAATATATGAGTCTGAATTGGACCCTGGACTAAAATTAGGCAGACAGTTGGTGAATTTTGAGTCAAGTCTGTAGAGTAGTTAATAGTATTTCTGGTTTTGATCATCATAATATGGTTATTTAAGATGTTAACATTTGGTGGATCTGGGTGAAAAGTATATGAGGATTCTCTCGCAGTATTTTTGCAATTTTTTTAAATCTGAAATTCTTTTAAAATGAGAAGTTGGCTGGGCACAGTGGCTCACACCTGTAATCCCAGCACTTTGAAACACCAAGGCAGGAGACTCGCTTGAGCCCAGGAGTTTGAGACCATCCTGCGTAAGATGGCAAGACTCCATCTCTTTAAAAAAAAAGAAAAAAGAAAAAAAAAGTGAAAAAAAAAGAAAAACATTTAATAAAATATTTTTAAACAATAATGATAGATGTCTTTTATAGGCAACATATGGTTAGATTTTGCATTTTTATTCAGCTTGACAATCTCTGTCTTTAATTGGACTAGTTTGTCATAATTTATATGGCTGGATTTAGCTCTCAGAA
This sequence comes from Homo sapiens, assembly GCF_000001405.40. NCBI lineage: Eukaryota > Metazoa > Chordata > Mammalia > Primates > Hominidae > Homo > Homo sapiens. Next base: position 55,876,692 of record NC_000015.10, on the reverse strand, counting down.
TGTGCAGTTTATTTCTGTTCCTCTCATCTGTTTCTTTGTTTCTCTTTTCCTGCCTTATTTTGGGTTAGTCAGATATTTCCAATATTCCATTTTAACTCTTCTCTGTGCTTTTTAGCTCTGCAGTCAATTAATGATTAACTTATGTCAATCATACCACTTTATATAAAATATAAGTCTTGCAACAATATAGATTTGATTATTCCACCTATCTTGTGCACAATGTTGTCATTTTTATTACATCTACATATATTTTAAACCCATAGTATAGCGATACAATTTTTTTTTTGTATACAACAATTTGTTCTTTAAAAGATTGAGAAGGTACCTTAAAAAAAAAAAACTTTACCCACATATTTACCATTTTCTGGTGCTCTTTATTACTCTCTTTAGATCTGAATTTCTATCTGGTGCCACTTATCCTCAGCCTGAAGAACTTCCTATAGCATATTCTGTAGTGCCAACAATTTGTCTGCTGATGACAAATTATCTCTACTTTATCCGAAAGTATCTTTATTTTCCTTCCCTTTTTTATGGATAGTTTTTGCTAGATACAGAATTCTTGGTACATTTTCCATTTCAGCACTTATAGATATCATTCAGTTGTCTTCTGGCTTCCATTGTTTTTGACGAGAAGTCAACCATTATTTGTATTCTTATTCTCCTGTGTGTAATGTATTTTAGGCTGCTTTCAAGATTTTCTGTTTATCTTTTGTTTTCAGCGTTTAATAATGGTGTGCCTACCCATGTTTTCTTTATGTTTATCCTGCTTCAGTTCACTGACTTTATTGACTGTCTCAGCTTGTGTTTTTCTAAATGTGTGAATATTTTGGCTGTTTTTTTCCCCAAATATTTTTCTGCCCTATTACCTATCCCCTTTTATGGAACTCCAGTTACACATACGTCAGACTGCTTGAAATTTTTCCACAAGTTCCCTTTATTTTTCATATTAGATAAATTCTGTCTCTATATCTTCAAGTTCATACTTTTCTCCAGTCATCTTCAATTGTCTTTTAAACCCATTTATTGAATTTTTTTATTTCATGTATTATATTTTTCAGTTCTAAAATGTACATCTGGCCGGCCGTGGTGGCTAACACCTGTAATCCCAGCACTTTGGGAGGCTGAGGCAGGCGGATCACCTGAGGTCAGGAGTTTGAGACCAGACTGGTCAACATGGTGAAACCCTGTCTCTACTAAAAATACAAAAATCAGCCAGGCATGGTAGTGCATGGTGCATGCCTGTAATCCCAGCTACCTGTGTGGCTAAGACAAGACAAATCACTTGAACCCAGGAAGTAGAGGTTGCAGTTAGCTGTGATTGCACCACTGCACTCCAGCTAGGGTGACAGAGCAAGACTCTGTCTCAAAAATAAAATTAAATAAAATAAAATGTGCATTTGATTCATTTTTAGTTTCCCCTTCACTGCTGAGGTTCCCCATCTTTTCATTCATTATGACCTTATTTTTCTTTTAAGTCCTTTGAACATCTTTATAATAGCTGCTTTATTTTCCTTGTCTGCTTATTCCATGATCTGCGTCATCTTGTGGCTGGTTTCTGTTAATTACTTTTTCTCTTCCTACTGGGTTTTTTTTTTTATTTCTTTGCATGTCTAGTAATTTTTTTATTGTGGGCTGGACAATGAATATAGTAACTAATAGAGACAGTGAATTTTATTATATTTCCCTGAGGAGAGTTGATTTCCTTTTTTTTTTTCTTTTTGAGCGGAGTCTTACTCTGTCACCCAAGCTGGAGTGCAGTGGCATGGTCCAGGCTCACTGCAACGTCTGCCTCCTGGATTTAAGCCACTCTCCTGCCTCAGCCTCCCAAGTAGCTGGGATTACAGGCATGTGCCACCACACCTGGCTAATTTTTGTATTTTTCGTAGAGATGAGGTTTCACCGTGTTGGTCAGGCTGGTCTCTAACTCCTGACCTCAGGTGATCCGCCCACCTCGGCCTCCCAAAGTGCTGGGATTACAGGTGTAAGCCTCCATGCCCAGTGTTGATTTTTGTTCTAGCAAGTTAACATAGCTGAACTCCAAATTCTGCTTCCCTTTTGGTGAACATCAGCTGAAATCAGTGCTGAGCCCTCTCAGTCTTCCATCTGTTGATTTTCACTTGTTCAGTTCAGAGTAAAACTAGGGATTTAGGTAAGAGTTTATATATAGATTTGGAAGAACTCTGGTGGCTTCTTTTTTTCTGGGACGTTTCTCCTCTTTTTCTAGATATGCTGTCAACCCCAAACTAGGCCTTCTGACTCCTCAAGCCAGTAATAGTGCAGATTTCAGCTTAAGTTCTAGGCTCTCTGCATTATGTGGACTGTAGAATACTACTAGAGGAAAAGCCATATAAATACTGAATCTTACCTAGTGTAGTTCCTTCTTTGAAGGATTGACATCCCTCCAGTTTCTGCTTGTTTGGGGTCATTCTGTTGTACTTTCAAATAGCTCTTTTAGTATTTTGTCACAGAATATAATTGTTATCTGCAGAAGGATTAATCTAATATATGCTACTCTGCCATTACCAGAAGTTGTACCACATTACTTTTTATTTTCCATTGATGCTGCATATGACTGAATAAAAAAAAAACTCTACATTTTCTGTGAATGGTGGCACTATCTCATCAAACTCTTCTAAAGGAATTGAGCGTATTACTAATTATATTTTTTCTTCCTTCTCTTATAGACAAGAGATGATTTCCTAGGTCAAGTGGATGTTCCACTTTATCCATTACCGGTTGGTATAGGTGTCCATGATTTTCCTTTTGGGCTTATTTTTTTAATTTAATAAATACTTACATATATAATATAGCTACTGTAAATAATTGATTTATCAAATGTATACTACTTTTATTTATTGAGCATACTGTTTTCTAAAAACTCATTTCAATTTTCCGTTTCCATTTTCTCTTTAAGATTTCCGTTCATGAACCCCAGTGAGAAATAGAGAATTTCTGATGTTTGTTGGCATTGTGAAAACATTGTGTAAAAAAGATTAGTTTGAAAATATTCTGCTGAATAACTAGAATGAGGAGTGCCTAAGCTCACAGAAGAAAACTAAGATAGTTTACGACAATGGAAACATAAAACACTAAGAATCAGGACTAAGAATATAGCAAGGAGAAAAACAGATTCAGGAAACATTGCAAAATAGAACATTATTGAATCACATGTCTGACATGGAGGCTTAAGAAAATAAGCAAGAAGTAAAGATAATACAAGTTGAACTTGGAAGATAAGAGTGGCGTCTCTTGTAGAAAAGTGAGGAAGAAAAGCCATTTTGTTTTGAAAAGCAAAAAATTTATTTTTGGACAAACAGAGTTTTGATAGGAAACAAAGAAAATGAAAGTTTAAAGTAGACTGCTGACAGAGAGATAAAAATCAGCTAGGTAGGGAAAAGGGACTGGAAGGATTGAGTGTTATCACTGTCCAGATAACAGCAGAATCTCTGAGAATAATGGGCTCTCCTGATGAAAGAGATAAGAACGGAGGGCCAGCCATTGACCCTCAGTCAACGTGAGTGGATCAGAAAAGAAAGAGAAGACAGACAAGGGGAAACAGGAAAAGAGCCAAGTAAAATAATGTCATGAGAATTTAAGAAAGGAGTTTCAAGGCAGACTGGGTAGTTAACAATGCAGAACATCAGAGAAGGATAATAAAAACTAACAACTGCTGAATTTTAAAGAAAGAGAAAAAATACTTCTTTTTCAGTCTTGTGAGTTATATTAATTGGCTCTCCACAGTCTTTCCAGAGCATAATCTTTTTTTTTTTTTTTTAAACAGGGTGCAGGACCATAAGCTTTCAGTAATATATTTAATCCAGTCTTACTTTCCAGGCTGTTGACTTTTTTGATCTCCTAGAATTATCTCTATGCTCTAACCAAGCCAGCCTGCAGACATGTGCATAGTCCGTGTTCTTTTGGGATGTTAACATACTAACCACTCTATACTGTTTTTCTGCTTATTCTCTTCTGCCCTCCCTTTGGCTCCACAACCCACCTGCTCAGCTAGTTTTCATTTGAGTTGTGATGTCGGCTGCAATTCCTCTTGGGCAGGAAAGTGAAAGCACTGTCAAGTTAGCATTTGATAAACTAAAGCTACTTTTTTTTCTCACTTCCAACTTAAATTATGCCTTAGGTGATAGTTCATGAGTATTCTTGAAAAGTACATGCTTTTGGTGTTATAGATATATTTTGAAAACCCACTATTTTATTCTAGACAGAAAATCCAAGATTGGAGAGACCATATACATTTAAGGATTTTGTTCTTCATCCAAGAAGGTCAGTAAATATAAAATAATAATAGCATATTAAATTTTTTATCTCTTCATTACACCTTACAGTAGCCTTATTAGAAATTCAGGGTTTAAACCTCTGTAAATAAGTTACTTCTAAATATTATTATTATTATTATTATTATTTTAAAAGCTTCATTGCTATTTCTGATTAAAAGTACTGTATGCACATTGCAAAACATTCTGAAAATACAGAAAGTGATCACAGCCTTTTGGGAAAGATTCGTTCTCCTAATACTTATCAGACTAGAAGGCTATTTATGTCATATTGTCATACTATGCTTTAAAAAATCACAAACATGAATTCATCTAAAACCATTACCTAACTCGACGTGCACAAAGCCAATTTCAGAAAAACCTAACTATATTTTGCATACTTAGTATTTCAGAAGACTCAAATATTTAGAGAAAATAACATAAGACTGGAATTTAAAACCCAAATAGCATGCTTATAATTCCATTTTCCCAAACAAAGTTACTTGATGTTTATCAAAAAAATTTAAATTTAAGCTGTAACTAAAACTCCTTTTGATCTTCTATACCTCATTGACAAGTAAAATCTAGTGAAAACGTGTGTGGATTTACTGTCAAAAAGGTCAAACTAAAGCAGAGAAAGGACATCTGTGAAAGCAACAGTATTTGTCTTGTTTCTTAAACTATAAAATGCATTTGAAAATGTACTTTTGGAACTTAGTAAAATTTTTCACTTAAAAATGATTTTTTAAATTACTGTTTGTAATGTAAATATTAAAAAAATGAAAAGGAGTGCTCACTGACTGTTAATATTTACTCTCTATAAAGGAAGTCACATTTAATTTCTGTAGATGTCTGGAATGTAAATCTCTTTTAGTCTTTTAATTTTAGACTGATTGTGACATCTGCATATCAAGAATAACTAAATTGTTTTTTCTTATTTGATTGTCCTAGCAGCCTGCTTTTCAATTTGTCACATGCTTTCTAGCGTCTTTATCTTTAAAAAATACAATTTGTTTCTTCTGTCTGCAATGAATATTATTGCAAGTGTAGAAAGAACTTTATTCAGATAGAAAATGTACTACATTCCTAAATTTGTGTGAGCCCCATTAAGTCAAAACCTTGAGGCTTCTTTTCCAATTGAAAAGACATGAAACATACAATTGTAGAGAAACTTTTCAACAAAACATTGTCTGAGCACATTTTCTGTATCCATCTTTTATAGCCACAAGTCAGAATGTTCACATCTCCTTCAGTATGGAGACACAAGCCACATTAGCGGCCTTGGGAATAAGCATCAGGATTTCACTGACTACTCATGAAAGGATACACTAAATTTGCCAAATCCATGAGAACCATACAGAGAAGAGCTAAAAAGATTAGGGGAGGCTTGGGAGTGGGGGTAGGTAATCTCTTGAAGACAGAATAAAAGGATTAGGACTCTTGTCTAGAAAGACAAAGGGTAATTGCTACATATCTGATATCTGTAAAAAATCATCCCCAAAAAATCTATATAGAGAGCTGAGACAAGTAAGGATTTCTTAAGTAAATCATAGGATACTAGAATTGATGAGGACAATAGAATTAAGCCTTAAATTAGAACCTTATGAAAGCATTGTAATTGTAGCACTTTGGGAGGCTTAGGTGGGTGGATTGCTTGAGCCCAGGAATTCCAGACCAGCCTGGGCAACATGGCAAAACCCTGTCTCTACAAAAAAATACAAAAATTAACCGGGCATGGCAGTGTGTGCCTGTAGTCCCAGTTATTTAGGAGGCTAAGGTGTGAAGATCACCTGAGCCTGGGAGGTCAAGGCTGCAGTGAACCGTAATTGAGCCACTGTGCTTCATCCTGGGCGACAGAGGGAGATGCTGTCTCAAAACAAAAAAAAAAAAAAAAAGAAGAAGAAGAAGAAGAAAAAAAAAGCAGCAGCAGCTTATGAAAGACAGGTTTTCAAAAGATTTAAAATATTACTACAGCAGGCAGCAGCCTTTAGCTTAGACAACTGATTATTCAAAAAGGTGATACAATATAAAAATAGATTAGGTAAATTAATGTGTGACAGATTCAAACAGCTGCCAAAGAGATGTAGCAGGTTTCAGACACTGATCAGGCCTTGCCCTCTACTCTTCTGTCATCCAAAAAAATATGGCCAGATTAGCATCCCTAAAGCACATCTCTGAGGATACCTTTCTCTATCCCCCAAATTCTCAGTGATTTACCAAAATATGCAAAATAAAGTCTGAAGTTGTCTGATTTTGCATGACCTCTGGACCATCCCAATCTCCTGTAGTCCCCTTTACATGTCCTATAATCTAGCCAAACTCAACTACTGCAATTTCCTTAATTGCACCCCAAATTTCCCATCTGTTTCCTGGATCTTGCCCTCTTCTTTACTCATATGCCTTTTCCTCTACTGCCACAGGTAAGAATCCTCCCCAGTCTTCTAACCCCAACTCAAAGGCCAGCTTCTCTTTGACATTGTCTCTGATCGTTCACTTAAACTTCCTTAGCATCTTCTTTGTGTCATAACAATTATTTATTTATTTATTTATTTATTTATTTATATATGTTTGCCTTTTCTCTACCTTCTATTCCTTTCCCTAGATATCTTCTGCCCTGGAACTTGTCTTTGAACCTCCCTTTGTAGACCCCCTGGTACCTAGTGGGTGTTCATTAAACTCTTATTAATTGAATACTTTTCTCCCGGTGTTAAAGTTTTATGAATATTTATTTTCTTTTCTACAGTCACAAATCAAGAGTTAAAGGTTATCTGAGACTAAAAATGACTTATTTACCTAAAACCAGTGGCTCAGAAGATGATAATGCAGAACAGGCTGAGGAATTAGAGGTGAGATTTTATAAATATTTGGTTAAACTAAAAAAATTTTAATTTCTTATTTTACTGTACTCTGAAGAACAATAACTATTGAATGAAGTTAACATGTGCAATGAAGATTATTTACTTGGATGTTTATTTCACCCAAGCATTAATAGTTTTCCCTCTAAGGATATTTCCGTAGAAGGAATGGCCATTATTGATGGCCTTCTTAAAGGTTAAGGAGTAGAGAATAGAATATAAATCTAGTTTTTCAAAGTTTTCTAAAACTGTATATTCTCCATTAAAGTAAGAACACAATTTAGTATTTTGAAGTTAAATATATGGACATTTTGAGGAGACTCCACTGATTAGGAACTCTTTTATGAAATTTAAGTCCTGTTAATATTCTTATTATGGTGGGAGGGCTCATAGGAAAGGAGGGGAATTAGGGAGCAAGGAAAATTTAAGTGATCTAATAAAGAGCCTTCTGTATGTGGGGCAAGTAGAATTTAACAATTTTCATGGATGACAGGATGAGAGGAAAGTCCAAGTCAAGATTTGTGTAGAGTTACATGCATCTGGAGTAAGCAAGTAGGAGGCAGAAAGTATGTATTTGGAATAGAATTGGATAGGGTTTGGAGACTGGAATCCTAGTTGCACACTCTGTCTAGCCAGACCTGTGTGAGTCATTGAACTTTTCCGAACCTCAGGATCTTGTTTGCAGAGTGACAGGATGGCATCAGATGACCTCGAGGGTTTCTTCCAGCAAAAAAATTTATGATTTGGAAAGGGGTCAAAAAAACACCTGCTCGTTGAGGTTCCCTTTGAAAGCACATTATCATCAAAAAGAAGTATCATTTATTCAGTAGCTGTGTTAGTCCATTTTCATACTGCTGTGAAGAAATATCAGAGACTGGGTAATTTATAAAGCTTTAAAAACAGGTTTAATGGACTCAGTTCCACATGGCTGGGGAGGTCTCACAATCATGGTGGAAGGTGAAAGAGGAGCAAAGGCACAGCTTATATGGTGGCAGGCAAGAGAGTGTGTGCCAGGGAACTGCCCTTTATAAAACTATCAGATCTCATGAGACTTATTCACTATCATGAGAACAGCACCGGAAAAACTCACTCTCATGATTCAGTTACCTCTCACTGAGTGCCTACCACGACACGAGGGGATTATAGAAGCTACAATTCAAGATGAGATTTGAGTGGGGACACAGCCAAACCATATTAACAGCAGTTACTGAAAGCAAAGCACACAGCGTATGGCACCAAATTGCTCTGGAGGGTTCTTATTTGTTGCCTTGCTTAACACTTTCTCCTCTGACTGAGGGCCTGCTTAGGTCTCCATAAGAACAGTGAAGCTGAGGGCCTTCCCCAGGGGCTAGGCTCTACCTCACATGCCCATGTACCTTGAGAAAGAAAAGCTCTAGAACAGGTAGTGAATTTGCAGCAGAGCTTTCTGGGAAAATTTTAAATGCACTAATGAGATTTTGCTTTGCAGGAGAATCTATAATAATAGAAGGAAAGACCTTTTTTTTTTTTTTTTGGAGTCAGAGTCTTGCTCTGTGGCCCATGCTGGAGTGCAGTGGTGCAATCTCAGCTCGCTGCAGCCTCTGCCTCCTGGGTTCAAGTAATTCTCATGCCTCAGCCTCCCAAGTAGCTGAGATTACAGGCATGTGCTACCATGCCTGGCTAATTTTTGTATTTTTAGTAGAGACAGAGTTTTACTATGTTGGCCAGGCTGGTCTTGAACTCCTGGCCTCAAGCCGTCCATCCGCCTCGGCTTCCCAAAGTGCTGGGACTACAGGCGTGAGCCACGGCACCCAGCCAGGAAAGAACCTTTTTTCTTCAAATCACAGAGTATAGATAGCCCCTGGTTTGGTGATCAAAGAACTCTCTTCACTTATTTGATTAACTTTTTGTTAGGTATTTTTCTCTGATTTTCGTATAATTGTTTTTAAAGTTTTCAAGTATTCATTCAGTAGAAGTTTCTCTACCTGGCTTTTTGGTGTACCAGAGTATCTCGAATAATGGAATTCTGTTTGAAATGAAGGATATCTGCTGTAAAGAAAGAAAATTATTTATTTAGTAACTTGAAAAAATTTAACAGCATTTCATTATTTAGTAACCTGCTCCAAGTTTTGCCCACATGCACGCATCATAGGACCCTATTCACAGTTGAGTTTCTGTGGAGAGAACTGCTTCACTTCATTTTGCGGTCTCATGTCTCAGTGTTTGAATTCCCTCAGAATGCACCTTATAATTTCAGGAGATGTAAGCTTGTAGGAGTTTATTTATGAAAGGCCCTAGGAATTCAAACACATGAATCTGTGCTTATTTACCTTCTGTGTAGCTAATGACTAGAGGAGTCTTGCCTAGTCCTTTGACAGCTAGTTTGTGACTGTATATATAAAATTCTACTATTTAAGGAAAACAATTGTAATTTTGAAATGAAGCTCACTCTTAGGTAGTTTGTATTCTGTAGTAAAGTATGGCTATAATAGATAATTATGTAACATTTGATTTTTGTACCATTTGCAACTTTAGGGTTAGTTGTATGTATTTTACAAAATTAACATAAAATGTTGGTTGTACCTCTGAATGCTTTCTTTCTGACCCTCTTTGACTTGATTAAATTGTGAGCAATTACATATTGGCTTTGCGGTTAGAAATTAAATAAGGTTCATTGATACTTAGAAAGTTATTTTATAAAGAATAGCAGCTGATACATATTTAATAGGAAGGCCTTCTATCCAAAAAATTGACTGTATAGAGGCATTGTATCCAGTCTTTCTAAGCCGTGTTTGATTGTACAACTCTACTTCCACAAATTTGAGACAGGTCTTTTTTAAGCCCTTAATTAAATTAATTTTTGTTCTTTCTCTTCCTGAATTTACTCAGATAATATAAATACATTAAGCAGACATTTAAGAGAGAAATCTCTAAGAAGCTTTAAAAGAAATATTCTTTTGCTACCATTTTTCTAGCACTATTTTTATAATCCTTTACAGCAGTAGTGAGAACTATTTTATTAATAAATTGTATTAATCTTAAAGGAAAAGTAATCAATGGTTATATTCAACCAAAAAATGTTAAATTTATATTTTCTCAAAAGAGTAAAATATAAAAACTTAACGTGTTTTGGGATTGAAACCAGAAACATACAGTCTGATTCAATATATGCAAGACTAAATTTTAGGTATGCTAGATCCTGTATTATCATAATTTAAGAGAAAGGAAAAGAAAGAAAGAAGGAAGATCAACATGGATGGGCAGACAAAGTAAGAGGATATAAGGAAAGAAGAGAATGAAATTTGGGCAATAAAAAGAAAAAATAGAGAGAACAATTCTTATAAAAGAGGTAAAAATTTAAAAAAAAAAAGAAGAAAGGTTGGGCACAGTGGCTCACGCTGGTAATCCCAGCACTTTGGGAGACCAAGGCAGGAGGATTGCTTGAGCCCAGGAGTTTGAGACCAGCCTGGGCAACATAACGAGACCCCATCTCTACAAAAAAATTAAAAATTAGCTTGGGATGGTAGTACACACCTAAAGCCTGAGGTGGAAGATTGCTTGAGCTCAAGAGGTCAAGGCTGCAGTGAGCTGTGATGGCACCACTGCACTCCAACCTGGGTGTCAGAATGAGACCCTGTTGAGAGAGAGAAGAAAGAGAGAAATTCCCCTCCAGACCTTTTCTCCCAAAATAATTTATTCTGTCATCTTCCTACTCCACTACTCGTCACCTTCTATACAGAGCTAGCCAAACTAGATCAGCCTTGCTGCAGAAACCCCTATCCATTTCTCCCTGCTACCAAAAAACATTCCTTTCCTTCCCAACTCTTTTCCCTGAGGCCTCGTTTTCAGGTCTAGCCTTCCAACGTGGAAGAATTCTCTTCCATCTTGGAAGCCGTCCACTGCCTGTCACACAGCAGTCATTTACTGCTGATCTCCAGGCCTAGAACAGAAGCTCTGTGTATCTAAGGAAATTATTCTGTGTCAGTTATCAAAGCACCAAAAATGTTTGCCACTTTGTCATTTGGTCTTTTTTTTTTTAATGTTATTTAGTAGTTTTGGCCATATACAAATGTGGGTGTTTTGTTATCAAATTTATGGATCTTCTCTTTCATGCCTTCAAGGTTTGGTGTCATACTTAACAGTGTCCCACTTTTAAAATATATTTCTAAAATTTTCAAAAGTTTGTTACTACTACTTTTTGGTTTCACTTTTAAACATTTAGATATTATTCAGTCTGTAACTTATCCTGATATAAGGCATGAGGTAGGAATTCAAGTGAAGTTTTTTCCAAATGGGTGCCCATTTTCTAAGTAATCTGCGTATTTTGCCACAGATTTCAAATGTCTTTATCATATTCTAAATTCCTATAAAGTTTTTTTTTTTTTTTTTTTTTGAGACAGAGTCTTGCTCTATCGCCCAGGCTGGTATGCAGTGGTGCGATCTCAGCTCACTGCAACCTCTGCCTCCTGGGCTCAAGCAATTCTCCTGCCCCAGCCTCTCGAGTAGCTGGGATTACAGGCGCCCGCCACCATGCCCGGCTAATTTTTGTATTTTTAGTAGAGATGGGGTTTCACCATGTTGGCCAGGCTGGTCTCAAACTCCTGACCTCAAGTGACCCCCTCACCTCAGCTTCCCAAAGTGCTGAGATTGCAGGCATGAACCACTGTGCCTGGCCGGAATTCCTATAAAGTTGAGTTTCTTTCTGGGCAAATCTATTGAGCTGCCTGTCGATGCATGCACCAGAACCACACAGCTTTAATTGTTGTCATTTATAATGTGTTTTTATCTGGTAGGGTTGATCTTCACTTCTTGCTTTTCTTTTTAAAAATTGTGCTGCTTATTCCTGCTTGTTTATGTTTCTGTTGAACTTGAGAGTTGCCTCGTATCTTTTTTTTTTTTTTTTCTTATGAGACAGAGTTTCACTCTTGTTGTCCAGGCTGGAGTGCAATGGCGTGATTTCGGCTCACCATCACCTCCGCCTCTCGGGTTCAAGTGATTCTCCTGCCTCAGCCTCCCGAATAACTGGGATTTACAGGCATGCGCCACCACACCTGGCTAATTTTGTATTTTTAGTAGAGATGGGGTTTCTCCATGTTGGTCAGGCTGGTCTCAAACTCCCTACTTCAAGTGATCTGCCCGCCTCGGCCTCCCAAAGTGCTGGAATTATAGGCCTGAGCCACCGCACCTGGCCTATTTTTTTTTTTAATCATAATACAGTTTTGTTGGAATCTTGGCAAATTTATAGATTAACTTGGGAAGAATTGACACCTTTGTGAGACTGAGTCTTCCCAGCCAAGAACAGACTATGTCTTTCCCTTATTTAGGTCTTCTTTTGTGTCCTTTTGGGAGCATTTTAAAGTTTTCTTCACCAGTTTATTTCAGTTTCTAATGCTTTCCTAACCAATCAGTATTTAATAGAATCTTTGACCTACTGCCTTTTCTTTTGTGAGGTTTCTCATATAAAAGCATTAACTCTTGCTACTCTTTTCTATCAATTCCTTACTTTAACTGCCCTAAGGCTTTATGTTAATTTTGCCCCTTGTTAATCTCTGAGAAACCAAACTTCTCAGTGCATTTTTTAAAAATCTTTCTTTGGCTGTTTTATGACTTGATAAAATGCCTTGCCTTGGTCCAGAGGAGAAAGAGAGAAATCAGACAAGGGAATGAGAATGACTTTTCCATCACTAGAGAGTTCACTGTAGCAGTTATTTCTAAATCATTTGCCTTCCCCATCTTGCCCCTTTGTATATTTGACCTTTATCAAATGATTTTTTCCATGTGTCAGATAGTTATTGATTTCTACCGTAAGCAAGGTGCTTTCTCTGTAGGAAAGACAATGACCAATAAGAAATAATCCTTGCCCTTCATTCAGTTGATAATTTAGAGAACAGCCTAAGATTACACTAGTAGTTTAAACTATACTTCTCAATTTCTCAGTACTTTCCAACTTTCCGTGGTTGTTTATTTAAACGATTTTTTGTCCTTTTTTTCTATTAGATTTTTTAAAATTTTATTTTTGATTGACAATAATTGTATATATTTATGGAGGACAATGTGATGTTTTGATATATACTTACAATGCAAAATGATTAAATCAGGCTAATTAATCTCATTAAATCACCTCACATACTTTTATTACTTTTTTGTTATGAAAATTTTAAATAGATTTGTTTTAAAGTTCTGTTTTATTGTTGTTTTGAGATGGGATCTGGTTCTGTCACCCAGGAAGAACCTGGTGGAAACTTTACAGGCTTGTGCCTTTAAAGTTTTTTTTGAAAAATTTTTAGACAATTTTAAACAAAATTTAAATGGTTATCATTTTTGCAAAAAGAGTCTTCATTATCATAAAGTATTTACATTATGGTCTTAAAAGTTGAGGATTGTTTATTCTGTCTATGCATAATTTCTAAAACTTGATATAATAAATCTCTTTTTAAATTTCCTTTAGCATATAATTTAGAAAGTTAAAAAAATCATGCGTAAACTTAATTGCTGCCATCCTGTTTTTCAGCCTGGCTGGGTTGTTTTGGACCAACCAGATGCTGCTTGCCATTTGCAGCAACAACAAGAACCTTCTCCTCTACCTCCAGGGTGGGAAGAGAGGCAGGATATCCTTGGAAGGACCTATTATGTAAACCATGAATCTAGAAGAACACAGTGGAAAAGACCAACCCCTCAGTATGTGCTGATGGCTTTCACAATTTTAATCTGGAAACACTTTAACTACGAATTTTCATTTTGAAGTCATGTCTCAGATGGATTCATAACAGTATAGTGATCCATAAACTATAAGAATACTAGGATTTTTATTGCCCAGGACTTTAAAAATCCTAACTCTGCTGTTTCGTTTTTTAAATGACTTGATAATATTCAAAATTACTTGACTCTAGATACTACCCTTTTAATTGCGTCTTAATTTTAATAGGTTTTTAATTTTATGTAGCCACAAATGGTAGATTTTTATTTTTAGGCTGAATTAGAAGTCTTGGAGAATTCTTGTAGTTTGTTATTAAAATGTAATAAAATGTTAATTTCTATAGTACTCTATTTTTAAAATATAAATTATTTGTAAAATATAAAGGACTCAATAATAAGGGTATTACGTTAAACGCGCATTTGACAGTCTGGTCAATGTCCACATAACTTCCAGCACGCACAGATCAAGGACGGAATGACTTTCAACATATTCTAACTTCTGTCTCCTCAGTGATTTTTTTTATTATTAGACTGTATATACATTTATAAAATCTCCCATTATTCATATTTATTCTCAAATCCCCTTCCATTTTTCCTTCCATATAGTCTTATAAAGTCTTCCTTTAGTCTTCTGTTTGAAACATACTCGTAATTTTTTAATGTGTTCATTAGCCTCCTAATTTTTGGCTATGATATTTTGTGCCTGATATATGCCAAGCACTTTTACAGATATTTTCTGTTCTCAAATCCTTCCAAAACAAATCAGCAATTCAAGTACTTCATGGCACAGAAGCTTCAGTCTTCATAGAGTGACGTACAGACTGCAAAGCTGAAGACACTATAAAATTCTGTAGAATTGCGCTGTTGCATACCTCAGTATTATGGCAAGCCTTACATGAGCAAAATCACAGTTCTTTCACTGTGGCTGATGTCATTTTCAGGTAGCCAAAATCATATATTTAGGGGGAAAAAAACTGAAGCATTCCCTTAGAGCCATGTATCAAAATTATGTTTTCTTTAGCTACGGTACAGTAAGAACTGGTCTTCTGACTAGCCTGAGCTCATGTCGCATTAAATAAACAGTAATTTTATTATTAAATATTTGAACAAAATTCTTGATCTGATAGACTGGTTATATTAAATGCAAATAATTAGAATAATATAAATGACTGGGGTAAGGGTGTTCAATCTGATTTTTTTTAATTTTAATTTCTGTGGGTCCCTAGTAGGTATATATGTTTGTGGGGTACATGAGAGGTTTTGATACAGGCATGCAAGGCATAATAATCACATCATGTAAAATGGGGTATCCATCCTCACAAGCCTTTATCCTTTTTGTTACAAACAATCCAATTATAGTCTTCTGGTTGTTTTTAAATGTACAATTAAATTATTATTGACTGTAGTCACCTGTTAAGCTATTAAATACTAGGTCTTATTCATTCTTTCTGTTTTTTTTAATACTCATTAACCGTCCAATCTGATTTATTGTACCTCTCCTAAGCTCAGACAAATCTTTACTATTACCTTTTTCAGGACAGGCCCATGACTGTATATTACGAAAAACAGATACCATTACTAATAGATATGTAATTCCTAAACCATTAAGCTTTTCATTATAAAGTTCTTACACCATCTTTCATTCTGCCCTTCACATTCATGCATGGAGTACTCTACTCCTGGCTTAAGACCAATTCTAGAAAATGTACTATCTGATTCACAAAGATGTATGTATGTGTAACTCTATTACTCTTATAATAACATGGCAAAATAATACAATGAAATAATCTATGAAGCGCTCTGATATTTATTCATTCAACAAATATTTTTGAGTACCTATATGTGTTGGACATTATCCTAGACATAGTGACAAACTAAAATATCAAATCAGACATGTTATACCTTTTCACAAAACCTTAAACTCCGTAAGGTACTCTAAATATACCAGTCTGCCTACCCATGATTGAATCTTTGCATGTTGAAATAGCCTTTGGTCAAAGACAATAAATTTTTTTATTGATGTAATGTAGATTTTTTTCCCAATGATCACAGAATCTTTGACAATCATTTTAACTACTTAAGACATGGATGATGGCTTTTTATACTTCCAATATAGGGACAACCTAACAGATGCTGAGAATGGCAACATTCAACTGCAAGCACAACGTGCATTTACCACCAGGCGGCAGATATCCGAGGAAACAGAAAGTGTTGACAACCGAGAGTCTTCCGAGGTATAAGTAGTTTCCTAGTTCTCCTTGAAAGACACATGCTATAGCAATAAAGTATGTGTGGCTCAAGCTTATTCTGTTCATTTTAGAACTGGGAAATTATAAGAGAAGATGAAGCCACCATGTATAGCAACCAGGCCTTCCCATCACCTCCACCGTCAAGTAACTTGGATGTTCCAACTCATCTTGCAGAAGAATTGAATGCCAGACTCACCATTTTTGGAAATTCAGCCGTGAGCCAGCCAGCATCGAGCTCAGTAAGATGCTCTTAGATTTTGTTACGGCTTCAGTAGTTTATATTATGCATATTATACTATTCAACAACTAACTTTTATGTAAAATTTTGTCTTAAATGCAATAATATGTAATAATACATTAGGGACCTTGGGACTTTACAACATGGTCATTTTTCAAATATCCTCATTAGTAGTATGGACCAGAGTCATGGCATCCAAATTTCCATTATGTCAGTGCCCTCCAGTCAAAAATCACTAGGGACACATTTGTCATTGAACAAGTTGGGTTTATTATTCATTTCAGCAAGGGAGAACACGCACCATTGGTGTTTTGGTAGCAGAATGTTAGAAAAGACTTCAGGGATTTGGGCTCCTGTTAGGTGATTTTGAAGAGGGTTTTAGGAAGCAGGACTTTGCTCTACATGAGATGCTGTTGGGAAGCAGGGATAATTCTATGATTTTGTATCTCAAATCTTATCTGTAGTGAGGCTAAAGCTATGATTAGCAAAGTAGAACAGTCACTCACATTTGCCAGGATGGGGAAATGTTTGGTATTTTGTGGCTTGGACAATGTTCATGTTTTGTCTATATTCAGCCACGATTACAGAGTGGTCTTGATTTTGTCTTGATCTTACCTATGAGTGCCAGGCCAGCTCTTGGATGTTAGGGACTGCTTTTCTCTCTCCCAGTTATGCTGAAGTTGGTTTTTTGTTTGCTTGTTTGTTTGTTTGTTTTGAGACATCTCACTCTGTCACCTAGACTGGAGTGCAGTGGTGCTATCTCGGCTTACTGCAAACTCCGTCTCCAGCTTCAGGCGATTCTCATGCCTCAGCCTCCTGAATAGCTGAGATTACAGGCGCACACCACCACGCCCAGCTAATTTTTGTATTTTTAGTAGAGATGGAGGAGTTTCACCCTGTTGGCCAGGCTAGTCTTGAACTCCTGGCCTCAAGTGATCCACCTGCCTCAGACTCCCAAAGTGCTGGGATTACAGGCATGAGCCACTGCTTCTGGCCTGAAGTTTTAACATTATATCACAGATGTCACCAACAGGTATATATGAATAAGAACTGATATACTTTGACTAAACAAGGAGATAGATGACATTTTCACTTCAGCCACCACTGTAAAAACTGTTGTCCATAGGGTTCAGAATAAAGTATCCCAGCATATGCTTCCACGATGAGAACTTCATAGCTAGCTGTCTAATATGTATCATCAAGGGAGATTGAGTAGAAGACAAAGATTATTCTCTGAGGATGCTATTTGTCATTTCCAGTTGAGGTTTCCCTGCCTTTCATTTAGTTAGTAAATATTTAATGAGAGCTGATCACATATATGCAGAGTACTATATGCTAGTTACTGAGGATACATCAGTCAATAAAATTAACAATATCTCCTGCCTTCATGGGACTTACATTCTAGTGCAGAGGAAAGCAAACTACAACCGGTGGGCCAAATCAGCAGCTGCCTGTTATGAATAATTACCATTGGAATACAGCCACATCATTTGTTTTGGTATTGCCCATCTCTGCTTTCACACGACATCATCTGAATAAAGTAGTTACAGCAGCAACCATATGGCCCACAGCCAGTATTTACTGTCTGGATCTTAACAGGAAATGTGTGCTAACCTCTGCTCTAGCATCTTCTTCAAGAAGCTTCACAGTAGATAGTTGTACGTGAATATGAATATCTGCCAGTAAATCCGCCTGCCTGCCTCCTGCCCTTCCTTTCTTCCATTTGTCTGTTCTGTCTTCCATTCATTTCATTTTTTCACAGGGGAGTGGGACAGGTCAGTCAAAGACCTAAACTACATTAGGCCAGGCGTGGTGGCTCACGCCTGTAATCCCAGCACTTTGGGAGGCTGGGATTATAGATGGGTTGAAGTCAGGAGTTCAAGACCAGCCTGGGCAACATGGCGAAACCTTGTCACTACTAAAAATACAAAAATTAGCTCGGTGTGGTGGTGCACACCTGTAATCCCAGCTACTTGGGAGGCTGAGATTGGAAGAATGGCTTGAACCCAAGAGGCAGAGGTTGCAGTGAGCCGAGATTGCACCATTGCACTTCAGCTTGGGTGACAGAGTGAAACTCCGTCTCAAGAAAAAAAAAAGAATAAACCATATTGATTTGCTGATGATAAATCACATACGATCCCATTCCCCTTCTTCCTGGTATTTTTTTTACTTAAAGTAATACATGGCAACCATATAGTGTAATACTATGCAGCCATTGAAGAGAACAAGGTGGGCTCGAGTGTATATGTTGGATGGAACAATCCCTAAGAGATGCTGGTAAATGAAAAACAGCAAGGTACAGAACAGTGTGTTTGTTACACCAGAATTTATGTAAATTATTTAAATGCAGAGCATAAATATGTGTATAATTTACTCGAGGACTAAACAGGAAACTAATAACTTTGCTTGCCTCTGAAGAGAGGCAAAGAATGAGCAGGATATATATTGTTTGTACCTTTTGTTTTTTTGAGATAGGGTCTCACTCTGTCGCCCAGGCTGGAGTGCAGTAGCATGATCATAGCCCACTGCAACCTCAAATTTCTGGGCTCAAGGGATTCTCCCACCTCAGCCTCTGGAGTAGCTGGTACTACAGGCACATGCCATTGTACCCCTGCTAATTTTTTTAAAAAATTTTTGTAAAGACTTGGTATAGTATTGTTTCCCAGGCTCCTTTTGAATTTTATAACATGTATGAGTGTTACCTATTTTAAAAAATATTTTTAAAGCACTGTATGGTTATGGTTACAAATTGAGATTGTATTTAGGTATATAAAATAAAATTTAAGACTGGGCATCTTGGCTCACACCTGTAATCCCAGCACTTTGAGAGGTCAAGGCAGGCAGATCACATGAGGTTAGGAGTTCGAGACCAGCCTGGCCAACATGGCGAAACCCCGTCTCTAATACAAAAATTAGCCGAGTGCAGTGGCGTGTGTCTGTAATCCCAGCTACTCGGTAGGCTGAGGCAAGAGAATTGCTTGAACCTGGGAGGTGGAGGTTGCAGTGAGACAAGATCGCACCACCATACTCCAGCCTGGGCATCAGAGCAAGACTCTGTCTCAAAAAAATAAATAAATAATAAATAAAAATTAAACCTTCTATCTTACCACTAATATATGCTCCCTCAGTTACTATTAGTGGTCAAAGACCTAAAGAATAAATGATACTGATTTGCTGGTGATAAATCACATGCATACATATATAGAAACTTTTTCTGTATATTCATAAACATGCATGCATACACATATATTTGTAGATGATTTTTTAACCTGAGATCATCTTAAACATACTTTTTGGTAACTTGCTTTTTTCACTTGCTGTCTCTTAGACATTGAACCATTTCAGTACAGATAGATGTACTCCTTTAAAAACCAACTAAAACAGTCATTAAACTCTGGCATATTCCATTGTACAAGTAACCCTTAAGGCATTTCACCAGTCTCCTATTGAAAGACTTTAGATTGTTTACAGTACTATTATAAACAGTACTACAGTGGATATTCTGATTCAATTTGTATGTGCATTGTAAATTTTGATGTCATTAAATAACAAAACTAAGATATTTCAGATAGTGATAATAGCATGTATAGAAAAACATAAGGAAAGAAAGAACATGAGATTTCCAGGAAACAAGTAGTCTGGAATGTCCAGGGGGTAGATTGCGAAGTGGGAAGTGGCTGAAGAAGTCAGGAAGAGGCAGGTCGTGGTGTTCAGGAAGCATTGTTTTCTGTGTTGTCATTGACTTCAGCTCCAGAAGGACAGGACTGGCTGTGCATTGCAGGATGCTCTGAGCCTGCAGCGTGCAGCATGGAGAATGGACTTAAGGAAGTAAGACTTGCAACGGGGAAACCTCTTAGGATATTGCTGCCATTGTAATCAAAGTGACAAAAGATGAAACTTGAAGTTAAAACAACAATAAAACTAGTAACTAAAGTGGAGAGGGAGTGTATTTGAGAATGGTTTCTGTGAAACATTCAAGAGAAGGTGTCCAGGAGGCAGTCCAGCACGGGGGGCATGGGAGCTGGATGTGTGAAGGTGTCCACGTAGGGGGCTGAGAGCGACCACATGACTCAGCCTGCACTCTCAACATTTGCATCCTAGCCAGCCTTCTCTCTTCTGCCCTGTCATATTTACCCTCACTACCTTAGCTGTCACTCAAAGGCAAATCACAAATATCAAGGTATTCTTCTGTTGTCTTGTTTTTTCACAAGAATCATTCCAGCAGAAGAGGCAGCTTACAAGCCTATACTTTTGAGGAACAACCTACACTTCCTGTGGTGAGTTTTACCCTCTCCCATCAATCAATAAAAATATAAAACTCAGCATCTCTTTTTATTTTTTGGAAGATTGAGTGTGAACGTTTGCCTTACAGGGAGCCAATACAGCACAGAATGTAGGCTCCAGGTGGTGATGTTCAGGGAAGGGGCTTAAAGACAAAACATGGAGAACCGTCTCTCCCATGTTAAAAGCAAAGTCTCTGCATGCTGGTGACTGTGGGTGGTATCTGGGCTTGTCAGTTGAAGTGCTGTGCTGGCTAGAGGTGATCCGCTGCATACGGCATACAATTCAGGATCACTGTGTCCATTTGCTGATGTTCTGCACATGCACATGGCATCCAGCAGCCATGTCTGCCCTGTACATGAAGAATAGCCAGGGTTTCATCACTCAGGCGTGCACTGGCATTCACATGCCCGGCAGCCAGGCTGGAGTTTATCAGTCCTTGGTCTGTTTCTTCCCTGCAATATCACATCCACCAGTCTACTAAGGCCTTCTGCTTCCTGCTCAGTGCTGTCCCAGCCACAGCCTGGATGGCAGCTTGGACCTTAACCCTGCCTCCATCCTCTTCCTAACACAAGCCTCACTACTGAGTTTGTCTCTGTTTTCCAGAAGCCCTACTTGTTTTTGAAACCAAAGTAAAACTCCCAGGCTCCCAGCCTCTTCAGCCTACCCTTCTCCTTATCCCCCAACAGAAGCCTCCTGCTGCCTTCATTCCTGTCTATGCTTTTTCTTCCAAGCAGACTGTTCCCATGTCCTGATTCTCTCCCGCTTCTGAGTCTGTGTGCATTCCATTTCCCCACTTGGAATGGCTTTCTCATTTTCTTCCCCAACCATCTGGAACTTTGAATGGCAGTCTAGATATCAGCTTTGAAAAGTAGGGTATGTTCTAGCACAGGAATGCAGAGTCTCCAAAATCCTCATCCCATGAGTGGGTTATCTGTCTAAATAACACCCTGCACTAAGAAAGGGACACAGATCCTGTGCTGAGGAATGAGAGGTCGCCCACCTATGCATCATTGCTCTGGTCAGTACTGACCATCAACAAGAGGACAGATGCCATTGAAAGACTATCATCGCTAGCCTTACTCTCACTCACTGTCATCTGTCCAGCCTCCTCCATTAGATCAGAGCCCGCTCAAGCTGAGTTCCATGGTGTTTTTCCCTCTGCACGTTATAATGTCCTCTATACAATGAATATGTGGAAGTTCTCATTGACTGACAGACATTCACCCAAGACACAATTTTAGATGGACCGGATGAGCAGCAGAATCTCGAGATGATTTATATTTTAGTACCAGAAAAGTTGTTTCCATGCCTTTTTTTTCCCTCAATACATTGATTGGGGTTTTTTTTAAGAGCTTTCTTGGAGTATAATTTACATACCATAAAATCCACCCATGTTTGATCATACAATTAAAGAGTTTTTGTAAATTTATACAGTTATGGAGACATCACCACAATCAAGTTTAAGAAACTTCTGTCACCCCCAAAAGTTCCCTCAATCCCTATGCCTACTCTCAGTTGCAAGCAACCGCTCATCTGCTCTCTATTGCTACAGTTTTTGCCTTTTCTAGAAATCTCGTGTAAAGGGACTCGTAGGGTGTGGGCTTACGTGTCTGACCTTTTTCACTTAGCATGCTGTTTTTCACATAGACCCATGTTATTGCATGCCTCTATTAGTGCACGGTATTCCACTGTAGAGATATATCCACTACATTTATCTATTCACCAGCTGATGGACACTTGTAGAACTGGGCAGCATTTAAATGCATCATTTTGTGATGTATCAGCTCATCACAACTGTCCCCAAAGTACGTAGGACTCCCGTGTATTTAGTAAGTGGTGTCTTCATTGTAGAGACTGGTGGTGATGGTTTTTATGTTGTAAGCCACCTTAGGGAGCCACACCAAACCAGGGCTTATCTGGTTCAAAATGACAACAGGAAGGCCAGATTTAGGACTTTTTTTTTTCGGAGGGGAGGGGGATGGAGTCTTGCTCTGTTGTCCAGGCTGGAGTGCCCAGGCGATCTCGGCTCACTGCAACCTCTGCCTCCTGGGTTCAAGTGATTCTCCTGCTTCAGCCTCCCGAGTAGCTGGACTACAGACGTGCACCACCATGCCCAGCTAATTTCTGTTATTTTGAGTCGGAGTTTTGCTCAGTTGCCCAGGCTAGAGTGCAATGGTGCAATCTCAGCTCACTGTAACCTCTGCCTCCCGGTTCAAGCAGTTCTTCTGTCTCAGCCTCCTGAGTAGCTGGGATTACAGGTGCCCACCACCATGCCTAGCTAATTTTTTTGTACTTTTAGTAGAGACAAGTTTTCACCATGTTGGCCAGGCTGGCCTCGACTTCCTGAACTCAGGTGATCCGCCCACCTCAGCCCCCAAAAGTGCTGGGATTACAGGGGTGAGCCATCATGCCCAGCCTGGATTTAGGACTATTTTAAGTAAGCCTGGAAATAACCAGACTTCTCTTTATTCATTTGTAACAAACTATGATAAATAGCATTCTCCTAGCTTTTAGAGAAACAAGGCAGGAGTAACTGTTGATTCAGCAGATAAGCATGATTTCTGTTGTTAGATTACCTGGGTTCAAATCTCAGCTCCATTCCTTAGAAGCCATGTCGCTTAACAAGTTACTTCCATTACTCTCGGCCTTTTGGCTAAGATCAAGTATAGTAACAAGTTACTTCCATATTGTAAGCTTCTGTTTACTCACCAGTAAAATGAGCCAGTATTAGTAATTATCTCATTGAAATTCAGGTGGGAAGTAAATGACGTTATCTGTGTTAAACAGGACACGTGCTTGTTATTGTTGGTATGTTTTATTAGGGTTGTTATCACTCTCATTATTATTGTTCTAGTGTTTTTTTTCCCAAGTGAAGTACTGTACACTTTATCTTGCACATTTTAAGATATTTAAAATGTGGTTTATTTCACTAAAATGTATAATTTACCCATTTTTATTATAATACATGGTTTTAGTTCAAAATAAAATATAATTTGTTTTAAAGCAAACAAGTAGTGAAGAAGGGATGTGGTGTTTTTTAAAGGATTCTTTCTTATTAATATTTAATTCTTCTGGCCAGGCACAGTGGCTCATGCCTGTAATCCCAGCACTTTGGGGAGGCCAAGGCAGGTGGATCACTTGAGATTAGGAGTTCGAGACCAGCCTGGCCAATATGGTGAAACCCTGTTGATACTAAAAATAAAAAAATTAGCTGGGTGTGTTAGCACATGCCTGTAATCCCAGCTACTCAGGAGGCTGAGGCACAAGAATAGCTTGAACCCAGGAAGCAGAGGTTGCAGTGAGCCGAGATCATACCACTGCACTCCAGCCTGGGCAACAGAGCAAGACCCTGTCTCTCTCTGTCTCTCTCTCTCTCTCTCACTCTCTCAGAAAAGGTAAATATATATATATATATATATATATATATATATATTTCTAGAAAAGGCAAAACTGTAGTAACAGAGCAGATGAGTGGTTGCTTGGGGCTGAGAGTAGACATAGGGACAGAGGGAACTTTTGGGGGTGATAGAAGGATTCTTAAACTTGATGTATTTAATTCTTCTGTTATTCTTCACTTTAGCTTTTGCCTACTTCATCTGGATTACCACCAGGTTGGGAAGAAAAACAAGATGAAAGAGGAAGATCATATTATGTAGATCACAATTCCAGAACGACTACTTGGACAAAGCCCACTGTACAGGTATCCTGTAATCTATCAACTTGCTTTCTTACAGGATTTAAACTGTCACATCCCTATGTAAACTATTACATCACTTTGTAGGATACACTGGATACTTCTACCACCTTCTTTTTTTTTTTTATTTTTTTGAGATGGAGTCTCAGTATTGTCGCCCAGGCTGGAGTCCAATGGCGTGATCGTGGCTCACTGCACCTCTGCCTCCTGGGTTCAAGCGATTCTCCTGCCTCACCCTCCTGAGTAGATGGGATTACAGGTGCCCGCCACCACACCTGGCTAATTTTTGTATTTTTAGTAGAGACAGGGTTTCACCATGTTGGCCAGGCTGATCTGAAACTCCTGACCTCAGGTGATCCACCCACCTCGGCCTCCTAAAGTGCTGGGATTATAGGCATGAGCCACCGTGCCTGGTCATAGCATCTTCTAATTATTTATATTCTGACACTGATGTTAAGTGTCTACCTTTTCCTATGAATCTCTAATATACACGAATTACCACTTGTTATTATATAAAACAAGTACAAATGAGAATAAGAGGAAAAAGCAAATGATCTCGTCTTTGGGTATTTTTGTAATTTGAATAGTTAGGATCATTATTTTAACTAACAGATAATCTTGGCGATTGGGATCTATTAAAGAAGTTTATGCTGGGCCGGGCAAGGTGGCTCATGCCTATAATCCCAGCACTTTGGGAGGCCAAGGTGGGAGGATCACCTGAGGTCGGGAGTTCAAGATCAGCCTGACCAACATGGAGAAACCCCATCTCTACCAAAAATACAAAAATTAGCCAGGCGTGGTGGCGCATGCCTGTAATCCCATCTACTTAGGAGGCTGAGGCAGGAGAATCGCTTGAACCTGGGAGGCGGAGGTTGCGGTGAGCCAAGATTATGCCATTGCACTCCAGCCTGGGCAACAAGAGCGAAACTCCATCTGAAAAAAAAAAACAGAAAAGAAAATGTAAAATATTGTTTATATGCCTGTGTTTCTAATTTTGCAACGAGAGAACACTCATTTTATTTTATAGAATGAGGTGCTGCTTGATAAAAAAAAAACTTTGCATTGATGTTGTGGCCCTGTAAGTCTACACCTTTTTGCTTAACATTGTTTTAAAGCTCTGTCCATGTTGTTATTTATAGATCCAGTGTATTTCTCTTAACTACTAATATTCCATCATGAATATATTGCATTTCAATTATCCATTTCTGTGGTAGATATTTGCCATTCATTTTGTCTGCCCATCATTTGAATCTACTTCTGTGTATGAGGAATTCCCCATCCTGTGAGTTTTGGGAAAACAAAGACGACCTCCTCCTATAGGCACGAGAGCTCCCCTTGCAGCTAGGGCTTGAGCTTGCAGACCTCGCTCCTTCAGTCAGATGCACCCACAGCATACTGTTAACTAACATCTTACTGCTTGAGAATTAGTTGAAAAATTATAAATTACTGTAAAAATAAAGTTTTACAAAATAATTTATTGGAAAAATGTTATTAAATGTAATGCATTATTGAAATGTTGGGAAAATATTAACATGCCATAACTACATTTGAAAATGAGCCTCAAATATTTAGAGTCTCTTTAATGGAGGGTGTGTATTCTATTTGCAGGTTAAGTTACCTTTTTAACTACATCTATTTGTGAGTTCTCTCTATAAAATATTACAATATGATTTCATTAATGTGCTAGGCCACAGTGGAGACCAGTCAGCTGACCTCAAGCCAGAGTTCTGCAGGCCCTCAATCACAAGCCTCCACCAGTGATTCAGGCCAGCAGGTGACCCAGCCATCTGAAATTGAGCAAGGATTCCTTCCTAAAGGCTGGGAAGTCCGGCATGCACCAAATGGGAGGCCTTTCTTTATTGACCACAACACTAAAACCACCACCTGGGTAACTTTGATACTTTTCCATTTAAATTTATAACAACAATAATCATCTCTTATGTATAGTTCCTTAAAATCTTTAAGTATGTATTAGTATAACCTATGTTTCCTAATATTCATTGAAAGGTATATTGAATTCTTAATAATATTATTTGTATTCAGGAGAATGCTTATGCGTCTTTTTAATATTGTTTTGGATTATGATGGAGATATTCATGTTTACTTCCTATTTCCAGTTTTTAGCTCACTAGCCATAAATGCTTAAGAAGATACATAGGAATAATCCTTTGCTTTTATATGAGGCTTTATAGCTCCAAAGCACTTTTGAATCCATATCTCATTTAATATCAAAAAAACCTTGTGAGGCTAGGTAGAACAAGTATTTTTATTTTAAGATAAGGCTTAAAATTGTTTAGTGCTTGGCTTACTACTAATAGAAAAATTACCTAAAGGCCGGGTGCAGTGGCTCATGCCTGTAATCCCAGCACTTTGGGAGGCCGAGGGGGGAGATCACGAGGTCAGGAGATGGAGATCGAGACCATCCTGGCTAACATGGTGAAACCCCGTTTCTACTAAAAATACAAAATAATTAGTCAGGCATGGTGGCGGGTGCCTGTAGTCCCAGCTGTTCAGGAGGCTGAGGCTAGAGAATGGCATGAACCCAGGAGGCGGAGGTTGCAGTGAGCCAAGATCGCACCACTGCACTCCAGCCTGGGCAACAGAGCGAGACTCCATCTCAAAAAAAAAAAAAAAAAAATTACTTAAAATTAGCAGCAGATGAATATATTTTAATTAATTATTAAAAGACCAACATAGCTTAAATAATACTAAACTTATTTAATAAATTAATAATATTAAAATAATATATATAAATTAAACCAAATAAATTTAATTTTGTTCTCTTTTTTAACATTCTGAATTGGCCTTTGATAACCTTTTTGGGCTTACCTTCCTGTTATTCAAAAATATTAATCGACCCTTGAACAGATAGCTGGCAAAATGCATGTTCTGGGGCTTAGAAATATCATGTGGTCCAGGGCCAGGCACAGTGATCCCAGCACTTTGGGAGGCCAAGGCGGGTGGATCACCTGAGGTCAGGAGTTCGAGACTAGCCTGGCCAACATGGAGAAACCCCGTCTCTATTAAATATACAAAAATTAGCTAGGCATGGTGGTGCATGCCTGTAATCCCAGCTACTCAGGAGGCTGAGGCAGGAGAATCCCTTGAACCTAGGAGGAAGAGGTTGCATTGAGCTGAGATGGTGCCATTGTACTCCAGCCTGGGCGACAAGAGCGACACTCCACCTCAGAAAAAAAGAAAGAAATATCATGTGGTCCAATTTAATGTCCTACTCTTTCACCAGTTTTTACATAGAGAAAAGCCCTATATAGTGACACATTTCCTAAAGAGCGGGGCAAAAGAAATGACCAGTTAGTGGTGATCCCTGAGAACTGATCGTTATTCCTTTTGATATTATAGCCTGACAGTGATAGATTTTAGAAGGAGAAAATATTGTGTCACATATTTAGGAAATAAAGTATAAATTGACTTTTACAAGAGAATATTTTAAATATCCATTGATGTTAGAAAACATGGTAACAGACTGACTTTGATTATTTTAAAATTTGTGTGTATTGTTCTTTATTTACTCTACCAAAAAAGGAAGATCCAAGATTGAAAATTCCAGCCCATCTGAGAGGAAAGACATCACTTGATACTTCCAATGATCTAGGGCCTTTACCTGTAAGTGTATAGAAATGCTAACCCATCTAACTTGGCTATCTCAAATATTTTGCATTTTCGGGTATAGTATTTCTTTATCATCTATAATTAATGTTATTATTAAAATGTTGATACCTTCTAAGAATGGAATGGAATATGCAAGTTAAATTAACCATACAACCAGTGCTATTTTTCTATCCATTCATCTACGCCCCTCTCCTAAAATAATTGAAATACATTTTTAATTATAGCCAGGATGGGAAGAGAGAACTCACACAGATGGAAGAATCTTCTACATAAATCACAGTATGTGCAGTGCGATTTTTCATTATGTTATTTTTTGTAATAAATTTTATGTGTGAGAAAGTACATCTTTTTTCTTTTTCTTCCCTTCAGATATAAAAAGAACACAATGGGAAGATCCTCGGTTGGAGAATGTAGCAATAACTGGACCAGTAAGTCTCTCTGCCAGTGTGCTCTGATGGGACTGTCCGCTCACCTGTCTCTTCAAGAGCAGATAGTCACGGGCATAACCCTACAGGCATTGAGAGGAAAGC
This sequence comes from Homo sapiens, assembly GCF_000001405.40. Taxonomy (NCBI): domain Eukaryota; kingdom Metazoa; phylum Chordata; class Mammalia; order Primates; family Hominidae; genus Homo; species Homo sapiens. Next base: position 55,848,269 of record NC_000015.10, on the reverse strand, counting down.
ACATTGGCCGTTCTCTCCTCTCCCCCATTTCCCATACTCCAAGTCTCAGTTATTTGAAAAGATTCTATAACGTCATTATCCTTACCCTACGCAATAGCAGTGAGGGGACAAGTGAGCCAGACAGTCAGAATGCTAAGGCAGTGTGGGCTGCTGAGCTCAGGCTGGTGCCTCCCACTGTCTGAACAAGAATGATGACAGTCCTCCACAAATCAGAGAGGAGCAGAGAGTGTATGCGGATGAGGAAGCAGCAGCACCCTATCCACTCCAGGGTCATTCTTAAATTTTTTTATAGAAATCAAGCCAGGCTCACACCTGTAATCCCAGCACTTTGGGAGGCCAAGGCAGGTGGATCACCTGAGGTCAGGAGTTCGAGACCGGCCCGGCCAACGTGGTGAAACCCTGTCTCTACTAAAAATGCAAAAAAAATTAGTTGGGCATGGTGGCAGGTACCTGTAGTCCCAGCTACTTGGGAGGCTGAGGCAGGAGAATCACTTGAACCCAGGAGGCGGAGGTTGTGGTGAGCTGAGGTTGTACCACCACACTCCAGCCTGGACAACAGAGCGAGACTCCATCTCAAAAAAAAAAAAAAAAAAGGAAAAAGAAAAAGAAATCATTGTAAATGCCCAGTATGTAAGACACATCCACACTTAAGTATAAATATTACCACGTATGATAATTGTACTACTCTTGAGTCAGATTGATAGGAAAATTATCCTTTTTTATAGCTGCTTTTTCCATTTTATTCAGATTTTGTTTTCTAATTCATAAAAATAAATAAAACTGAAGATACCGTTTTTTATTACTATTTACTGTCTCAACATGTAGTCCTTTAATGGCTCAAAAAGGCAACTCCTTGGAGTTCAAGGAAAAAGTACGCTTTTCACATTGTCCCTTTAATGGAGAAATCACTTTGAAAGTCTCTTTAGAAATGGAAATTTTTGTTTCTAATATTTCTCTACCTGGAAGAAATTTCCTATTTCTGGCATGCTGCATTTTAAGAATATTGCATAATGAAAATTACAGCCATAGGAATTGCTGAATACAATTTTATCTTAAACAGAGAAATTAAATATTTTAAAGTTTAAAGTTTTGTATTTGTTTTTCTTCTAATTAAACTTTTCTTTCCAAATATTTTTCTTTTAATGCCCTTACGTTCATAAAATACAACAAATAAAAATTGTTCCAGAATAAAAACAACCTAAACTTCTTTATTTTTCCAAAATTTCCAACTAAAGGCAGTGCCCTACTCCAGGGATTACAAAAGAAAGTATGAGTTCTTCCGAAGAAAGTTGAAGAAGCAGGTTAGTCATGTTTATAATAAATACTTAAGAGTCATCAATATATAGATGGAAAGTAATGGGAAATGTTTTTTACAGTAATAATTTGTTCTATATTTGTAACAACTTTGAGTGAACAGTTTTTCCTAGAGAAAGGATGCTCATTTTTTGAGTAGCTGTGATATATCACTACAGACCATAATTAGTTTATGTCTTTATTTTTCAGTATATTTTATAATATAGAAAAATGGCATTTAAAGTTTGCTTTCCAGAGCTCTAACCTGGTGTATCCCTGTGGGGTTTATGGGGCTTGATCTTTGTAGAATCTGAGCAAGAGTGGGTCAGGAAATTATCTTCTGGCCTAGTCTTTGACTGTGTTGGAGGACGGTCTGGATTTTTTTATGACTTTGTTGTTTTCCAGCGAAAGTCATTCATTCTCTACGGCTTCAAATGTAATGTCTCTGCATAATTTAAAAATACAATCATGAGTGGAACTGTGCTCTTGTGACTTGTCTCCTTATGCTTATCAGTTATGTTCACTACACTTTTTCCCATCGCCACAAATGCAATATGTTTGGAACTAAACTCATCATCTGGCCATCTGTTTCATTCCTGGTTTTGTTTACTAGTTTTAACGCCTCTCTTACTTGCTCATCCTGTCCTCCTTTGCCTGCAGTTTAGGAATACTACCACTAGGTGGCCATATTGGGTTATACTTTCTTGCATTCTAAGCCAGAAGCTGGCTTTCACAAATATTCAAGATGGTGGGTGGGCCACCTCAGAGTTTCACCCAAATTTTTAGCAAAAAGAAAACATGATAGTTTTTTTAGTGTAAACATTTTATGCCCTAATAAAATCCTTAAATATCATAAACTTTCTAAACTCATTTTTAAGGATAATTTTGTGGGCCAGGTGCAGTAGCTCATGCCTGTAATCCCAGCACTTTGGGAGGTCGAGGTGGGTGGATCACTTGAGGTCAGGAGTTCACGACCAGCCTGGCCAACGTGGTGAAACCCCCGTCTCTACTAAAAATACAAAAATTAGTTAGGTGTGATGGCGCACACCTTTAATCCCGGCTACTCCGGAGGCTGAGGCAGGAGAACCGCTTGAACCCAGGAGGCAGAGGTTGCAGTGAGCCAAGATCGCGCCACTGCACTCCAGCCTGGGCAACAGAGTGTCTCAAAAAAAAAAAAAGAAAAAAGAAAAAAAGAATAACTTTGTGTCGAAATTTCCCTGGAAATTTGTTTTCTACTTCTAGACTTTGGGATTTTAAATGTTTACTGATTTATTGTTCTGCTAAATATTTTCATTGTTAATGAGAATACGCTGGAGGAATAGAAGCACTAGCTTCTCCATTTGCCACTCTGAGTGGTTGAAACATGTTGTAGTATCTAATTATTAATGTCTTCCAGGCAGCAGGAGATGGGAGACAATGCCATTACAGGCCTCAAAATACAAAAAAAAAACCATGATAAAAGCAATTATATTTGTTGATCTCTCATTGCATACCAGGCGTTCTTCTTAGAAGTTTACATATGTTATTCATTTAATGTCTACAATAACTCTGTAAGGAAGGGACTACTATTACCTTTCACAGATGAGGAAACTGAGGCACAGAGAGAATAGGTAATGTGATCAAGTCCCATGGTTATTAAGTAGAAAAGCTAAGTGGTCTAGCTCCAGATCCCATGTTCCTAAGCAACATGACATGTCATATTGGTGACTAAGAGAATTAAGAGAGAAATTAATTAATTTGTATGGAAATTACCCAGAATGCAACAAAGGTATGTAAGGGGATAAACATATAAAAGAAAGGTTAAAAGACATGAAGTCACCCCAGAAGGAGGGGACCAAGATCATGAAGAGGAGAAGGCTAAGAATATGAATTCTCACATTAGTAAAAAGGCCCAAGCAGTACTTTAAAAATAAAATCTGTATCTAGACACATCATAGCAAAAGAGCAGAACACTTAGAATGTAAGAACATGTAACACCAAAACAGAAATAAAGAATATTAAAAACACCAGGTGCAGTGGTTCATGCCTGTAATCCCAGCACTTTGGGAGGCTGAGGCAGGAGAATTACTTGAGCTCAGGAGTTCAAAGCTGCACTGGGCTATAATCATGCCACTGCACTCCAGCCTGAATGACAGAGCAGTACTCTGTCTCAAAAAAAAAAAAAAAAAATTGAAAACCGGTGCTTGAAAGCCGTGCACTGTCTTTAACCTTTTCCTCTTCCTTATCCTCAACATCTTGTAGTTAGGAATAATGATGGCTAATAATTACCATATGCCAGATACTGTTTAAGCATTTTTAATGCATGGAGTTGAAACAACTCCATGTGGGTAGCTATCATTATTATTATCCCTATTTTATAGATGAGGAAACTAATCCTTAGAAAAGACATGTAACCTGCCCAAAGTGTCACTCCTAGTGAATGGTGGAGTCAATAACACAGGACCAGATTCCAGAATGCATGCACTTGTCTACTACTCAGTTCAAACACTGAAGTTCTCTTGTACCCCCCTCTTCTTCCACTACCATTGCTCCTTCACAGGTCCCTCTGTCTTCTCTCACTCAGCTATTCCAGGGGTCTTTAACTGACCAGTGTGCCTCTTGTTTCTCCTCTTTAAAACCACCCTTTACACCCTGTCCCGTCAGCTTCTGAGAACCCAGCAATCTGACCGTGTGGCTCCCCAACCCAGAAACTCTCTTCTTAACTGCATTCACACTGTCCACCCTCTGGCCCCAGACTACTTTTTTGCATTTTTCCCCTATAATCCCTGCCTTCTTTCCCTTCCTCTCCCTTCTTCTCCTTCTGTGCCCTCTAGGTATTAAATATATCAGACCTCTCATGTATGCTGTTCCTCCGTCCTTCCCTCCCTTTCTCTGTCTAAAGACTTCCTCTCAAAGCCTTCTTGATTGCCTCATTTGAAGTCAATAGCTCAGTCTTTTATGCCCTGCAGAACATTGCTTCCATCTCTATCATCAGCAATTGTCCTCCTATTTTAAGTCTCAGAATTAGCATCATTTACACTTGTTTTTCACATATACGCCAGATGAGAAACTCCTTGAGGAAGCAAGGACATCTTACCCTATGTTTTTATTCCCTTTATTCCCCATCGTTGGCCCTACTACAATACCACCTGGCCCAGAGTAGGCCTTTGATAAATGCTTACCTGCACCAGCTGCCTAGTATCCAGTCTAAAGTTGCTGTTCTGCAAGCTTACCATTTTTTTAATGACATAAGCAGTATAGGAAACTGCTCATATCATGCTTATATTGCTTATATCAACTGCTTACATTATTATGTTTCTATAGGGCTTTCCATTTTCCCTAAATAAATTGAGAATGAAATTGATTTTTTTTCCTTAGAGCTAACCTTCTTTTTTGGAGGTGACAGAATATTGATGGCATGTTTTCTCTTACTGGTTTCCCCTGGAAATTTGCCCATGAAGTACTGAGGAATAAAATATTTAGATATATCTTTTGTAAAATTTACAATAAGTTCTGCCTAAAGCATAGTTGTGTACATTTGTCACATAAGCAAAGAACGTACAAAAGATTAGTGAGGCAATGTAGCTCCATTAATTAAGAGCACAGACTCAGGAGCTAAGACTTTCTTAAGTCGTCTTCTTCAGTTTTATGTGTAAAATGAAGACAATAATAGTAGCTTTCGCATAGTGTTGTTATGAGGTTAAACACGTTAACCTGCCATTCCAGGGTACCCATGCCTGGCTGTTTTAGTCCGTTTTCATGCTGCTGATAAAGACATACCTGAGACCAGGCAATTTACAAAAGGAAGAGGTTTATTGGACCTACAGTTCTACATGGCTAGGGAGGCCTCACAATCATGGCAGAAGGCAAGGAGGAGCAAGTCACATCTTACATGGATGGCAGCAGGCAAAGAGAGAGCTTGTGCATAGAAACCATTAGATGTCGTGAGACCCATTCACTATCATGAGAACAGTGCAGGAAAGATCCGCCCCCATAATTCAATCACCTCCCACCAGGTTCTTCCCATGACACATGGAGATTGTGGGAGTTACAATTCAAGATTAGATTTGGGTAGGGACACAGCCAGAATATATCACTGGCACAGTCTGTAAATGTCACCATCTGTTAATGAGTGAAGCAAGATAGACTCCAGGGAGGAAAGTAGAGGTAGGGAAAAGCCTGAACAGACAGGCACAACAGCTAGCAGGCAGTGGCTATCCTACAGGTCACAGAACGGTGTTCATTGGAACTTAATATGAAAAGGACTGTTAACGAAATGCCTTCATGGGGGCATTACCATCACCATCAATTGCTTCTTTAGGCCGGGTGCCATGGCTTATGCCTGTAATCTCAGCACTTTGGGAGGCCAAGGCGGGAGGATTGCTAGAGCTTAGGAGTTTGAGACCAGCCTGGGCAAGATGGCAAGACCTCAAAAACTTAAAAAATTAGTCAGGCATGATGGCATGCGCCTGTGGTCCAGTTACTTAGGAATCGGAAGCAAGAGGATCACTTGAGCCCATGAGGTCGAGGCTGCAGTAAGCCATGTTCACGCCACTGCACTCCAGCCTGGACTACAGAGCTGTCTCCAAAAACAAAAGCTTCTTCAGATGTAAAGAAGTCTATATTACTAAGTGATTAAAGAAAATGCAGAAACTGTCTCATACCATAGAGGAAACCAAGACAATATACCTAGTTGTGTTTTCCCTGAGTATATTACGTAAGGAAAAAGAGACTTGGACACAGGGTGTAGAGGGAATGTTATAACTTTATGAGAGATGGGTTTGTTATTATGTTGAACTGATTTAAACAGTACGTCTCTCCTCTGGATTTTCAGAATGACATTCCAAACAAATTTGAAATGAAACTTCGCCGAGCAACTGTTCTTGAAGACTCTTACCGGAGAATTATGGGTGTCAAGAGAGCAGACTTCCTGAAGGCTCGACTGTGGATTGAGTTTGATGGTGAAAAGGGATTGGATTATGGAGGAGTTGCCAGAGAATGGTTCTTCCTGATCTCAAAGGAAATGTTTAACCCTTATTATGGGTTGTTTGAATATTCTGCTACGTAAGTACCTTTACAATGATTATCGGCAGAAAAAGAAAAATCACTGTTTTAAAAGTAAGAGTCGGCCGGGTGCAGTGGCTCATGCCTGTAATCCCAGCACTTTGGGAGGCCGAGGCGGGCGGATCACAAGGTCAGGATATCGAGACCATCCTAGCTAACACGGTGAAACCCCGTCTCTACTAAAAATACAAAAACTTACCCAGGCGTGGTGGCGGGCGCCTGTAGTCCCAGCTACTCAGGAGGCTGAGGCAGGAGAATGGCGTGAACCCGGAAGGCGGAGCCGAGATCACGCCACTGCACTCCAGCCTGGGCAACAGAGCAAGACTCCTCTAAAAAAAAAAGTTACCATTTTAGCCATTTTAAATATACAATTTAGAGTCATTACATACATTCACATTGTTGTGCTGCCATCCCACTATCCAACTCTAGAACTTTTTCATCTTCCCAAAATGAAACCCTATACCCAGTAAGCACTCGCTCCCCATTCCCTGGCAGCCACCATTCTGCTTTCTGTCCCTATGAATTTGACTCCTCGGGTACCTCACATAAGTGGAATCATTCAATATTTGTCTTTTTGTGACCAGCTCATTTCACTTAACATGATGTCTTCAGGGTTCATCCATGTTGTAGTATGTATCAGAATGTCCTTCCTTTTTAAGGCAGAATAATATTCCATTATTTTTGCATATAATGCTTTGTTTAGGCTGGGCGTGGTGGCTCATGCCTGTAATCCCACCACTTTGGGAGGCCAAGGCTGGTGGATCACAATGCCAGGAGTTCAAGACCAGCCTGACCAACATAGTGAAACCCTGTCTCTACTAAAAATACAAAAATTAACCAGGCATGGTGGCGGGCGCCTGTAATTCCAGCTACTTGGGAGGCTGAGACAGGAGAATCACTTGAACCTGGGAGGCGGAGGTTGCAGTGAGCTGTGACCGTGTCATTGCACTCCAGCCTGGGCGAGAGCAAGACTCCATCTCAAAAACAAACGAACAAACAAAACTTTGTTTATACATTCATCTGCCAAAGGACATTTGGGTTATTTCCACTTTTTGACAGAAATTACTATTTTTAAAACCATTAAATCCAGTGGAGGAATGTGGTTCTAACAGTGGTAAACAACTCTTAAAGGAGGAAGATTATTTGTAATTATTTGTCATATTAAAGTTTTTCAAATGAAGTATTTAAATGGGGTTGTCTTTACAGGGACAATTATACCCTACAGATAAATCCAAACTCTGGATTGTGTAACGAAGATCACCTCTCTTACTTCAAGTTTATTGGTCGGGTAGCTGGAATGGCAGTTTATCATGGCAAACTGTTGGATGGTTAGTATTAAGTATAAACTTTTTACAATATAATTACCTGTTTTCTTTCACTTGGTAATCATCCTAAATGTATTTGGTTTTTTGCAAGGTTTTTTCATCCGCCCATTTTACAAGATGATGCTTCACAAACCAATAACCCTTCATGATATGGAATCTGTGGTATGTCTTTTTCACTTATAGTATAGACGAAGTATAATTTAACAAGCAGCTTGAACATTTTGAAGAATTTGCTTTTAATGACATGGAAATTAATATATTATCATGTTTCAAAATACAAATGAACTTTTTCCTCAACATTTTATTATGAAAATTTTCTAACATATAATAAAGTTGGAAGAATTTTACATTGGACAGTTGTATATCAACTACTCACAATTGCTTTTTTTCTAGATTTACTTTATCACATACCTATCTGTCTATCCATCAGTCTGTCTTAGTTTCTTCATGCATTTCAGAGTAAGTTATAGATAACATTAAACATCCCACTAAATACTTCAATAGGTTATACCAAGTTATATGTCTTTTGAATCAGTATTTGCATTATGATCTTTTATGATGAATGTTATATATATATATATATATATATATATATATATATATATATATTTTTTTTTTTTTTTTTTTTTTTTTTTGAGACAGAGTGTCACTCTGTTGCCAAGCTGGAGTGCAGTGGCGTGATCTTGGCTCACTGCAACCTCTGCTTTCCAAGTTCAAGCAATTCTCTGCCTCAGCCTCCTGTGTAGCTGGGACTACAGGCGCGCACCACCACACTCAGCTAATTTTTGTATATTTAGTAGAGACGGGGTTTCACCGTGTTCACCAGGATGGTCTCAGTCTTTTGACCTCGTTATCCGCCTGCCTCAGCGTCCCAAAGTGCTGGGATTACAGGCATGAGCCACCGCACCTGGCCAAATGGTGTATATTTTTTAAATGGCAGTCGAAAGGCAAAGCGTTATGGTTAGGTTCCTAGAAAAAAACAGAAGCCCAAGGATTAAACCCCGGACTGTAGCCGTGTTGTTTCCTGTGCTGCTGAATAGCCTCACACAATGTGTGTTCACATGAATTCCAGGGCATCTTCCTTAGTACCAAGTTCATTTTTTATTCTTTTCTTATTACATATTAACAGCACAAACAGTGTGATTCTTTATAAATCATAAGATTGCACAGTTACTTGAGTTGGTTCATTGAGCCTCTATATTTATTAAGAGATTTTTCTTTAACTCGGGCTGGGTATAAACAATGGCCTCCTCATAGCTACTTAAACATTTCACACTTAGTGCCGGACACAGGGGTGTGCAACTGTAATCCCAGCACTTTGGGAAGCTGAGGCAGGTGGATCACTTGAGGTCAGGAGTTTGAGACCAGCCTGGCCAACATGGTGATACTCTGTCTCTACAAAAAATACAAAAATTAGCCAGGCGTGGTGGTGCGCGCCTGTAGTCCCAGCTACTTGGGAGGCTGAGGTAGGAGGATCACTTGAGTCAAGGAGGTCGAGGCTGCAGTGAGCCACAGTCGCCCCACTGCACTCCAACCTAAGGGACAGAGCGAGACCCTGTCTCAAAAAAAAAAAAATTAAATTAAAAAATAAAAATAAAACATTTAACACGAAGTCACATAGGCATATGAGGAATGTGCTAAGTGCTCCTGGATATCCAGAGAAGTTAGGTTTTATCTGAAAACTTCTGTATTCATTCCTTTAACTGGATGATAAAATCTGTACCTCCACTGCTTCCACATAAACATAGATTCTAAACTTTTAAGTAGGCACCAATTGATTAATTGATTGATGCATTTTTACTCTTGCCCTTACCTGTCATCCATCTCTTTTTGTAATACACACACATACACACATACATTTTTGTTTATATATGTGTGTAAGTAAAGGATGTCCATCTGACCTCTCATCTTTTACCCAATTATTCAGACCCTCTACATACTGTTTTTTGCAATTTCAGGTGTGTTATAGATACAAATTTTAAATATGTAATTTTTCCCATCTAGGATAGTGAATATTACAATTCCCTAAGATGGATTCTTGAAAATGACCCAACAGAATTGGACCTCAGGTTTATCATAGATGAAGAACTTTTTGGACAGGTTTGTGAATTTTGATCAGTTAAAATGGCACATAAATTGTGAGACAAATGTTTAGATGTTAATACGTACACTTAATACATTCCTAGGCTCTGTTTTTACATTCATTTCCCAGTAACAAAAGCTGTCTCTGAGCAAGAATTTGTACTTTCTTTAACATTTGACTCGTTCCATATTTATTTTAGTAAAACTAGTATTTTAAGTTTTCTTAGTTTTTAACTTTTGACTGGACTTAATTTAAAACACCAAGTTTCTCGTATAACTACAATATGTATACTTTTTAAATTTTTCTCGCTAAAATAACATATCAAGTTATTGTGTTTAATTTTAGACACATCAACATGAGCTGAAAAATGGTGGATCAGAAATAGTTGTCACCAATAAGAACAAAAAGGAATATATTTAGTAAGTATTTTATTAGTATGTATTTTATTGGATATAATTTTGTACTTTATTCCAGAAAGACTCTTCTTACCATCTTTCTCTGTCCCCTTGTCCAGAATCTCAGTGTTCTTTTTCTCTATCACAATGCAGTAGCAAGCACTCATATTCAGCTTTTACCTTGGTCTCAGCTAGCCTTTAGTTTTTGTTTCTAACTAGAATAATTGTGCCTCAGAATTTTGTCTTGGTTCACATGAAAATGAAATGTTGTTTCTTTTTAGTCTTGTAATACAATGGCGATTTGTAAACCGAATCCAGAAGCAAATGGCTGCTTTTAAAGAGGTATTCATTTTCTTTTATTTGCTCTTCCATAATGTCACAGTATAACCTATAAGTTTCAAATATTAGGCCTCATCACATCTGAGAAAAATAAGTATATGGCTTGTTTTGTGAAATCATTCTAAATTATATTTTTATATTAACTAAATATTCCATTCAGTCATTCAAGAAGTCTAGACAATAAACATGGACAGGTCCCCTTTCCCCCAAGCCTTTTCCCTATTCCATTCTCTTCACTTTAGGACAGCAAAAGAACAAGAGTGCTTTAGGGATAGTATAACATATTGTTTGTTTTTCTAAATAGGATCACCTTACACATTTTGTTTTGTGACTTACTTTCTTCTTTTTTTTTTTTTTTTGAGCGCGGAGTGAGTCACTTTGTCGCCCAGGCTGGAATGCAGTGGCGTGATCTCGGCTCACTGCAACCTGCACCTCCCAGGTTCAAGCAATTCTCCTGCCTCAGCCTCCTGAGTAGCTGGGATTACAGGTGCCCGCCACCACGCCTGGCTAATTTTTGTATTTTTAGTAGAGACATGGTTTCACCATGTTGGTCGGGCTGGTCTCAAACTCCAGACCTCAAGTGATCCATCCACCTTGGCCTCCCAAAGTGCTGGGGTTACCAGTGTGAGCCACCGTGCTCGGCCTACTTTCTTCTTTTATCAGATATTTATTAGGGATATTTACATGTGACGACATATAGCTGCCTTTCTTTGTGGCTATATTTTATTCAGAATATAAATTAAAAAGTTACTTAAATTTTTCCAATTGGTAGACAGATTGTCAGAGCACTCATTTCTTAAGCTAACTTACAATCTTCTGTTAAATATGTATCTGGCTGGGCATGGTGGCTGACGCCTAAAATCCCAACACTTGAGGAGGCTGAGGCGGGAGGATTGCTTGAGCCCAGGAGTTCGAGACCAACGTGGACAACATAGGGAGACCTTATCTCTATAAAAAATTAAAAATTTGGGCGCGGTGGCTCATTCCTGTGATCCCAGCACTTTGGGAGTCCGAGGTGGGCAGATTGCCTGAGGTCAGGAGTTTGAGACTAGTCTGGCTAATGTGGTGAAACCCTGTCTCTACTAAAAATACAAAAAAATTAGCCGGACGTGGTGGCGTGCACGTGCAGTCCCAGCTACTCGGGAGGCTGAGGCAGGGGAATTGCTTGAACCTGAGAGGCAGAGGTTGCAGTGAGCCAAGATTACGCCACTGCACTCCATCCTGGGCAACAGAGCGAGACTCCGTCTCAAAAAAAAAATTAGCCTGGTGTCATGGCATGTGCATATGGTCACAGCTACTTGGGAGGCTGAGGCTGGAGGATCACTTGAGCCTGGGAAGTCGAGGCTACAGTCAGCTATGAGCTATGATGGCACTACTGCACTCCAGTCTGGGCTACAGAGTGAAACTTTGTCTCTAAAGTGTGTGTGTGTGTGTGTGTGTGTGTGTGTGTGTGTGTGTGTCACATACTTTTTCATAAATTCAGTATTGAGTACTATGTGTATGGTGCTGTACCAGGCCAAAAGACATAGGTCCTGTTATTAAGGTATGTATGATGTAAAGAGTGAAATGAACAGAGGCAAGCATAAAGTGCTAGGTGAGCACAGAAGAGAAGTACAAACCAGGGAGGGGCAAAGGAAGGGACAAAGAAGGACTAGAGGGATTGGCCAACCATGGAGAAGAGGGAAATGCAGTTCTAAGCAACAGGAGCAGCGTGTGTGAAGTCTGGCAATAAGGTAGGCTGTACCCACAGGCAGTTGAGTATGCTGGGTGAGAGAATGCAAGAGGGAAACAATCAGCCTGCGGAGCTAACAGACCAGCTTATACAGGGCCTGTGTGTGAAGTGGTAGAGTTCGGAGTTTTCTCTGAATTTCAATGAGGGAGAAGGAAGGTAGCATTAAAGGCTATTAACCAATAAGACACCAAGATTCAATTTATGTTTTAGATCATTCTGGAAGTGCTATGTAGAGCAAGTTAGAGGAGAGCCAGACTAGCAGCAGAGACTTCCCAGCAGAGTTGGGAAAGTGCTACAGTAATCTTGGTGAGAAATGGTGAGGAATTAAGGGAATGGTGAGGGAGTTGAGATAGGATTGGTAAGGGAATGAAGATAGTGGTGGTGTTCAGAGCTGCATGTGCATTTGAATGGCATTCAAAAAGGGAGACTTAAAGGATAGAGATGTATGGATTTGGGGATCATCTGCTTAAGTGTAGTGAAGCTGTGAACTCGATACAATGGAAAATGTGAAAGGGCTGTGAAAGCGGATGGCCTCACATGTGGAGAGAGACCTGGGAACACCAGCATCTTAACTGTTGTTTTGAATGGATGGTTTATAAATGGACAGTTTAGGGCATGGGAAAAAAAAAAAAAAAAAAACAGAACAGGAGACTGCAAAGGAAATAAGGAAATTAACAGAGGCAGACAAAAAGGTATCAAGAGTAGACAGAGTTTCAATAGAAAAGATGGTTTTAATCATATCATACTGCAAATAAGTCAAATATGATAAGGAATTAAATATGTTTATTAGATATAGCTGCAAAGCCATCTTTGACTTTTTCCAGAACAATTTCAAGGAAGCTGTAGTGTAGAAGTCCGATTGCAGTGGGTTGAGGGGTTAGATGGGAGGTGAGTGAATGGATTTGGTAAGTGCATAACACTGTCAAGAACTTGGCTGTGAAGGGAAAAAGAGAGTCATTAGTTTTTGTTTGTTTGTTTGTTTGTTTTGCTTTGTTTTAAAGGTAGGTATGGGTTGAGCACATTTAAATGCGTACAGAGTGAGCCAATAAAGAGAAAGAGATCTAGTGAGATGACCTCCCTGAGGAGCAGGTGAAGCACAGGTGCAGGCCTAGCCTGAAAGAAGAGGCGGCACTGCGGTGGGAAGGAGGCCATGATGGGTGTTGGTGATGGTTGGGACGCAGGGATGGAGAAGCTTGAGGGAGTTCCATTGTGCATAATTGCCTCTTTTCCCTCAAATAGAACTTACACTTACCTACTGTAAAGAAGGGGTGATGTGGAGGCTTGAGAAGGATGGGAAATTTGTTTTTTGTTGTTGTTCTTGTTGTTTTGAGACAGGATCTCACTTTTTGCCGAGGCTGGAATACCTCAGCCTCCCCAGTAGCTGGGACCACAGGTTCACACCACCATGCCTGGCTAATTTTTGTATTTTTTTGTAGAGATGGTGTTTCACCATGTTTCCCAGGCTAGTCTCAAATTCCTTGGCTCAAGCAGTCTGCCCACCCAGCCTCCCAAAGTGCTGGGATTACAGAATGAGCCACTGCGTCTGGCCACAGGAAGTTTTAAAAATAGCCACTTTGAGGAATAAATGAGAGAGAACAGACTGTGCACATGTACATTTTCTGGCCAATATTGAGATCTCAGTGAAGAGCCCGTGATTGTGTAGTGGTAGAAACTTGTGTGGATGTGGGATTCCTCCAGTAGCATCCAGAAGCTGAGGCATAGGAAAGGCCATTGGCCCTGCCCATCAAGTTTTTAAATACATCTTTTTTCTAGGGATTCTTTGAACTAATACCACAGGATCTCATCAAAATTTTTGATGAAAATGAACTAGAGGTAAGACATAACATTTTATGTTGAAACAGAAATTGTGAACCCATTATTTTCCTTGTTTATAATTTGACATTTCTTATGTAGCTTCTTATGTGTGGACTGGGAGATGTTGATGTGAATGACTGGAGGGAACATACAAAGTATAAAAATGGCTACAGTGCAAATCATCAGGTTATACAGTGGTTTTGGAAGGTAATTTGAAACTTCTATTTTCATAACTTACTTTTTGATAGATTGAATCATATTTAAGTCAACTCTTGATTAACTATACTGGTGGATTACATTTAACTGATACAGAAAAATATACAGACCAGAAAAAATTATCTTTGATTTTATACTGTATACATGCACCTTCTGGGTCTGTAACTATTACTAGGTAAGTAAAATGTTCAGAAGGTAGTAAGTGGAATGACAGGCTGAGACAGGCACTTAGTTTTCTACTAAAGTAGGGACTGAAAGAACTTGTAATAACCTGCAGGGTATTCCTAGGGACTCCTGGGTGGCTCTTTTAAAATTTCTCATAGAGAAATATGTATGCCATTCAATCATATTAATATAATGTGTTTTTTGAGATGGAGTCTCGCTCTGTCTCCCAGGCTGGAGTGCAATGGTGCCATCTCAGCTCACTGCCACCTCCACCTCCCATGTTCAAGCAATTCTCTTGCCTCAGCTTCCCGAGTAGCTGGGATTACAAGCATGCACCACCATGCCTAGTTATTTTTTTTTGTATTTTTAGTAGAGACGGGGTTTCACCTTGTTGGCCAGGCTGGTCTCAAACTCCTGACCTCAAGTGATCCACCCACCTCAGCCTCCCAGAGTGCTGGGATTATAGGCATGAGCCACTGCACCCAGCATATAATTTTTAAAAGTCATGAGTCACATCTCAAGAGAAATTTTGTTACTTCACTAGGTTATAATCCCATTCTAAAAAGTTGACATGTAGCCTTAGAAATAAAGTTTTCAAGAACTTTATAAACCATCTATAAACAAAAATTTAACTGAAAGAAACATCCACATCTAGTAAGGGATTATTAATATTCTAAATTCCGATAGCTTATGTTTCAGGATAATTTGTTTACCTCTTTCCCAGTGCTGTTCCCTAAATGATGTTTTTATCTTATTCAGGCTGTTTTAATGATGGATTCAGAAAAAAGAATAAGATTACTTCAGTTTGTCACTGGCACATCTCGGGTGCCTATGAATGGATTTGCTGAACTATACGGTAAGGATTTTCCATAGATCATTAAAAAAATGGAATAATGCGTATTGTCTTTTTCATGGCTGACGAATCCGCAAGCTTCCATCATTTACTAACACTTAGCTTAATTTTAAAAAGAATTAAGATTTTGAAAGTGATACCATTAGGGACACTGGAGTAGGCTAAAATATATTTACACCTTCTAATCAGATAATAAAGGGGAAAACTGGAAACATCAAATGACTTGAGTCACTTTCCGTTCTTTAACTTCAAATTCTATGCCCAGTATGCATCCGTTACAGAAAAAGCATTACCTTGGCCGGGAGGGGTGGCTCACACCTGTAATCCTGCACTTCAGGAGGCCGAGGCAGGCAGATCACTTGAGGTCAGGAGTTCAAGATGAGCCTAGCCAACACAGTGAAACCCCGTCTCTACCCAAAAATACAAATATTAGCTGGGCTTGGTGGTGCACACCTGTAGTCCCAGCTACTTGGGAGGCTGAGGCAGGAGAATTGCTTGAACCCAGGAGGCGGACGTTGCAGTGAGCCAAGATCGCACCACTGTAGTTCAGCCTGGGTGACAGACTGAGACCCTGTCTCAAAAAAAAGAAAAAGCATTACTTCTAATGTGATAGTTCAGGATAGCATTTGAAGTTTCACAGAATGTTACTAAGTGTATTTTTAAAAAAATAAAAACAGAGTCATGGTTGAATACCTTTAAGGAAATGCTGGACTAAACAAAGTTAAATGGATTTCTTCAGGACTTCTGTAGAACCTTTACTGTTAGAAGAAAACAAAAGCATTGTTTCCCAAACTTATTTGATCATGAAATCTTTTTTTTTTTTTTTTTTCAAGATAGGGGTGGAGAATCTCATTAGGCTACTATTTTTCATTTCTTGTGGGAGGCAGCAGGACTGGGAAGACTACATATCTCTTGATTTTCAGAATAGTTAATGCAGTTTTCGGTAAAGTAAGATTCTATGTATTCTATCAAATTATTTTCCAGTTGATGTATAAAACTGGAAGTGTGTTTTGTTTAAAAGTGCCATTTCTGATGTAGATTACAGCAACTTTTCTCATATTGATTCATATTCTGTTTATTGGAATGATATTTACTTGCTTTTAAGGAAACCAAGAATCCAAGAATAAATCTTTTACAAAGGATGTACCTAAAGTAGGAGGCCTACTCAGAACAATGAGTAAGATTAGGATTGACCTGGGGACTACAAGTCGGGACTGCTGCCTAGGAAATTGCTAAGCTGAATTTTTTGTGCAAATAGAAGCTGACCATATGATGGGATAGCTAAACCTTTCTTCTCCATGGCAAATCTGGTCAGCTTGCCAAGCCTCATTAATATGAGTTTGCAGAACTGATCAAGCAGCTGCTACCTCTCTACCTAGAGTAACCACTCAAAGTGGTTAGCTTTGCCAGTAACCAATTCAGTCATTCTTTGCCTAATTGGACTTGATAGCCTCTTTCTTTTTCATGGTTTCACCTGACTCCCCTTCCTCCATCTTCTCTACTTTAACAAGTTAGTAGCGAAAAATGAAGGCAGGGCAAACAAATGCCCCTTTCCGTCTCTGGCCTCTCTTCTCTCTTCTATGTAACCCAGCCCCATAGCCATCCACTGATTTCATGCACTGTTTGAAATTTGGGGCAAATATCCCACACATAGAGCCAGAGTTGTTTGTGTTAGAATACAAAGTCAAATTCTTAGAATACAAAGTCAAATTCTTATGTATTTATAGGAAGAAGTTATTTCAAAATGTTAAAATTACAATATTAGATAGCCAATAAAAAGTATGTTAAGGCGGCTGGGTGCGGTAGCTCATGCCTGTAATCTCAACATTTTGGGAGACTGAGGCAGGCAGATCACCTGAGGTCAGGGGTTTGAGACCAGCCTGGCCAACATGGTGAAACCCCATGTCTAGTAAAAATACAAAAATTAGCTGGGTGTGGTGGCACACTCCTGGAATCTCAGCTTCTTGGGAGGGCTGAGGCATGAGAATCATTTGAACCCAGGAGCCAGAGGTTGCATTGAGCCGAGATCATGCCATTTTACTTCAGCCTGGGTGACAGAGTGAATGGCTTGTGGCCAGGAGTTCAAGACCAGCCTGGGCAACATAGTGAGACCCCCATCTCTACAAAATGAATTTTTTTAACAGTTAGCCAGGCGTGGTGGTGCACACCTGTAGTCCTGGCTACTCAGGAGACTAAAGCAAGAGGATCACTTGAGCCCAGGAGCTTGAGGCTACAGTGAGCTTGAATCGTACCACTGCACTCCAGTCTGGGTGACAGAGGGATACCCCATCTCTAAAATATAAATAAATAAACCAGATTAGTTCCCTGTGTGTGTGTAGGAACTAGTGTACACTAGAAAAAGTTTTGATATGCCTGGAGATCCTTGTAGAGAGTAAATGAAACCAAATAAATTCTTCCTTATAGGTTCAAATGGACCACAGTCATTTACAGTTGAACAGTGGGGTACTCCTGAAAAGCTGCCAAGAGCTCATACCTGGTAAGCAGTTGTTTGGACCTTGATAGAACAAAGCCTCAGAGAGTGAGATTCCTCTGTTAGTCTAGCCACAGCAGGGCTAGTCTCCTCTGTGTTATGTCGGTGGCAGGTATGGATTATGGGTAAGAAGGAGTTGGTGACACCCAACGAACAGGTGTTTTGTTACCAAGTTGGCCCAAGCTTGAAGTCCAGGTAGCTGAAGATCAGAGAGACCCACCTAAACTGAGTGATGAGTGATGGGCTGTCCCAAGACAGGCTAGAACATTCCATCTTGGAGGCTGAAGTGGCAGAGAACTCAGACATTTGGAAGATGTGGTGGGGGCAGCACTCCACAAGGAGTTGTGCAGAGTATCCATGCCCAGAACCCAGTCCTACGTCTTACTTCTACCCCTGGTGAAAAGACATATTTTGGTGGTGTTGGAACATTCTCATCAAGAATAGCAGCATTGCTCTGTTTGCTGTGGTGGTACTTGCTTTGTCAGTGTCTTTCATAACCACTTCCTCTCTGTTCTTTCAGTTTTAATCGCCTGGACTTGCCACCTTATGAATCATTTGAAGAATTATGGGATAAACTTCAGATGGCAATTGAAAACACCCAGGGCTTTGATGGAGTTGATTAGATTACAAATAACAATCTGTAGTGTTTTTACTGCCATAGTTTTATAACCAAAATCTTGACTTAAAATTTTCCGGGGAACTACTAAAATGTGGCCACTGAGTCTTCCCAGATCTTGAAGAAAATCATATAAAAAGCATTTGAAGAAATAGTACGACAACTTATTTTTAATCACTTTTAAATAATGTGTTGCATTTACACAGTTGTTTCATGCTGTCTTTAGAGTTAGGTGCCTGCCTAAAGCCAGGCACCACCACACCTGGCTTTAGAGTTCACACAATAGGATATAAGTCCTGTATGACTTAAATAGTGAATTTTGTCCTTAACATTTACCTCTTGTATAGTATCTGCCAGGCAGTTTTTTCTTAAACTACTGAGATGATAACTGTGAAATATTTGTGATACGTGTCATGTGTGAAAAGTTTGATGCATTTTGAGATGGAAAACTGAAATTTGGAAAAAGAAATACTTTACTATTGAGTAAACTACAATATATTTAGTGCTACTCGCAGCTATTTATTATTTTGTAGACCTGCCTTATGCACCTTACTGCCTAGATTTTTGGGAAAAAACTTTGGAAAGTGTGTTACCTATATTTCTAGCCAACTAACTCACAGAAAAACTGTTTACTTCTTCACTTTCGAAGTATTTGGCTTTTGTTAATATGCAGTTTTACTAAACAGATGGTTCATAAGACATGTGAAGCAAATTCATATTTGCAATGGGTAAAAAGTATTAAAGCCTTTCTCTTGCCTGCATATCCTATTGACCATTGGTATAGTCATCACTTTTTCATATTTTAGTGTAGTTAGAAGAATTCCTTCTTCAAACATTAAAGATCCACAAAGCAGTATTTCTAAATATGCCTTGAAGAACTAAATGAAGTGTATAGCACTTGCCTTTACTAGATATTCTTTACACTTGTACAATTATGTAGTAAATGTATGTTTACAGGGTTTATCATGTTTACAGATTAAGCTAATTTCTGTAGTCGCATTTTTATATTTTTAGTATCACTCTAGTAAAAAAACCAAATAATTTGTTTAAAATAACCAAAGAGTTGTTATAATGCATAATTTGTATTAAATTTATTACTATTTCTTATGCCTTTTAAAATACTGTTTACTATGAAGACAATGTTTTTAATTACAAATCCAGAATTCTGTAGGCAAAATGCTACAGTTCATATCTTCCTTTAACCAAACTGAAGTACATAAAGACCATGTACATGTATTCATCAAACGTTTATTGAATGCTGCGTGCCTAGCGCTGTGCTATGCTCTGGGGTAAGAGTTGTCAGCTTCAGAGAAGCTGAGTCCTGATCCTCAAGGAACTTGCAAATGTGTCTATGAATTTGTAAAACAATCAAAAGTAGGCGTAAGCAGAATAAGGCAAAAGGGAAAGTGTTCTAGGTTCCAGCACACCTGCAAAGATAAAGTGTGCCAAGACTGTATTTATATTTCATACTTATATTGTTTCATCCTTATATTGGAATGATTATATAGAAAATGCTCTTAAAAAGATTAAACCTATTTCTCAGTATGGTATCTTGGTGATTTAGGAATAATTGTAAATATATGTTACGAATCTTCTTAAATATATATATATACACACCCTGTGAGAACTGTAAAAAGTACCTCTGGTTCTTGGTTTAAGTTTGTTGGGGTATAACATGATGAGTACTCATTAGCACCTGATAGAAATCTGAAATGTGACAGTAGCAAAACCACTTTCTACTTTCCAAACACCACAGCATCAGCATGGTTTAGGGGAAGCAATTCACAGATTAATGTACCCTGCGTTTTGTCTTCACCATTGTCAACCAGCAGTCAAGGATGAGCACCAGGTATAGTCCTGGTTTGATATCTCACCAGCCATGTGAACTGAAGCAGCTTACTTAACCTCTCTGGATTCATATTTCTTCATCTGTCAAATGAGAGTAATCATGCCCACCCTCATTGTCATGCCAGATTGTCAGAAGTTCCAGACAGATGAGAAAGCAAAAAGTACTTTGTAAAGTGTTATACAATCAGAAGGTGCTTTGTGCTGACCGTCAGATTGTGTCAAGTCAGGTGTGCAAATTGACCACACTCCCAAAGAATCATTTAAAAGTAAAGTGACTTCTAAGAGACAAGGAAGTAGGAACATTTCTGATATTAAATATATAAATAATATGGATACACATGTGTATATCTGTATATGGATCTTACCATCATAATTCATTTTCTTCATATCAGCAAAGTAATAGTAATGTGGGCCAATGCATTTTGGAAATGTCCTCATTATGTAGAATGGAATGTGAAAATTATTTTTGTTAAAACAGGATTTTGCCACAATTATTTAAATATTATGTTTGTGAACTATCTAAGCATGAGAAAATACAAAGCTTTCTTTGTATCTGGCTGATACTCATTTGGATGATTCTGTGACTCATAGAACATGATGTTAAATGAGACCAGACTCAACTGCCACCAGTCCCCAGCTGCAGACCTTCATCCCCTTCATCTCCCACTAGGGGCTCGTGGTCTGGAAGAAACATCTATCAAGCAACACAGCCCCTTATCCCAGATAGAAAAGTGTCTCAAATGCATTCTACTGCGGGACAGTCAGTAGGATCATTTTCATAAAGCAAGGACATCATATGTTTCTAGAAATTACAAGCATATAACTTTAGCCTACAATCTCTTATTAAAAATTTTTAACAAAATTGTATTACAAATGCATTTCATCAGAACTCAAATTTAAATGGTGTTTGTTTTGGGTTTTTATTTATAATGCTGAAGTTATTCCATATAAGTATCAAGTTAAACACAATTCATTTTGATTATAAACTATTTGACTTTTTAAAATCTTCTGACACAGTAAATATATATATCAAGATTGATGTATCAAAATTTATTGCACACTTTAAAGTGTAAAATCATTTTTTAAAATCTTGAATCCACAAATAAAGTTCTATTCTGATTTTAAAAAACAAAACAAAACTGTGGTTCATTATAAAATAGGAGTGTTTCCAAGTCAGTATGCTGGGTGATGTCTTCTGGTCTAGTTCCTCACAGCAGCACGTTAAATTTTCAGTGCAATCCTAAACTTATTACCTGATGAACTAACATGATTATAAACTCTCAACCACAGATAATTAATTTCCACTTTACAAAAAGGTCGTATTGCATAAGTCTGGTTGTTAGTGAAATAGCCAGAAGATAAAAATAATAGCTAAAAATGGACTGGATTTCAGGCACCTTGCTGCTCATCAAAGAAGCCATTCTTGTAGCCAACCACTATTTACAACATCATTTCTATGAGAAAAAGAGTTCGGAGTGTTAATTCAGAACGAAGTGTCTTTTCCTCCTTCCTCTCAGGCATGAGAATTAGTTTCCCAGTTAGAAGGGAATCCACTCCCACCCACTCAAGCCAGCCTGGGAAGGTGCTGTTCCAGCCCCCTGTTTCTGCCATAATCCAGGCCATAGCTTTTAATTTTGGGGACCTAGGCCATGGCCCTCTGCTTCCACGTTTCCTGTTCTAGCCAACTCGGGCAGCAGCTAGCCCACAGCATGCCCCACCTGTACAAGAAGTCCTTGCTTTGCTGTCCATCACGGCAGACATTTATTTTATAAATGATATTAAACTAAGGTATTAGAATGTCAGTACCTCATTATGAAGAAAGAGACTTAGTAGATTTTTGTCTTTTTCCTTGAAAGTTAAAGCCTATCACACTAGCCTCCTCTTTCTGTTCCGCTCATCTCTTCCCCTGCAATGCATCCTATGCAGTCCCTCCATCACAATCAGTGTTTCCTTTTTAGCACACAGATTTGATCAGGTTACTGTACCGCCAAAAAACCTGAGAGCTCCCCAGAGCCAAAAGCATGAAGCACAAACCCGTTAGCATGGAGGTTCGCATGGAATGCAGTCCATCCTCAGCCTAAGGTCTCAATTCCACCTTCCATCATACCTCACTCAGGTGCCCTTGGTTCCCCTCCAAATCAGAGTCCTTCCAGCCCCTAATCACTGCAGACTCCGGTGCCACCTGAATGCTTTCACTTCTCATGTCTACTTGGTAAGTCACTCCACTTTCTGGACACAGTGGAACGGTGCTGTGGCCTCAGCAGTTGGTATATACTAGTGCGGATGACACTGCATTACAATTCTTTGTTTACATAATTCTGTCCTACAGACTTCTGGGCAGTTTGAGGACAAAGACAATTATGTATCCATCTTTTTCATATGTTCATTTCCCAATGCAAATATTTGACGAATTTGAGCTTAAAAGTACTGTTTGTGTATAGAATCCATTTAGGAGCATGGTGTGCCTGGAACTGCAATAATGTGCAGGAGCTCTGTAGTTAGGTGGACATTGGGGACTACGTAAATATTCAAGCAGAGAGGGAGCTTGATTGAGATCCTGCTGAGTGCTGGATTCTGCAGTAAACACTTTATGTGGATCTCATTTAATCTTCATAAAAACTCAGTGAGACAGGTTTTATAGGCTCAAGGACAAGTAATACACCTAAGGCCACACAGCTTGTAAACTCAGTGGATTTATGAACCACAACAAAGAAAAGCTATGGAATCCAACAAATTACCAAGATGTATCCGTTTTCTTGGGCTGCACAACAAATTGCCATAAACTTAGCAGCTAAAAACAATACCCATTTATTATCTCAGATTTCTGTAGGTCACAAGTGTACATGGTCTTAGCTTAGGGTTCTCTGCTCAGGGTCTCACAAAGCCAAAATCATGGTGTCTGGGCTCTTGCCTGCATCCAAGATCTTTCCGATTATTGGCAGAATCCAGTTCCCAGTAGCTGCAGGTCTGAAGTCCTTGTTTTCTTGCTGGATGGCAGCTGGGGGGCACTCTTAACTTTCAGATGTCACCCACATTCCTCATGGATTGGCCCTCTCTCCCTCTTCAAGCCAACAATGCCTCTCATGCTTCTAATCTCTGATTTCCCATTCAGCTGCCCTTTTCTGCCACCAGACGGAGAAAGTTCTCTGTGTTCCAAGATTTATTTGAATAGATCAGGCCCACCTGAATAGTCTTCCTTTTTGGAAATTGACTGTACTGGCCAGGTGCAGTGACTCACGCCTGTAATCCCAATACTTTGGGAGGCCAAAGCAGGCAGATCACCTGAGGTCAGGAGTTTGAGACCAGCCTGACCAACATGGCGAAACCCTGTCTCTACTAAAAATACAAAAATTAGCCAGGCGTGGTGGCGCGTGCCTGTAATCCCAGCTACTTGGGAGGCTGAGGCAGGAGAATCACTTGAACCCGGGAGGCGGAAGTTGCAATGAGCCAAGATCGTGCCACTGCACTCCAGCCTGGGTGACCAGAGCGAAACTCCAACTCAAAAAAAAAAAAAAACACGAAAAAACCATCTCAGAGAAAAAAAGAAAATTGTACCATAGGCGCAGAACACAGTCATGGGACCAAGATCTTATCACGTTCATAAACAGCATAGATTAGGAGGATGAGATATTTCCTAGATCATTACTAGAAAATCCTGCCTTCCACACAACATAAAGGCTAAGGATAGAAAAGTTAAAGATTATGGAGGTTCACCTTGAAAAACACTTATGTATATCTAATTTTATAATGTGCGTTCATTTTTCCACTCTTTGTCAATGAAAGGCCAGCTAAATAAACTAATGCTAACAACAGCCGGTAAGATTCCACTTCAGCAGCTATAAATTCACAAGTCACTACTCTCAGATGAGCCATCAATTCATATTTTTCTCAATACCAGAAGGTTGCATTGGCCTGAAATTATATTCAACTCATCCTTACAATCTTGCTTCTTATACAAGCAGAAATGAAAAGCCATAATTGCTCCTTTTATTGGGAAGGTTGGTGTCTTTCCAGTGAAATCATGGTCAGGATTATAAGGTGGGTCCAAATCAGACTACAGCCATGATGGGAAGAAAGCAGTTCACAGCCCAGAGCTGCTGAACATTCTCTGCAGATGTGTTTAGAACTGCTTTAAATCTCTGGAGAGATGTGCAAGGGAGGGCCTCCAAACGCCCAAGTAAATGAAAGTTCCTGTGCAATCACATGACCCTGGAACAAAGTTTTTTCTCCTGGTGAAATTAACCAAAGATTAAAGCCATAACTATAGGCTCATGAGTTATACTCTATTCATTATTTAGGTCCTGACTTAAGTTCTCTTCTGAAAAATAATCAATTATTATAAAGGCAAACATCATGCCTTCTTAAAAGTTGTTTTTCTGTAACAAGAATATTTTATAAATGAGAAATTCAAGCATATTTTCTCAAACTAATAGGAGGTAATGAGCACAGTGAACTAAGATAATCTCAGTTTAAACAAACAGGATTTTCACTGATGTTGGACTTGAAAACACTATCCAGATTAATGACTTTGTTAATACCCAGTCACTGGGCATAAGTCCAAGTGTAGCATAAATATTCTTCCAGACTTGATGACAGTGAAATATTCTATGTTTAGCCCTCCGAAGGGATAACTAAGTTCTCAGTGATTGATGGATGGCAGCCAAATAGGTTCGCTTTTTTAGTATTGCTGTTTGTTGGAATGGGGTCATGCTTGTGAATAGATGGTGATGGTGTGTGGTTTTATGAGGAATTGTGCAATGTTTTATCCCTGTCTGCCCCTTCAAAAGAAGTGTACGAAGAGAAAAAAGAAAGCTCTATTAACTCAGCCACTACTAGGACTCTGGAATATCTGTGGTTCCCCCAGGGGCTCAATTTATGTACTTGCCCTATCTCCATCTGGGGACATTGTGAAATGGAATTTGGGATTTATTGTCAAGACCTCTAATTACTAATATAGGCATTGACAAGGTAGGGGAAGGGAGTTACACTCAGCACGTACTGCAAGCCTTTGGAAGGCACATTAAGACACAGTTGAGCCTACAATATCTTAGGATTAGTCCAGCACTATTTAATAGTCATATAAAGCAGGCAACATGTGTAGTTTTAAATTTTCTAGTAGCCATGTTTTAAAATATAAAAAGAAAATTAATTGTAGTAATCTATTTTATTTAACTCAGTATATCCAAAACATCATTTCAGAACAGGCACAGTGGCTCACACCTGTAATCCCAACAGTGTGGGAGGCTAAGGCGGGTGGATCACCTGAGGTTAGGAGTTCAAGACCAGCCTGGCCAAATGATGAAATCCCATCTCTACTAAAAATATAAAAAATTAGCCAAGTGTGGTGGCGGGCACCTGTAATCCCAGCTACTCAGGAGGCTGAGGCAGGAGAATCACTTGAACCCAGGAGGCCGAGGTTGCAGTGAGCCGAGATTGCCCCATTGCACTCCAGCCTGGGCAACAAGAGCAAAACTCCGTCTAAAAAAAAATCATTTCAACATGTGATAAACATAAAATTATTAATGAGATATTTTCCATTTTTGGTACTAAGTCTTTGAAACCCAGTATGTACCTTATGCTTACAGCACATCTTAATTCAGACTGGCCACATTTCAAATAGCCACACATGGCTGGTGCTGCCATACTGGACAGTGCTGGAATCCATGGGCCTAACGACAAACTTCCACACAACATAAAGGAATTGAGAGGCAGCTACAAGTGGCTCACCTAGCGATGTTGCTAAATTATTTTTCTTCCTCCAGGGAACCCCAGAGACTAGGAAGAAGTTCTTCCAGGAAAGCCAAATGTTGAAATTCAAACAACATTCTAATCTAGACAGTCACGTTTTGAAATTTAAAATTTACACTTAGAAATTATTTCATCCATTGTGGAAGACAGTGTGGTGATTCCTCAGAGACCTAGAAGCAGAAATACCATTTGACCCAGCAATCCCATTATTGGATATATACCAAAAGGAATATAAATCATTCTGTTATAAAGATACATTCCAGCGTATGTTCATTGCAACACTATTCACAATAACAAAGACATGGAATCAACCCAAATGCCCATCAGTGATAGACTGGATAAGAAAAATGTGGTATGTATACACCATGGAATACTATGCAGCCATAAAAAGGAACTAGATCATGTCCTTTGCAATGGATGGAGCTGGAAGCCATTATCCTCAGCAAACTAATGAGGAACAGAAAACCAAACACCACATGTTCTCACCTATAAGTGGAAGCTAAATGATGAGAACCCACAGACACATGGAGGGGAAAACACATATGGGTCCTGTCAGTGGGGGCGGGGGGTAGGGAGAGCATCAAGAACAGCTAATGGATGCTGGGCTTAATACCTAGATGATGGGTTGATCTGTGTAACAAACCACCATGGCACACGTTTACCTATGTAACAAACCTGCACTTCCTGCACATGTACCATGGAACTTAAAAGCTGAAGCAAAAAAACAAGAAAATATACAAATAGCCAACAAACATACAAAGCAATGCTCGGACTTATTTTATGTTGAAGACTGGAAGTACTTTTGCATGTCTTCTGTTCTCCAAAAGTTTGTGCAGTACTCTGGCATGTATTTAATTGTTAACTTTTTTGAAAAAATCTATGCCTTCTTTTGAAACCACCTTTTTTTTTTTTTTTTTTTGAGATGGAGTCTCACTCTGTCGTCCAGGCTGGAGTGCAGTGGCGCGATCTTAGCTCACTGCAACCTCTGCCCCCCGCCCCACCAGGTTCAAGTGATTCTTGTGTCTCAGCCTCCCGAGTAGCTGGGATTACAGGTACCCGCCACCACGCCCGCTAATTTTTGTATTTTTAGTAGAGACAGGGTTTCACCACGTTTGCCAAGCAGGTCTCAAACTCCTGACCTCAAGTTATCCACCCAACTCAATCTCCCAAAGTGTTGGGATTATAGCCGTGAGCCACCGCACCCAGCTGAAACCACCTCATTTAAAGCATCTGTTTTCTTACAGTTTCTTTCACCTCTTTAAATTTTAAAATCACTTATTCTGTTTTATTTTAAATAGAACATGTACAAATTGTAGAATGTTTAGAAAATACATGTGCACCGCCAGATTAAAATGCCTACACCAAAAATAAAAAAATATAATTTCCACTCAGGAGCTTAAGGATGGTGGTCTGGTTTGAGGAGGAGCTGTGTTTCCACTGTAAGCACATGAGTTTCACTTAGGTTATATGTTTACTAGGGGGGGCTCGGGTGAGAGGCTGATGCGGATTATGTAGAGGTGGGCTAAGCCCCCAAGTCATACCTGAGTGTGCCACTGTAGCTCCTATAGAGGCAGGAATTTTGCTGAAAGTCGCCCACCCAGTACTGAGGTGGTCCCCACAATACTGAAGGTGTTCCCTACTGAAGGTCATGGAAGCTGTGGGCAGGAGCAAACATGTGGGAAGAGCTGGGAAGCAGCTTCCAGTATGAAGTGCTGGATCTAGCACCTTGAAAGATCATCACCAGAACAGAGGAGGCACATTGGCACCTGGGTGGTTTATCAGAAAGAAACATCCGGTAGCTGGGCATGGTGGAGCACGCCAAGTAGTCTCAGCTACTTGGGAGGCTAAGCTGTGAGGATCGCTTGAGCCCAGAGGTTCGAGGTCAGTCTGGGAAACGTAGTGGGACCTTGTCTCAAAAATTTAAAAAAGGAAAAAAAAAAAAAGAGAAAAACAGCTAGAAATCACGAGCAGTGTTGAGACAGGACAACTAGGAGGGTAAGGCCACTGCTGAGGAGGTCACAGGGGGTCACCTGGGAGCCAACCTCTGACACTGAGGGGAAGGCATAGACTGTGGGAGAGGCATCTGTTTGTTTTTTCTGGTGCAAGGAGAATAACAAAATGCGATCAGAAGGGCTAATAGACTGCAGATGGAGCTCAGCCCAGCTGAAGGCTTTGAACTGGAACCAGCCCTCTAATTTTCAGCAGTGCGTGTGGCCCATGAAAAAGAAAGAGTGAAATTAAACAAGGGATCATCAGAGGCCATTATGAGTTACTCTCAATGGGTGAAACAGCAGATTGTATTGAGAGAAATAGTAGGGATTTGACAGTGAAAGTAATCTGATCTGTATCCTGTCAACAATAGGGGAACTATTCAAAAGTTACATGCCAAAGGGTGGGATGATGGGATGTGCACTTCAGAAAGCTCATTCTTTCTCTCCAGGGGCAGTAAGACCGGGAGCCGGCCTTAGTTTGGCGAGCATTCCAGTGACACAGGGGAGAGATGGTGGCGGTCTGAAGTCAGCCTGGAGAAGCTGGGATGCAGAGATGTAGGGAGGCTGAACTGCCCTTGTTTTTGGAGAGGGAAGGGCAGGAAGGGCACAGACAGGAGTGTAGGCCCACACCTAAGTCTCTAACTGGGCCAGCTGGATGAAAGCTGGTGCCGCCACTGAAACGGAAATAGGATCATGGAGACATCAGAAGGGAGGCTGCCGGCAGGCGGCTGTGGATCTAAAGGTGGGTAGAGATATGGAGGTTATCAGCAAATAATCAGTAGCCCGTGAGGAGACCCTGTTACACGTGCAGCACACTAAGAAAGCTGATTGAATTATCAAACATCACTTCTGATAAGCAAATTCTAATATATTTTATACTTAATAGAATAAGTGGTGAGTGGGGGAAGACTATAAACAGTGTAATTGGTAGTGTTTTCCTAGCCAAAAGGAGGCTTTTAGGTTTTTCTTTTGTCTCTGTTAGGTATTCCAAGTTCTAGAATTATTGCCAACAGTTTTCTCTGGTGTCCTGTTCCACTCAGGGTGGAATTCCTCCCCACACCCGCACATGTGTGTGCACAACCATAGCCTGATGGCTGCTGATGACCTGGCTCCCATTCCCAATCTCCCTGGTGCGAGGCCCAATTTCTCTGCAGTTGCTCTCACCTGAGACCCTGCCTGTGCCTTGCACTATAAAGTGGTCCTCTTGTTGCTCTTCACTTTGGCGTCTAGGTGCTAGAAGGCCAAAAGCTGTAGGAGCTCTGGCCCCTGCACCTGTGGATAACGTCACTGCTGGGTAACAGCCCTATGACCGCCATAAAGAAGTTTGCGTGGGTGGGGAGTGGGGAGGCTGCAACTGGCCAGGTGGCCCTGGGGAGGGAGAAGCACAATGAAAATGGACTCTGAGGCCCTTGGAAGAGTGCTGGAGAAAAAGAAATAGAGATTAGAGATGAGCTAGGGACGCCTAAAAGAGCACGAAGGACATGGGATGCAGGTTCCTTGGCAGGGAGTCTGTGTGGTCTCAAGCACTACCTGGAATAAGCTCCTGGCAGCCCCAGGATGGACGACCAGGTAAGGTAGCAGACCCTGGAGGGGAGCGAGAGAGAGCCCCTCCTCTCTACCTTTCTATCCCAAATAACAAGTGACCCTAAAGTCTCTTAAATGACTAAACGTAGCTCCCTCTCGGGGCTGGCCCCCATAGCAGGAATGGTGAGGTTCAAGAGAAACCAAATATGCTCTCACCTGTTTTCTGATGACTGAACTTAATAGCAAATAAGGCCTTTCATTTCCATACTTAGAAGACTGAAATTACAACACAAAGGAAAAGATTTCTGACCCCAAATGTATTCATAGTAAAAGATAAGAGCTGTTCCAGGATTGATAGAGGTTAGAAAAAGGGACACTTCTCCTAGGTTGGAAAAGAGCCCTGAAATAGAAGATCAAGAGCCTGAAAGACCAATATTCTCAGCATTGCCATTTTATCTTAGGCTCTGTCTACCTGAAGCCAATTCAGACCAAGAGAAACAGCTGGAACAGTTTCCAGTGTGGGCAGTGATGGTCTTTGTCACAGCATAGGTCATTGAATTATTTTATCTGCATAAGATTTCACTTGGGGTTTTGTGTAGGAGAAGTATTTCACAAATCTCTATGTCATGAAATACTTCCAAGTATTAAATTACCCAAAAGATGCTTACTACCCATGGGCATGAATTCAGAGGGCAAATATGCTTACATCAAGAGGGACAGACAAAAATGTGAGGTTTTCCTTAATTATATTGGTTCCCTAGTTATATATAACAGACACTACATCTCTGAGTCCACAAAATCTTTTCCAGAGTGCCAATAACTTTTTTCCTTTGACTCAACCTCAGCCCACTCTGCCAGCAATGTGGGACGGCCACAATCCGAAGCCTGTTTGCCAAGTTATGGGGGCTTGGAAGTCTTTTCAGCTGGTAGAACAGAGGTTTCCCAGCCCTTTTGTTTTATTTATTTATTTATTTATTTATTTATTTATTTATTTATTTATTTTGGGACAGAGTCTCGCTCTCGCCCAGGCTGGAGTGCAGTGGCGCAATCTTGGCTCACTGCGAGCTCCGCTTCCCGGGTTCATGCCATTCTCCTGCCTCAGCCTCCTGAGTAGCTGGGACTACAGGCACCTGCCACCATGCCCGGCTAATTTTTTGTGTTTTTAGTAGAGACAGGGTTTCACTGTGTTAGCCAGGATGGTCTCCATCTCCTGACCTCATGATCCTCCCGCCTCGGCCCCCCAAAGTGCTGGGATTACAGGTGTGAGCCACCACGCCCGGCCTCCCAGCCCTTTTAAAATGATCTAACATGCATACAACAGAGGTTGGAAGAGTGACTCAGCCACTAAGTGAGTGGATACTTTTTAAATCCATGATAAATATGCTGGAAAGCTATCTAATTGTTCCTCATTAGGAACATTTCTTCCTCATTAGGACATTGAAGAATGCTGGAACACAATTCACTGAATCACTCTTACATTTAGATCGCACTTTTAATTCACTTTAATGCATTTTCACATTTATTGTCTCCTCTTATTCAATGCCAGTAAAGGAGATAGGGCACACTTCATCATTCTCATTTGATAGCTCAGAAAGGGAAAACAAGACACAGCAAGGGTTTGCCTTTGGGTGCACTGCAAATTAGGAGCCGATCTAGAAGTTGCAGTCAGCCTCTTTGGGTGGTATCTTGGCCCTACAACTTCATAGCTTGTGTCTAGGACTAATGAGCTCACCTAAATCTCACTCTGCCTGACCTGCAGGTGAGGTCTGGAGGCAAACTGTCTATTTGGAGTATCAGTCATATAGTTAGTGTTTCTTTCTCTCTTCCAGACACAATGGGTGTTGATAAACGAAATGCAAACCGTCCATCCCTGATCCAGGGACTAATGGGCAGTAGGACCTAGCCAGATTTGCATTTTTTCATATAGACTTCTTAGATTCTTAAACCAGGACTCGCAGTGAACGGTATTCTCAAAATAACTTGAATACCAGCAATAAATAAAATCTCCTAAATAGTTAAATATTACAACTAATTAGAAATCTAATATATTGAGATGCTTTTGGCTCAGAACACCAGACGTGACTTACAGAGGAGGCCGTGGCAAAGATTCTCCAGCTAGGGTGGCTTAATGAGGGCCTTTGTTCTATACCTCTGAGTTCTTTGTTCTCTGTGTCTTGATAAGTTTTTTTTCTGTCATCCTCTCCCCTCTGTGTATGAGAGTAGAAAGGGTGGGTGTGTATGTGTCAATTATCTGCAATATAACCAACGCCTGATCTATTACAAGGGCTTTCTGACCTGGCTACAAACACTTACATGCTTAGTTTTTCTCCTTTACTTTATTCTGACAGTTTTTATCTCAGATCACTGACACCACTGGTTATATCAGCCTCCTTTTCCCTCTCTTCAAGAAGAGAGAAACTGTTTATCTTAAGAAGTTTTATGGTTTAGGTGGGAAAGATCTGGCTTCCTGCAGAGCACAGAGAGGAAGATCCAAAAAAGAAAATAATCCTGTATCTCTGGCATTTCCTGACTGCCCAAAGCATCCTTCTACAGCTGAGATTGATAAAAACTTCATCAGAGGCAGTGGTCATTCAGACTACAGGCTTTTAAAACATTACTTACTGTGTGAGTCAGATTAGCATTTAAGATCCTGGTCTTTTCTCTGCAGACAATGTGACATATATTTTATCCATTCTGATGGTATCACATTCCAAAAAACTCAATACAGTCCCTAAAGTAGTTAAAAAACAAGTACAGTTTAAAATGTAATTTGACATTTCTGAAACACACAAAAGCTTTCTTGAATAAATGGAAGGATAGCTCCTATTCTTGCATAGGATGACTCAACATTATAAAGATGTCATTTTCCTTATCTTAATTTAAAAGCTAATGTGATACTAACAAGCTTTTTTTTTTTTTTTTTTTTTTTTTTTTTTTTTTTTTTCCAGACGGAGATTCACGCTTGTTGCCCAGGCTGGAGTGCAATGGCGTGATTTCGGCTCACCACAACCTCCACCTCCAGGATTCAAGCAATTCTCCTGCCTCAGCCTCCCAAGTAGCTGGAATTACAGGCCTCTGCCACCATGTCCAGCTAATTTTGTATTTTTAGTAGAGACGGGGTTTCTTCTTAATAGTCAGGCTGGTCTCGAACTCCTGACCTCAGGTGATCCACCCGCCTCGGCCTCCTAAAGTGCTGGAATTACAGGCATGAGCCACGGCGCCCGGCCTACTAATAAGTTTTTTTAGATGAGTTGATATCAAAGTTTACATGGAAAAACACATCCAAGAATAGGTGGGAAAGCACCGAAGAAAAGCTATGAGAGCTGAGTAGCTCTATAGGACATTGAAATGTATTGTACTATAAATCCTCTATGATTAAAAGTGTGGTAGTACCACATAAATAGACAAATAGACCAGTAAAACAGGATATAAAGCCCCAAAATACACCAGAGTACATATCAAAAATTTAGTAGATTTTAAAGGTGGCATCTCAAATCTGAAAGCGAAACTTGACATTTTTCTAAATGGTGCTTTTAGCAATAGGCAAAAAGTGGAAATAGCCCGCATGTCTGTTGCCTAATGAATGGATAAACAAAATGTGGTATATTCATACAATGGAATATTCAGCAATAAGAAGAATGAAATACTGGTACATTCTGCAGCGTGGATGAACCTTGAAAATGTTACGCTAAGTGAAAGAAGTCAGTCACAAAAGAGCATATGTTATGTGACTCATTTATATGACATGTCTAAAATAGGCAAATCCATAGAGACAGAAAGTAGGTTAGTAAATGCATAAAGCTGAGGGAGGAGGGGTAACAGGGAGTGAGTTTAGGGTTTCTTTTTGGGTAACGAAGATGTTCTAAACTCAGATTGTATTTGGATGCAGAATTCTGTGAATACACTAAAACCCGTACGCTTGAAAGGGGTGGAAGTATATTATGAAGTTGATAAAGATGTTTAAAAAATAATGAAGGGACAAATGACCAAAACCCAACAGAAAATGGGCAAGATCTTTTTCAAATATATGAAAAACTGTTCAGATTCACTCATAATTAGAGAAATGCAAATTAGACAGTGAGATACTCACCTGTCATATTGGCAAAAAAAAAAGTATGGTGATACATTCTGTGAGTTGTGAGGAAACAGGCATTCTCATACATTGCTGGTAGAAATGCAAACTGCAAAGAGAATTTGGCAATACCTAACAAAACTACATATGCAATTTAATTCAGCAATAGCACTTCTAGGAATCATCTTGAAGATATAGTTCTAACAATGTGAAAAAATATATATGCACAAAGTTATTCATTGCATCATTTCTGGTCATTACAAATTTAAATGCTCAATCATAGGAGACTGATTGAATAAACTAAGGCTCATCCATAAAGTAAAGTATTAAGTGGCTCTATAAAACAATGAGGAGGCCGGTAGCAATGGCTCACGCCTATAATCCCAGCACTCTGGGAGGCCAAGGCAAGTGGATCGCCTGAGGTCAGGAGTTCGAGACCAGTCTGACCAACATGAAGAAATCCTGTCTCTACTAAAAATAATAAAAATTAGCTGGGCGTGGTGGTGCACGCCTGTAATCCCAGCTACTTGGGAGGCTGAGGCAGGAGAATTGCTTGAACCTGGGAGGCAGAAATTGCAGTGAGCCCAGATCACGCCATTGCACTCCAGCCTAGGCAACAAACAGCGAAACTCCATCTCAAAAAAAAAATAAAAAAAGGAGTCTGTAAACCTGGTATCAGTAGATTCTAGGATATACTGTGAAGTGAAAAAATAACATGCAAAAGAGCATTGATAGTATGCTATCCTACATGTAATAAAGAAGGAATATAAGAAAAAATACATGTACAGCAGTTCCTCCAATAACATCTTTTCTTCAACATTGTTTCATTATAAGATTCATGATGAAAATAAGTCGATTCCCAGCTGGGGCCACCGTGCCAGAGTTCGCATACCCTCCCAGGTAAGTGTGGGTTTTCTTTGGATACTCTGCTTTCCTCCCACATCCCAAAGGTGTACTCTTTAGGTGAATAGGCATGTCTCAGTTGGCCAGGATGAGTGAGCGTGCGTGTGCGCTCTGTGTTGGGATGGTGTCCTGTCCAGGATTGGTTCCCACCTTGCTCCCTGAGCTGTTGGGATAGACTTGGGCCACCTCCGATCCTGAGCTGGCAAGAGCAAGTTGGAAAATGAGTGAATGAATGGACACAAGTTATTGTAAAATAAAAATTCATGAAGTAGATGGTAATTATACACATGCTTGACAAACAATGTGGTGTGAAAGGACTCAGGGAGCCCACCATATTTATGATTGTTTTTGCATTGTGTGGTGGGAGGAGGTGCTCCTTACAATTTCCCTTTGCAAACATTTATTCTTTGATTTAACCCACCATCCCTATGACTGCCATTACTTACTGATTCACCAAAAGTTGGATAATTGTATTTTTTTTTAAGACAGTGTCTTTCTCAGGCTACAGTGCAGTGATGCAATCATAGCTCACTGCAGCCTTGACCTCCTGGACCCAAGCAATCCTCCTACCTCAGCTTCCCAAGTAGCTGGGACCACAGGCATGTGCCACCACGCCTGGCTAATATTTTTCTTTTTCTTTTTTGTAGAGATGGGGTCTCCTTGTGTCACCCAGGCTGGTCTCGAACTCCTGGGCTCAAACGATCCACCTGCCTCACGCTCTCAAAGTGCTGGGATTACAGATATAAGCCACTGCACCCAAAAATTATCTTGTTTTCATCTTTCTTAAATATAAGTGTAACTCACATTTATTTCAATGTTTAATATTAGAAGTGTTTGAGAGGCCGGGCATGGTGGCTCATGCCTGTAATCCCAGCATTTTGGGAGGCTGAGGCGGGCCGATCACCTGAGGTCAGGAGTTCGAGACCAGCCTGGCCAACATGGTGAAACCCCGTCTCTACTAAAAATACAAAAAATTAGCCGAGCGAGGTGGCGGGCGCCTGTAGTCCCAGCTACTACTCGGGAGGCTGAGGCAGGAGAATGGCGTGAACCCCCGGGGGCGGAGCCTGCAGTGAGCCGAGATCGCGCCACTGCACTCCAACCTGGGTGGACAGAGTGTGACTCTGTCTCAAAAAAAAAAAAAAAAGAAGTGTTTGGGTTTTTGTTGTTGTTGTTGTTGTTGTTGTTTTGAGACAGAGTTTCACTTTTGTTGCCCAGGCTGGGGTACAATGTCACAATCTTGGCTCACCGCAACCTCCGCCTCTCAGGTTAAAGCGATTCTTCTGCCTCAGCTTCCCAAGTAGCTGGGATTACAGGCATGCGCCACCACGCCCCGCTTTTGTATATTTAGTAGAGACAGGATTTCTCCATGTTGGTCAGGCTGGTCTTGAACTCTCGACCTCAGGTGATCCACCCCACCTTGGCCTCCCAAAGTGCTGGGATTACAGGTGTGAGCCCCCACACCCAGCTTGTGTTTGGGATCTTCATTTAGAAGTTTGGTGATGTTTTTGTGATTTGAAATTTTGTGTAGAATTTTGCTTATTTATATCAATTAGCCTATAGTAAAACTGGTTTTGTTATACTTCATTGCACTTAAAGTTGAAGTTTCCAAGAGCCTATCAATGACCTTAAGTGAGAACTTACTGTATTTGTTTGTTCAGAAGAAATACAGGGAGGATAAGCCAGAAACTAAAGACAAAGCTTACTGTTACGGGTTGAACTGCATCCCTCCCAAAATGATATGTTGAAGTCCTAACTCCCAGTACCTCAGAATGTGACCTTATTTGGAAATGGAGTGATTGCCAATGTAATCAGTTAAAATAAGGTCATACTAGAGTAGGGTAGGCCCTGAATCCAATATGACTGGGGTTCATATAAGAAGACAGCCATATCACAGCACTTTGGGAGGCCAAGGTGGGTGCATCGCTTAAGCCCAGGAGTTTGAGACCAGCCTGGGCAGCATGGCAAAACCCCTTCTCTAAAAAAAAAAAAAAAAAAAAAAAAAAAATTCGCTGGGCGTGATGTGAAAACCTGTAGTAGTCCCAGCTCCTTGAGGGGATGAGTCAGGAAGATGGCTTAAGCCTGGGAAGTCAAGGCTATAGTGGCAATGGGCTATGATCATGCCACACCGCTCCACTCCAGCCTGGGCAACAGAGCAAGGCCCTGTCTCAAAAAAAAAAAAATCAACCAGGATTGGGGGGAATCCAAAGTAGCATAAAATAGTAAAAAAATTAATTAAATTGCAAATAACTTCACTGAAAGAAGTAAGGAAGAAAAGAAATAACTTAAATAACTTTGCAAAACAGTATTTTGATTGGATAATATAAGGCCAAAAACAAACTATATAAATACTGTACTCTAGTTAATAAGTAATTCTGAAATGACTATAGGTATATGCCAGTATAGAATAAATAAGTAAATATACTACAGATATTGAAAGCCACATTTCTCAAGGTTCCAGAAGGAAGTTACCAATAAGAAAAAGGGGAAAGCCTGGAAGGAGCTCTATGGTGTTGGATTAGATTTGCAGGAATAACGATGAACTTGTGGTTTGTAATATATATAAAGATACATACATACATACATACATATATACATATATACATACATCTATTATTCTCCAATAAAAGGAACCAGGTCTCTTTGGAAAAAATAGTTCAATCCAGGGCTGGGGCAGGAAAAATTAAAGATGAGCCTGGAACCTCTTGTGGTTACAGAAAGCAAGGAAGTACTCAAAAACTAATAAAGGAACATCAAAAGGACACAGGCACCAACCTGAAGGAGCTCCTGATAGAGAAGGCTGGAGCAAATTGAGCAAGAAAATAAATGACAGTATTAAGTTGTGACCCATAGAATAAAATAAATATGCATGAGTCCATACTGATATAAACAAATAATTGAATAAATAAATACATGAAATCCCAGGACTTTGAGAGGCTAAGGCAAGAGGATCCCTTGAGCCCAGGAATTCAATGCTTCAGTGAGGTAAGAAAGTGCCACTGCACTCTAGCCTGGGGAACAGAGCAAGACTCTGTTCCTGAAAAAAATTAAAAATTAAAAATACTATATATAGGGTAGACTACTCTTCCTTACAGAAGAATTCCAATTAATGTGAGAGGAACAACAAATTGAAAAGCATGATTAGGCAAACAAGACTCACTGATGGATGCTAAAGTGGCCAAAGGTGAGAAGAAAATAGGACATGAGCATATTCTCTATGCATCTCTCCAAAGATATTAATTGCCAAGGAAAAATAGTAACTTTATAGTGGAGAAACACTGTAGACACCATCTTAACCAATTGTCAAGGTTAACTTGAGCAATAATAAGCCATTTTGACATCATACACCTCCCGACCCTAATATGAGGCACTGAGAAGGCCACGGCATCATTTGTGGCCTTCTTGCCAAAAACTAATAATGAGAAAACATCAGAAAAACCCAAATTGTGACACAGTCTACAAAATAACTTACTCTTCAAAACTGTCAAAATCATGGAAGACCAGAAAAGACTGAGTAACTGTCCCAGATTGGAGCTGACATAAAGCTATGTGACTGCTAAATGAATTATGTGTTCCTGGGTTGAATCCTAGAACAGAAAAAGCATGACAGGGAAAAAAAAAAAACTGGCGAAATTCAGAGAGGGTATTAAAGTTTTGTTAATAGTAGTGTATCGATGTTAATGTCCTGGTTTCCAATATTGAGGTATGGTTATGTAAAATGGTAACATAAAGGAAATCTAGATGAAAGGCATATAGGAAATCTTTGTACTGTTTTTTGCAACTTTTCTTTCAATCTAAGATTACTGCAAAATATAAAGAAAATAATGTAGTTTGAAATTTTTATCAATACAGCTATTCTACCCTCGAAGTTTTATTTTCCTGATCCACAACTGTAAACAATATTTTTGCCTCTGTTTCTTTGTTTTTTTTTTCTTTTCAGATGAGTCTCACTCTGTCGCCCAGGCTAGAGTGCAGCAGCAAATTCTTGACTCACTGCAACCTCTGCCTCCTGGGTTCAAGCAACTCTCCTGCCTCAGCCTCCTGAGTAGCTGGGATTACAAGCCTGCACCACCACACCTGGCTAATTTTTGTATTTTTAGTAAAGACGGGGTTTCATCATGTTGACCAGGCTGGTCTCGAACTGCTGACTTCAGGTGATCCGCCCGCCTAGGCCTCCCAAAGTACTGGGGTTACAGGCATGAGCCACCACACCTGACCCTGCTTCTATTTCTTGATTTATAAATTTTATACATTACTATTTACTTCCTACTGTAATAGATGATTTAGCTCAGTCATTTTCTTACCCGAGTAAGCCCTCAAGTCTCAATTTCTCAGTTGACCTGATTTTTGGGGTTATTTTGTTTGTTTTTTGTTTTGTTTTTTTTTTTTTTTGAGACAGAGTCACACTCTTTTGCCCAGGCTGGAGTGCAGTGGCACAATCTTGGCTCACTGCAGCCTTTGCTACCTGAGTTCAAGCAATTCTCCTGCCTCAGCCTCCTGAGTAGCTGGGACTACAGGCACCCACCACCACGCCCAACAAATTTTTCTATTTTCAGTAAAGATGGGGTTTCACCATGTTGGCCAAACTGGTCTTGAATTCCTGATCTCAAGTGATCCTCTCACCTCAGCCTCCCAAACTGCTGGGATTCCAGGTATGAGCCACCGTACCTGGCCTCTGTTGATCATTTTTATCACTTTAAAGACAATACCTTTATCTCTTCTTCCATCTCCTATAGATAATATTTCTTGGTTTCCTATCAGAACCCCCACTTTTTTCTCCTCCAGCGGGTCTCCTCTCCTTTCCTCCCCTAATCCTGTTTGTCTAAATTTACTTATGTATTTTAAAGATTTATAATGGTTACATTTTGTTCTGAAAACATAACTTAGTCTTCTTTGTGTTGCTTATTGGTTAAGCCCAACAGCTGAGTATCAGTAAGCCACAATCATTATTATGACCAGGCAAATATTGTTCCCTACTGATTCAAACAGTGTATGCACTATATTGAAGTTTGTTGTTGTTGTTGTTGTTGTTGTTTTTTAAATTATTTTACTTTAAGTTCTAGGGTACATGTGCACTATGTGCAGGTTTGTTACATATGTATACATGTGCCATGTTGGTGTGCTGCACCCATCAACTCGTCATTTACATTAGGTATATCTCCTAATGCTATCCCTCCCCCCTCCCCCCATCCCACGACAGGCCCCAGTATGTGATGTTCCCCACCCTGTGTCCAAGTGTTCTCATTGTTCAATTCCCACCTGTGAGTGAGAACATAGGGTGTTTGGTTTTCTGTCCTTGCAATAGTTTGCTGAGAATGATGGTTTCTAGCTTCATCCATGTCCCTACAAAGGACATGAACTCATCATTTTTTATGGCTGCATAGTATTCCATGGTGTATATGTGCCACATTTTCTTAATCCAGTCTATCATTGATGGACATTTGGGTTGGTTTCAAGTCTTTGCTACTGTGAATAGTGCCGCAATAAACATACGTGTGCATGTGTCTCTATAGCAGCATGATTTATAATCCTTTGGGTGTATGCCTAGCAATGGGATGGCTGAGTCAAATGGTATTTCTAGTTCTAGATCCTTGAGGAATCGCCACACTGTCTTCCACAATGGTTGAACTAGTTTACAGTCCCACCAACAGTGTAAAAGTGTTCCTATTTCTCCACATCCTCTCCAGCACCTGTTGTTTCCTAACTTTTTAATGATCGCCATTCTAACTGGTGTGAGATGGTATCTCATTGTGGTTTTGATTTGCATTTCTCTGATGGCCAGTGATGATGAGCATTTTTTCATGTGTTTTTTGGCTGCATAAATGTCTTCTTTTGAGAAGTGTCTGTTCATATCCTTTGCCCACTTTTTGATGGGGTTGTTTGATTTTCTTCTTGTAAATTTGTTTAATTTCTTTGTAGGTTCTGGATATTAGCCCTTTGTCAGATGAGTAGATTGTAACAATTTTCTCCCATTCTGTAGGTTGCCTGTTCACTCTGATGGTAGTTTCTTCTGCTGTGCAGAAGCTCTTTAGTTTAATTAGATCCCATTTGTCAATTTTGGCTTTTGTTGCCATTGCTTTTGGTGTTTTAGTCATGAAGTCTTTGCCCATGCCTATGTCCTGAATGGTATTGCCTAGGTTTTCTTCCAGGGTTTTTATGGTTTTAGGTCTAACATTTAAGCCTTTAATCCATCTTGAATTAATTTTTGTGTAAGGTGTAAGGAAGGGATCCAGTTTCAGCTTTCTACCTATGGCTAGCCAGTTTTCCCAGCACCATTTATTAAACAGGGAATCCTTTCCCCATTTCTTGTTTTCATCAGGTTTGTCAAAGGTCAGAGGGCTGTAGATGTGTGGTGTTATTTCCTAGGGCTCTGTTCTGTTCCATTGGTCTATATCTCTGTTTTGGTACCAGTACCATGCTGTTTTGGTTACTGTAGCCTTGTAGTACAGTTTGAAGTCTGGTAGTGTGATGCCTCCAGCTTTGTTCTTTTGGCTTAGGATTGTCTTGGCAATGTGGGCTCTTTTTTGGTTCCATATGAACTTTAAAGTAGTTTTTTCCAATTCTGTGAAGAAAGTCATTGGTAGCTTGATGGGGATGGCATTAAATCTATAAATTACCTTGGGCAGTATGGCCATTTTCACGATATTGATTCTTCCTATCCATAAGCATGGAATGGTCTTCCATTTGTTTGTGTCCTCTTTTATTTCGTTGAGCAGTGGTTTGTAGTTTTCCTTGAAGAGGTCCTTCACATCCCTTGTAAGTTGGATTCCTAGGTATTTATTCTCTTTGAAGCAATTGTGAATGGGAGTTCACTCATGATTTGGTTCTCTGTTTGTCTGTTATTGGTGTATAGGAATGTTTGTGATTTTTGCACGTTGATTTTGTATCCTGAGACTTTGCTGAAGTTGCTTATCAGCTTAAGGAGCTTTTGCGCTGAGATAATGGGGTTTTCTAAATATACAATCATGTCATCTGCAAACAGGGACAATTTGACTTCCTGTTTTCCTAATTGAATACCCTTTACTTCTTTCTCCTGCCTGGTTGCCCTGGCCAGAACTTCCAACACTATGTTGAATAGGAGTGGTGAGAGAGGGCATCCCTGTCTTGTGCCAGTTTTCAAAGGGAATGCTTCCAGTTTTTGCCCATTCAGTATGATATTGGCTGTGGGTTTGTCATAAATAGCTCTTATTATTTTGACATACGTCCCATCAATACCTAGTTTATTGAGAGTTTTTAGCATGAAGGGCTGTTGAATTTTGTGAAGGTCTTTTCTGCATCTATAGATATAATCATGTGTTTTTTGTCTTTGGTTCTGTTTATATGCTGGATTACGTTTACTGATTTGCGTATGTTGAACCAGCCTTGCATCCCAGGGATGAAGCCTACTTGATCGTGGTGGATAAGCTTTTTGATGTGCTGCTGGATTCGCTTTGCCAGTATTTTATTGAGGATTTTTGCATCAATGTTCATCAGGGATATTGGTTTAAAATTCTCTTTTTTTGTTGTGTCTCTGCCAGGCTTTGGTATCAGGACGATGTTGGCCTTATAAAATAAATTAGGGAGGGTTCCCTCTTTATCTATTGATTGGAGTAGTTTCAGAAGGAATGGTACCAGCTCCTCTTTGTACCTCTGGTAGAATTCGGCTGTGAATCCATCTGGTCC
This sequence comes from Homo sapiens, assembly GCF_000001405.40. Lineage (NCBI taxonomy): Eukaryota > Metazoa > Chordata > Mammalia > Primates > Hominidae > Homo > Homo sapiens. The sequence goes on along the minus strand of NC_000015.10, from coordinate 55,806,158 downwards.
TGGACTTTTTTTGGTTGGTAGGCTATTAATTATTGCCTGAATTTCAGAACCTGTTATTGGTCTATTCAGGGATTCAACTTCTTCCTGGTTTAGTCTTGGGAGGGTGTATGTGTTGAGGAATTTATCCATTTCTTCTAGATTTTCTAGTTTATTTGCTTAGAGGTGTTTATAGTATTCTCTGATGGTAGTTTGTATTTCTGTGGCATTGGTGGTGATATCCCCTTTATGATTTTTTATTGCGTCTATTTGATTCTTCTGTGGTTTTCGGGGTTTTTTGTTTGTTTGTTTGTTTGTTTCTGAGAAGGAGTTTCGCTCTTGTTGCCCAGGCTGCAGTGCAATGGCATGATCTTGGCTCACTGCAACCTCCACCTTCCAGGTTCAAGCAATTCTCCTGCCTCAGCCTCCCAAGTAGCTGGGATTACAGGTATGAGCTACCATGCCTGGCTAATTTTGTATTTTTAGCAGAGACAGGGATTCACCGTGTTGGTCAGGTTGGTCTTGAACTCCTGACCTCAGGTGATCCACCCGCCTCAGCCTCCCAAAGTGCTGGGATTACAGTCATGAGCCATCACGCCTGGCCTTTAATTGAAGTTTTACCTTTTGTTTAGCTTTCTGGTTTTTTTTCTGGAATTTCTCATTTGTTTTCCTTTATGTTTATTCCACCAATTGCCTTTTTTAATTCCCAATTATTTCCAAATTCTTCATAACTTAAGTATTATGTGTCCGTTTTCCCTGGATATCTCTTTCTTGGGATTCCTGTCTTCCTGCTCCAGTTTGGACTAATTGCTGAAGGGATCTCTGGAACACCTTGACTACTCCCCTACATTGGATCCACTATTGCTTAGATCTTATTTTTTTCCTGATTTTGCTCTTCATGTTTCTACAGCATATCTGAAAGCAAATTCCTAAGAAAGGGTTTGCATGAAATCGTTTTGAGTCCTGAAAATATCTTGGCTTTACTCTCATGTTCAAATGATAGTTTTGTTGGATATTGATCTCTTGTTGATAATCATTCTCCCTCAGAATTTTGAGGTCTTTCTCACTAACTTCTACCATTTATGGTTGCTATTGTTATTCTGATTCTTGCCTCTTTGTAGATGTCCTGTTTTATTCTCCTTTGAAATATTTAGGATCTTCCTCATTTTCAGTATTGTGAACTTTCATGCTATACATAGGTATACATCTATTTTCTTGATTTATTGTGCTAAGCACTCAGTGGCTCATTTTAATTACAATGTCATTCATTGCCATTGTAATGTCATTCAGCTTTAGAAATTTTTCTTATATCATTTCCTTCATTATTTCCTTTCTTCCATGTTCATGGTTCTTTGTTTCTGAAACTTAGGAGACTGAAGGCTGAGTCTAAACTTCCATTCTCCTGGCTCAGCCTCCCAGGTTGCTGGGATTACAGGCGTGCACCGCCATACCTGGCTAACTTTTGTATTTTTGGTAGGGACAGGGTTTCACCATATTAGCCAGGCTGGTCTTGAACTCCTGACCTCAAGTGATCTGCCCACCTCAGCCTCCCAAAGTGCCGGGATTACAGGCATGAGTCACTGCACCTGGCCCATATCTTCTGTACCTTTACTTTTTCATGTCTTTGTCTTTTTGTTTGTTTGTTTGTTTTTCTGAGAGATTTCCTTGTCTTTATTTTCTCATATCTCCATTTAGTTTCCATTTCAGCAATCATATTTTAATTTCTAATTCTTTTTTTTCCTATTTTATAACATCCTGTTCTTGTTTTAGGGACATGATACCTTCTGAGCATACTACATACAGATTGGTGTTTTTGTTTTAAGTTCTGTTCTGTTCTCTGAATTACTTTTGTTTTCTAGAGGTCAATTTTTCTTTTTGTTTAACTTTTTCATTTATTTTAACCAACTGTCTGGTAATCCTTGCACTTCTGCTCATGTTTAAGAACGAGGAGTTGCAGCCAGGTATGGTGGCTGGGTGTGATGGCACAGGCCTGTAATCCCAGCTACTTGGGAGGCTGAGGCAGGAGAATCACTTGAACCCAGGAGGCCGAGGTTGCAATGAGCTGAGATCACGCCACTCAACCCCAGCTGGGGTGACAGAGTGAGACTCCATCTGAAAAAAAAAATAAAGAATGAGGAGTTGCCGGTGCACTGGCTCACACCTGTAATCCCAGCACTTTGGGAGGTCGAGGCAGGTAGATCACTTGAGGCCAGGAGTTTGAGACCAATCTGGTCAACATGGCAAAACCTCACCTCTAGAAAAAGAAATACAAAAGTTAGCTGAGCCTGGTGGTGCATGCCTGTAGTCCCAGCTACTTGGGAGGCTGAAGGGGGAGGATCACTTGAGCCTGGGAGGTCGAGGATGCAGTGAGCCAAGATTGCACCACTGCATTCCAGTCTGGGCAACATAGTGAGACCCTATCTCAAAAAAAAAAGAATGAGGAGTTAAGGAGTGTGAGTAGGAGAAAAGCCTGTCAGCCAGCAGGTGATTGAGCAGGAAGCCAGCTGTACGCTGAACACCCCCTAAATGCTAGAATCCAGACAACTCTAGAGCTGCTCAATTTCGTCAGCAGAGAACTTCTAGGTATTTTATTATTCCGAGGGAATAAATCCTGGCTTCCAAGTTTAGTGTATGAGAGAGAGAGAAGAGATGAGGGATCAACCAGTCTGTTCACCTTCCTCCCACACAGCCTGGCATGGTGGAAGGCTCTGGCCTGGACTCAAGCCCTGGTACCTTCCTGGGACACCTTGTGTGAGTGACTGCAGCATCACAGGGCCCAGGTTTCCTCCAACTGCAGGTTCCACGGGGACCTCCACCCCCAATCTGAGCAAGGTCAGCTGGTAAAGGCAGCTGCTGAGAGGTGTTCCCTGTGCAGCCATAAGCCTGAGGAGCTGGGCAAGCTCTATAAATAGCAGCGGTGATTACAGAGTAGTACTCCTTTTAGATGCTTGCACTTTATAGCTTTCCATTCAAAACAGTCCCAGCCCAGTGTTTAGTCTCTCTGGGGGGCAGCTGTAAAGGCCACCTTGTTTCACAGCTAAGGAGAGGTTACAAGACAATTAAAATATTTTTGTCTCTTCTCTCTTTTGATGATTATTCCCATGCAGTGGTGGCCACTAGAGGAGTTGCTGCCTTCCATTACCCACAGGGAAACCCGAGAACACTCAGTGGCAACCTCCAGCCCTGAAGCTGGGCTCGAATTAGAGTTTCAGCCTTAATCCTTGCCTTGCTTTTCAGAGATTTACAAAAAAAAGTCAGAAATAATGGGGTCTTTGAATGGCCATAACCAGGCAACTGTAATTTACTTTAAAGGAGTGCATTTCCCCTTTAGGAAGATATAATCGTAAATGCTTCTTTTGCCAGAATAATTATATGCTCTGAATTCTCTGTATTCTCCATCACGATAAATGCAGTAATTGCACAAATTATGTTCTAACCACATGGAGATATGGAGATAAAGACAACATTCCACATTTATGGAATTGTAATAAATAATAATGATAGTCTTGATCATAAAAATTATAATTATATGGAAAGAGTGGCTATCATAATCTTAAAATTAATCCTGATTTGTATAGCCTCCTCACAGCGTTAAACCTCAATGCAACCTCACAGGGCAGGCTAGGCAGGGCAGGGGATATCATGACCAACCCGTCACACAGGTGAAGACATACAGGCCTGAGATGTCCTGACATTAGTCAGTAGCCTATGCTATATTGGGCTCATCAGACAGTACTCTCAGTGTTGTCCCTCCGCCTGAGCTTGGTGGACAGTGGGCAACAGCCCACACCACAACCCTTGCCCACCTCCCACTCCTCTCTCTGGGCAACCAAGCAATGGAAACTGGTATCTGGGGGCACTTGCTTGCAGTGACTTGCCTGAGCTGGCTGACAAGTGGGAGGAGGGCAAGGAAAAGAGAGATGACCTGGAATATTAAGGATTCTCCAAGTCAGCTGGAACAGATTCTGCAAAAACCCTTCTCTCTTCTCCAAAATAACCTGGAGCAATTATGAAAACTTTTTTCAGGAAGAAAAATATTAAAATGCAAATGAAGTGCAGTTGTGACTGTAAATCACTGAAGAAAAATGCCACTACTGTTTATAGAGTCCAGTGTAGGCGCTCAGCACTATTGTGGTGATGCCAATGGGGCTTACATCAGAGACGTGAAAGGACCACAGAGGTAATCAGGCCCAGATCCTTCGTTTTACAGATGACAGCCTGAGAGGGGGATGGTTAATCCATTTTCCCCAGGATTAAGATGGCATTAGTAAACAGTCTTCACAGAGCTAGGTACAAAGCACATACCTGTATCCGTTAGGAAAGTATTCAGCTGTAAGTAACAGAAAGCTGGCTCTACAGGTTCATGTGTCTTACCCAATAATCCAGAAGTAGGCAGTGCTGGGTCTGGATGTTCCTGGGCCTAAGCAGAAGTCAGCCCTGCTCCTCACCAGTCAAGCTTCTCAGGAGGCAGGGTAGGGTTCTGGGGACACAGTGTCACCAGAAATACAGGCTGTACGGTGAGAAGGGAAAAGTTGTTGAGGACCTATGGAAGAAACCAAGGAGATTCAGCTTAAAGAAGAGAAGCGCAGTAAAAACTTGACCACTATGATGTAAAAGACAATATAGGTCCTGTGTTGCCTAATTGGTCATAGTTAGGACAAGGGAGCGCATTTGTTGCATGACAAACTGACTCAACAACAGGAATAATTTTAATAATAGGCACTTACTGAAAATAGGTCACCTCTAAAACTAGTGAGTTTCCTGGAGGTATTCAAGCTGGGTAAAGAACTGGAAGTGGGGCTGGGCGCGGTGGCTCACGCCTGTAATCCCAGCACTTTGGGAGGCTGAGACAGGCAGATCACGAGGACAAGAGATCGAGACCATCTTGGCTAACACATTGAAACCCCGTCTCTACTAAAAAATTAGCCACGTGTGGTGGCGGGTGCCTGTATTCCCAGCTACTCTGGAGGCTGAGGCAGGAGAATGGTGTGAACCCAGGAGGCAGAGGTTGCAGTGAGCAGAGATCGCACCACTGCACTCTAGCCTGGGTGACAGAGTGAGACTCCATCTTAAAAAAAAAAAAAAGAAGTATAAGGAGGCGGTATAGCTCAGAGGTAGAGTGTTGGACTTCAGATCAAGAATTGGAAGCATATGGCCGGACGCAGTGGCTCACGTCTGTAATCCCAGCACTTTGGGAGGCTGAGGCAGGTGGATCACGAGGTCAGGAGATCGAGACCATCCTGGCTAACACGGTGAAACCCTGTGTCTACTAAAAATACAACAAAATTAGCCGGGGTGGTGGTGGGCACCTGTAGTCCCAGCTACTCAGGAGGCTGAGGCAGGTGAATGGCATGAACCCGGGAGGCAGAGCTTGCACCGAGCCAAGATTGGGCCACTGCACTCCAGCCTGGGCGACAGAGCAAGACTCCGTCTCAAAAAAAAAAAAAAAAAGAATTGGAAGTGTGTGTGTGTGTGTGTGTGTGTACGTGTGCATGCATGTTAGAGAAGGTTACAGCATTGAATAAAGAAATTATTTCCAAATTCCCTTTTGCAACAGTTCATTTAACTAAAACTATCTGTTGAGTTTCTGCTGTGTTCCACATAAGGACCATATTTTCCAAATAAGAAGCTGGTCTGAAATTTATGAAAAAACTAATGGAGAGAACAGGGTGTGGGATAAATGATTTTTACTGATCCACTTCTCAGGAACCACCTGCCTTCTCAGGATGCCATTCCATTGCTCCCTGGGGAACCCCCACTCCACAGAACAGGGCCTGTTTTCATTCAGGCTTGAAGGACTCCAGAGCGGGACAATATGGCAGCATTTTTTCCAGACACATTCCAGCCCGAGTTTAATATCTGTTCCATGTGATATCATGTGTCTTAAAGGTAGAGATAGCTCTGTTATTTATTAGCTATCACTTGAACCTCTCTGATCCTTACTTTTCTTACCTGGAAAATGGTACAAAATATATCTTCCTCGTAGGGTTGTTGTGAGGATGTAGTTATGCTTTGCACAGTGTTCAGCCTTTAGTAAAGATTCAACAGATATTGGATCATTTCGCTCCTCAGTCTCAGTTCACAGATTTTTTCATGTCCCTTTTCCAGGCCTCATTTCCTCTAAAATGTAGAGGTTGTACTGGAACCAGTCCTGTGATTTCTCCCAGCGCTGAACTTTCTGGCACCCAAAACAAAATGGCTGCCATGTTTTTCCCAGCCTTGGTCCGAAGGTCGTTTCTGCCAGGAGGTGGCACCACTGATTCATGTTTCCAGCAGAGAGGTGGGCTGACCATTTGTTAATTTCCCCTTAGCTTTGAAAAGGAGCCTCAAAACTCACCTGCTTAGCAGCTGCCTCTAAACTAACTTTTTAAATCCTGGGGTTGATGTTTCTTGAATGTGACCGAATTTTCCACTTTTTTGCTTGCTCCAAGAATATCAAAATTGTCTTCCTCAGTTCTCAATATTTAGTCCTCAGTATTTAGGGAAGGGGTAAAGAGAAACGGCGGTTGGTGAGGGTCACTTCCCCACTGTGGTCTTTCCCTTTGCTCAGAAGCAAAACTGCAGATATCCAAGAGCATGTGCTGCTGAATTGCACCTACAATCAGCCATTTGCATGCTATTCAGAAGGCACAAATGGCCACTTAGGCTGGCAATTGCCTAATTGCCACACAGAGGGTCACAGATACAATTTTGCAGCCTCAGATCTCTGGCAGCAGCTAGGCTGGAGAGGCCCAGAAAATGTGGTTTTCTAGTCTTCTCGGGTTACTGTGTGCAGGGCAGGAAAAGGACCTAAGGCCAAGAGGGCCAAATTCTTCATTTTACCCAAAGCCAGTCCTGGAGATGAAAAGTGAATTTAAGATGAAAATTCCCTAACTGTGTCCCACCCTTCGACTTTTCTCGAGAGTTTAGGAAACAGAAGATGTAGGGAGGAAGAGAGGAAGAAAGAGAGAGAAGGAAGATAAAGGGAGGGAAAAGGGGAGGGAGAGAGGAAGGAGAAAAAAGGAAGAGGAGAGGGAGAGGAAAGGAGAGAGAGGTAGATTACTTGTTGGAAATAGTTAAGAGTCAAATCAATTATTTTGCCTTTTCTCTTATAAGAAGTAAAATACTTTAAGATTTAAATATAAAACATAAATGTATTATTTGGTCTTTGCTTCTAGCTTGCTCTATCTGCTTTACACATGTAAGCACTAGACGTTTATTAGTTGTCAGCCTGGATAATTAAGGGGCTAAATCAAATCATCCTGTGGACTGATTCTGACCTTTCCAATGTTAGGTTGTGAAAACTTTCTTCTCTAATGCTAGCCTTAGCAGAATAGTTAAAATGCATCCCCTTCTGAAGAGGAAAAATATTACTGTGAGACACCATGCAAATTTTTTTTTTAATTGTCCAAAAAAGCCACGGTGATTCCTTGCTGATGGTGAAGGAGGCAGAGCAGGCAGAACACAGTTTCCTCTCTGGTCCCTTCTATTAGAGCTAACCTGATTATTTTAAATTGCCGGAGAAATCAAGTCACACACCGTCAAGTCCCATTGATGATGGTGTAGATCTTATTAAGTAAAATCATTTTTCTTCATTACAAACTAACCAAGTGCTCTGTATGTGGCTGTGAAATTTACATTTAAAAACCCATGTCTTTTAAGTCTTTCAAGGTTCACGAGGTGGAACAGGACCAGGAGGTTGTCAAAATGCTAGTTCTGCAGCTTCATCGTGCAGTCTCACTGGAGGCTTGTCTTTTCACTGGGTAGGGAGGTCAGGGGTTGCTACATCCCAGAACATTCCCTCCTCCTCTTGCCCCTAACTCATCTGCAGAATGGGAGCAGATGACTGTGGGCAAGAACATTATCATGGTTTCATCTGTTGTTGCTTAGGGAAAGAGGACATCCTTGCGGAAGGTTTGGCTTTCTCCTGGTCTAATGAATAAGTTCTACTCTAAAGTCAGCCAAGCATCTCAGGACACCAACAACAAATGAACTCTATTAGGGAATTCTGTAGTAGCTTTTTAAAAATTTTATCAATACCATGCACAGTCCTTGCAAAAGGCAGTTCCTTTCTCTTTCTTATTTTAACTTCACCCTTCTGGTGTGCAATGCCTTTTGTGGCAGCATGTGAAAGGTAGAGTCTTTTCAGTTTTGAGAAACAAACTCAGTTGAATTTCTGAGAAACTGGAAGGTGCTTTAGGTCCTGTTTCTTTCTTTGATATTTTCCCCACAGAGTGGAATGAGGATCAGAAAACTAATTCAACAGACTCTCGTAAGGGGTATAGTGTTTTATTAATGCATTTGGGCGAGGCAAAGTGGCGCATGCCTATAATCCCAGCACTTTGGGAAGCCGAGGCTGGTGGATCACCTGAGGTCAGGAGTTTGAGACCAGCCTGGCCAACATGACAAAACCCCATCTCTACTAAAAATACAAAAACTAGCCAGGTGTGGTGGTGCACACTTGTAGTCCCGGCTACTCAGGAGGCTGAGGCAGGAGAATTGTTTGAACCTGGGAGGTAGAAGTTGCAGTGAGCTAAGATCACGTCACTGCATTCCAGCCTGGGTGACAGAGCGAGACTCCATCTCAAAAAATAAATAAATAAATAACATAAAATAAAGCGCATTTGAAGGGGTCAGAAATCAAATCAATATTTGATTCAATTTACTGGAAATATACTATGAAGGAGACATTTAACAAAGACATCAATTGCCTCACTTAATCCTCACTACACTGTATGAAATAGGTTTTGTTATCTCATTTCTTTTTTTTTTTTTTTTTGAGATGGAGTCACCCTCTGTCGCCCAGGCTGGAGTGCAGTGGCGGGATCTCAGCTCACTGCAAGCTCCACCTCCCGGGTTCATGCCATTCTCCTGCCTCAGCCTCCCGAGTAGCTAGGACTACAGGCACCCGTCACCACACCCAGCTAATTTTTTGTATTTTTAGTAGAGACAGGGTTTCAATGTGTTAGCCAGGATGGTCTCGATCTCCTGACCTTGTGATCCGCCTGCCTCGGTCTCCCAAAGTGCTGGGATTACAGGGGTGAGCCACTGTGCCCAGCCATGTTATCTCATTTCTTAGATGAGGATACAGGTTCAGAGTACCTTGTCCTGAGTCACACTGCTTCTAGGTAATGGAAAGATAACTGAAATCTAGCTCTGTCTGATCCAAACCCTGGTTTTTTTTGTTTTTGTTTTTAAATTCCATGTGAGTTGAAGTTGAGTGCTGCAGAAATGTAAAATGTTGTTAATCATTTCTACAACATTTGCTGTGTGCGAGACACTGTGTTAAGTTTGGGGGTGGGGGTGCTGAATGGGGTGGGTAGAGAGAGAGTGACTGCCTGCACCTAGAGAAATGAATTGGGAAAACAGGTGCTGGGGATGTGCCAAAGGAAGCAACAATGGCACCCAAGGATGATTCACAATGTGGGGCCTGAGGTGAAAAAGGAGCAGGCAGTGTTGTTCCTAGGGTTGGATCTATGCCAGAAGATTATTGCAGATGAAACTCAGAGCAGCCTGAAGTAGGGGAAGGTAATTCTCCCTCTCTCATGCTGCACAGCTCAAAACTTTGTGAAAAGTTCAGGTAAACATTGGCTGAGAAGACTGCAAAACATTGCGATGTAGACCAGCTGGAGTGAATTTTACACCCGGTGAATGTTTTCTTGGCCACATTCTCTCCAAGCAGTGGAGTTCTCGAGAGCATGTCTTTGGCAGTGGGACCTGGCTTCACATCTCAGTTTCCACCTACTTGCTATGTGACCTTGCATCTCAGTGTCCTTACCTAGCAATAACTGCTGCATAGGATTATTGTAAGGATGGAATAAGATCATTTACAAGATGTGTGGAGCACAATGCTGGCATGATTTAAACATTATACACATATGTCCTCTAGGATTTTACATTCTTAGTTATCCATCCCCCCTGGCATTTTCAAACTATCTCTAACTTCCTCCCTTCAGCCTGAAACCATGTCCTGGTCTCTCTTACTTTATTTTTATTTTTTCATTTTTTTGAGACAGAGTTTCACTCTTGTTGCCCGGGCTTGAGTGCAATGGCACGATCTTAGCTCACTGCAACCTCTGCCTCCTGGGTTCAAGTAGTTCTACCTCAGCCTCTCAAGTAGCTGGGATTATAGGCATGCGCCACCACACCTGGCTAATTTTGTATTTTTAGTAGAGACAGGGTTTCACCACGTAGCCCAGGCTGATCTCTAACTCCTGCTGGTCTTACTTAAAAACAAACAAACAAACAAACAAAAAACTCCCCTCAACCTATTTGTGGAGCCACCCTCCCAGTTCTGCTCATGGAACTTCCAATCCTCTCAAAAGAGGATTCACAGGTTGCCAATTCCAAAGAGTAGGGACCATGTCTGTTTTGTATATTTCAGTATCTCCAGTGCCTAGCCTAGTGCTTGGCATAATCATAGTTGACATTCAATTATTTGTTGAATAAATGACTGTCTCCATTTCCTCATCATACTTTCCCAATTTTTGTCCTTGCAGTCTGGCTTCTGCTCTTACCACTCTTTCAAAGTTGCATTCCCACACAACCTCTAACTTGATCACCAAAGCTGGAGGCTGTTTCTCCATTCTCTTCTCTCAGAATTCTATATAGTCAATGCAATTCTTTAAAACAGGATTCCACTGTGCAGTATTTGGTAAACTCAAATGTACTCCAAGGGATATAGACAAGGTTAGATTCTCCAGTTGCTTAGTTATCTACTTAGTTAGTAGTATCCTTTGAAGTCTTTCGGGGTCACTTCTCTTTGATGGGGGTGAGTGGCATAAGACAGTGAACATCCTGGGAGGTACCTTCCCTGATCTAGACAGCTGGAAACAATCTCTCCCTCCTCTGACATGCTTTACTAAGCTTTGTCTATACTTCTCCAATGAAACTATTTCTTCCCACTTCAAGTAATGGTTATTTATAGCCCTGTCTGTGTCACACCTAACCCACCCTGTGTATGCCCTTTGAGGGCAGGAAGCAGGCTTTTCCTCATCCTCCCCTTCTAGCTCAGCCTCTGGCACATGCAAAAGGCCTTACAAATGGACCAACTGAAAGAACTAATAGTGGAAAGAAGAAAATACCTTGAGTAGTCATGGAGTTCCTGCCCACAGAGAGTTTTAGAACAGCCTCTCTCATTTGTGTTAAAATTGGTAAAGCCCTGCAATGGACTAGCCCTGGCCTGGATAGAGTAGGAAGGATAAAACAGAGACTAACCCTGGGAGCACAGTCCTTACTTATAGTCCAATTGGGACAACCAGGGGTGCATGCAAAAAGGAAGCAGCAATTCAAAAATGCGAGAAAAAATGCAAGAAATATCATGAGCAACATGTAAGGAACAAACACCTATTCAAATTAATATTCATTGGGTAGTATTATATCTATGTGCCAGCAGTGCATTATAGGACTAAAAGGAGCTAAGAGGAAAATCCCTCAGGTTGCAGGGATGAGGGGTGGTTTCAAAAAAGGGGCTAAAAAGTATGCTGAATACTGTTGATTCTTTGGTTTAATTTGCCAGAGAACTAGGTAGGTATGTCGTTGCATTAAGTCCAGTCTACAGACTGCAGGCACTGAGCACAGCCCTCTTTAAAGCCCAGATGTTTCCAATGCAATAGAGTGATTAAAAGTCTTGTTCTAGGTCAGTAAGACTTGGGTTTGAGTCCTGACTCTATCCCTGTGATTTTGGCAGATCACCCTGATGCAAGAGGTGGGTTCCCATGGTCTTGGGCAGCTCCACCCTTATGGCTCTACAGGGTACAGCCTCCTTCCCACCTGCTTTCACAGGCTGGCGCTGAGTGTCTGTGGCTTTTCCAGGTTCACGGTGCAAGCTGTCAGTGGATCTACCATTCTGGAGTCTGGCGGATGGTGGCCTGCTTCTCACAGCCCTACTAGGCAGTGGCCCAGTAGAGACTCTGCATGGTGGCTCTGACCCCACATTTCCCTTCCACATTGCCTTAGTAGAGGTTCTCCACGAGGGCCCCACCCCTGCAGCAAACTTCTGCCTGGGCATCCAGGCATTTCCATACATCTTCTGAAATCTAGGCAGAGGTTCCCAAACCCCAGTTCTTGACTTCTGTGCACTCGCAGACTCAATGGCACATGGACGCTGCCAAGGCTTGGGGCTTGCACACTCTGAAGCTACAGGCTGAGCTCTAAGTTGGCCCCTTTCAGCCATGGCTGGAGCAGCTGGGACACAGGGCACCAAGTCCCTAGACTGCACACAGCACAGGGACCCTGGGCCTAGCCAGTCTCTTTGCCAAAACATAACAAGAGTCGCCTTTGCTTCAGTTCTCAAAAAGTTACTAATCTCCATCTGAGACCACTTCAGCCTGGACCTTATTGTCCATATCGCTATCAGGCTTTTGGTCAAAGCCATTCAACAAGTCTCTAGGAAGTTCCAAACTTTCCCACATTTTCCTGTCTTCTTCTGAGCCTCTGAACTGTTGCAACCTCTGCCTCTTACCCAGTTCCAAAGTCGCTTCCACATTTTCGGATGTCTTTTCAGCAATGCCCCACTCTACTGGTACCAATTTACTGTATTAGTCTGTTTTCATGCTGCTAATAAAGACATACCTGAGACTGGGCAATTTACAAAAGAAAGAGGTTTATTGCACTTACAGTTCCACGTGGCTGGGGAAGCCTCACAATCATGGTGGAAAGTGAAAGGCACATCTCACATGGTGGCCAGAGAGTGAAAGAGAGCCAAGTGAAATGGGTTTCCCCTTATCAAACCATCAGATCTCATGAGACCCATTCACTATCACAAGAACAGCACAGGAAAGACCCACCCCCATATTTCAATCACCTTCTACTGGGTTCTTCCCATAGCACGTGGGGATTGTGGGAGTTACAATTCAAGATGAGATTTGGGTGGGGACACAGCCAAACTATAACACACCCCCCCAAACCTAAATTTCAGCACTGTGAAAGAGAAATTATGGCCTGGCATGATGGCTCATGCCCGTAGTCCCAACACTTTGGGAGGATCACTTGAGGCCAGGAGTTTGAGACCTACCTGGACAACATAATGAGACCCTGTCTATACAAAAAAAAAAAAAAAAAATTAGCTGGGCATGGTGACACATGCCTGCAATCTCAGCTATTCAAGAGACTGAGGCAGGAGGATTGCTTGAGCTCAGGAGTTCAAGGTTGCAGTGAACTATGATCACACCACTGCACTCCAGCCTGGGCGACAGAGTGAGACCCTGTCCCTAATAAATAAATAAAAAGAAAAATCATAATCCTACCTCTCAGGTATTGTACAAATATTTATTAAGCACCTACTATGTACAAGAAACTGCTCTGTATGTTAGAGATACAGCAGTGAACACAGCAATCAGGTTAACTGCATTCATGGAACATGAAGAATGAGATATATGCAAACTGCTAAGCATAGTGCTTGGTACACAGCAGTTTCTCAAAAAATAGTCATCATGGTTATTCCAAACATCTGATGAGGCTGAGTTCTCACTAACCAGGCTCAATTTCATTTCCAGCTACTTTGGGATGCCTTTCCTGCCCTCACTGCAGTCACTGCATCCTTTGCTATAGTCAGGAAACTATTCCCTATACCCACAATAGGTGCCTAATCACAAGTTGTCTTAAGATTTTATTGCCTCACAGCTTGATTGGGCCTGTGTGAGCCTGGGGAAGTGGAGCCCTTATGAAAAGGGAGGACGAAGGTGGTCTAGCTCAGCACTGCCTGGGAAAGACTAGGAAGACAGCCAGATCTCAGCTGGCCCCAGACTGAATGGGACACTGGGGCTCCCTTCTAAATAAACCCAAACTCTAAGCTCAGCTTGGCCTGGGTTTGCCCCCAACAGCCATAGTAGTGGTCTGACCCCACACCAGGTTTTGGGAGGGGGATGAGGGACACCCAGCAGTGTCGGGCTGGCCAGTGGTCTGCGGACAAGTGGTCTTTGGTCTGACAGCTGCCATCCTGGAGTAAGATGAGTTCAGTCCACTCTCTAGTGTTTTCTCAATGTCTAAATGCCGTGGTGCTGCTTTACCACAGAAAATATTTCCAAAATGTCATCAGAACCAATGCTAATTATAGTTAAAGCCTCTCCAGTAGTGTGACTCTACAGCTGGGCTTGGAAGGAGGCAAGGGTGCCCCACCTGCCACTTCCTGGGCCTCACTCAGCTAATGTAAACACTCATTACCCACTGAGGGTGAGGTTTGTGCTGCTGCTTCTCTCCAGGCTGCTCTTCCCAAATACTTCATTCCCTCTGCTTCCTGCAATGGGGCTGGGTGATCAGAAAAACAAACCAGGATTGCTATGCTCCTTTGTCATCTGATTTCCTTTTGGGTCACTCCACATTTATCTGAGGCAAAGTTCAGATAACAGACCAGGTGATCTGACTTGTTATCCCATTACTTTCAAGTTGGGGGTGTTTCATTCTATATTCCATTGCTTGGCTCTCAAATCTTGGTCTGGTTTTTCACAATAGGCCATGCTTAGTTGTGGCCAAATAGGGTGGTATGGTCTGAATGTGTTCCCAAAAATGCATGTGTTGAAACTTAATGACCAGTGTAAGAGTGTTAAGAGGTGGGATGTTTAGGAGGTGACTAAGCATGAGGGAGGAGCCCTCTTGCATGAGATTAGGGCCCTTATAAAAGGGCTTGAGAGAGTGGGTTTGTTTCCTTCCAGCTCTTCTGCCATGTGGGGATACAGCAACAAGGTACCACCTTGAAGTGGGGAACAGGCCCTCACCTGACAGTAAACCTGCTGGTGCCTTAATCTGGGACTTCCCAGCCCCCAGAACTGTAAGAAAATAAATTTCTGTTCTTTATAAATTACCCAGTCTGCGGTATTTTGTTAAGACATTAGGCATCCTTGGTTATACATATTTTAAAAATTCAGGTTGATTAAAATTTGGCCCGGAACTGTGATTCAGGGTATTATTCCAGGACATCAATGCAAACATGTTGAGAAGGGCCTTAAATCAAGAATGTCACTACCTGTCATGAGATCTTGAACTCATTGTGTCACCTCTCAAGACCTTATATGAGTTTATTTTCCCCCTATAAAATGAAGAGTTGGTGTCTGTCCTATTATTAATTATTACTGAGTCCTTTTCCAAAACAAATCTTTTATCAGCCCCTTTCACCCCAGGCTGACTGCCCTACTCCAGTCTTAATATGACCTTTTGGCTTTCATGCTAACACAAGAGTCTCTAACATTCTAGACTCCAGCCTCCTCTGTTCTCTCTCTGCCTGGCCTCCCACTCCCAACTCATCCCGGACATGACATTCAGACTCATCTATAGGAACATAAGCTCCATGGGGGGGCAGGAACCTTGTCTCTTTAGTTTACTTCTCTGTCATCCAGTGTCTAGAGCCATGTTTAGTGCCTTCTGGGTTTTCATAATGGTGAATTTTAGGTGTCAAGTTGGCCAGGCTGTGGTGCCCAGCTGCTTGCACAAACACCAAATTAGCTGTTGCTGTGAAGGGTTTTTTTGTTGTTGTTTGTTTGTTTGTTTTTGAGACAGAGTCTTGCTCTGTCGCCCAGGTTGGAGTGCAGTGGTGCGATCTCGGCTCACTCCAAGTTCCGCCTCCTGGGTTCACACCATTCTCCTGCCTCAGCCTCCCGAATAGCTGGGACTACAGCCGCCCGCCATCTTGCCCGGCTAATTTTTTGTGTTTTTAGTAGAGATGGGGTTTCACCGTGTTAGCCAGGATGGTCTCAATCTCCTGACCTCGTGATCCGCCCGCCTCGGCCTCCCAAAGTGCTGGGATTACAGGCGTGAGCCACCGCGCCCGGCCCGCTGCGAAGGTATTTTTTTAGATGAGATTAAGATTTAAACCAGTAAACTTTGAGTAATAAAGATTACCCGCCATAATGTCAGTGGACCTCATCCAATTAGGGGAAAGCCCTAAGAGAAAAGCCTGAGGTTCCCAGAAAAGAAAGGAATGCTGCCACCAAACTTTGTCTTCAGACTCAATACTGTGCCAACTCCTGCTAGAATTTCTAGCCTGCTGGTTAGCTCATATAAATCTCAATACCTGTCTCTCTTTCTCTTCTCTCTCTCTCTCCGTGTGTGTGTGTGTGTGTGTACGCGTGTGTGTGCGTGTGCATGCATGTTTTGTGTCTCTGGGGAACCCTGGCTAATACAGTGCTGAAGATTTGTTGAATCATACAAAAATGCTTTTATCCTATATAATAAAACAGCATGTTGCATGCTAAAAAATAATAATAATAAAGCCTCTTAGAATATATTAGACTCTGAAAATTCATGGGGCAGGTGGTGGAGGGTGGGGGGGGGCAGTATTAGTTCGTTCTTGAATTACTATAAGGAACTACTGGAGACTGGGTAATTTATAAAGAAAAGAGGTTTAAATGACTCACAGATCTGCAGGCTATACAGGAAGCATGGCTGGGAGGCCTCAGGAAACTTACAATTATGGCCAAAAGTGAAGGGGAAGCAGGCACATCTTCACATGGCAGAGCAAGAGACAGAGAACAAACGGGAGTGGGGAGGGGGAGGGTGCTACACACTTTTAAACCAGATCTCATGAGAACTCACGCACTATCACGAGAACAGCAAGGTGGAAATTCGTCCCCATGATCCAATCACCTGCCACCAGGTTCCTCCTCCAACACTGAGGATTACAATTTGACATGAGATTTGGTTGGGGACCCACAGAGCCAAACCATATGAGGGGGGAACCTATCTAACTTGTCTAACCCAAAGATTAAGCTTAGTAAACCATAGGACCCCTTCAAACTGGATCATGTCCGAACATCCTGAGGGCACTCGTGTGACTTGGAAAAGCAATGAGAGAAAGGCTGTGATTAGGGTCAGATCCCGCTGCAGGCAGGCAAGACCCTTCACCATCAGGCTCCCAACGGCCTTTCTAGACACTTTTTTAAAAATCACCATCATTTCTCTTTCTTCACTCCTCTCCTCCCAAAATGCCCCATATCATAACCTCAACAGCGCCCCCTACTGTTAGCTGCCCACTGCTGCCCAGCATGCAATGCCACTCCCGTCAGCATCCCAAGAACAGTGCATGATCACACCTGGGCCATCCATTTGTTAGTACAACTTTCCAAAAGGAAAACGTCCTCCTGTCCCTTTTTTTCATATTTGTTCAATCACCAGTTTGTTGGTGAGGATCCTACAGAAGAATAAAGGTGAATACTGTGTAGAAAGTATAAAATGTCAGGCCTTGTTAGGGAATCCCACTTGGAAGGGGGGAATCTGTGAACTGAGTCCTTTTGTAACAAACTGTGAGATCATCTGAGGATCCTAGGAGAGGAAAACCTCTGCCACCCACTCCCACTCCAAGTGTCCTTCCTGTAGCCCCAGGAAACCATCTCTGATCCCAACAAGAAATCCCACAACCTGCTGAATTACCTCTTCAGAGGTAATTTGGCATTAGGGTAATTCAGAGGTAATTTGGCATCAAGCTCCTTTCCAAAAGTTAGAACAGTAAATTAAGATATTTTTACACCTTAATGTGAGTTCTCATAAACGTTGCGTTTCTGTCAATATTAAAGATTGAGGGAAGGGGATTTTGAAGGGGGCTAATCAAGCTATTCGCCATTCTGACTTATTATATGACAGCTAACCAAAAAGAGGTAGGAACCAGCCCTTCCAAGCAAACATATATTTATTTTTACTTAAAATTTCCTTGATAGTCTTGTAGTACAGCTACTAGAACCCTTCTATAACCTCTGAACACAACCTTTATAGAGGACACCTCATTTGCTGCTATGGATTGATTAGCCAGATAAGTGGGGTGTGATGTAAATACGGGCTTTGTCACTTTATTATTATTATTATTATTTTTAGAGACAGGGTCTTGCTTTGTTGCCCAGGCTGGAGTGCAGTGGTACAATCTCAGCTCACTGTAACCTCCGCCCCCCATGCTCAAGCCATCCTCCCACCTCAGCCTCCCGCGTAGCAGGGAATACAGGCATGCACCACCACACCTGGCTAATTTTTATATTTTTTGTATAGACAGGGTTTTGCCATGTTGCCCAAGCTGGTCTTGAACTCCTGGGCTCAAGCAATCCTCCCACCTTGGCTTCCCAAAGTGCTGAGATTACAGGCATGAGCCACAGTACCTGGCCAATTTTATTTTATTTTGTTTTTGTAGAGACAAGATCTTACCATCTTGCCCAGGCTGGCCTTGAACTCCTGGGTTCAAGTGATCCTCCCACCTCAGCCTCCCAAAGTGCTGGGATTACAGGAATGAGCCACCATGGCAAGCCACCACTTCTTACTAGCCATGTGATCTCAGGCAAGCCACATACACCCAGTTTCTTTATCTATATAATGGGGATTATAAGAATCATTCTACTTCACAGAGTGGTGAGGTCAAGATGAGTAGATGAAATGTAAAGTGCTTAGTATGCTGCGTGTCACATGGTGAGCATTATATGTATTAGTCTTTATTCTCTTTGTCCTCCACTAGAATGCCAGATACCTGGGAGACCCTCCAGGTGTCTACTGTCTATTGTTAACTGAAAAGGACAAAGACATTTTGGAACAATGGAGAAGGATGCTTTGGAGAGGCATCATGGGAGTGATCCACTATTCATTTCTCCATTAATTCAGCATTTACAGAGAGAGAGGCTGCTATGTGCCAGCCAAGCCTGCCAGATAGACATCATCTCGGCCTCAAGGGTCCTCAGGTCTAGAGGGAGACAATTATACAAACAAATCCCACATCTCACTGAGCTCACTTATGCAGGAGTCAGGGGAATCTAAAAAGAAGATGGGAGAGAGAGGGGAGCGACTTCATTTTAGATGCCTCAGAAAGGAGGCGAATTCAAGCCGAGACCAAGAGAATGAATACAAGTGGGAGTGCCAGGTATCAAAGAGTTGGTGGGAAGGAGAGGAGACAAAAATGGGTGCCAAAGCTGAACTTTCTTTTTTCTTTTTTTCTTTTCTTTTTTTTTTTTTTTTGAGACAGAGTCGCTCTGTCGCCCAGGCTGGAGTGCAGTGGCACAATCTCAGCTCACTGCAACCTCTGCCTCCAAGGTTCAAGCGATTCTCCTGCTTCAGTCTCCCGAGTAGCTGGTATTACAGGCACCCACCGCTGCACCCAACTAATTTTTGTGTTTTTAGGAGAGATGGAGTTTCACCATGTTGGCCAGGCCTGGTCTTGAACCCCTGACCTCAAGTGATCCACCCACCTCGACCTCCCAAAGTGCCGGGATTACAGGCCTAGCCACCACACCCAGCCCCAAAGGTGAACTTTCACACCTCCTACTTTTGCCTCACCTCTCTTTTCTTGCCCAAGATCAGATGGAATGTGGCTCTTTTCTTAGGGCGCCCAAGGAGAGGAGTCCCCAGTCCCCCAAGCTCACTATCCTGCCTGCCCTGGAGAGCTGAAGAGGGAGTACTAAAACTTCCCTGCAATATTTGGGGTCATCAGTTTGCCCACTGGTGAGAGACCCAGCTCCCAAAACTGCAAGCAGAAGACAGAGTCAGGTACACCCCCTTCCCCATGCTCATCTGCCCTCCTTTCCACAGAAGGCTTTCCTGCTGCCAGGGAAGAAGAAAGCCCCCTTCTTCTCTCTGTTTCCCTCCCTCCCTTCCCTTACCTGCCTGGGGAGCTGGCGCCAGAAGGGAACCCACAGAGCCTGGAGAGGTTTTTCTAGAACAAAAGCATGAAGACACCAGGGAATGTACCTCTGACCATTAGGGGCCTCTGGCAGGGAGCCCTGTCTGCAACTCATCAAGCAGCCTTTTGTTACCTGCTGCTGGGGGATTATTGACCCAATTGGCTATTCTGAGAAGGTTATCGCTTTAAAATTCCTACCTGGCCTGGGGGCTGTGCTCTTCCGTGCTTTAGCTGTACCACCAGACATGATATTTGCATGTGTGAGTCCATTAGGGGACAGTGTTTATTCCTTCGATTTTTGTGAGGACTTCACTTTGAAAAGCTAAATCCAGGCTTGCAAATCATGCCAGTAGGAAACTGTCATTGTCCCAACAAGAAAGCCTATTGCTTTTGCCATGAAAAGGAAGAATTTTGAGAGCAGGCCCGTGGCTTCTTGCAACCAAACTATTCCCAGCCCACTTTCCTCCCATAATCTTTCACTGATGGAAATGCAAGTCAGATTTTCACTGAATTTCCTTCCTTCCTTCCTTCCTTTATTCCTTCCTTCCTTCCCTCCCACTTCCTCCCTCCCTCCCTCCCTTCCTTCCTTCCTTCTTTCCTTCCTTCCGTCTTTCCTTCTTTTCTCCAGGGTCTCACTCTGTCACCCAGGCTGGAGTGCAGTGGTGCAATCTTGGCTTACCACAGTCTCGACCTCCTGGGTTCAAATGAACCTCTCGCCTCAGCCCCCTCCCCTGCCCCAAGCAGCTGGGACCACAGGCGTGCACCACAACACCCTGCTAATATATATATATTTTTTTGAGTCTTGCTCATTGCCCAAGCTCGAGTGCAATGGCGCAATCTTGGCTCACTGCAACCTCCGCCTCCCAGGTTCAAGTGATTCTCCTGCCTCACCCTCCTGAGTAGCTGGGACTACAGATGCACGCCACCATGCCCAGCTAATTTTTGTACTTTTAGTAGAGACAGGGTTTCACCATGTTGGCCAGGCTAGTCTCGAACTCCTGACCTCGTGATCTGCCTGCCTCAGCCTCCCAAAGTGCTGGGATTACAGTCATGAGCCACCACGCCTGGCCAATTTTGTATTTTTTGTAGAGATTTTCCCACGTTGCCCATGCTGGTCTGGAACTCCTGGGCTCAAGCAATCCACCCGCCTCAGCCTCCCAAAGTGCTGGGATTATAGGCATGAGCCACCACACTTGTCCTGAACTACTATAACAATATATAATATATGAGAATTTGAGTCCTTTCCAGATATTCACTCTCCATTCCCACCCCCACCCATTGCTGAATCACAGACAGAAAAGAAAAAAAAAAAAAAGAAGATGTCTCTGGGGCTTCAGAGATACTCCTCTTCTGGTGGAGGGAGACGGGGCCACCATGATCAACTGGGTACCCAGCCCAGGATAACAGGGACACGAGTTCCCAGATTTTGGCAAGATCCCTGTAGATCCTCAGAAAGAAATTTGAACAACAGTGGCAATGGTAACATCAGAGAACCAATATGTGTTAATACCCCTTTCTTCTCTGTTTTGCTGTTTGTTCACTTCCCTCACCTCCCCCGCACCCCCCAGACGGAGTCTTGCTCTGTCGACCAGGCTGGAGTGCACTGGTGTGATCTCAGCTCACTGCAACTTCTGCCTCCCGGGTTCAACCAATTCTCCTGCCTCAGCCTCCCAAGTATCTGGGATTACAGGCATGCGCCACCACGCCTGGCTGATTTTTGCATTTTTAGTAGAGACAGGGTTTCACCATCTTGGCCAGGCTCGTCTCAAACTCCTGACCTCAGGTGATCTGCCCACCTCACCCTCCCAAACTGCTGGGATTACAGACGTGAGCCACCGCACCCAGCCTGTTCATCTATTTTTGAAGCAGTTTGTCTTGACCTTGCCTCCTCCTGAAAGCCTGAGTTGTGCTAACCACTCCTCTCCCCAAGGATCCTGAGATGACAATTATATGGGACTGTAGAAAGAATCTGGGGGCAGAGCTGTCATATTTTGGGGTTGTTTTTAAAGCACAGGATGGCCAGGAGGGTGCTTCCAGAGCAGGGGTGGGTAGGTGGTGCTGGGAACAAGCTTTGCAGACAGAGAAATCTGTTTATCTTCACACTCCAGAGAGGCAATCACTCTTCCTGTGACAGCAGAGAGTACTGTAGTGAGCACATTCCAAGAGCAGAGATGTGTGGGCTTCTGGACCAAGTGGCCTTCTCCTAATCAGCAGTGGGTCTCAATGAGATAAAATGGGGCAAGAGCAGCAGGAAGCCTGCTCCATCTTTCCCCCTAGGTCTTCAGAAGAAACTTTGATCAAAGGAGAAGTGGTATTTGTGAAGAGCTGAGAAAACTTGAAAGAAAATCGCAGTGGGCATGGATATTTGTTTATATTTGTCTAGGTTTCTGGGGCAGTCTGGCCTACAGCTATTCAGCAGCTCTGCCATTTCTCCATCCCACCCCCCATCTATTCCCCTCAAATGGATCACTTTTCTGAAAGTTAAAATGTTTATTATAATTCAATAAGATTTCCAAGAACCGAATCCAGTAGTGATTTATGGGCCAAGGAAGAGCTATGATGGTTCAGTCTGATTTTGCAATTTTTAATATTTATAAACGTTGAAACTCTCAACAATGTTCTTATCTTTGTCTCTGAGACCTCAAAAAAGATACAGGCCTCCTGGATACAGACTGGACAGAGCAAAACCAAGTGTGTGTGTGTGTGTGTGTGTGTGTGTGTGTGTGTGTGTGTGTGTGTGTGTTGAGGAGGACATTTTTTTAGATCAAAGAGTTTCATTTGGTGTCCTTCCTTCCCTCCTCCTCCCCCCATCCCAGATCTGCTTGAAAAGAACTCAGATCTCTTTTCCCACACACAGACTAACCTGATAGTAGAGGAATGAGTGGGGAAGGGGTCTGCTCTGGTGTGGGGTATGGCCAGTTCAGCATCCTTCGTCTGTGATCTAAGTAAAAGCCTGGTAAAAGGAGACTAAACGGTTGCCATACAGTGTGGAGATACACATAAAAACAGTGCCCCACTTTGATTTTTAAGGATAAAACAATGGTAGCATTGCTTTTACTACTTGATCCAAGACCACAACTACTAATAGTTACCATGTACTGAGTGTTTACATATTCCAGGCATTGAGTTAAGCACTGTACGTAACTTAGGTCATTTAATCCTACTCACAGTACTCTGTGATGGATATGATTCCTGATTTCCAGATGAGGAACCTGAGCTTAAGGGATGTTAACTGGCCCAAGGCTGCACTGGCTATTAGAGCTAATGTCCACACCAGGTCTTTCTGTCTTCAAAAACTGAGCTCTTCATCACTGTGCAATAAATGTTGCTGCATGGTAACGTAGACATAAATCTAGAGCAGGGGCTTCTCTGACAAGTTTTAGGCAATATACTGTCCACTGCAATGCAAATAAAATTAATAACATATGCTAGTAAACATGGACATCTTTGTGTGAGAAGGAGTGTACTCAGCTGACAGATGGAGACGTTATTGTATTCATCACTGGTGACTGCACATCTGGAAACAGAATCTAGCCTTGAGATCAGATGTATTCCAGACATGCACAGGTCCCCCTGCCTCCCCCTTGGAAAAACCTTTTCTGGGTCCTGCTGTGCCCTCCAGCTACAGTCCTGTTCTCTCTTCCTTTTCCCTGCCAAACTTTCGGAATGAAAAATGGAGCCACTCATCATCCCATTTCCTCAGCCCCACCCCCTGCACTCCAGTTTCCTCCCACTGTTCTCCTGAAATCTTAAAGAGGTCATCAGTGGACTACTCATTCCCAAATCCCATGAAATGTTGTCCATCTTTATTCTCCTTGGCCTTCCCCAAGCATTTAATATTGCTTACCCTTGTAGCTTTCTCCCTCAATTCTGTGATTCTGCTGAGTACATCCACTTGTTCCTCTAATTGTCTCTATCATGACTCTTTAAAACACTGTCTTTGAGGCCCAGGCTTTGCCCCATGCTCTTTTTTCTCTATACTGTCCTGTCTTTCAGTGATGTGTCCTAATTCGCACTGCTTCAGCTGTCATCTCTCTGAAGAAGTTGCCTAAGGTGATTCAGTAGAAAGAGAATAGGATTAGAACCCTGACCGTTCCTCTCCGTACCAGCTGAAAGGTCCTGGGTAAGTCCTTTACTTTCTGAGCCTCGCTTTCCTGTGGGTAAATTCAGGCTGGCAATAAGTACTGTACAGGGACACTTGAGTAATATAATGAATGTGAACATCCTGTAGAAACTGTAAAGTACTATAGAAGCATCGATTATTGCTCTCACCGTTGTTTTTATTTCTTTGAACTTCTGCTCTAAAGACAGTACTCATCAGCTTTCCCCCTAAATTTGCCATTCCCATCCTAAGGTTCAGAAATATTGTAAGTTATCATTAAAATATATCAATTGACATCCAATTTAGCAGACCTGACATAAGAATTATATGTCCTCCAGCTCAGTAGAGCCCTGGCCATTGATATTTGACATTGGATATTTCAAGGTCATTGCCCACACTGACTGCTGCTAACCTTTTCTCTCTTCACCAGTCCTCAGTTCAGAGGACATAAGAGCATCTCAGTCTTAAAGCAATGTGGGTTCAAATCCTGGCTCTGATGGTCACTAGATGGATGACCTTGGGCAATTCATTTAACCTCTCTGAGCCTCAGTCTGCTCATTTGTATAATGAGAACTAATATTGGTTAAATTGTGTTCCCCCCAAAATAAGATATTTTGAAGTCTTAACCCCCAGTAACTCAGAATGTGACCTTATTTGGAAGTAGGGTAATTGCAGATGTAATTAGTGAAGATGAGGTCACACTAGAGTAGGGTGGGTCCCTAATCCAATGTGACTATTATCCTTATAAGAAAGCCTTGGGCCAGGTGCAGTGGCTCACGCCTGTAATCCCAGGACTTTGGGAGGCCGAGGTGGGCGGATCATGAGGTCAGGAGATCGAGACCATCCTGGCTAACACGGTGAAACCCTGCCTCTATTAAAAAAAAAATACAAAAAATTAGCCGGGCGTGATGGCGGGTGCCTGTAGTCCCAGCTACTCGGGAAGCTGAGGCAGGAGAATGGGAACCTGGGAGGTGGAGCTTGCAGTGAGCCGACATCGCGCCACTGCACTCCAGCCTGGGCAACAGAGCGAGACTCCGTCTCAAAAAAAAAAAAAAAAAAAAAAGCCTTGTGAAGATACAGGAGGAACAGCATGTGAAGATGAAGGCATACATTGGAATGCTGTGCCCACAAGCCAAGGAATGCAAAGGATTATCAGTAAACAGAAGCCAGGAGAGAGGCATGGAATAGATTCTCCCTCACAGCCCTCAGAAGGAACCAACCCTGCTGGCACTTTGAGTTGGGACTTCTAGCCTCCAGAACTGCGAGATAGTAATTTTCTATAGTTTAACCCACCCAGTCTGTGATAATTTGTTACAGCAACACTAGGAAGCTAACACAGGAACAACATCCATCTTGAAATAAATAAAGTAGGCTGGGCGCGGTGGCTCACGCCTGTAATCCCAACACTTTGGGAGGCCAAGGCGCGCGGATCACGAGGTCAGGAGTTTGAGACCAGCCTGGTCGATATGGCGAAACCCCGTCTCTACTAAAAATACAAAAATTAGCTGGGCATGGTGGCACACACCTGTAGTCCCAGCTACTCGGGAGGCTGAGGCAGAAGAATTGCTTGAACCCGGGAGGCGGAGGTTGCAGTGAGTTGAGATCATGCCATGGCACTCCAGCTTAGGTGACAGAGCGAGATTCCATCTCAATTAATGAATGAATGAATGAATGAATAAATAAATAAATAACCAGTTAAAGTGTCAGGGCTGCTTGTATGTAATAAGCCCCGCTACAGCCTTTAGGCTCCATACTGCCTTCCTTTGCAGCTGAACTCTTTATCTTCCCTGTGGTCTGAAAGAGAGAGTGATGTCTTTCATCTGCTGGAATACATAATAACCTGACCACCCAAGCTTTGGCTCTGATCACGTGCCTCCTTTTCTTCCTCCCCTCCTCCTTCCTGTCCTTCTTCCTTCTTCTTCTCCCTCCTCCTTTCTTCTTCTTCTTCTGCTTCCTCCTCCTCCACCTCCTCCTCCTCCTTTTCTTCCTCTTCTTTTTCTCCTCCTCCTTCTTCTTCTTCCTTCTCTCACCTCCTTCTTCTCCTGCCTCCTTCTTAATCCTCCTCCATCCTTCTCCCCCGCTCCTCTACCCTCTCATCTTCTTTTCTTTCTTCCTCCTCCTTCCTCCACCTTCTTTCTTCTCCTCCTCTTCCTTCTTCTTTTTCTTCTTCCTCCTCCTCCTCCACCTCCTTTTTCCTCTTCCTCCTTCTGCTTCCTCCTTCCTCTTCTTCCTTCTTTCTCTTCTTCTTCCTTCTTCTTCCCCTCACTTCTTCCTTCTTCTTCTTCTTTTTTTTTTTTTTTTTTGGCTCCCCATCAGAGAATTTAACTTGATTCCTTCTTTACTCCTTAAAATCCTGCTAGCAGCTAGGTCTTCTTTTGGAAGCTACCTTGGCTCCTAGAGCCATCTCCTAACCCCTCAAGGACACACTCCCCTACCTATGCCCCACCTCTGCTTACTTGACCCATCCCCTCACCCTCCCATCCTACTGACCCAACCAATCTCACCCTCAAGGTTTCCACCAACATGAAGAGAACAATTCCTGGAATTGATGGCCTCCTTCCAATTGCCACCCTATTTTCTCTTTCTATTAACAGCTGATTCTTCAAATACATGATCCAAATCAGCAGTAGATCTATGATTAATTTCTTCATTATATATACTTTTGACCCCTCCTCTGCCACTTTATCATTCTTTAAAACATTAGGGACAACAGTAACTTTTTTAAAAACAGATATGCCTCGATATGTTGCCCAGGCTGGTCTTGAACTCCTGGGCTCAAACAATCCTCTTACCTCAGCCTCCTGAAGTGTTGGGATTATAGGCATGAGCCACCGTGGTGGGACAATTCCCCATCGTCCAGTATTAACTTCTTTCTTACCCAATATTTGCCTCCTCTAGAAGTTAATTTATTTTTCCCCCATGCTGTTCTCTCTTCTGCTGCCAAACTTTTCAAACAAGGACCTCTGATGGTGAGGTAGATGCTTCTTGTGGTTCTGCACAGCTCCCAAAGACCCCTTTTCTGAAGAGTGGCCCTAACTCAAAGGGGCGGCCCCCAAAGGGCACATCCATACTTTGTGGCCAGGTGACTTTGGCCATAGCTGATTGATCCAGGAGTAGATAATCCCTCCATGGGTCCCTCCCTAGAATGTAAAAAGTATAGAGGGGAGAGATGGAGAGCTTGGGCCTTGTCAGTGCTAAACCATGTAAATGGCAGGACTCTAGAGAGAAGATCAACTTCTACTGCACAAGTGCCCAGAACTACTCTGGGTCCATTCCTTCCTGAATCTGAGTTGTCTGAGTCTTTCCCACTCCAAAATAGACCCTACAGAGACCTGCTTTCTGGTCTGGCTTGGAAGTCATCACTCCCATCTGTACAAGAAAAATGCTGAGCAAAGTGAACATCAATAACTCTTCTTAGATCCAACAGAGACCCGAGGCTACCGGGCAGAGTATTGCCCAAAAAATCGAGGAGGTGGACAGGAAAATACAAAGAAACACAACTTACTAGAGTGGAAGCCAAAGGCAGAAAACTCTATGGGAACTAGTAGTGTGTCCTTTTATCCAGCACATTATATCCAGCTTGCAACAAAATAGACTCCTATATATTCACTTTCTTGGTTTAATCTAGACCATGCTGGTTTATGTTGTTCAACCTTAATGAACACAGCATGTTTACTTATACATTATTTCACACATTCAATAACTGTCAAGTGCCCATTGAATGAAAAGTTGCATACTGGCCTCTGTGAGAAATATAAAAACACAGAATTCCTATTTTCATAGGGCTCACAACCTAATAGAAACAGATTTACAAATGTAAACCTAAAAACAAATTTGATCATGATCTTCTGCTATAACAGAGGCATGAGGTGTTATGAGAAATTAAATTTGAATGCAGATATCCCAGAAGACTTTATAAAAACCATAACATAGGCCAGGCAATGTGGCTCATGCCTGTAATCCCAACACTTTGGAAGGCCAAGGCAGAAGGATCGCTTGAGCCTAGGAGTTCAAGGTTAGCCTGGGCAACAAAGTGAGATCCTTTCCCTACAAAAAATGATTTTAAAAATTAGTGGGGGTATGGTGGCTCATGCCTATAGTCCCAGCTACTTGGGAGGCTGAGGTGGAAGGATCTCTTGAGCCCAGAAGGCTGAGACTGAAGTGAGCTGTGATCCTGCCACTGGGCAACACACTAAGACCCTGTCTCAAGAGAAAGAAAGAAAAGAGAAGAGAGAGGGAGAAGAAAGAAAGGAAGGAAGAAAGAAAGAAAAAGAAAAGAAAGAAAGAAAGAAAAAGAGAGAGAAAGAAAGGACGGAAGGAAGAAAGAGAGAGAGAGGAAGGAAGGAAGGAAGAGAGAAAAGAAAGAAAGAAAGAAAGAAAAAGAAAGAAGGAAGGAAGGAAAAGGGGAAGGAAGGAAGGGGAAAGAGACATAAAGAGAGAAAAGAAAGAAGAAAAGAAAAAAGGAAAAACTCAAACCCATACCATTTGAACTGGGTCTAATAGGACTTAAACAGACACAAAGCCTGAGCCCAAATGTGGAGAGAGAGGGCAGGGGCATGTTGGAAGAGTAGTTGGTCATCTGGTTTCCCTATACATACTAGGAAATGACAATATGAGAATACAAAGAATTGGAACATGAAAAATATGAAGTTTGGAGAATGGAAAGGGATTGAAGGCTGGTGGCCCTGGTGTTGCAGGATCAGAGCTGTGATTGAAGCAAACCTGTCAGCTTGATATAAAATGAACTGGAAACAGGGAGACTGTTAGGGAAGTTACTCCTGCAAACCAAAGAAGCACTTAAAATCCAAACTAGATGGAGGTGGTGGAAAAGAGAGGAGACAGGCACAGACTCTCTGAGGGGCTGAATTGGTGGTGTGTATTCATTGACTGGATGTGTGGACAAAAGGGGGCAAAAGAAGACAGAGAGGAAGTGAGCACCTCCAATCATCCATTTCTTCACCCTCACACTCTGCCCAGCCCTGACGATCCACCATCCTTTGCCACCTTAGAGGGACCTCTTTCCATCCTAATACTCACCACTTCTCTAGTCTCTATGACCAGCTGGCCCGGGCTGTGCCCAGGAAGATGTGGGGCCTGAAACCATCTTAGGGGATGTATCCTAGGCAAATCGTCCTGTGCTACCTGCTTCTGCACCACTATTCCACAAGGAGAGGCAGTGCAAGTGAGCATCAGGTAGTGTGGAGTTAAAAAAAGAAACTGCACAGTACCTTTCTGAAGGAATCATGTAGAGGGCATGCAGAAGGAGAGAACAGGTGCAGCCCAGCCACTTCCTTTGTGAGAGGGAATGGCATGGGCTGATTCTTTGAAAGGACATGAGCCTTAGTTAGTTAGACCTTTTACTTTACTTCAGCACCTGCTTTCAGACACACTTTCTCTCTCTCTCTCTCTCTCTCTCTCTCTCTTTCTCTTTCTCCCTCCTTCCCTCCCTCCCTCTCTCCCCTTCCCCACTCAGATGCCCAGGCTGGAGCACAGTGGCATGATCATAGCTCACTGTAGCCTTGAACTCCTGGGCCCAAAGCATCCTCCTGCATCAGCCTTCCGAGTAACTGCAACTACAGGTGTGCACCACCACCCCTGGCTCACAGACTATATCTTTCCCTTCAAGCCCTGCTCTTGATACCCATGTT